>NC_000005.10:42008224-42640749 GCF_000001405.40 Homo sapiens | reverse complement strand
GATGTTAGGTATTTTATTATATATGAAACACTGAATATTTATTTTTAAATTTATTTTTTTTCCAAATTTGGCTGTATAGGCCTTCTCTGGGATTTGAAACATAAACTATTCAAATACAAAATACGCTACCTAGATGAAGGATTTTTCTTATCCTTCCAGAAAAATATACATGAATTTATATAGGAGATAAGTTTTGGTGAATGAGGTGAAGGGGTAAGTAGGGTCAGTGTCCCAGGCAAGTCCTACTCTTCCAGGAGTAGTAATAATAATAGCAGTAGTAGTAACAGCAGCAGCAGCAGTAAAAATAATAAAATACCTAACACCTTATTCCATATCTTCCATATCTACTTTGTGCTAGGAACTTTTCTATGTTCCTACTCGCTCCTCACAATGACCCTTTGAGATAGATGTTAGTATCTCCATTTCGAGATGGATAAATTGAAGCTTGTGGGGTATTAGCAGTATGTTAGGTCATACTTAAGAGACAACTCATGGTTCCCAGCTCCCCAAACCCCAAAGTCCTCATCACATAGCCTGTGGGACCAATTGAAACCAGTAAGAGAGTTTGCCACAACCACTGATAAGAATAAATACCCACAAGACTTTTGCAGGACCTTCTTGTTTGCTTTTCCCACATGAGATAGAAAAGTCCCAAAAGAGAAAATGCATCTACTGCTCTCAGATTTGAGAAGGCAGTTAGGTTACTTATCTGTGTCAGTATTAGTGTTGAGGAAAAGGATGCCAAACTGCCAAACTCAAACACTATGAAATCTATGCTAACACCTCTCCCTCCACACTTCCCTTCTTCAATTGCTCTCAGGTAATTTCTGGAACTTAGTATGATATTCACCTAATAAACATTATTTAAGCTTCTACTTTTTGTAAGGCCCTGGCTAAACCAAGGGTGGAGGAGCAGAGCATATAAAGATGAGAAAGGTTCAGTCCCTGCCCTCAAAGAACTTACAATCTAGAAAGGAAGATACCATGTGTACACAAGCCACTGAAGTTCAATGCAAGAGATGCATAACTTCAAAAGTTTTTGGAATTCACAGAAAGAAAAACTTCTGTCAGAGTAAGGATGGCATCAGGTGTCTCTCCATTTCTCTGAGGATAACCCTGGCAGAGTTTCATGGTAGCAGGTACACAAAACCATATGTGCTGACAACACAGAGCATAGATGGATTTGCTACAAATATTGGCTTTCACAATAATTCAAATTCGGGGTTTTAAATTCTATTTATTAAGGCATAGTAGGAGATAAAAAAAGAAAAAAGGCTGCTTTTCCATGACAGATAAAAATAAAAAGATAACCTGCGGCAGTGAAGACATGAATGACATTTGAGAATATGTCAAGGACTCAGAAATTGTCTCTGAAAATACATCTATTATGATTCTGTGAGGTTTCAGGTTTATGAGTCTTTAAAGTGCACAATTTCCTAAAGAGAGAATCTTTTGTCTTTATTCTTCAGCAAAAATTCAGTGATAGCAGTTAGTTTATAAAAGATCTACAAACTACAATGTCAAGTGTGTTCTCAAACTGGAGCTGTATGGTGCATTGATCCTTCATTAAATAAATATTATGCAATAATGATGACACGTCTCAGACAGTCCAGCTGCAAATAATTGCCCTTTCCATCCATCACCAAGCATTTACAGGTGTTCAGTCTTCATTGGATGGAGTATCTTTAATAATACTGAATGATATGTCCACATTGATTAGCCGATACATTGAATCCTTACTTTACACTATTACAGTCGTGAGCCACACAATGATGTTTTGGTCAATGACAAAGGTGACGTTTCCGTTGCCTCTTCAAACATAACCATAATACCTCTTCAAGCCTCTTTAAACATAACCATAATAATTTTATATGTCATTAGAAATAAAAATTATTTATTTTTTTACACAAGAAAATATGCTCCCTGTAACAGTTTAATATTTATGAATGCAAGCACAAACATACAAACCATTAAATGTATATATCAATGCTGCAAACAGAAATACAGTGCAACCCACATATGTAATTTAAAATTTTCAACTATAGTCTTGTGCTGTATAATGATGTTTTGGTCAACGACAGACTGCATATATGATAGTCGTCCCATACGATTACAATACTATATGTTTACTGTACATTTTCTATGTTTAGATACATAAATACTTACCATTGTGTTACAATTGCTGAGAATATTCAGTACAGTAACATGCTGTATAGATTTGTAGCCTAGGAACAATAGACTATATCATAAAGGCTGGTGTGCAGCAGACTGTACCATCCAGGTTTGTGTGAGTACACTTCATGTTTACACAATGATGAAATTACCTAATTATGCATTTCTTAGAACCTATCCCCACTGTTAAGTGATGCATGACTGTAATTTATTTCAGAAGAGTTTACTATGAAGCAAATTTATAAAGTGAACACTGTATTGTCATTAATGCCAATTATGAAATTGAAGATAACAGGAGACTAAAAGAGGGTAACCAGTACAAACTTGATGATTAGTTCCTTAAAATACTATATTATACTGAGGGGGCAGTATAGTATTTGGGATGCTGAGGGGGGCAGATCACGAGGTCAGGAGTTCGAGACCAGCCTGACCAACACGGTGAAATCCCGTCTCTACTAAAAATAAAAAAAATTTGCCGGGCGTGGTGGTGCACGACTGTAATCCCAGCTACTCAGGAGGCTGAGGCAGGCAAATTGCTTGAACCTGGGAGGCGGAGAGTGCAGTGAGCCGAAATCGCACCACTGCACTCCAGCCCAGGCGACAAAGCGAGACTCCGTCTCAAACAAACAAACAAACAAACAACCATATTATAGCTGCTGGTGGGAATGTAAATTAGTTCAGCCACTGTGGAAAACAGTGTGGAGATTTCTCAAGGAAATTAAAACAGAACTACCATTCAACCTAGCAATCCCATAACTGGGTAGATACCCAAAGAAAAATAAATCATTCTACAAAAAGGACACACGCACTCATATATTCATCACAGGACTATTCATAACAGCAAAAACATAAAATCAACCTAGATGCGCATTGATGGTGGACTGGATAAAGAAAATGTGGTACACGTATACCATGAAAAGCTATGCAGCCATAAAAAAGAACAAAATCATGTCCTTTGCAGCAACATGGATGTATGTGGAAGTCATCATCATAAGTGAATTAACGCAGGAACAGAAAACGAAATACCATATGTTCTTACTTATAAGCAGGAGCTAAACACTGGATAAACATGGGTATAAAGATGGCAACAGTAGACACAGGGGACTACTAGAGTGGTGAAGATTGGGAGCGGGGTGTGAGTTGAAAAACATCAAGTAATATGCTCAATACCTGGGTAAGGGGATTATTTGTACACCAAACCTCAGAGACATGCAATTGACCCATGTAACAAACCTGCACGTGTACCCCCTAAATCTAAAATAAGAGTTGAAAAAAAAGAATTAATTGCTTTGCTGTTTAGAATGGTTTGGCATACTTTTTTTTAGAGGGCCAGAGAGTAAATATTTTAGGTTTGTGGACCTATGCTCTGTGTCTTAGCTACTCCACTCTGCCACTGTAGCCCTAAAGTAAACACAATCTGAAACAAACAGGCATGGGTGTGGTCCAATAAAACTTTATTTACAAAAACAAGCATCTGGTCTGAGGGCCTGTTTGCCAACCCTTGGTTTAAATATTTGTTGACCTAAAGAAAAAAAACACAGAGGTAGCTTACCTTGTACCAGATATTGTGAATTATATGCAAATAAATTTCCTATAAATCATACTATATTTTCAAAAGTCCTTTGAAAGTTGTGTAACATTTTTTCCTAAGTAATAAGTTCTTTGTTTAGCAAATGATCACCTCTTGTTATTTTTGGCTTAAATATATATTACCTTATATTGCATGTATTTGCCATGAGACACACAATTACTTGAACTACTATTTAATGGTAACTACATTTGAACGCTTTGTCAAAGCCATAAATCTTTTTGTAAATGTCTGCTTTCTCAGTGTGTAGGTTAAGTTGTATTAAAGTCTGGTTACACCTAAATAATAAATTCAAGATATTTTCCCAGTGCATAAATGTACATTATTTAAAAAAACTGTTCCCCACTAGGAGGAGCCAGTGTGAACAAAGGGCTTTTCTGGACTTCAGGTATCCTTTCCTGGTGAGAGACTCATGTGTGCAGAAGCTAGGGCTCTCTCGGGAGCAGTGATTAGAGTTGGTTTTGAAGCTGTGGAATTAAGCAGCAAATCAGTGGGCTACAAGCTAGAAGAACTCAAAGGTCACAACCAAAAAGGTCACAACCAACTGTTGGATGCTTTAACTTTCAAGAGTTACTAAAAAGTGTTCACCACCCATTGGGGTCACCCAGGGTGAAAGAATGTTTGTCTTGAATTATCCCTTTAAAAAATGTGTGTTATGCTTTGGCAAAGAAACCATGCTAGAAGTCAGTATATAGAGTGTACATAGGCATACTGAAAATTTAAGTAAGATGCTTAATCATCCTTCTTAGGCTCTAATTTTTTTTTTTTTTTTTTTTTTTTGAAACGGGGTCTCGCTCTGTCGCCCAGGCTGGAGTCCAGTGGTGAGATCTCGGCTCACTGCAAGCTCCGCCTCCCGGGTTCACGCCATTCTCCTGCCTCAGCCTCCCAAGTAGCTGGGACTACAGGCGCCCGCCACCACGCCCGGCTAATTTTTTGTATTTTTAGTAGAGACGGGATTTCACTGTGTTAGCCATGATGGTCTCCATCTCCTGACCTCGTGATCCGCCCACCTCGGCCTCCCAAAGTGCTGGGATTACAGGCATGAGCCACCGCGTCTGGCCTAAAATTTTTTTTACTCACTTCTAAGATTAAGGCTTTTAGAGACCTATGCCCACAAACAGATTTCTAACTATTTTCTTATTGTTTGAGTTCCAAAAGAAATAGAAGACCTCAGTATATGTTTACAACCAGAAGGGACCTGCATTCCAAAGGTTTCATTAATAGTGCCTAAGTCAATGCACAGAGAGAAACAGGTCTCTTGTAAACTAAGTGGTAAATATCTACTTACCACTTATCATTGCTCAGAAAATTGCTTGAAGTTGAAGGGGGATAAAAAAGTTAAGACCAAATATTTCTTTCAAAAAATTCTTACCTCTCAACGATTTTGTGTGAAAACAAAGCAGTATATAATAAAGCACTAACGTGTGAAACTAATGGCAGTCATTATCTGAGTATTTCAGGCTGGAAAAAAGTCACTGCAAAGTCCATATAAGTAAAGACTGTTGTTTTAATTATTAATATAGTTGTATGCTTTAATTAATATTTTACTTACCTAGGGACAGATACAACTCATTGCATTGGCAATATCTTCTTCACTCTCTTGGGCTGTTAAGAGACTTAAGCTGTTTTCTCTGTACCTCCATTTCTTCTTACATAAAGTGCATAATTTAACCTGCCTTTCTCTTATTTCAGAGAACAAGGAAGGGGGATAAATAATAACCCTAGGGTGCTTGGTGTTATCTGGAGATTAGTGCTTATGTGAGTCAGGAAAGGCTGAGCACTAGGTTGGGTACAAGAGAGAGCCAACATAAACACTGTTTCCTTAAAAGGGATTGCAAGAATCTATGTTTACTTACTAAATTGTTTATTGAATAGTTTATAAACAAGTAGACTGTCAATAATTTAATGTCAGCTTCCATGTCAGAACCCAGTATCAAATCTGCTCTCTACTGCTTGTCCAAAGCTCAAGTTTTTTTTTTTTTGTTTTTGGTAACCAATAAAGACTGTGCATTCACTCTAAGATGCCATCTCTGCCAGGACACATTTCCCTTATGTTATACTTAATTTAGTTAAATTATCAGCTAATAAGTTCTTGATGTTGAAAATATCTGATAAAAAAGAATGAAAGCAGAGAGGCAGTGGTGGGCCGCAGGCAGGAGTAGGACTATTTATGATTCCCTTGGCAGTTGAACTGATATGTCCTGCAACGTTATCCAAGACCGACCCATGACACTAGGTCCCTGACCTGAAGGAAAGGTTCTGTGGAAGGCTTTTCGGAAAGGCATAGTATTTATACTCAGCAATAGACAAGATAAAATTCTCCTCCTCTATATCTTTATCACTCTCCTTTCATAAATGACTGCTGAACAGCATGGAGTAAACTCCCTGGTAGCCAAAGAGTACTTAAGATACTGGGGAGGGCTTGGCTTCTGTTTATTTTTTGCAGTGTGTGTGTGTGTGTGTGTGTGCAAAATTCAATAACCATCCGTGAAATACTCAGCATATGTCAAGTATGTAGCAGGTACTGTAGGATATAATGATGTGTAAGATATTGTCCCTATCTTTAGAGATAGTTCAATTTATTAAGGGGGGGTGCAAAAAGCACTACATTTGGTTGAACCAAAAGACATAATGATTTTAGGGTCCAATATAGAGTTGACATGGGCAATTTCATACGGTTCAATTTAATACACATTGGAATAAAATAAGAGCCATAAGAGAATACAATAAATACCACGTAAGCTTACTGTAGGGCCAGATACTATTCTAACTACTTTAAATATATCAACACTTATAATTCTCACAACCATCTTATGAGGTAGGTACTATTAGCATCTTTATTTTAGAGATGAAAAAAAAAAGACAAAGAGATCATAAAATTTAGAGAAGATCATACAGGAAGTAAGCAGTAGAACTGGGTCTTAAACTAAAGCTTACTCCAGAGGCTGAGTACTTAAACTGCGGTGCTACGCTCTCTCTCCTTGCGAGAGAGGAAAAAAAGGCTACAATTCTAAAGCAAAAGCAGAATCCTCTTGTGGGAACTGGGCAAAGCTTTGTGGATAAAGTTGTATTTGAAATATGGCTCACAGGACAAAATCTATGAAGGATTGTTTCAGACTGAGAGGAAAGAAGAGGAAATTACTGGTAAAAGGGTCATTGTAAATGGATATAATGAAGCAAGACTGCAGGGAATATAAACATAGGAGTACATAAGAGAAAAGGGAGATAAGGCTAGAAAAGTGTGTAAGATGAATGCTGTTGAATTTTCTGAATGCCAGGGAGATAAGTTTATTCATAATTTAGAAAAGAGTTTGGAGCTACTATAGATGATTGGGCAGATGAATCACTGAATCAGAGGTAGGCAGGAAGAATTAATCAAGAACAGAGTATGGTGGCTTGGAATAGGGAAAAATAGGAGATAGGAAGAAAAATTAGGAAGCTAGGACAAGAGTCCAGCTAAGAATGTATACGGACCTGGACAAGCAAGATGAAGTTTACTATATTAAATTTTTGTCCTGCAAAAGTTTTTATTGAAGTTAATGTAACTCACAATTGTTTGAATGTTTGTGAACTTCTAGCATTCAAGCAATTCATTTGCTTGCCTATCTAATATGATAATATTTTGGAATCCTTTCAAAACTTGCCTCTGATCTCAGCCATTAATACTCATGTTCAAATGCCTATTTTCATGAAAACTTAGACTAATTTATGCTCCAATAAGCAGTCAATAAAACTTGCTCCAGTTGGATATTCATTTCATTTTGAGGTAAAAATGCTATCAATCACAAAATTTACACTTTTATAGGAATACAAGACAAATTCAGTGAAAAGCAATGACTTTTAAAAATAGGGGAAAAATCTCCCTCAGAAAGATGTGCAATCATCTAATTTTTTTCTCTATATGTGTTTAAGAAAGTCTTACATGTTTGGCCCAACAAATCTTCTGCCAATAAATAATCATGACAGAGAAATAAAATTCTTGAAAAACTACAAAGAACGTGCAACCACAGCACCCTAGTTGAGGTGCCTGTCTTATTTGGGAATACTAAAAATGTTTTGCTTTTCTCTAGGAGATTGTAACTCTTCCTATTCTTCTCCCCAGAAATATAAAGAAGTTTTCTTTGTAGTAAAATTATAGCATTACTTCTTTAAAATATAAAAAAGTTGTTTGGATATCTCTTTAAACTGTAAACTCCCTTAACATTCTTCTTATCCTAAGTCTGTGTTTTTGCCCATATTTACCCTGGGCTGACCTTTGCATAAGTGGAGTATGCTGCTACCACGTATGTGAACTGAAAGGTCCTTTTGGGGTTACTAACCAAAAACAGGTCTTTTTTCCCCCAGAAAATGTTTCTTAAGAAACTAATCTGTGGAAGGCATGTTAGCATGTGCTCACTAACACAAAAATGCACATTCACATGGATTAAGACCTTTTGCCAGCACAGCAAAGCCCTAAGGGCTTACTTAGCAAATGTGACAGACAGTTTTTGGTGAGCAAGAGAAGAAAGAGGTTACAGCAAGAGGTGATTCTTTAGGTTGTGCATAGCATGGGTTAATTTTAGCTGGTCTGGTTTGACCATATGTGTCTCTCCAGAGCTACTGAAATATCATGACCTCTCTCAGACCAGCATGGAGAAGGGAGGGATTGCTTCAGGCCATGAGTATCAGGTTTTGACTGAAACTTAAAGGTGGGCAGGACTGATTTATATTTACAGAATCCAGGATGGGGTGGGAGGAAGATAGATTCGATGACATGAGCAGTGTACCAGAGGAGGGAAAATACAGTGTGCCTGGGGAATGGTAAGTAGCCTGAACTTACAAGCTGGGGTGGGTGTTCAGGGTCTTGGGAAAGGTTTGAAGTTTAATGTTTAGGTAGTAGGGAGAGCACTAAAGATATTTACTTAGAACATAAGAAAATTATTGTTGGCAGGGGAAGATAGATGCAAGGAAGGAGAGATGGGGCAGGGGGTGGAAGGAGAGAGGAGGGAGATGCTGCTAAATGGTCACTGCACTGCACTGACTGGTAGGAAGTTGTTCAACACATCCTCCATACCTAGAGGTTATATTTCAATGAGGCACAATGTTTGGGCTTCTTGGACCCAAGTATAAAGTAAAGGTAGCTTGGAGAGGGCAGTGGCATTTATTTTTTATGTTTGGTCAGTTCTGGCTAGGATTTGTCCTGACAGGGTTTTTATTTCATTTTTTCTTCCATGGGGCTTTGTTTTGAGTCTGAGAACTTAGAAAAGTACACACAGGAAACGTGTAAATTATAATTGTATATTCTCAGGACATTTCATGTTAAACACTAACTTTTCATATTAAACACTAACTTTTCATGTGAAATTATCTCTTTAGGGAGAATGTGAGCTCCTTGATGTCAAGGCAGTATCTTACTCTGTCTCCCTCAGGGCACACAGCTAAAGACTGAGTACACAGCAGACTGTTAAATATTTGTGACACGGTAACAATGTATACAGTGACAGAGTGAGGTGATGTGAGCACTTGAGTCTGTCACATCTGGATGTGAGGCTCGTGATGATAAAAGGCAATGATATGTTCAAGCATGTGCACTATGATAGGTGCCCACTGTTACAGACACTGATATAGGTTACTTTAGCCAGTCGTTCCTGGGACAGAGAGCAGGTGACTTTTGATAAGAAAAAGCTGGAAAGATAGGGGAAGTCAGTATCTATGTGACTTACCACATATGAATGATAATTAGCTAGTCGTCTTACGTATCATGAAGACAGGAAATCAACATATGCCAAATGACTGGTAGGAAGTTGTTCAACACATCCTCCATACCTAGAGGCTGTATTTCAACAAGACACAATGTTTACGCTTCTTAGACCCTGTGACATACAGAACCAAACTGAATCTGACGGCCTTGGGCACACTTTCTCAAGACTCCTTGAGACTGTGAATACTGGTGATATGGACAGGAGACAGGGAAACACTGGGTAGAAGAGGGTAGTTCCTGGGCAAAGGCCCCACCCTCAAGCCTGAAGACCTGCAGCCCTAAATGGGAACAGGCATTTCCGTTTTCATGTCCAAAAAGCTACCTTTTGGCCCAAAACACCCCCTATCCTGCACTCATATAAGTAAAGAAAATTACTTAGAGAAATCCTACTGCCACTTTGGGGGACAGTGGAGGGCAAAGTATTATGTTTGTGTCAGGAGGATGGTTTCAATGTGAAGCATGTACCATTAGTAACACATTTTCAACTGATTACTTCTCATTTCCTTACAGAATATAAAGCACATAACTCATCTGTTGAGTGAAAAAAGGCTTTGGAATATACTGGCTGGGAAACCCAAACAGAACCAAACAGCCACTTCTTTTACAACCTCTGTGTTAATTAGGGAGCAGCTTAACATGTCAGATGCTTCTTAAACAGGAGGGCTATAAAGGATTTGTGGTCTGGCACAACTGACAATTGAATGACAGTTGTTAAAAACAGTACCAGCTCTCCTTTTTGGTCACCTCCAAGGAAATAATGTTAAAATCTCACATTGGAAATTAATTCTGCAATTTAGTCATAAAATTCAAATTATGATTTCGTGACTCTAGAATAACAACAAGAATAGCAATATCTTAACTGATTTAGGTACACTGTCTTCCCTTCCCTTATTGCATAATATGGACTCTAGCATATACTTCCACTGATGAAAAATATCCATCCCTAAAATTTAATTAAACAAGTACCTACTACTATGGATCAGAATTTTTTTAGGAGATGTAAGGGATTTAGAAGAAGCATAAAGTTTAGGCTTTGCCTTAAAGTTCAATAGAATTAATTCATTCATGCAGTCCACACAATCTGGTGAGTTCTATATGCAGGGCTAACACACACACTAAAATGTCAGGAGGCAAACGCTATCATGTTGTAAAGGACAAAGTTCCATGGAAGCAGAGAAGGCAGAATGTTGTTCAGGACTAGAGAATTTGGAGACGCTTCCCCACAGAGTTGATGGTGGGGTTCTGTCTTGTGGTTGAAGAGGAGATTGTCAAAGGACCAGCGGGGAATGTGTAAAGTCATTTTAAGGTTAAGAAAGAGCTTACAATAAGGCATAATTTTGAAGCTTAAGGCAATTTGGTTGGAGAGACAAGTTTAACTTTCTACCAGTGTAAACCTTAGATAAATACTTCAAGATAATAATGAAAATAATTTTAAAAAGAATTTATAAAAAGAGGCAGTTTCCTAAATTCAATAAATAATTGTTGATCCATGATGTATCATTTCCTCTTTTTTCCTCCTTCATTAATTTGGCCTTACTTAACCTCCAAGCACAAGCAAAAAATAGAAAAAAAAGCAGCCTTGCACAGAAGTTGTATTAGTTTGTTTTCATTGCTATAAAAAAGTACCTGAGGCTGGGTAATTTATAAAGAAAAATGATTTAAATGGCTCACAGTTCTGCAGGCTGTATTAGCATCTGCTTCTGGTGAAAGCCTCAGGAAGCCTATAATCATGGTGAAGCGGAGCAGGTGTCTCACAGGGCGAGAGTGGGAGCAAGAGATTGAAGGGGGAGGTGCCACACACTTTTAAACAACCAGATCTCATGAGAACTCACTCATGGTGAGGACAGCACAAAGAGGAGGGTGCTAAACCATTCATGAGGAATCTGCCCACATGACCCAAACATCTCCTCCCAGTCTCCACTTCCAACATTGGGGATTACATGAGATTTGGAAGGGACAAACATCCAAACTATATCAGAAGTTAAAAAATAAATCCTTAAAAAATGTTTTGCTTGCCTATAAAATTTCAACTCAGTCACTATTCCAGTTACTACCATCCCAAATAAAATAGAGAAAGGATAGTAGCTTAATTACACTAAAACATGGAAAATATCATTGAAGGAAGAAAAAGGACTGAAATTCTTACTTGTCTTTAGGCCTGGATTAACACTTTGCAGACTCCAGGGTGCTCTGCTAAGGATAGCTGCTGTGGCTGAAACAGAAAGAGAAGAAAACCATTAGTCATCCCCATCAAAACAATCTGATATGACCCTGTGTAAACTAAAAACAAAATCCTCAGCTTCCCAAACCAACCGAATGGACCCCTTCTTGGCCAAGGGGACTCCAGAGAAAGGTTCCTGGCCACAATGGGAAGGCAGGTTGGATATACCTCCCCTTTGGAGTTTAGGCACAAGTGACCAGCATTAATGTTAAAGTAGAGATCATAAGACTGACTAAATAGACTCTTTGGGCAATAAGATACTAAATTATAAACAAGACCTTAGGCCATGCAAGGCAAGGGTTAAGTCACACCTATAGGCCATTAATCTTGCTAAACAGGTCATTTTGTGGCTGACTCTGACATAGCATCCTTATCTTAATTTAAATATTTCTTTTTGCTAACTCGAAGCTTCTGTACAGTTTTGTTCCTTTAACCAACTGCAGATTAAAGAATCTCTGAACCAAACTATGACCTGCAAGTCCCCACTTCAAGACATCCTGCCTTTTCAGAGTGAACCAATGTATACCTTCCATGTACTGATTTATGTCTTTGCCTGTAATTCCTGCCTCCCTGAAACATACAGAACCAAACTGAATCTGACGGCCTTGGGCACACTTTCTCAAGACTCCTTGAGACTGTGAATACTGGTGATATGGACAGGAGACAGGGAAACACTGGGTAGAAGAGGGTAGTTCCTGGGCAAAGGCCCCACCCTCAAGCCTGAAGACCTGCAGCCCTAAATGGGAACAGGCATTTCCGTTTTCATGTCCAAAAAGCTACCTTTTGGCCCAAAACACCCCCTATCGTGCACTCATATAAACTCTGAACCTGAGGTTCCAGAAGCAGACCAGCAGACCAACAGACCAGCACACCAGCAAGCCAGCTGACCAGCAGACAGATGGTGAAATGATGCGGCAGAGAGAGAGAGGGAAGAGGAACATCTGGACGCTGAGAGGAGCTTGCCTGGGGGAGGTTGGAGAAGAGTCCAGCCACTGGGCTGCCCGACTTCAGAGGAAGTTCACCTTCCCACTCCATCCCCACTTCCCACTCCCCATCCATCTTGCTGAGAGCCACCTCCACTACTCAATAAAACCTTGCACTCATCCTTCGAGCCCCTGTATGATCTGTTTTTTCTAGGACACTGGGCAAGAGCTTGGGATACAGAAAGCTGTCACACTGGCCCTCTGCCTTTGCTATAAGGCAGAGGGTCCATTGAGCTGATTAACACTCAAGCTGTCCGTGGACTGCAAAGCTGAAAGAACTTTGTAACACTGGGGTTGCAGGCACCCCACCCCTAGACACTACCTCGGGGCTAAGGGGCCAAGGGGCCAAGGCACTTGCCCCAGCCTTTGCACCTGACCGTCTGTATTCTCCCCCTAGGGGTTTGAGCAGTGGGGCAACTGAACAGGTGAGCCACATCCCTGTCGCAAGCTCTGTGAGAGGGATCAGGGAACTCGCTCATTTCAATGGGGCCACAGTCACTTATATTGGCTCAGAATAAATCTCTTTAAAATATTTTACAGTTTGATTTTTCTGCTAACACCTGTTATGGCATCATTTTCAAATGATAAAGTATGATTTCTCCTCTCATAATAATCCCCCTTTTAAAAATTAAAATTGCACCTAACCTCTAAAAAGAACTCACACAAATCACAGCAAATGAAAACCTGGTCTTAATTACTTTTGGTCTCACGCCTAGACACAGTAGGGAACAATTTTTTAAAAAAAGATTTCCTACATTATTTGAGTTTAAACTTGAATCTTATCTGTAAGAATGAAGAGAAATATAAATTCTTTTTAAACAGTATGAAAAAAAGTTCAGTAAAAAAAGTTTATTTTTAGAAATAAACATGTGAATGATCCTGGAAGTAGGGAGGGAATGAAGGGAGGTGAAAAGCTCAACATGAGAGAAACAGAACTTTATGGTGTGAGATGGTCCATAATTCATCCACTATAAACACAGTCGTAATTTGATTGACATTAGTAGTAGATGGCATAAAAAACAGGAAAAAATGAAAAATGATGAATGTAGTGTCACTCTACCTTGAAGTATTAGAGTGGGTTGCTTTGTAAGCATCCCAGCTAGAAAAGTATGCATCTCTTGTCTGGGCTTGGTGGTGAAAGGTGTTTCTCCAGAATTCCCCACATCTGATCACGTTACCTCTAAGTTATTCTTAGAGGGTCAGCATGGCTCAGGCCCACAGTAAACACTGAGTTTTACCTCCCAGTGAAACTACTGGTGATATTGTGAAATACATATTTGACCTTGTCTCCGTTTCTTGACACAGTTCCTAAAATCCTTCGAATCTCTGTAGTGATAAGTGTCTTTCGTATGCTAATGAGTTGACTGATGCCTGGGGGCTCCTGGAGAGCCTCAGGATGGGGCATGGTCACAGGAAAGACCAAGAGTTGATTAGAGGTTGAGACACTTCAGCCCCACTCTCCAACCTCAGGAAGGGGAGAGGGACTCAAGGTTAATTTGATCACCAGTGGCCAATGTCTTAATCCGAGAGATTCTGGATAGCTGAACACATGAAGATGCTGCACTCAGAGAGGTCATGGAAACTCTGCAACTCCAACCCACATACCTTACCCTATCCATCTCTTCATCTGTGTCCTTTGTAATATCCTTTCTAATAAGCTGGTACATGTAAGCAAGCTGTCTCAAATTATCAAACCGGAGGGGGAGGTTGTGGGAACACCAATTTACAGCTGACTGGCTAGAAGTATAGGTAACAACCTATTACTTGCAGTTGGCATCTGAAGTGGGGGACAGTATTGTTGGAATGAGCCGTAAACCTGTGGTTATCTGATGCTATTTCCAGGTAGATAGGTAGATTGTCAGAATTGAATTGAATTTGAGAACACCCAGTTGGTGTCCCACTGAAGAATCTGTTGGAGAATTTGTGTGGGGAGAGATTCCCACCGAGGACTAAGTTCCGATTTTTTATCTTGCCCAAATTCCTACCTAAGGGTTCTGGGGAGTCATGCCCTACAAACCATGGGTTCTCATCAGGATGGGTTTTATTTGACCTTGTATATTGTGACTTGCTTTTCAATATGACTCTGGCATAACATTATGAGACAAGGAAAAAATATTAGCCCCAAAGTATATTTCCTTGCCATGCCTTGAAATTGCCCTACAAAGTCTCTTATGGGAAAAATCCACATTCTATAGAGAATCCCCTTCCCCCTTTGTTTTCCTTCCTTCCTTCCCAGATCCAGGCAGTAATCAACTAAGAGCCAGGCACAGTTTTAGGTCCAATAAGAAACATATCTTAACCTGAATAGTCCTTTCCATTAATCCCAGGTCTTCAGACAAACTCAACTAATTGTCAACCAGAAAATGTTTAAATTTACCTATAGCCTGGAAGCCCCCCATTTGAGTTGTCCTGCCTTTCTGAACCAAATCAACGTATTTCTTAAATGTATTTGATTGATGTCTTATGCCTCCCTAAAATATATAAAACCAAGCTGTACCCTGACCACCTTGGGCACATGTTCTCAGGACCTCCTGAGGGCTATGTCACAGGCCATGTTCACTCACATTTGGCTCAGAAAAAATCTCTTCAAATATTTTAGAGAGTTTGACTCTTTTCGTTGACACCACACACATTTTGGTGATCTCTGGTCACCAAAATATTCTGTGTTATGAGAGTATAGTAGGAGAAAATGAATTTTTTTTTTACATACTCTCAGATTATTAATACTTTTGTTTCAGTCCTTAATAGAAACCCACAGTAACAATGCCAAGAAATCTATTTCTGATATAAAACAAGAAAGAGAAATAAAATAAAGATGTGCTGGACAGTGAGCTGACTCATTCCCATCTCTCTGAATGTCAGAGCCTGGTGAGTCCAATTCACCTGCCCCTGAGCCGCTTTTCAATGTACTTTTTCAGTAACTCCTCCCAGTTAGCTAACTGGGAAGCAGCCTTTCAGCTGTGAAAGTGTTTCTTTTTTATTCTCTCTCTAAATTTTATTATTATCTTCATCTATAGATCATTTACTCTCATATGCAATAAGGAATTATGACAAAAAGCAAACATTTTCCTAAAGTAAATAAAGTACTACACCTTGATTTTAAAGTGGCGGGAAAGCAAAATTGCATTGTAACAATTCCTTCAAATCTACTTGCTGCTTTGATACTCTAAGTTTTTATTATTACCATTATTTTCTAGAACCATTCCCACCACCATCACAGATCTTTGCTACAAATCAGAGAACACTTTGTTTCATTAATTCTTTCTCTAAGATGAGCACTAAAAGAGGACCTTTGGTCAAGGTTCAGTAAGTTTGTATAACTGACAACTATGTATTACTTGAGAAAGTTTTGATAGTTCAAAGGAAGAAAAAAATTAAGTTAATCAAAATAATAACAAAGTGAAAGGAAATTTTTGTAGGTGATAGGTTTATGGCATACATGCAGTAATAATTTCATGGATGTATACTTATCTCCAAATTCATGAAGCTGTATACATTAAATATGCACAGATTTTTGTATGCCAACCATACCTCAATAAAGTGGTTTTAAAAATATGTTAATCATGGGATAGCACATAAACATATGTGTTATTTTGGTCAAAATTACGTAGGAAGTTTGTCTCAATTTTCAGCTTGAATCTGAGAAAACTAATGGATGACAATTTCCAGGCCTAACATCAGCAGTAAAGTTGACAAATTTTTCCACGATGGCAGAAATGGAATGTGGGGGTCAGTTATGAGATCCTAAGGAGAGTGCAGAGCCAAAGCTCTGGCCTGGAAATGCTTGGGGAGCCCTGGCCAGCCTTGAATCTTCACAAACCAGCATTTAATTCTTTTTGCAAACAGACATCTTGTGACTTTGCCTTTATCGTGCATTTGGTGACATTTTCACAAAGCAAAAAGTCTTAGTCAGCTAACAGTCCTGAAAATATGTAATGAATCGAGACATAAAAGGAACAAATGGTACCCTCATGGAAAGACTACAGATTTATGCTAAGGGTGCTGGTTAAAAAGTAAAGCACAATGAACAAAACTGCGCTGGCTTAGCAAATGGAAGTGTCATTCTCAGTCATCAATTTTAATTAGCATCAGAGCCATGTACCTAATGTCTAGAGGTGCTGAGCAGTAAGGGAAAAACAAGTAAAGGAAGACCATAAGCAGAGAATCACATCCAATAGTAACAAAGTTAATGAAACCATTACGAACTGTGGTCTTGGTTATGATCTGCAAGGACTCCATTTATTAACTATTCCCAACAAATCAATAAATAGGCACTTTTAAATGCTGGGTTATAAAATAAACTAGCTGCAGCCCCTGGCCTCAGTGAGCCCACATTTTTCTAGGCAGGGATCTATAAAGGAAGAGTGGTCAAGCATTGGAGGAACAATGGAATATCTGTTAACAAATTTGGAGAAACTTCCTTGGGAAGGTGACTCCTTGAGACAGGTGCTAAATTTGGGATAAAGGGTAATGTGGAGGAAAAGAAAGGGCAGTTGGGGCCAAGGAAACAAAGGTGCAGAAGGTACAAAGGTGCAGAAGACACAGCCTGGGCATGTAAAGAGCTGTGATGTGTTGGGAATGCATGGATGGAGCTGGGGATGTGTTGAATTAGGGAAGAAGCAGGGGCACATCAGGGAGAACCTAGCCAAAGAACTTAATTTTGATTCTGCAAACACTGGGGAACCATTAATTTGCTATGCTTGGGGTGGAGCGCCTCACAGTGTACTTACCAAGACTAGAACTGACTGCAGTTGAACTTTCCCTACTTACACTCAACCTTGTACTCAACTTCTCAACAGAAACACGTATCTAGGTCTTGGTTTCTCTGTGTTTAAAATTGAGAGAGTAAAAGTATCTATATATATATAAGATTTAAATCAGTTAGTACATGCAAATCATTTCATTTACAATATAATTAGTGATAAGTAAGTGTTATATATGCTTATCATTGTTATTGTTTTTGTCATTATTATTATTGCTAGTCACTACCTTGACAGCAGGGACATGTCTTTTCCTATGGAGAACTTGACATTGTGTTTACATTAGACTTTGTGCACTTAGGGTTTTGCTGATGTGAAGACGGGATGTTGTCATAAACCCAGCTAGACCATTTAGGCCCTCCTGGTGCAGGCTGCATGTAGGCAGTGGGTTCTGTTCTTTAAGGGTGTTTGGCAAATGAGTTGGTGGAGTAGGGGATGGAAATCTACTTATGGCAATGATTCATCCTGAGACTAAATGCAGCCAATCCCAGTTCTCTAGTGTGTCATTAAGGAAGCAAGAGTAGGAGAATCAATGTTCTGGCAAGAATCATAATTCACCAGTTGTGTAGCAATGGCATTTAGAAACACCCCTGAATAGACAGTGCAAACACAAGTAAACATAGTACCATATACAGCAACCAAGCTATACAATTACAGGAGGTCATGCATGTAAAGGGCCTCACACAGCAGTTATTAAATATACCAAGTCTAGGGCCCTGCCCCAGATTGATAGAGTCTGAATCTCTAAGTCCCTGGTCACTCTACATTTTGGAAAGGTCCTGGGAATGTGTATGCTTACCTTGCCCTTCCATACCCCTCCCTGCCAGGTGATTCTTATGACAAGACACAAAATATATTTAGGAAACTTTTCACTATACCTTCTTGCTCTGGTCAGAATCACCATATCCTCTGCAGGGCTCTGCCTCTAGGGTTTCCCCACTATGTGCCACAATTGGTACTCATGAGGAGGCACTTGATAAAGTACATGCTGATTGATTGATCTCAATGTCACAAGCATCACAAAGTTATATTGATGAAGCCAGGTTGCTGAGGCTTTGGGCAGAAATACCCTTCAGGGATCAATTCTCAAAGAAGCAGGTGAGACGTGTGATGTCCTTAGCAGCCAGGCCCCCTCCTTTTGCTCTGTGGTTGGATACTACTCAGTGGGTCCTCAGGCAGCAATCCTCTTTTTGGTCATGGCTACCCCTTGGCATACTGAGTCCACCAGGCCTGAGTGCAGTGACATTTCTAAGCTGGAATATCTTTTGTGGCTCAGTGAATTAATTACATTCCTATCCATAGTTTTTCCTGAACCAAAGTGTATTATCTCGTACATGTTATGACTCTTGGCAGCTCTAAAGAAGCCTGTGTAATCTAAACAGGAAATCTCTGAGCCCTTCCAAGAGACAGTATTACCTCCCCACATCTCCATGAGGGAGTGTATTTCTTCTCTACTTGAACAGTAAATCATACAGCATATTACATGAGCTAGAGAATTTAAACAAATAAAACAGGAACTGTGAAATGGTGCTGGTGGTTTCAAACACTTTTTAATGCTTTACAGTAAAATAGTAGATAACAAACTTGGAAGATAAACCAGTGTCATTTAAAAAAGCACATGTTTAAATACATCTGCAGTAGCCACATTTTGCTGTAAATGTATTTTGAGAATAGCAGGGGTTCAGCAAGAATCAATGCGCAATGATAAAGACCTTCTTTTCTCACAGGTCCTATCTCTGGCTTAGAGGGACAAATGTGGAAGTTTCCTAACAACTTCAAGCTTCACATATTTATTTCCTGTCTAGCAGTGTTCTGCTTGGTGAGTTTTTCATAAACATCCTCCTGACATAAGCTTGTGCATGTGCTGAGATATCCGCTTGCAATTACAGACAGATACTAGAGTTTGGCTTTTCAAATGCAGTCCCTAGCATAATAAGGCCAGTTAAAGGTGCAGTAGTGACGTCCAGGGAACACATTGGTGGTGGTGTTTTCACAAAGAATACTGAAAGGAACAGGCAATATGAATGCTGGCTCTCAGCTGGCCTGTATCTTCCTTCTGCAAAGCTTCCCAGTAATTCCTCCAGCTTTTCCTTCCTACTGTTACAAGAGCAGCAAAACATCCTGCCCAGCTAGCCACCCCAAAAGCTGCTTTTCGTTATGGAGAACAGCAGAGGTGTCAATACCAGGCCATAATCAGTAAGAGAGTTTGCTATGCCATGGGATAACAGGAGCGCAGATTAATCACAGCAATGCTAAAAGGAATAAATAGAATCACATTTTGGCACTGGGCCAATATTAATCCTAGGTAGGCCAGCCAGGAACATATGACTGAAATTGGAAGGATATTCAAACAGAATATTGGAAGGTGAGATGGAGATGTAAGGGAGAATGACAGAAGTGACTATCTCTTCCCTTATAATGTTATCATAGATCTTTTTAAGACTTGTGAATTCACTCATTCAAAATAGTAGTGAGGAGGTTGATTTAATTAAGTCTGGAGCTCAGCTGGTGACTCATAGGTAGCGTGCTGGAGCCACCTTCTCTTCCCAGTTCTGTGTTCAGTTGCATCACGTTATCAACTTTAAATCAACAACAGTGGGTATATTTACACCAAAAAAAATTAGCAAGTCCAACAAATGAAGAATTCCTACCTTCTAGTCCTGTGTAGAACCATCCACCTTTCATGGTCAATCTGTGTCTTCTTTAGGAAGCAATTTTTCTTTCTCCTAGTTGGGATCCATCTCTACATTCTTTTTGCTTCCACAACACCAATTTTGTTTTTAATATCTGGACAATGGCACTTATTATTCCATGTCTGATATGTTAGTTATCTAACTGCCCAATGAATAATAAGCTTGAAGTCTGAAGGTAAGGATCATGGCTTATTCTCCTTTTGATCCATCACAGCATTAGCATAGTTCCTTAAATATAGGGAGTGCTCAATACATATTTGTAAAATTACTAAATATTTAACTTTCAAAAAATGTTGTGAGGCATTATGATTTTACTTATAATATTACTTTGAATTTACCATATATTTTGAGTTCTCTGAAGTCTCAATTTGCACAAAAGAAGATTCTAAAGTACATCATCAGATCCTATAACAAGTGTCCTTTTGGAACCATGAATGCTCAAATTTGAGGCAAAGTCAACATATTTTAACTAGATTTATGACATCTAGTCCCTTGCTAGTGTTTGATAAGGGAAAAAATAATAAAAATAAGATTAATTTCTTCCACTCACTGTCACCCGCGTGAATGCATTTGTCTGGTTTTGCATGCAGCAGCATGTTTGTCTTTGGATACTGACATATGTGGTGCTCGTTGCTTGGTACTTGTTTACTAGGCTGATACTGGTAGTAGTGACTCTTAAATCACAGGAATTAGTTGTTTTGGCAAATTCATAGATCTTGTTCAGACCAGGTGCAATTCAGCATGTCAGAGGTGTCCTAAGAAAGCATATACTTTGGCAGAGGTTTTAAGGTGTATTTTTCCCTCTATGGGCAAAGGCATCTTTCATAAACAGGTTGGTCTGGGCTCCTGCCACTCTGTGTCTCGTTTCCAAGCTCACTCTTCAATTTCCATCCAACATTTCTTGAATAAATTTCGTTCTCTTGGAAGTAGGTATTTCAGAGCTAGAAAAAGTAATCCTGAGTTAGAGTTGCTGTGTGTGAGTACTTACAATGTGCCAGGCACTGTCCTAGTTGCTGGGCATTCAATGGCAAAAACAGCAGATGGAATTCTGCCTTCCTGGGCCCATGTTCTAGTGTGTACGGGGATGAACACATAAGGAAATAGATGTGTATTATAATGTCAGGCAGCTGGGAAGATGTGGGGAGAGTGGCTGTTATAGATCTGAAGGTATGGTAATGAGCCACACAGATGTTTTGTGGAAGAACATTCCAGGCAATATGAAGCAAGAATATAGGCCCTGAAATGGGTTTGAGGAGTAGAAGGGAGGTATGTGTGGCAGGAGTAGAGAGAGTGAGAGAAGAATAGAAGGATTTGAGGTTGTGGAGGTGCAAGAGGCCAGATGTTGCAGGGTCTTGCAGCCTGGAAATAAACTTATGAACTGTTCACCATGTCAGATTCCATGAAATAGACCCCAGTGAGCTGGAATTGCTATTGCTATTCCCCTTATGATGTATCTTTTCCACTGCAATCCTTTATTGTCATAGTTGGGAATTGGGAGGTCTTGGGGATGGGTCCTTAAGCTATGTGGTATGTGGCTTTAATTCACTAATTAACTTTATTCCATGGTACTTGATCTGGATTACAGGCACAGACCAGAGGGCCATTTGTTTTTTCAAGACATATTATTGAGCACTTATTATGTGCAAGGCACTATACTAGGCACTGGGATATGGTTGTAAACAGACTAATGCTGGCCCCAGGGTTCATTTCTCTCCATTCCCTTAAATGGACCTTTGCCCCAGACCAACATGTCTGCTTGGGTCTTTGTCTACCTTACACCATTATCCTTGCTTTCTCCAGAATAGGGGGAAGATCAGAGCCAATTCCCATCTATAAAGTAGAAATAATATTTCAAAAAAATGAAATAATGTATGTGAAGTACTGAGCAGAATGCCTGGCACATAGTAAGTTAAGTGCTTCTGATTACGATTGCCTGTGAATTAATGGTATTTATTATATATGTCACTCATCTGATAGTTAATTATGTCTTATGCTGTATCTTGCATTATTTGCTTTGCATACATTTATGCTGTCGCTCCCTCAATTAGATTGTAAGTCTGTTGAAAGGAGCAACCTCATTTTATTTTTTCCAACTCTGCACACAGCAGGCTCTCAATAAATATCTGTAATATGTTTACTCTCTGACCTTTTATTCTAACAATCTCTTTTTAAATTAATTAGCAGTCTTAGCAGAAAAATGCATACATTTTACGGATTTATCTGTCACTTTTGTATGTAGTAAAAATGAAAACTTTGATGCAGCTCCCCTCACATACTTGAATCAAACATTTTAGATTCACTTTCTAAAGGTCAATTTTGGAAAGGAATTGTTGACACTCTCTTTTGGCCAACATGGAAGTGGTTCCAGAAACTATTTTGCAGTAGAAAATGGAAGCTCTACTAGCAAGCAAATGTAGATGGATATGGTGACAGTTTACCTAGACATGTCCCTGGGCAGTAAAAAGTAGCTACCTGATGCTTAGTTTTTTGAACTTTGCCCTTTTTTTGTTGTGCCTTCTGAAGTTCTCGGCTCTATTGAGAAGTATCCTTTATGGGTATTGAACTTTAAATCTAAATCTAACTTCAGTTAAAATTTTTAAAATGGACAATTAAATGAGAGTCAAAACGGTAATCAAATCACACAACATTGTTTAAAGTGGAAAATTATACCAGGTATGAAAAAGAAAAGTTTCATAGCTATAGGGCAGGCAATGCCTTAAAAGTCTAGAATATAAATTTTGTTTCCTTGTTTGAATTCTATTTAATGTGATGACAATATGACATAAAGAAAAAAGTCAAAAGTCTCATTGATAACCCATACACGGCCACTCCACTGGCCATAGATGTCTTGCACAGTGTGTCTTTGTGTCAGCCTGAAGGGGCAACCTGCCCCATATGCTTTTTGGCAGAACAAGGACACTGTATGGCTTTAAGTATTCCCTGATCGAATGTGGGAAAAGAAGCAGTTAGCCAAGTTCTGAACACAGTATTTATTGTGCTGACGCCAGCAGGTGAGGGGGGAAATGGGGAGGAACAGAACTCCCACACAACTTCTGCCTTGTTCTACTTTCTGGTGGATGTAAGTTAAGAAGGTTGACAAAGATACTTCTGGGTAAATGATGTAAGGAAGATCCAGGGCTTCAAGTTTAGGATCTGCAGCAAATGCTGTGTGTGTGTGTGTGTGTGTGTGTGTGTGTGTGTGTGTGTAAAATGAACTTCCTAGCAGCAGCTAGTGCCACTGAAGAGCAACCAAAATAATATGTGACCATTTAGATTACAAATGAGTTTGGTTTGCTATTAGCCCCTTGCCCTAAATTAGAAAATCTAGTCTTCTTCTTCTTTTTTTTTTTTAAGGGAATGAGCATGTACAAAAAGGGGATCTATAGAAGCCAGAAATGGTTGGGCCCCCAACACCATTTCAAACAATAATCCCAACAGACATTTCTCTTTCTAAAGAACACCACCAAAAAAGAATTAAAAACCTACATGGAAAGCATACTCTATTTTTGGCTTCTTAGGGGTTGCGCTCCCAGGAATTTCCTTTCCATTCCTGGATCTTTTAAGTCCTTGTCTGAATGGCTGTCTCTACTTCCTAATTTCTCCTCTTCTGAATCTACTTTGGTTTTACTTCTAATCCTTCCATTCCACTAAACCTGTTCATATCAAATTCAATAGTCCCTTCTTATTTCTTATATTACTTAACTTCTCAGAGGCATTTGACCCAGTACATTACTGTCTTTTAAAAATATGCTCTTTGCTTAGCTTTGAGGATGCCTGAGCCACTTGGTGTCCCTTCTAGCTCACCGACTGTTCTTTCTTGGTCTCCTTTACTGGCTTCTTTTCCTCTGCCCGACCCATAAATATTGTCCTGTTACAAAACTCTTCCCTCCAATATTCTAGCTTTTTTTTTTTTTTCCCCTGCAAAGGGAATCTCATCGAGTCTCATGGCTTTAAATATCATCTACACATTGATGGTTCCAAATTTCTATCTTAGTCTGAGCCTCTCCATTGAACTTCAGACTCTACTCAGCCTCTTCAGTATCTTCAGTTGGTATCTAATAGGTATCTCAATCCTAACACAGAACTCTCGAGCAATGTCTGAAAAAAACTGTTCTTCCTAAATTCTTCTCTATGTCTGAAAATTGTTTCACCATCCACTCAGGTACTTAAGCCAAACACTTCTGAGTCATCTTTGTCACTTTGCTTTCTCTAACTCCTTCCAACTCATTTAACCATCAACAAGTTCTTTCAGTTCCATCTCAATCCATTCACTTCTCTCCATCTCCTTTGCTATTATTATAGCCCATGCATCCAGCACCTTTTTCCCGAACAATCAAATAGTTTCCTAACTAGACTTCCTACTTCCACTTTTGCCTTCCTTCAATTAACTACCAAAACAATTAACCTTTTTAAGGCATAAGTAAGATCATGCTACCTCACTGGCTAAAATTCTCTAGTGGCTTCCCATGTAATCAGAATAAAGTCCAAATTCCTTATCATGGCCACCAAGATCCCCAAGTGGTAAATATGATCACAAATCATTAGTATGATATTTCCTAACAGAAAAACGTGACCCAAGTGTATGTTGTAAGCAAGCAGCATAAGAGCGTGAAAGGATACTATGACTTCTAAAAAATTCTAGAAGTCACATTAAAATGTGGACCATTTGTAATACTTATTTCCAATCATTAGAATCTATCTAAAGCTTCTAGGAATTTCCATTGTTTTCCCTCTGCGAACATTTTCTTACAATAGATTGGCATATGTGGGTATATTTTAGAAATATTACAATTTATAGTCACATAATTTTCTTTGATTACAACTCAATTAATTCTATGTTTTTTTTTTTTTGTTTTTTGTTTTTTTCCAAATTTCTACTGCTATGATGCAGGCTTAGAAAATAACCTCCCTTGTTTCTTGAGTTTAACCATAATATGTGCTGACTATTCACAACCAGACACATACATAAAGGTAAGGGGATGATACATCCATACTGTTTGAAAATATCTCCTTTAAATCTATTTCTTGATGATGAAAAATATTGTGATGAAGAGCTAATTATACATAATCATTTGTCAATACATTTATAGTGAGCATTTCCTAAATGCCTAGCTCTTGGTTAGGTTAGGACTAAAGAAAAGTAGTTGCAGACATGATTCCTGAGCTTAGAAGTTACAATCTAGTCAGGGAGCAAAACTAACAACAGAACAGATGTCATCAGAGGCTCCTAAGAGCTAAAATGTTTAGAACTAACTGATGCCCAAGAGTGATACATTTCTGCTGAAAGTTTCTGTAATTAGTAACATGAAGAAATGAAAGTATAGGTCGCTGGTAAAGCTAGAAAAAAAATCCTTATTTTTTCTGTAGCAGTTTTTTTTTTCTTTGCTGTAGAGTTTACAAAACTTTAAGGGTACATTCTTGTTAACAGTCCATGTTTAAATTTCGTCGGAAGCAGGTATGTATTTTCTGCATATCACCAGGGTGCAAGGAATGCCACATTATTGTACTTCTCTAAAATGATTTAAGTCTGACTGGGAGCCTGCCCAACTTTTACCAAGTTAGTGGGATATTCAATTTCAGCCATCACTGTGGCTCCATTTGCTACTACTGGGTCAAGGGAGGGGCTTTGGAGATCTTACACAGGGATAAACATTTTAAAAATCTTTCATAGTCTTTTTCTTTCTTCTCCTTGGGTCTTAACTCTCCTTAACTCCAAAGATGCTCACTTCTTTTCCACAATATGTAAACAAACCTAGGAAGAAAAATTCTGTCCTAGACTTTCAAACTCCCTGGAGCCAACAGAGTAAAAAGATTTGGCAGGAACAAAATGCAAATTAGTACATCAATAAATACTCCCACCACATTTGAAATGTTAAATTGCTAATGTTAACCTTCCATTCTTACTAAATGACTCAGAAATGTTGAAACAGCAGTATTTTTCTTTAGTCATTATTTCCTTGGAATTGTAACCTAGAGTAGAGCAGTAATCTGTGCTCCATGCAAAAAAAAAAAAAAAAAAAAAAAAAAAAAAAATGTCCTCTATGGCCTATAAAGCTTGCTGCTCTAGGTAGTATGGTCTGTGGGCCAGCAGCATCAGCATCCCCTGGAAGCTCGTTAGAAATGCAGGATGTCAGGCCCCACCTCTGACCTTCAGAATCAGAATCTGCAAGGTCCCCAGGTGATTCATGTGTGCCTTAAAGTTTGAGAAGCACTTCTCTAGGTGGTTTTCCTCCCTTTTTCCTTTTCTACTTCTCAAACACAAGGCATAATCTTAGCATTTCTCAAGGACCCTGAAAAAAACCTAGATGAATAATGAAAGTTACGCTTTTAAAAAAGGCTTCTTTCTGTTCTCTAACATTTGGATGAAAACGGTGTCACAACATCTGAAACTAATAATAAATAGACTTCCAATGGGAAGAAACTTCACATTTTACTTCTGGAGGGAACAAAGCATGGTTATGCTCTGATGTTAATTTTACTAAATTGTGTATGGAGGGACTTCTGAGCTGGGATTACTAAGCTATAGTTTGAGAAGTGAAAGGCCAGCATTCGGTTCAGGTCCTAAACACAGTTTACAGACCGCTTACTACAGACAGCAAGAAAATGTCCTTTGAGCCAGGGTACAAGTAGTTTTCAACAGTCAATGGACTTGTGAAAATTCTATTTGGCCTATAAAATTTGCACTTGACTCAATCATTTAGACTTAGCAATGCCAGTTTATTTTCCAAGTAGATGATCCTTTCTCCTAATGTCCCTACCTTTAGTAGGGCAAGAATCAGGAATGTTTGCCTGTTACGAATACCCCAGTTGTTCCCTATTCCCCATACCCAGTGGAGATTAATTAGAGAAGAAAAAAGGATTACCTTAACATTTTGTATCATTTTCACATTTCATGCCATTTAGGTATGCCATTCACTCATTCATTTATCTGTTTCTATTTTCTAATAGCTGTTCTTAAGCCTCTTTTATGTCAACATAATGTCAAAGTCAAATCCCTGAAATAATTTACAGGTGATTTTTCCTGTTTTTGAAATGACGCTTTCCCAACTGTGCAGCTTTCCACAGCGATGCCTGGTATAGAGGATTATCAGGGAAAATACTTAATTTGTCCCTTTCTTAAGAACATTTATCAAGTAGCTATTATGTGTACAATTAGTCATCAAACATACATTAACCAATTTAAGAGGCAAGGGTTGTGAGAAGTAGAGTATAAGACAAAGCCCAGTGGTTAAGTTGATTACAGCTTAACTGGAGAGCGCAGATAGAAACACACACGGAGAAACAACAGCAGCAAGGATAACTTGGAATTAACAAAGTATTACTAGAGGACCCAACACATTGTCTGGTGAGTCATTACAAACTCGGTCAGTGATGTGGTTGGGATTGCTGAAAGTTAGAACAGCTTAGGAAAGCTATATGGATTACAAAAGTCCTTGAAGTGGTCCCTGGAGAATGGCTAAGTAGGTGTTACAGGAAGAGAAATACCAAGAAAGCACAATCAGAAATAATATTATGCATTTATGTAGAATTTGAAACATCTCTATCTGAAATAATTTTAAAAACAAACCCTCCTCTGGAAGAGCAATTTGGAATGATTCCCAGCATTTTATGAGTAAGTGAGGCTGGATATGCAGGAGTTCTACATCCCCAATTTATGCAGATAGGAGGAGAGACTTCAGGGGCTATGCTGCATGCTTGTTAGGCTGAGAGTTTCTAACCAGGGGCCATTACAAACAACACTGTTTGTGAGGGTCAAGGCTTTGGAGTCAGATTGAAATCTCTCCTGGAAGGTGCAGTTCTCATTCTGAGAGCAAGTGCAATTGTAAAATGGAAAAGGTCCATTTTAGATAAAAGTGTTTCTCCAAATAAACATTGAAATGAAAATTTGAGATGGTAGCCTATCAAAAATACATCATGCCCTTTCTCTTTGTTTATACTCTTTGTTTCTGAGAATACAGATAATAAGAGAAAGAAATGACAATAATTTTACAAACTGTAAAAATCAGTATCTATATTATTACTGATTGATCTACAAGTGAAGGGACTACCCATTTGTAATGTGATGTTGTGTCTCAACCCACATGCTAGTTTGATATATTAAAAAAAACAACAGTTAAATTCTAGAAGCCAGTGGTAACTAACTGCTGAAGAACTGTTTGAAAATAGTAATTGTTTACTATTCAGCCAGATTTTCTTCCTAAAACTTAATTATGCATATAATAATGGATTTTAATACAAATGCTAAACTTATAACATCCTATCCGAAAGTTATCCACAGCTAATTCCCTCATTACAAATGTTTTCATCTGCTGTAGACTTGCTTCTGGTTGAAGTTCAGAACTCTGTATTACATGAACAGTAATTTTCAACTATTATGTAAAGCCTCCTTCTCCTTCTATAATTCAGACAAATGTCAGAAAGACCAAATTTGCAGAGAGTGGAATACTGTTTATTCATTCAACAAGTATTTGTTGGATGTGGCCACATACTATTATCCTAAGTATCATGCAGATACAGAGATAAATATTATGCTGGATACAGACATAGCTCTAACCTTCCAAAATCATATAATCTGATAGGATACAAAGGCATACATCACACATGGGTCTAACATTCCACAATCTTATAGTCTGATTGGAGACAAACACATTTAGTATATAGTATGAACTTCAACACTTTCTGTGATATAAAAGATGCAGATAGCACAGGGCTAAAATTGGTTGAGAGTCCAATGATGAGTCAGTAAAGATTTTGTGAAGATCATGGCAATATCTTGAAGATGATGGAACTGGTACCTGCAGGACTTAAGTCCTTAGTAACTACATTCCCTTTATCATTCAAGTTCCAGCTGAAATGCCATTTCTTTCCTGATAGCTCTATCTAAAATAAAACCTTCCTCTAATTCTCTGTCAGGGAACCCTCTTTGTTTACTTTTGACACTGTCACATGATTTGTAAGCATGCACTGTCCATTGACCTGTGTATTTGTCTGTTCCTCTTCTACTAAATTCAAACTCTAAGAAGACAGAAACCATGTGCGTTTTGTCCCCTAACATACAGTTCTAAGCACAGGGCTTGGCCCATGGGAAGGGGGCAATAAATACATGTTGATTAATTAACCTTAGTTGAAGAGAACAGTATGAACAAAGAGATAGTGGTGGGTAAGCAAGAGTAATTTAGAAAGGAGCAAATATTTCAAATGAATTGAAATACAGGATAAAGTGCAATGGTAATTAAGGTTGGAAAAAGTGGTTGGGACTAGACTGTGGAAGACTCTAAACTTCAGGCTAAGGAAATTTGGACTTAAAATTTAGATCTAATAACCACATTTTTCCAACCATACATTTAGACACATTACACTCATGAGCCAGTAGAACTATCTGTAAGAGGAATGTCTCAGCAAACCTGGGATATAAGATCACATATCTAAGGGCAAGGAGAAAACACTGAAAATTCCTTGATAGGGGAATTTATATAATAGTTGGGACACACAAAAATAAATCTAATAGTGAAGGGCCTTCATCAATGCATTTCTTTATCTGGAGCATAAGATAGTATCTTCAAATTCTTCCAGCACAACCCATCACTCCCAGAAGGTTTCAGTGGCAAATGTGGCAGCTATGAAAATGCATCTCTCAAGCCTCCTATGGCAGAGTGTAACTGGCCTATGCCCTCAGCTGCTATGCTCTGAAATCCACCCAGCCAGTGACTTTGCATGACAAGGACACCAAGGCAGGCCCATTCCTAGAGGGATGATGAGGGGATTCCTCTTTCAAGTGACTTTGGTTTGAAGACTCCCCATCAGCCTTGCCAAAACTTTCTTGGCACTGCACTGATGTCTAAGACTTTCCCTCCCTCCCTACCTCTTTCCTTTCTTCCCTCCTTCTCTCTTTCCCTTTTCTCATTCCTTCTCTCCTTTTTTTTTTTCCACTGGGATTAGACCTGTACTGCAGTGGTCATCTCTTCCAGCCTTCTGCAGCTCCTTCTCCATTTTCCCTCATAGGCATTTCCCCAGATAAATCTCTTGCACATCTAATTTCCCAGTGAATCTCTTGCAGGGATGCATCTCAGAAAATCCAGGCTAACATGGCAGCCAAACCCTGCATTCCCAGAATCACAACATCTTGAGAAAAATAAATGATTTTACCTAGTCAGCCACTAGCTGGCTGCTGGAGAGACCCAAAAACATTGTCCATGAGCTTAGCAGTCACTTAGTTTTGTTTTTTCTTCTTAGAGTGGAGTACATGTACTGGGTAAAGAGGCTGGCAAGCTTTGCAATAAAAAGAGAGTCTCAAGGACTTAGAGGGGTTCACATCAGATCAGTTCATTGCCAATGGTGTGTTTGCCAAGGAGGAGCCAGCAGCTGCAAGAACACAGCTAGTCTTGGCATCCAGGACATTTTCTTTGACTCCTCATGTTGCCCTTGAACATGCTATCCTTACATTCCTGTATATTCTTGTGATATCTGGCTGGTCTTACTCCTTTAGAAATTTCCTTTCCCTTCTATGACACATGAATAAAAAAAGAAGAGTAACTCCTATATCACACTTATAAAATTGTGCTTCATGTCTTTCTAGACCCTTCCTGAGAGCCTTAGCTGTCAAGGCCCTTTCATGCCTCCTGATTTACTTTTTAAAGCCATGTTTACATTTTAGTGACAGTCACTAAGGCCAATTTATCCTTTAAGGTTTTTCTTAGTCACTGGACCATTATTTCACCCTCTTGAATATTGTACCATATGACAGAGGACACAGATGGTAAGGTTGTTTTTAAATTACAGAAAAGGATTTTGAGATTTCAAAGGATATCTTTTTCAAGATTAATATTAAGAAAGCAAAAATTGACCCAGTTCACAATAAAGCAGAAATGAATCTTCCTAATTTCGTGTTCTCCCACTTTACTAATTTATTACCCTCTTTGAACCAGTGATCTAGAACTGGTTGTGTCTATGAAATCAATGAGGACACTTCATCCTTTATCTTTGGCCCTTCTAAGAAGTTCCTGCAGGAAGACACCACTGGTTGGCTACCCAACAGCTAGGAACCAAAGTAAACTACCATGGGCTAGATCAGGATTGGTCTAGGCCAGTTAGCAAACAGAGGAAGGAAACTGAATTTGAGTAGAAAAGCTATATGCCACCATCTGACATGAAAAATGATCATTCATATAATAGGTTGCTGGTTACTCCCCATTTGTTGCTCCACACTCATTTTCCACTCTCGTCTTCCCTGCTCTGTGCCCCAGGAAGTTGGCCATTACAGATGACATTGCCCAGAACCCTTGGTCTTCATTGGGTTCAGCCATTGGCACCTGTCCCCTCCATGCCTCTCTCTTTCCTGAAAAGACTGGTTTCCCATGATGGCACTAGTAATATTGCTCCTCTCCCACTGCTCAGTGTCACTTCTGGAACCTAGAACACTGTGACCTTTCAGGCCTGGGAGCTAGTACCCTTTTCTTAGCTCTGGGTTCTTCACCATCTTTGGTTGGTTTCCTTAATTCTATCACCCCTCTTGTACATAGACATATTATTGCATTCTTCCTGGTTACATCATTTTTGCATATGCCATCCCTTTCTTTCCTGAACCCAGACTGAAAACTTACTTTGTCACAAATTAAGTTTTTATTTTTAAATTATATAATATTGATTGATAGTTAAAATAAACAACTCAAGAGCTACCAGAAAAAATAGAGTACAATGAGTTTCTAGGCATGTAGCTTTTGATGGAAACACACACAAAAAATCCCTTTGCTTTGTATACTTGGGCAGCAGAAGTGAAGACAGAATTTGGGTTTCAGCAAGAGACATAAGAAGAAAATAAAGAATATGTGGTAGCATGTCTCATTTCATCAAAATCTCACTTTCTTTACATAAAATAACTTTTCTCTGAAATTTATCTTTTTGGTTAGTTTAATTTGAGGGTTCAAAATATGAAGACTGAGGATTTTATATTTGAAATACTATATTATTAATTAGTGTCTTTCAATCTTCTTTGACAACAATCCACAAAAAGAAATATATTTTACATTTTGACCAGTGTGTATGTCACTTATGCCTTTGTGTGTCACTAAACGACACTCATCTTTATGACAAATGATATAATCTACTGCCCTAAAAAGTACAATATACACTATACTTTCATTCTATGCTATTTCATTAAAAAAAAAGTAGTTAGGGGTTACTAAATAAATTTCATGGCAATATGATGGTTGCTACTTGAAATGTAACAAACACTGCTGAGCGATTAACTTTGTACTACAAAAAAAATATAAATCCATGACATAAGAATGAATTCCCCATTCTTTTTTATTTTTAAATTACCTATATAAACGTGGTCTAGTGTAGATGTTAACAAAAGTACCAACTAAAATTTATATTGTTTTATTGTTTAAGAAGAATTTTCACATTTACTTATATAACTTAATAGCATAATAACCTGGTCAGATAGATAAGGCTCTACTTTTCATTCCTAGATGAGAAAACTGGGGCTCAAGGAGATGAAGTGATTTGCTCATGCTCACACTACCAGACAATGCAGATTTTGGTCTTTTGAATGAATTCCTAGCTCTTTTGACTGTTCTAGGTTGCCCATAGGTAGTTAGAATCAGCCTAGATCATAACTGACAAAACAGGTAACTTCAGTTGTAAAATAATAAAGGTATTTGCTTCCTTCACTTTGCCAGGAAATCTTGAAAGTAGATTGAGGTGTTGAATGTTTTCAAACTCATAATTCTTAGAGGAAAGTTCTGTAAGAAGTTGGTAGTAAGTTCTAACCAACATCAAACTTCTGCTATTCTCGTGTTAATACATGCCCTGTGCCTCTATCTGTCATTACTTGGATACTGGAATGGCCCTCTTCTTTTGTTTTGTCTTCCCAAATCCCAGCCCCTTCTTCTATCCCAAATCAAGTTCCTTCTCTTCCATGCAGCCTTCCTGACCACTCTTGTCTATCCTGTCCCCTTTCAGTTTTCTAAATTCTACCATCATTTATATACCACCATAACATGTAGCAACTGATTATGTTGCCTTGTTATTTGCTGTTATTTTGTGTCAGTTTTCTTATTCCTAATCAGACTATAAGCTCTCTCAGAATAAGGATAACAAAGCCTTTTCCCTAGCCCTTAGCACAGTTTGGAACACCTAGTTGATGTTTAAGAAATTGGTTAATTCACACCAATAGCACCACCCAGGCACATCACTTTGTAATCAGGAAGGAAACCCAACTCCTAGCTTTACCTTCTTAGAAGTTAAAGGGTTGGGACCACACATATAGCACCTCAACTTTTACAGCTCCTCCCTGAGGGACTTGCTCCTTATATTATTCTGTTTTCACCCTGCTAGAAAGAAACTACCTGAGACTGGGTAACTTAAAAAGGAAAGAGGTTTAATTGACTCACAGTTCCACATGGCTGGGGAGGGCTCAGGAAACTTATAATCATGGTGGAAGGTGAAGGGGAAGCAAGGCAAATCTTACATGGTGGCAGGAGAGAGGGAAAGTGAGCAAAGGGGGAACTGCCAAACACCTTTAAAACTTCATCAGCTCTTGTGAGAGCTCACTCACTATCATGAGAATGCTTGGAAGAAACCGTCCCCATGATCAATCTTTGGGTGGGGACACAGAGCCAAACCATAATCACCAATTCACCTAGCTCTGGAAGCAGATAGGCTCAGCATTTGCAATTATCTCTGGACCACAGAGAACAAGGTGGCAATTTTAAACAGGTGTGCAAGAACTTCCTACCCCAATTCCCTCAGGCTTAGTACAGAGTGAACAGGCGATATTGCCCAACTCCTAGTTTCTCTCTGGTAGGGGTTTTATTGCACTTTCCCAGCTGCTGCCCAAGGATTAAAGTTCTACATAGTCTAAAACTGGGAGCCCGATTTTGATGCAGTTTGTTTGGCCCCAGAAAGCTTCATGTTGAAATTTGATCCCCAGTGTGGGAGGTGGACCTTGTGGGAGGTGTCTGGGTCATAAGAATGATCTCTCATTTATGGCTTGGTGCCCTTGTCAGGGCAGTGGTTAAGTTCTCAGTCTTAGTTTCTACGAGAGAACCGATTGTTGAAAAGAGCCTGGCACCTTCTCCTCTTTCTTTCTTGCCTCATCTCTTGCCATGTGATTTCTACATGCCAACTCCCCTTAACCTTCTACCATGAGTGGAAACAGCCTGAAGCCCTCACTGGAAGCAGATGCTAGCATCATGCTTCCTGTACAGCCTGCAGAACCATGAACCAAATAAACCTCTCTTCCTCATAAATTACCCAGCAACAGGTATTCCTTATAGCATTACTAAGTGGACTAAGAGCCAGTGGGGCAGGTAATTAGTAAGACCTCTGGGAGCTTGAAAGGGTATGTATGTGGGCACTAGTGTGTGGGCACTTCCTGTGCCTTCTCCCCCAGCTCAATCCAATGATAAAATCAAGCATCTAATCTCTCCTGGAAGGAGTTTGTCCATACATTGAGCACCCCAACTTTTACAGCTCCCACCTGAGAGACTGGCTCTGAAATCACCTAGCTCTGGGAGCTATGGGGGACTGGCATTTATGTGTCCCCCAAGACCACAAGGAACAAAGAAGTGGTTTTAAATGAGCTCATGTGCACTACCAGCAGCTAGTTCCCCAAGCTCAGTGAAGAGTGAGCAAGCAAAAACACCCAGCTCTCAGTTTCTCCCTGGACGGAGTTAGACTGCATACATAATATTCTGACTTTCCTAGCTGCTGTCCGTGGATTAAGCTATTAATTAGCCTGCATCAGGGAGCTGATGGAGCAGGCAATTAGTAGAACTCCGGGAGTCTGAACAGGCATGAGGGCACTTCCTGCAGCTCCTCACTCCAGAAACATAACCAAGCTTCCAGCTAATTCACTTATCCAGGACAGCTAATGAGACCTGCCATTTGAGAGAGCAAAGTAAATGTTTAAAGAGAGCATTGTCTGAAATAGAGCACAAGCATTTGGCACAGATCCTCTATCTGGACTGCAGAGTGAGTGGGGTATAAAGTCCAGCTCCCAGCTTATCCCTGAGGAGAGAGGAAGATGGACCACTCATCTAGAGCCCCAATATTTCTAGCTGCTTCTTGAGGGACAGGTTTCTCTACCTTGGTCACTAACTTAGGACTTGGGACATTCCTACCGAGGGCCACTAAGAACAAAACTGGTGGTTTGAATAAGCACAAAAGTTTAAGAGGCACCCCAGGCCGGGCGCGGTGGCTCTCATCTATAATCCCAGCACTTTGGGAGGTCGAGGCAGACGGATCACCTGAGGTCGGGAGCTCGACACCAGCCTGACCAACATGGAGAAACCCCATCTCTACTAAAAAAAATACAAAATTAGCCGGGCGTGTTGGTGCATGCCTGTAATCCCAGCTACTCGGGAGGCTGAGACAGGGGACAGGGGAATCACTTGAACCCGGGACGTGGAGGTTGGGGTGAGCTGAATGGCACCATTGCACTCCAGCCTAGGCAACAAGAGTGAAACTCTGTCTCAAAAAAAAAAAAAAAAAAAAAAAAGAGGCACCACAAATCTCTGGTCAAGTTGATTGGTGAGGTACCTCTGCTACACAAAGCCAGTTTGACAAGACTGGGAGAGATGGCTATTTCATATAATTTAAAGAAAGCTCTAGGTAGTCAAGGAAAATAAAGAAATAGGAAAATATATTTCAAACAAAAGAACTAGATAAATCCTCTATAAACTGACCCTAATGAAATGGAGGTAACTGATTTCACAGAGAATTAAAAATAACAGCCATAAAGATGCTCACTGAGTTTATGTGAGCAATGCATGAACAAAGTGAGATTTCAACAAAAAGATAGAAAATATTAAAAAGTACCAAACAGAAATCATGGAAATAAATAATACAGTAAGTAAACTAAAAAAAAAAAAAAAATAGAGGGGTGTGATATTACTTTGTCCACAGTTCCTGGCTCATAACTTCCTTAGCTCTTATTACAGTCTTTTATTATAATGCTGGGGTGCTTTAGACATTAGAAGCAGGCCTCAAAAAACAGAAATCTCTCTATGACTTTCTCTTACCCTCTATTCACCTGTTCCTTTTTCTCCATAAGGCAGGCAACAGAAACTAAAAATACACTTAAGTCTTCCCCTGCCTCTGGCCATAAAGAAATTCTCTGACCTACTTTGTCTGATTGTAGGTCATAAGATTTTCATTTCAAAAAAGGTCCTGCCCCATTCCCTGGAGGAAAGAATGCTGCAGAGAGAGACCAGGAAGAATCTGAACAGACAGGCCTTTCTGGGTTTTCCATTCAGTCTGTTAGCACTAGCTAATACTCTTTTTGTCCAATCACATTTCCACATGATTGTCAATCATGCCTATCCAATGAGGTCTCCATAAATGGCCAAAGAGTACAGGATTTAGAGAGCTTCTAGACAGCTATACATGTGAAGGCTTACAGGAAGGTGAACAAGAACTCATCTACATGTCCGAAGGGTTGTGTACCCCAACTCCACAAGGACAGAAGCTCCTGTACTCATGACCCTTCCTGACCTTACCCTAGACATCTCTTCTTCTGGCTGTTTGTTTGTATCCCTTAAAATATCCTTTATAATAAACTCATAAACATAAGCAAGTGTTTCCAAGTTCCATGAGCCACTCTTGCAAATTAATTGAACCTCAGAAGGGGGTTGTGGGAACCTCAGTTTATAGCCAGTCAGTAAGAAGTACAGGCAAAATAACCTGGGGTTTGCAATTGGCATTGGAAGTTGGTTGAGGAAGACAGTCTCGGGGACTGAGCCCCCAATCTGTAGGATCTCTCAGTAGAAGTGTTGGAATTGAATTAGAGGACACCAAACTGGTATTTACTGCAGAACTGATTGCTTACTTGTTGTGTGAAGGAAACCACCCCTTCCCTAAACACACATTTTGTCACAAAGGGCTTCTTTACTGATTGCTGTTGAACTGTGAAAGCAGAGGAAAAACAGTTTGTTTGTTTGTTTTTACTCAGAAGGTATTCAAGAGAAGACTAAATCAAACAGAAGAAAAGATCAGCTAACTCAAAAACAGATTATTGATGATTATCCAGTCAGAGAAGCAAAAAGAAAAAAGAATGAAGAGAAGTAAAGATAGCTTAAGGGAATTTTGGAATAACATCAAGTGAACCCATATACATATTACGGAATATACAAAAGGAGAAGAGAGAGAGAAAAAAATTCAAAGAAATAATGGTTGAATATTTTCCAGTCCCGGGAAGAAAATAAACATCCAGATCCAGGAAGCCCAAACGACACCAAGTAAGATGAATCCAAAGAGACCCACGCCAGGACACATTATAATTGTTAAAAGTTGAAGACAAAGAGAATTTTGAAAGCAGCAAGAGAGAAGTGACTTGCTACTTATAATGAAATCTCTGTAGTATTATCAGACGATTTTTCTGCAGAAACCTTGCAGGCCTGAAGGGAGTTGAATGATATATTCCAAGTGCTGAAAAAAGAAAAAAAAAACACAAAACCTAACAACAAAGACGGCTATACCCAGCAATCCTGTCCTTCAAAAATAAAGGCAAGATAAATAATTTCTCAGACAAACAAAAGTTGAGAGAGTTTATCTAGATTTGCCTTATAAGAAATGCCAAAGATAGCTCTTAAAATTGAAACAAAAAGAAAGCAGCAGAGTAGGGAACACATTGGTAAAAAATAATACAGAATACTGTATTACTATAACAGTGGTAGGTAAATATGTTCATTCTACTATAAAAACTAAAAGACAAGTATTAAAACAACTATAACTAAATTATGTTACTACATACACAATATAAACAGATGTACATTGGGATATTAGTAGCATATAATGGGGGAGAAGAGGTAAAAGCAGAGAGTTCTTATAAGCAAAGGAAGCTAAGTTGCTATCAGCATAAATTGGACAGTTACAACTCTAAAATATTTTATGTAAGCCCTTTGGTGACAACAAAGAAAAAATATATAGAAGTTACACAAAAGAAGAAATCAAAACCTATCAGCATAAAAATCCAACAAAACACTGAAGAAGAGAGCAAGAGAAAAAAGAATTATAAACAAATAGAAAACAGTTGACAAAATGGCAAGCTTAAATCTGTCCCTATCAATAATTACTTAAATTGTAAATGGTCTAAACTCCTCAATAAAAAAGATACAGAATGGCTGAATGGGTAAAGAATGAAGATCCAACTGTATGGTTTCCACAAGAAACTCAGTTTAGATCTGAGTACATACATACAGTAAAAGGTAAGTGATGGAAAAAGATATTCCATGCAAATGGTACGGCCCCCCTCCCATTTTCACAGGGGATGTGAAAACGTAGTTCAAATGGTACAAAGTAGCAGTTATGAAGGATGAATAAGTCTAGGAATCTGACGTACAGCAGAAAGACTATCATTAATAATATTGTATTGCATATTGGAAATTTGTTAATAGAGTAGATTTCTGGAGCTCTTACCACACACATACACGCAAAAGATAACTATGTAGGAGATGAGTTTGTTAATTTGTTTCACTCTAGTAATTATAAAAAACATCATGTTGTATACCTTAAATATATGCAACAAAAACTAAAACAATAATTTAAAAAATACAGTTTAGTAGATAAATTATTATAGAAAAAAGAAATTGGTTAACTGTTAATAAATGCCAGATTTATTTTTATACTCTCAGTTGGTCTCCCTCCCTCTTTCTTTTCATGTTTCTAAAATTCTCAGACCAGAGAAAGAAAGTTTTTGAATTACAAATCATATAATAAACAACCCTTGATACACAATAAGTTTTTCATTAAATGTTTATGAGATGAATTGAAAAGGTGAATGAAAGATAAGGAAGAAAAGAACCAGCACAACTAAAATAGTAGCAGGATCTTTAGTATTTGACATCAAAGGGCAATCATATTCTATATTTTTAATATAAACATAAAATTATAATAAATCATATTATAGTTTAGCAATTAGTCCTGTCAAGGATTAGAGAAAGCAGAATACTAGTAGGAAAATTCCATTTGCATTAATGCTTTAATAAGAATTTGGAAAATAACAAACCTATGATGTGTTTTGAACTGCAGTTTCTTACTTGTGACCATTGCTTCAGAACCACTTAGAAAAATATAACTATTATTGGGTCAGGGTCTCTAAAATCCCTTTGGAACCACTAACCTTAAAACAATGGAGTGAGATTTTTTAAATACCTGGGTAACAGTCCTCATGAACAGATTAAAATGAAATAAAAAAAAGCAAAAAAGTTATACTAGTAATTATGTAAGCCACAATTTAAGACATCTGATTATTCATTGTGTGCTAAGCAAAATAGAGTTATAGGTTTGGGAAAGAGAAAGGAGAAGACAATAAAAGAGACAGAACTCTAGTCCTCAAAAAAGCATTCTTTTCTGAGGTTACAATAAAATATAAGAATAGATTTCACTTGTAATCCCAGCACTTTGGGAGGCTGAGCGGGGCGGATCACCTCAAGTCGGGAATTCAAGACAAGCCTGACCAATATGATGAAACCTCATCTCTACTAAAAACACAAAAATTAGCTGAGCATGGTGGCATGCGCCTGTAATCCCAGCTACTCAGGAGGCTGAGACAGGAGAATTGCTTGAACCCAGGAGGCGGAGGTTGCAGTGAGACAAGATTGCACCATCGCACTCCAGCCTGGGCATCAAGAGCAAAACTCCGTCACAAAAAAAAAAAAAAAAAAAAAAAAAGAATAGAAAGAATAGATTTTAATTTCTGGACACAGAACGGTAACAGTTTGACAATCTAAAACTATGTGAAGATAAAAAGAATTTTTTTAATGACTGAATTACAAGTCAGCAAATATTGGGCTAGAGCGTAGCATGACATTAAACTCCTCTCTTTAGGCTAGGACTTGCTTGATTCTGAATCAGTCCAAAGAGTTTAGGCACAGCCTTGGTAGGCCAGGTGTCATACCCTAGGGGCTAAAGGCAGAGTTGATATTCATCTGTTGTCACTGGTATAGCTGCTGACTGTGATCACTCTGGTGTGCTGCCCAGATCCTGTTCAATGAAGGATTTCTTGTTTCAGATGTTGCAGGTGCTCCAGGCCAGGAGCTTTCACTTCTTACTCCTTTGAGGGATTGCCTCAGTAGCAGGGGATTTCCTCACTCAAGAGCAAGACTCTTCCCACTTTCAGTGAGTGATGCATGTCAGAGTAGAATGGCCTAGCCATCCTGGTCCCATGGGAAACAAATATAAAAGGGCATTCCAGAGCCAGAGCTCCTTATGGAGCCAGTTGAGGCTGGCACTGGGCCTGCTTTGCAGCTCAACTTCTCCCTCTGCCCACTCTTACATCCTTTCTCTCTCTTTTACAGATATTGATCCTAGTGGCATCCCCTAATAAATGTGCTACATGTGAATCTCCATCTCCAGGGTCTACTTTCCTAGAAGATCCCACTGTGCCATAGGTTTTTAAACACTAAAAGTACTTCCATGCTAGCTGGTGAAAAGCTATTGACCCATGCCTCCAAGTGCCTCACTCACCAAATCCCTCCCGACCCCTTCCCTGGAACTTTCTGCACCTTTCCATGATCCCATAACTAAAAGAGTGATGTCTAGCCTAACAGAGATATGCTCCAGGACTCTGTTCTGGTACACAAGTCTGGTTCCTTGTGACGGTTTGGTGAGCATGCAATAACTGTTATTTAATCTTTTAAACATGACCTTGGTTTATTGAAGACAAGTGAGTAGCAAAAATGGCTGAAGCACCCTTGAAGGGGACTGTGAAAAAGTAGAGAATGTTTGCCCCATCTAAAAGGGGCAGCAGCTACTTAAGTCTAGCCAACTGTTCAAAGAATGCAGGCCCAGGATTGTCCTTAACTATTGGGACAATAAAAAAAAAGAAGCTGGACACAAAAGTTTGTTGTTGTTGTTGTTGTTTTTGTTGTTAAATTCTTCAAATTTTTAAAAATAACCAATTCATCTGCTTACAAATGTGGTGTGGGCCAGGCGTGGTGGCTCACGCCTGTAATCCCAGCACTTTGGGAGGCCAAGAGGCGGGGGGGTGGATCACGAGGTCAGGAGTTCAAGACCAGCCTGGCCAAGATGGTGAAACCCCATCTCTACTAAAAATACAAAAATTAGCCAGGTGTGGTGGTGGGCACCTGTAATCCCAGCTACTCAGGAGGCTGAGCCAGGGAATTGCTTGAACCCGGGAGGCAGAGGTTGAGTGAGCTGAGATTGTGCCACTGCACTCCGGCCTGGGTGACAGAGTGAACTCTGTCTCAAAAAAAAAAAAAAAAAAAAAAAATGTGCTGTAGGCCAAACAACATGCCCATGAGCTAGATTTGGCTCACGGATATCAGTTTATGACTTCTGTGATAAGATCTCTCTGGTCCACATGGCCCTAGGAGGCCAATTCCAGAAGGACATTTGGAAACTTGCTGGCTTTTAAAGTTTCTACCTAATCTGACATAGTCACCTCTTCCAATAAGGTATTGACCAAGTTTACACTAAAGCTATTGATCTCTTAGAGAAAAGCTTCATCCACTGCTACTAGCAAAATGGTCATGTAAAGAGCCCAATATTTCAACTTTATACTTTTTTTCTAACTACAAAATCAAGTAACCAAAAGCTTTGAAATGGTGCCAGATAATATGACTTTAAATGAAGTAGAGCTCTACTGAGAAGCTCCAGCCTATAGATGCTTTTCATATTTTATATTCATATTTGCATCTTCCATTGACATCTATTTTAACTTTTTCCTTTAAAAATGTTCTCAAGAAACTTGTCCTTTTTTAAAAGAATGGTTTTAAAAGGCTTTGACTGTGTGTATTCCAAATTTGCAATCCAATTTAAAGAAATACATTTCTTGAAGAAAATAAGACAAAGAAAATTCTGGAACTAGAGGCAGAAGGAGGGTCTGGTAAATTTAAGATGCAAACATAAAGAGAGTTCCAGGGGCTCATAGCCATTTATGCACACTAAATTAACTTTAAAACTGAAAGGCAGTGGGCAGTAACTTAGGTGATAAAAGATTAATTCTCTTGGCTGAGGGTATGTTGCTTTTTCAATTTACCTTTTGGAAAGGAACAGAATAAATATGAAGACTACTGTTTTGGCAGTTAGCAAACATTCCTTTTAAGAACATGTTGAGGACAAGTCCTAAAAGACCACAGTGTTGAAATAGGAGGCAAGAGGAAAGCCTCAAGCCCTACCCAGCAGCCTGTGCACTAACTTGGGAAATTTCACCCATTATCCCCAGGTAATGGATTGCCCAGAGGTGTTTTCCCAGTTCTTTCAAAAACACAAACCCCTGCTCATTTTAAGTTTCTTGCTATTACTGAAAGGAAAAATTGGAAACTCCTTAGCATGGCATAAAATGCCCTCAACAACCTGGCCCTGAGTCTCCCCTTCCTCCATTCTTACCTCTAATTTCTCTCTACTATCTAGGTACCCAAGAAGTCACCTGAACAATACTTACATACATTATGCTCTTTCACATTCCTACACTTTGTCTACCTTGCTTCCTCTACCAGGAATGTCCCCTCTCTCATCTTTCCCCTTCCACCTCACTGCTACCTGATCAGTCTTCTCTTGTCATCTTTAAAGACCCAACTTCTTTGGTCATCATTAAAGACATGAATCAAGTCATGCTTTCCTTTCTTCCTTTCTTTAGTATTATCTGACTCATTTCTGAGGTATAATAATTTCTGCTTCATTTCTGCATATTAACTATTTTGTACTTGAATCCCTCCAAGAAAAATCTTACCCGGATTGTCTTGAAATACTCAGTGTGCCCTCCCCAACACCCAGCAGTGGTGGAGTCCTCAGTGACTATGTCACTGAATTTCTCACTTAGTAGTGGATATGGCAGGAGAGAGCTGGCAGTCATTTCAGTGTCTCTTGACACTATCAGTCTGCTCTCAGTACCTCCCAGCCTCCTGGATACATGGAGTTGCACTATCTGGTACTTACAAATGAAGCCGATTGTCAATCGTAGATACTGGGACCTGAATGTAAGCAAGCCATTCAGCCTGCCTTCAGGCTGATAATTTCCCTGGCCACTGAAAGAGATTTGGGAGCAATACTGCAGGACCTAGTAAGTCTTTCCTCGACCCTGGCACTGGAACCATGGATGCCAGTCTTGGCACCTTTCAGAACAAGAGCCTAGAAGTACTTCTAGGCTGTTCTTACCTAGTGGTGTACTGGATCCACCTATGGGCACTGGTTTTTGAATTCTCAGAAATTCCATAAGCCAATTATTAACATAGTCTTAATTACAAATTAAATTATGGCAACTTAAAATTAAATTATATTAAAAACAAATGTGATAAAACACTCAAGATCTGTCACTTCATGATCATTTTACTACATTTAATAATTATCTATGTTCTTCAGGTTACTTATGTCTCTTATGCATCTGTATGGCAAAAATACTACATAACAGTGGGCTACTGTGCCTCGCTTCCAAACTCTACTTTCAATCACATTGGTAACTTAAAGTTGGTCATGTTGGGAGTATTTACACCATGGGCACTAGAAAAATGCTACAAGCCAGAGCCCCCCTTCCACCCACCACTGTTAAACATTTATAAGCACACCACTGAAAACAGTATTTCTCAATCAGCCTTGAGTAAACACAATCTGCACCCTGGTCATCACCCAGCCATTCCTAAACATCCTCCACTGTGTCCTGTAGTGATGTCACTGGCTAGCCTCATGGGCCTTACAGGTTGAAGTAGAACAGGTTACTAGCAGAGTGGGCTGTGTTACTTATAGGATACCCTCTCAATTAGGCTTCTGAGCTGAGAGTGAAGGACTATTTTGCTCAAGACTGATCTTTTCTTGGAAGCTGGCATCCAAGAAAAGTAAACTGGCTTCCTGCTAAGTGCTTTGGAAGAGTTCTAACCCAATCCTTAGGGCCATCAATTCTGTTCAACCTGAAGCCTTGGACCTCAGTCTCTCAATCATATCAGGAGAGGAGCTGATACTACCTGCAACCACAAACACTGAACTGGCAAGTTTAGGCTGGCATCAAAGTTCCAACATAACATATGTTTATTGTATCCTGGCCCCTAATCACACCAGAGGAGGAGTCAATGCTGTGCCAACTAGGTAACTTAAAAATCCCACAGTCTAAGGGCCCTGGTGCTCCAGGACTATTCGTGTGCTGCCCTACAGTGTGAAAAGGCAGAGCAGCTGCACATTTGCTTCTGCCGCTGTTTTCATGGGTTTCTTCAATGACTGCTACTCCAGCCAGCCTACTGTGAATGCTGTTGGGCTACTGTCCTTTTTTATAAAACATTCTTAAAGCAATTTATACATATTTTACTTTATTTACTTGCCTGTTTTTTTTTTTCCATCTCCTTTGGAGGTAGGAACCCATTTCATCCATTTAACACATTATGAAGCACCTACTCTATGCTGTATACTGTGATATGTTCTGCAGACAATGATGAAAAAGGCAGACCTGGTGAGCAGCAGCCAATAAGTAGTCATTATAGAGAATCAATTTTAATTGGAACCAGCTACAAAAAATGACTGCCATTCACAGATTCTTCTTCGTACTCTCACCTGCATATGCGGATAAGCCTATTTCTATATGTAGCACCAGAACTTTCTCCTAATTGATCTCTCAGACTTCATATTTTCTCCCTTCTAATTTATTTTAGAAACTGAAGTGAGAGTCCTTCCTTAATTGGAAATGGTTACTCCACTTTCCAAGAGCACCTATCCCTCAGCTGCCTCTTCAATCAAATGAAAAGATATTAAGGCAATGAGGTGCAGTGCCACGTCAGCCAGATCTCCTTACTGTGCTCAGGACATCACTCACTCACTCCACAGCTGCATCTTTATTACAGCCAATCTGTCACATAAAACACCCCGCCTCTCCAGCAACCCACTTCCTTTCCTTCCTAATCTCCACTTAAGACCCATTTCATTAATGAAACCTGATACAGTTACCCTGCTTGGTCTGCACCACTCCAGGTACTCAAGCAGTCCCACTCAAATGGATCAAGTATCTTTCTTTCTCACTTATTCATTCATCCCCATTGGCAATTAAATACACAACAAAACATATTAACAAATACACAATAAAACATATTAAGAAAAATAAATCAGAACAAAGGAAAAGTGAGACCTGAGAAATAAGATAATGCCAGGGAAAATCTTATAGAAATAATGACATCAGACCCTGAAGAATTTATAGTAAGTTGGATTGTCAGCTCCTGTCTTCCTGGTGGCCAAAGGAGATCAGAAAGCACAGTTATAAGATTTATACTGACCATATAAGAACATACCTGATTCTGAGGAGAAGTATAGTTTTTACTGCAGCATTGAGCATTTCTCCCACAGATATTATACATTTTGCCCAAGGATCATTATAAAATGAAACAGTATGTTCTACATCATTGTTAAACTTATGATAAAAAATTTCATAGGGCTGCTTCTTATAAAGTGTAAATCAGCAGAGGCAATTCTCCAAGGTGGGTAACAAAATACTAAGCAAAGCCAAGTGGTTAATAAACACATTTTGGCCTCTGTCTAAATTCATATATTTTTAGTATTATTGTAGGAAGCACTGTGAAGCCAGAATTTAGCATCATCTATTAGTATTTATGTTGGGCCTTAGATTGTAAGTTTTTAGATGTTAGGGACTGTGTCATGAATATGTATTATATTGGTGAGCTCACAAAGTTAAACTATTATTATAATAATATTAAGCTACTATTTGGCTCTTTCACACTCATTCTTCATGAGTGTACAGTGGAGTTTTCCAGAGCCTACAAGACATGATGATGCTCTGACAGCTAATGGGATGTGTTGTTTTACAATTTTCTTAGTTTTAATTACTAAGACAGTAAGTATCAATAACAAAACCTCACATAAACAAAAGCTCTTTGGAGTCTTTAATAATTTGTAAGAATATATAAAGGACCCACAAGACAAAAAAAAGAAAAAGTCTGGGAACCGCTGTTCTGTGTAGGTTACCAAGTATAGAAAAGTGTTTTACAAGTGACAGTGTTTGTGTTCTAAGGACTTATTATTACTAAAGTGTTCATTCTAAAGAGAGTCCACAGTTGGCACTGCTATATCAGTGGCTAGGAAGAAAAGGTCAGCTTTAAACATAGCACTAATAATGACATTATTTTAATAATATATCCAATGTAGTCTTCACATTTTAAGAAAGATGCAAGGAAAGCATGAAGAAAAAAGCTCCAAGAAGTGATAGGAAGGTTTGGGATTATTTATGCCAAAACTGTTTTCCAAACTAAGGACTGCATCAACCTGTGTTGAAGTGACAGTGACCATGGAGAGTGGAGTTATTTAGATCTAAGAATCCATGTCACCTACAAGTATGTGTTGTCTAATATCTCAATAAATAAAAGCATAAAAGAAAGTATAAGATGTGAGGGCTTTTGTACTTTTATAAACAGAAGTTGATACTAAAAGGGGTCACATTTGAAAAGTTTGGGAACTGCTGGTCTAGAAGTCAAGGAGGCTAAAGTGATAGAATATACATAGATATGAGATATTTTCATGAGTACATTGCTGACAAACTGTTGACAAAATTCGTGGAGAGCCATTAAGGTAAGATATATAGAAAAATTCTCCAATGGCAAGGATTTTCAAATAGAAACAAGTCATTTGAGCACTGCAATGGATTTATTTTAATATTCTAAGGATGGCTGAGGGACAATCTTGGGTGGCAGCTAGGTGGAGGGAAGTTGGACTAGAAAAATGACCCTTCAGTCTAAGGTTGTGTTTATTGTTTTGTTCCCTTTTCATCTTTCAACTTTAAAACTCTGCTTCAGAAATCAGCATCTGATTTCCCAACCAGGAAATGTCATCACTATTCCAGAGCCTCAAGAATAGTTATTAGCATACTCAATTCAAATGAGGAAGTTAGGTTTGGATCAAATATCTGAAATCACCATCTATTTCTACTTAAGGACATTCCCCCACAAGTGAAAAATGTGTATGATCTCTCAGGGCCTCACTCCAAATTCCAGTCCTAGGCTATACATTCCAGTGCACTGCCTTCAGATGTACCCTCAACAGCACAGATGGGCCTCCTTAGGAGGTAGCTGTACCAAGATAAGGTATAGGACCCAATTAGGGAAGGAAGACAGCAGTAACAGTGCCTCATACTTCTTCAGTTGCCCACTGATCAGCACAGGGACCTTGAATATAGGCAGGACTCTATAAATGCTCACCAAATTAGGTAAATGTGTTTATTTGTACAAAAATAGTGACTTTGACATCAATATTTATATATAAGAACTTTTGAGAGACAGTTTCCATTGGCCTAATGCCCCACATCCTTAGGAAAACATAGAAAGCAAAATAAAACAAAAACAAATCTACTCATTAAACAAGCATTTATTAATTGCCTACTTTACACAAAGCACTTTGTTAGATGCAATATAGATTTATGAGATATAGTACGTGACACAAGGCATTTGCATCCAAGAAAATGATAAGGAATCACACAGCTGAAAATTTTAATGCAATATTGATTATAAGGTTTTTTAAAAAATCGATTATTGGAAACAAGTAATACTTGTATAATTAACTAGCATTTTCATAGGAATGATGTCCCTGAACAGATACTTTTCAAAAGAAGTCATACACATGGAAAATAAGCATATGAAAAAATACTCACGATCACTATTCACTAGAGAAATGCAAATCAAAACCACAATGAATACCATCTCACACCAGTCAGAATGGCTATTATTAAAAACTCAAAAAAATAACAGATGCTGGCAAGGTTGCAGAGAAAAAGGAATATTTATATTGCTTGTAGGAATGTAAATTAGTTCAGCCACTATGGAAAGCAGGATGAAGATTTCTCAAATAACTTAAAATAGAACTGCTATTTTACCCAACAATCCAAGGAATATAAACTGCTCTACCATAAAGACACACACACACGTATGTTCACTGAGGCTCTATTCACAATAACAAAGACACAGGATAAACCTAAATGCCCATTGACAGTAGACTGGATAAAGAAAATGTGATACATATACACCATGGAATACTATGCAGCCATAAAAAATGAGCTCATGTCCTGTGCAGCCACATGGATAGTGCTGGAAGCCATTATCCTGAGCAAACTAATACAGGAACAGAAAACTAAACACTGCGTGTTCTCATTTATAAGTGGGAGCTAAACACTGAGTACACATAAACACAAATAAGGGAATAATAGACACTGGCACCCACTTGGGGGTGGAGGATGGGAGGCGGGTGAGGACATAAAAACTAACCTATTGGAAACCATGTTTATTACCTGGGTGATGAAATCATGTATGCCCCAAACTCCCATGGCATCCAATTTATCTATATAACAGACCTGCACATGTACCTCTGAAACCAAAATAGAAGTTAAATTAAAAAAACATGGGAGATGTTAGGATTAAGATGGCAGATAGGGGCAGAACTAGCTTGCAAGCACCTGCTCGGCACAAAGAGCAGCATGTGAAGATTCACATCGTGAACTTTTGCTCCAAAAACTACCACAGCAACCTACTAGGAAAGCTGAGAGAATCCACAGACCCTTTGAAGGAACTGTATTGCTGCTGCAGGCTCCCTGAAACACTGAAAAACTGTTGAGTCTGCTTGCTTTCTCAGTGGGGACGCTGGTGGTCTGGGGCAAGTTCTCAGGCCTGGTCTCTGGCTGCCTGGAAATAGACTCGGTGCTGTTAGAGGGGCACAGTGGAGTGAGACCGGCCTTTGGACTGCTGGTCCTCTATTAAAATGCACATACCCCTGAGAGAGTTAGCACATTCATAATACTTCATAAGTCATATCTCAGCATTAATTAGTTTATCTGTTTCTTTCAATGGACATCAGTTTAAGACACAAACAGATGTTGAGGTGGAAGAGAAAGGTCAAAGTCTGGAGCTCTTTTGGGAGGGGCAGGAGGGTAAGGGGGCTGCAGAGGGATTCCCTGGTAGCAAGGACAGTGGACAAGTGCTGAGTCTGAGGGGCATGGGAAGGATCTGGAGACAGGGGAGGTAGACCCTCACAGAGAGAACTTTGGAGGCTTTTAGATGCTGAAAACTTTGGCAACTGCATGATATTCCCTAGATAACTCATCCGCAGATTAGTGGAACAGTCGTTGATAGATTTCCCCACCCCTGCAGGATAGTGGGAAATACCAGCTCTTCTTCCTCACCTTCCATCCCTTCCAATCGCAGCTATAAGAACTAGCTTACTTTTAATAACAGTCAAACAGTTTAAAAACCAAAGATCCTACCCACTTGTTCTGAAAGAGAAAATCAGACTGGAGAATGACAGAACAAGATCCACGAGAGCCAGTTGTCTCAGACAGGGTCAAAAGTTCACTTCTTGAACCTAGCTGCTGCCACTCCTTTGATGACCAAATGCGAAAAGCGTCTGCCCCATTTCTGGGCATTATCAGTGCTGTCAGCAGCCTGCACAGCTCCTACAGACAACCCTTGACAATGTCACAGCTGTTTCCTCGGCTGCCAAAACCGCTTAAACTTGCAGGGTTCCCTGTGTTCTTTTTAATCAGGGCTGGAAACTAAAGCTAACGAAAAACGATTCAGCTCAAGTGTTTTTCATTTTGATTGCAGAAGTGTACATTTGCCTAATGCAGAATGCTTCTGTACAGAGTTCCCTTTTAAAGATTGTGAGGTGGGTGGCCAACAGGGAGTTCTCTCCTGTTCATATTTTACTGTGCTGAACTGAAAAACAAGTTGCTAGGCTTGCATCAGGAAAATCAACTGTAGTCCCTGAAACAATTGCACAGCTGGATAAAGAAATCCAATAGAGAAAGCAAGTGGTCATTTCACTTCTGTACACCTTGTTCCAGCCTCACCAGTTCTAGGGACACAACCATGTTTCTGAGCCTGAAGATCCATTCAAAGTCACCTGTTAGAATGTCAACAAGCATGTATGAGTAACACTGCTTAATATCAAGATGATCTCTTTTTAAGGCTGCTCTACAGTCACATTTCTCACAGCAGAGTTTAAGTGGCAAAAACTGGATAACTGGTTGTAATAGAACACTTTTTAACATCCTCCAGTTAGTGTGCAATCTGAGTATGTGGCAAAACTGAATGATCTGTGGTTGCTTTTAAGGGGATAGTGGCTTTTGAATATTGAATGGTGTTTCCATTTTCTTGATTCCCATCTCTCTCATGCTGCCAACACAGCAGTCTTCCCCACAATAAATGCCAATAAGCAATGGAAGGAAGAAAATAAAAGAAATCACATTGAGTAGCTGAGTAGAAAACACTAGTTTAAAAAAATTTCCCCAGCAGAGACATTTCTCCTTCCCTCCTGATTTTAATCCTTAAATCTCTAAATGGTTATATGTAAACTGTCCTGAAATCTTTATTATTATTATTATTTTGAAACACTACATTTGAAAGTAGAAGTTGTCTCTAGCTTAATACTTTGACCAACTGCTTAGTGTGTGTTCAGAACACAAAAGCATATTCATATATGTACTTGCCCAGCTATAATTGAGAGTAAAGAGCAATTACTTCTCACTTATTCTCACCTTCACATTTTATATGTTCCTCATTCTTTTCAGTGAAGCTAGGATGATGCCAGGCACACAACATGCTCCCAATAAGCATTTATGGAGGAATGAATGAAATACCTAGCTAATGTTGCCTTTCTCCACTCCAACTTCCCAATGACTTACTGTAGACTCCTAGGGTCCCAGAGCCATTTACCAGTGTTTTCACCTCCATATGGCCCTCTTTGGCTGTGAATTTCTCACCGCCATCTCTGTCTACCTGAACTTAATGGTCTTTATTTCACTGGCTCTTTCCATGTAATGGTAACCCATCTGATGATTTGCTACATCAAGGTTGTAATTTTAAGATGTGTTACTTATTCCAAGCATAATAACTTGATGGAAAGAAATCATCTCCACATTAAGCATCATGCATGGAAACCTGTCAATCCTCTTATATGTTGCACAAATGACCTTTTAAATATTCACAATGCACTAAAAGAAAAAGGTCAACTTAACACTGAAAAAAATAACACAACTACTTATATATATTCCATAGACTATTTTTTCAAGATGACACAATAATCAATAGTTCAGAGTTTTTCCACTTAAAAGATAAAGTTATAAGCTGAGGTAAATTTTGTCTGATCTCACAAAACTCTAAAATACTATGAAGACAACAAAAAAGATTATTCCACTCAGAGAAGAAAGGAAGGTAAAAAGAAACTCTTACAGAATTTTCTTCTTCTTGGGCAAAGACTGGAGACTATTGAGGGAATGTATTAATAAAACTTTAGTATAAAGCCAATAGGACAATAGGGCATATTTTCAAAGCTAACGATAAGTTCAAATGTTCAGTATCAGATTAGCTATGTCCTAGACACTGAAAGCATAAACGGAACAATAAATGGTTATTTCTTTGGATTTTTGGAAGACAGAAGGTAGGAGATACTGAATGTTTAACAGGTTAAATATGGTGAATTTTTAAAACTATACCTTTGACCTGAATCCCCATCAATATTTTAGAATGGTTAGATTATTTCTATGAGCCCAGAAAGGAAACAACAGGTCACTTGGAGTCAACATGGCTTCACTAAGAACAAATCATTATAGGAAATGTACTTCCTTTCCTTTCATGAAAGGATTATTGAAATATGGTTTAGGGCAGTGTTGTTCATCTAATGTTTTTCAATTTCGGTGAAGCAGGTGATGTAGTTTCTCATAATATGTTGTAAGTAAAATACATTACTGTGGCCCGAGTAAAGATAAATGAATTCACCAATGGTTAAACAAATGACTCAATAAGTTAATTACAGAATCCTGAAAAGCCTGGGGCATAATTTTCAAGTGTAGTTGACAAAGCTATGAATTTTGTTTTGTTATAAAGGTTTTGGTAGAAAACAAAAAAAGACATTCATATGGATTTATCAAACACATGGATGAGAGATAACTGGTAATACAGTTATGGAGGAAAAAAAGGGCAGAATTTCCAGTCAGAAAGATCTCATTAGAGTCAACCAATGGATTAAAATGAACAAAATACAATTTACTTTGGAGAAAATATAAAGCCTGAGTTTGAATTCAAAATTCTACTGCAAAACTATAGGTCACTTTTTTTTTTTTTTTTTTTTTTTTTGAGATGGAGTTTCGCTTTTGCTGCCCAGGCTGGAGTGTGGAGTGCAATGGCGCGATCTCGCTCACAGCAACCTCTGCCTCCCAGGTTCAAGCGATTCTCCTGCTTCAGTCTCCCAAGTAGCTGGGACTACAGGCGTGTGCCACCAAGCCTGGCTAATTTTTTTGTATTTTTAGTAGAGACGGGGTTTCACTGTGTTAGCCAGGATGGTCTCAATCTCCTGATCTCGTGATCTGCCCGCCTGAGCCTCCTAAAGCGCTGGGATTACAGGCATGAACCACAGCTCCCAGCCAAAAGTATAGGTTACTTCTTACCACCATCCACCACTGCCTGACCTGCAGCTGGCAAATACAATCATGGAAGCCTCTTAACATCTGCAGAATCTGCATCAGTATGATCTGACTTAAGGCATAATTTTATTTTGAAAATGAGATTCAATGCACAAAGCAAATTTTCACAATTTTAAACAATATACAATTTGACCTTGAAAATCTTAGTCTCCCTGACTCAGCCCTCTCTGGCAAAGACAGATATCTGGCCAGGAGAAAAGACAAGTTCATTCACTTATCAGAAGCTTGGCCCTCAGTCAATGGGTTACCCTTCCTGGGCGATTATAACTCACAGTAAGGGGTAGACATGTGACCCAGAGTGTGGAAGAGACAGGAGTGGAGTAGTAGCATGGGAAGACAAGGTGATGGTGGACAGGGAACACGGTTCAGCTCCGGGGAGGGCATATGGTCCCATTTCTCTAAGCTTCTTACCTTGTTTTCACTTAGTTTGTGGTCTCCCTGTGCCAGGGTAAGAGTTTGTGGGAGGAATAAGTCAAGTCTCTGTTTCTTAAAAAAACAAAAAAAAAACAAAAAAAACCCCAAATCTTTCCCCAAGTTCACATTCCGATACGAAAGAGAAGGGAGCAAAACCTTTGCCAGTAAACAGAAAGATCAGGCAGTTATATTTGTGCAGGACTCCCAGGGAAGAAGGAGGTGGAGTTTAGACTAGCGATAAGTTCATAGCTTCCAGCCTCGGGGTGGCTTTCCCTGACCCTCTGGTCTTGGGAGTTCTGGACCAAAATTTATCCTTTCTGGCTTTAACAAGGGAAAAGCAAATCAAAACCAAAAAGAGAAAGGGGAAAAGAAAACCTCCCAAGTTACCAATCTTCTGTTTACTTTATTCCTTGTCTTTTAGCCCATCTATCCCTCTGAGATGGTTGCTTTGTTTGGAGGAAAAGAAAACTATTTCAATAAGATCCCTAAGTATTTCAGTTTCTGCAGTATCCTAGCCTTATACTGTCCTCAGAAAAGCATAATGCCTTCATGGGGCTTCTTTATTGCTTTTGCTTTGTTTTTGTTCACTTGTTTGTCCTGACTGTAGACACATGTTTTTAAATTTATTTCATATAATAGAGATCCTGTTTAAAAATGCTTGCTGCCAAACTTACAAATGTCTTGATAAGAAAAAATAAGCCCAGCTGTAGTTAATTTTATTCAGTGAGTTTTTTTTTTTTTTCAGTGTGTATTACTTTTGGGTTCAGTATTAAAAATGGTGAGACTGACCTCAAATATTGAACAACTCTCAACAGCTCAATATTTTGACCCTCTATCCCCTTTCCCTTTTCATGTTATTTATAAACCATTTCTCCAACAAATTTATCTGCTATACCCAGTGCCACGTGCTCAGGCTTTTTTTAGTCCTAAATTCTGCACCTTCATTTGGCTTTGGCTGTAGTCCCAGCCCTCTGGCTCAGACGTAATTCACGGCCTGGCAAGAAGGGCCCTTTGAGGTCAGTGGGGCCTTGGTGAGGGTGGGGGAAGAGCAGAGGTCTGGAAAGACACCCAAAAGCACTGAAGTCCCGAGGCTTCACTCTGCTTTTGGATTTTGACATACATTTTGCTTTCATGCAAGTCACCTGTACAAAATTGAGCAGCTAAGAGCAACAATTAATTAAATAAGACAAGTAGGTTTTGCAGATTAAACTTCTCTCCTAAAAGCATACATGATAGTCCCTTAATCTAGATCCCTAAATCCAACTGTCCTATCTTATCATCGAGCCAATTTCCATCTTCCAGAAGAATTACCCATGCAAAGAGAATAATCCATTACAAAGTTAAAACCCATTTATTGAGAAAAAAGCTTTTTCTTGCCATAAAGCCCATTACTGTTGGATACAGTCATGTTAGCTGAAAAGTGTACTTTACCCAAAAGCTTGGCACCCCCTGAAGTATGCACATTTTCTTTTCTTCTAAATATTTTTAGTGACAATTCTTAAGTTGGGAGGAAGAAAAATAGGAGTCAGGGATAGATTGGGAGGCAAGCATAGTGGGGTTAGAGAAGGAGAGGAGGAGGAGGAGGAGGAAAGGAAAACATATATCTGAATCCCACCAAACTGAATGTCTTCTGGGTTCTCTTTCTTTAGTTTTATAACAATAATAGCTTACATATATTAAACATTTGTGTGCCATAGTTTTGGACTTTCTTTATATGTATTAACTTATTTAATCCTCACAATAATTCTGTGTGTTAGACACTATAGTTATCTCCTTTTACATATGAAGAAACTGAGGCACAGAGAAGGGAAGCAACTTCTCTGAGGTCACAAAACTAATCCAGGTAGAGCCAGGATTCAAATCCAGTCTATTTTCTTAACTGCCTTCAGCTTTATGCCTTCATGCTATCCAGCCACCTATAATAGTTGCCAGGTTAGTAATGTTAGCTTAGATATTCTTCCCCTTCTCAATCTTACTAGCTCCTTTTTTTTTTCTAAGTTTCTTATAAGCATTACCTTTGTACATGTACTGAGTATTTTATGCATCTTAAAATAAAAATATTCCTTGGAATCCTGAAACTTCAAGGGGGTTAAAATTTGGGAGATTAAGTTTTCTTTAAAAATTTTTGATTCAAAACAAGTAATCTATGACAAAAATAACAAACTTTAAAAAACGTGCAGCAAAAAGTGTGTGGCTGTACTTCTTAAATCCTGCTCATCAGTGCTTAGCTGCAGAAAGAAAACACAGGAGGTTTTTTGGAACATTCCAGGTGTGGAGATTGGATAGCAGCTGGCTGCCTGGAGCTCAGCCTTTAGCTATCTAGTCAGACATGCCCTACATCCTAAAACTCAAATTCACACACATAAAATAAGATGTCATTATTTACACAGGACTATTTGTTTTATAAAAGGCTTAATCTAGGGTCCTTTTACCTGTAACAGTTTAGTGTTTGTCTATAGGCTATTTATGAACCAGAAAAACTACAAGAAAGAAAACCCAATGGAAGGAATCCTCTGAGCTGAGTATCAGAAAGGAGGGCAAAACATCATTCATGCAAGCCAGTGGAAAACCAGATCCTACCAATAGCTATTTAATTTTAATTAACATGATTTTTATCTGACTATTCAGGGGCTTAAACTATTGCACAAATCAAGGTTCAGCTCATACAGCTGAAAGGATACCTCATCCTTGAGGAATCCTTTGGACAAGCCTGCTCAATTGAGGCACAACTGACGTTCATAGAACTGTATTTACCTGGCCAAGGTAACAAAATTTTTAAATGGTCAGAGAACAGGGAACTGGAATCCAGATCCTAAGTATTACTCTTTCCGCTCTTTACCAGTCATGCAGAGAATGAAGGGTATGTCTGAGACTGAAAGCAAATTTGCTTACTATAGAGAGCTGTATTTTCTACCATCAAAGAGAAAGAAGGCAGTTCTGTACATGCACGTGTGTGTGTGTGTGTGTGTGTGTGTGTGTATACATTCTAGTTAAGAAGCTGAATAATCTGTATGAGTGTTCTAACAGCAATAATGATATGCAATACTAAGAAAAGAAAAATCAGCCAAATGAAATCTTAGATTGTTTATGATACTTAAGGAAAAATATATTTATAACACATCACTTACCATGATATTAACAATCAAGGATAAAATTATGAAAAACCACTACACAAAAAGGGTTAATAATTGTGCAGAATGCTGTGGGGGAAGACACACACATACACAAAACACACACACGGTTTATGTCGGTGTTTGGAGTACGAGTTCTGCCCTATTGGTTAACATAGATAACTATTTAGTTTCTTCAAAGCTTGAGGGAGTATACGGCATCTGCCCTGTGAAATCTAGTCTCAACTTTGCATCAGTGCTGTGGCTTTTGCTGTCTTTTCCTCCCACCCAAACTTACCTGCATTCCTGCCATGTTCCTCTGCTAAAAGGAGTAATTGGAGATTATGCAGAGACACACTGATTATTAAACATTCATTTAAAAAAAAGCTGAATGACTTTTGCTATAAATTTAGTACCTCGAGCCTTAATAACATTTACCATGCAAGTTATTATTTATTACTTCACGGAAGACTAAATAATCACTAAACACCAAAGAAGCACATTAAAAAAAATACATAAGGGTTTTCCATCAGCCAGACCTGAGTTCTAGTGCTAGCTTTTCCACTTGCTTTGTGACATACTACAATCTTCTTAAACTCTCTTAACTTCAGTGTCTCCTGGAAAAAAGAAGACTACTAACGGACCGCAAAGAGACTTGGAGGAACAGTAGGAGAACACAGTGTCCTTTACATTGTCAATTTTCAGTTCATGTGAATTCCTTTCACCTGGTGACTGGAAGCTTCTAAACTGTAAGAATTTATATATATATATATATATCTTTATTTAAAGATATATATATCTTTATTTTTTGCAAGATTTGGAAAATTCAAAGGTTAGGGAAGGCAGGAAAGAACCACCTTCTTTTGCAAGAAGAAGAATTTGGGTAAATGACAAAAGAAGAAAATGAGGGACAAAGAAACAAAAATATCCCAAGGGTAATGTTTTCCAGGTAGATTTTTGAAACCTTTAAAAAGCCCTTGAATAAATGCCAGGGTCTTTACAAAGTTCTGCTCTAAATGTAACTTGTGTGCAAATAGTGTCCAAACAGCTGGAGGCCATCCTAACGATTTCTGGCATAGCTGTAGTCTGTAGACATCATGCTGGGGACCTGCGCTGACTTGTGTGAACTGGCCAGCTCAAACTGGTCACTTTCCTGCTGTTCCCAGTTAAATATTTTGCTGCTTGTCAGCACTTCCACTAGAGGGCAGCAGGTGGAAAGAAGATGTCAAAATAGATTAATGCCGATGTTTGGCAATAGCAATTGTCAAGGTGGAACGCAAAGTAATGGGGGTGCAAGGGCCTAGTTGACTGAATGGAAAAGGTAAGATCTTGAGTAATTAGTGGGTTTCCATTTCTAAGTGAAGACAGAAATGGGAGAGGAGAAGGAGTTTAATGTCAGTAGAAAGCTGAAGCAAGGCTTCCCAAACTGGTTAATCTTCAGACTCATGTTTGGAGGTTTAGTCAAACAAACAAGCACACCTAACACAGAAAACACTCCAGAGCATCATTCTGTTGCAGGATTCTTCAGGTCTTGCTTTTCCAGCTGGAAACTTTTGTGTTTCCTTTTTGTGGCTGGTGGCACATTTGCCCAAGTTTTGCTCGGGCCCAATGGGCTTGTTCTGCCAACGGCCTGGTAGGCTATGCTCGGGTTGCGCTACCAGCCTGGACCCCATGCCTGCCAAGGGCAAGCCAGGCGTGGAGCAATGAGGGATACGTGAGTGGGTAAGCATGGGGTTCAGCCACTGTGTACAGCCAGGTACACCAGCTGCCGTGGTGGGGTGAGCAGCTCCAGGCACCAGCACAGGCACCAGCTCCATGCAAGCCTGCGGCTGCATCTGATGTACGCAAATGGCTTCCACCGTGGGCAACTGCATCTGGACGAGGGGAATGTGGTGACGCCTGGGAGCATGGAGATGACAGAAACCGCAGAGCCCCCAAAGAGGGTGTCACACAGGTCTGGGCTCCCCAAAGGGCTGTAGCTCTTCTGTTCTTGTCACCTACAATGTGGTGGGCAGGGAAGGCATGTCTCAGCCCTGTTCGTGTTACAGCTCTTTCAGTCCTGCTATTAAGTGGGTCCTGAGTTCTTGTCCCACATCCAGGAAGAATGAGATACACAGACAACTGGAAGGTGAGCAAGGTGAAGAAATACTTTACTGAGTGACAGTACAGTTCTCAGGAGACCTGAAGTGGGTAGCTCTTATCCATAGGCAGGTCATCCCGACATCTGCCCGAGTTTGGATAAGTCCAGGGATTTTATGAGATCAGAAGGGAGGAAGGGTGTGCTTATTGGTCCATGGGTGGCTATGGGAAGGCCTGGATAAAGCACCATAAGTTCTCACTCCCAGCCAAGGACTCCACCTGGAACTGATAGCTCAGCCACAAGGCTTCCGGCCATCCCTGGCTTGAAGGTGGAGCTTCACTGGGGACTGGCCTCTTTCTGCCCAGGAGCCTGTCTGCCTTCTGCCACCATCTACATGTCATCCACAGCACCCAGGCTGTTCATGCCAAGGGGCGCCTGCAGGCCTGCGCTGAACCACCCCTTAGTGCCCTCTCAGTCTCCCTCCCATGCTGGTTGGTGTCCAAAGTCCAGAGAGTGCCTATGTGCCAGGGGGCTGGTGTGTCAGCACTGCTCCGAGTGTGTGCACACCTGACCAGGTCATGACAGCATCCAGGCTTGGCCATGACTTTGCTTCACCCCGGAGCGGGTGCTGGGTGCAGGTGCAGGGAGAGGCCAGGGAGTGATAGCAGGCACTTCCAAGCCTGCAGGAGCAGGGGGTGCTTCCTGGGCCCCCGAGAGCACGGGGATGCCCAGGTCTAGAGGCACAGATGGGCAGCTGCAACTGTGCCTGAAGAGCACTGGGCTTCAGACCTGCCAACTCAGAAGGGTCAGGCTTCCCACCTGGCAGCTCTGTGGAGGGCACAACCACAGCCGCACCTCCCCCACTACAGCCGGCATCTTCACAGCAGCGGCTCCAGATGGGCCGCTGCTGCCATCAATTCCAGATCTTCCACATCAGAATCTCTATGTATGAGGCTTCAGAATTTGTATTTTTCAGAAAACTTCCAGCTTATTCTAAGGAACAGCCACAGTTGGTCTAATACAGGACCTCTGAGGTCCCTTCCAACTTTCAGAAGACCAACTTCACTAACATAATATATGCTTAATGCAACCTTCAAATTAATGGCAAACTTGTCTATTCCACTAGCAACCTGTCTCTAGAGAAAGAAAGGGCAGAGGTAACTAAGATTTCTACAGTGTGGACTGCAACTTACAGTTTTCACAATTCCATAACAGACACAATCTCTCTTAACCGTTTAATCCTCACAACAAGCTTGCAAGTAGGAAAATTCTAAAACTCCACTGACAGTTGGAAAAGCAAGTTCCAGTGAGGCTGCCTTAGGGTGGTGAGTCCAGAAGCCATGACTTTTGACTGGAGTTTATTCCTCTCCATCATAATGTGCAGTGCCTTTTCAATTCCGTTCTGACTCTGGACTTATAAACAATCTTTTAATCAAACAATTTAGAGGAGCTCTAAGAATGATGGCCAAGTCCAAGTTATGTGCAGAATAAGAATGGAAACAAGCATAAGAAAGAGATTTGTAATGGCAATCAAGAGACGCATCCTCATCTTTTCTGCTGGTGCTGCAGGAAGCAGAAGGAAAATACTCAGTGGTAATTTTCAAGGAATACGAAAGATGAATGAAGGTGGGTGAGGAGTCAGGGGCCACGCTTCTGCCACTGGAGAGAGGAGAGTGATTTTATAAGGGTCTTGTCTGAACATAATTCATAAACTTCAAAATCTTCTTTCTGCTGAGGACCACTCTGCAGTGAGGGAATAAGCAGGTATTTCCTATTTTGTCATGTTTCAAACAGATTTTCAAATAAATTTTTTCAACTAAAACACTTGCTGTTAAATGCCAACCGATTGAGAAAAACACACTAGAGAAGGAGGTTGTGTGTCTTGGTCCTACCTCTGACAGTAACTGCTTGAAATCTTGGCTACATCGTTTAATTCTCTGGGCCTCGGCTTCCTCATCAGTAAACAGTGAGGACTGGTCCTGAGGCTTCTAGCCAGAGAGATCACAAAGATATTTAGTTTAGTTTCAATTTATTTTTAATTAGTTTCTAACATTTAGAACCTAGGAGACTCATATAAAATATTAAAGATCAACTTTTGGGTATACTCAGATGAGGAACAAATGGGGCAGTTTTCCATAGCTCTTTCCACCTTATAAAATACTAGATAATTTATTATTTTTGTAGCCTATTGTCTGCCTCACATTCATGTCCTCCACCCCACAAACACACATATATCTCACTAAAGCAAGCAGCATGACCATAGAGGTTTTTATCTCTTTTGTTCATTGAGGCATTGCAAGCACCGAAAATAGTACCCAGTAAATAATAGGTCATCAATAAGTATTTGCTGTGTTAATTAACTTTAACATTAAATTACAGTTTTTTAAGTATAGTTTTTTCAAGTGAGGAAAGCTGAAGGCAACCAGATCAACCCAGATATAAGACATAAATATGTTCACTGAATCATAGTATGGATTTTACAGTGAGCTGTCAAATATAAAGGCTACTGATATATAGTTCTGCCTATATATGGTATGTTTGTTTCTCATAATCAAATTGTGATTACCACTAATATTGGGGGAAATTTTCACATGAAAAACTTGAATATACCAATAGATCCCCACCTGTCAGCTGTTTGTTTCATGTGTAATGATTTTAAAAAAAAAAAACAGCATGGCATGGTTATTTTAAAGGCATGTGACAGTTCAGTACGTGGAATGTTCCACGTTAATGTAACCTTAAATATGGCAGATTGATTTCTCTAGTGGTAAAAAGCAGGTTTTAAGACTGATGAAATTTAATCTCACACCAATAATATAAACAGCTGGCTTTGCAGTTATCATACTCTCCTATGCTTCCTTTAATAAATGTTCATGGATGTCTCCCAGTTTGCTCTACCAGCCTTTAATTCTTAGGGCTGTCAAGGGAGAAATGAAAGGAAGCATTTGTTAGAAGCACTCAAATATGACCATGCATTCATGGGGATTTGTTAACTGATGTTTAAGTTGTTGTATTTCCCATAAACAAGCATGAGTGACAGGCTTTAAGGGTGATCTTCCAAAACAAATGTGACTCATAACCATTAGTGCAGCACATGCTAACAACTCATGTCCTAATCAGCCTCTGAGTACTCCCTGGAACATGGAATTGGTCAAATTGTAGAAGAGGTTTAAAGAAGAAAATGCTGCAACGTTTCATGTAAATATGGCTCCATCAAGCATGACAGCTTTTATGTGGAATTTCCTTGGTAATGAGTATTTAATGTAGAATACCCTGGAACAAGGTTGGGAAATTCTGGTAGGTTAGTGAATCTCTTTGTCAATCTCTTTGGTACCAGCAGATAATTACTTAGGCAGAATTATATCTATCTATCTGTCTATCTATCTATCTATCTATCTATCTATCTATCTATCTATCTATCTATATCTATCTATCATCTATCTATCTATCTATCTATCTATCTATCTATCTATCTATCTATCTATCTATCTATCTATCTATAGTGTCAGATTTAGAGTTTAAAACAGGTTTTCTTGATAGCCTGAATGTTTCTTTTAGAATCAACAGAACTAAAACAGACCTAATTCTTCCACTTGAAGAACATGCTGAGGAATGAATTTCTGCTTTGACCTATTATTATTCCCTAATGTCTCTGATATTTATTGCTGTACGTAGTGAAATCTGAGTTGTATTTTTTGCTTTCGTTTTTATTTTATTATTTTTGTTTGATTGTTGGCTATCATTGGAGCAGGTATGAAAAAGGGGAATTAACAGCTGTCTGACAACTTCAATTCTTAAGTTGCTCATTTAGATTTGATACCACTTCAGTAGTGTCCCTGAGAAATGACAATTATGAACCTTAACTACTTCTAGATTTAAAAACTACATGAATATATGACATTGTATAAAAGAGTATTTAGTTACAATTAGTTAATTGGTAATTCCTGTTATAGAGCTTCAACTGTATGGTCCAGTTGGTTTTCTCTGATTTCATTCAAAAGGAGTCTTTTCTTTCTTGGGGTTCCCATAACTTTTTGTACATGTTACACACACATTCATTAAGGCACATCTGACATGATCTCTCTTTTTCTTCTAACTCTTTGTTTACCTGGCAAACCTTTGAGCCTCTTAAGGTTAATTTATTTATGGGTCTCCATCATCTGGCTCAAAAAATCTTAGATGAGTAACAAATGAAAAGAAGAGGTGTAATGTAACTATATGTATTAGTTTTACTTTTTAAAAAATATAAACAAGTTTTATCTAATTTGATCCCCACAACAATCCTGGGGACTGTCAGTTCAATATGCAACTACCAGATCTAGACTGTGGTTCTCAAGCAGGAGCCATTTTGACCCCTAGAGAACACTTAGCAATGTCTATAGTTGTTTTGGTTGTTGCAACTGAGAAGGGGGACTACTGGTATCTAGTGGGTACGAGGTCACAACTGCTGATAAATATGCTACAATGCACAGGACACGCCTCCCACCATAGATAAATTAACCTAAAATCTCAATAGTGCCAAGGTTGAGAAATCCTCATTTAGCCCCTTGCTTTCTGAAAACTATTGTAATCATATGTTCTGTGAGCTCTAGTTCAAAAATATTTTTCTGATTAAGTATATCGTATAGGAAATTTACTTAACGTACTATATAAAACTACTTCTTGCATTGAATCATCTTCCTTAAAAATATACAAACAAGCTAACCACAAACAGAGGAACAGCAAGTTCATGGTTTGATTCCGAACTGTTGGACGCAGACAGGATGAATGCTTGGTTTGTCAATCCTTTTTGTATTTAGAAAAGGCTCTTGGGTGTAGCTAGCACCTGGGTACTTCCATGCATTTCAAGAAGAATGAATTCATTGTCTGAACTCTTTTACAAAATGTATAAGTTCAGCTGTTTGTTAATATTAAAGTTCCTAGGAGAACAGCTAAAGAGGACTAGGTGGATTTAAATATCAGTTGTTTAAAACAAACCCCAGAATCAAAACTAGCAAGTTCATTCAATAATTTTCCTTTGAGAAAATGGTACATGAATGTGGGGAAGTAAGCATGAAATGATGGCTCTGCAGTCATGTACACAACTATAAAGGGGTAGCCAGAAATACCTTTCGTTTCGCATAACTGAACATCTATCAGTTATTTTAAAAAAAAATTTCCTAAGTAGATATAATGGAGTAACCCATTTGAATGTTTTTATAACTCAATCTCCAGCAGTAACTGTGTGTTCCAGTGAATATCAATTCATAATACACTAGGGCATAGACCAGGAAGAAAGGAACCTTAGGAATCATCTTGTCCACTGGTTTTCTCCTTTTTTATATTTGCTGAATTAGTCATTCAAATATAATCTCATGTGGAAACTGTGTATGATCAAAACAATTATATGAAGCTGTATTTGGGCATACATTTCCATGTACTTCCATACAGAGTACCCTGGCAGGTCAGCCCTGCACACCCACGTTTTAACTCTAGTCTTGCCTAACCTAGAAATTCATTCTACTTTCAGATAATTGTAATTGGCCTAAAGTATTTTCTCAAAAAAGCAACCTAATTTTCCTTGTTCTTCCTCTCTTGATGAGAAGGTAAACAAAGAGGAGATTGGTCTCTACTGAAAACCTCTTACCAGTAACTATACCAGGTATTGTACATGCTATCTCATTTAATTCTCATGGATGGCTTTCTGAGCAAGAATTAAGAAAATCACTCCCAGCATCAGAATCAACTCACCAAAGACCTACTTGCTGTATTAATCAGATTTAATTTTATTAGAAGCACAGGAACTAGAGTAGTACAATTTCATCAAACCCATCCTTTAAACACTGATTCTTACAACTATAACTACATAACAGTATCCCATTTTATAAAGGCTTATGCTATTATGTCTTAAACATTAGAAACATCTTCAAGATAGTTTTCTGTAGTCATTATTAAAATTATCTGTAGCTTCCAAAATTTCCTTGTGCAAATAAACCGCTTCTTTTAGGCATATATTGTTATAAATAAAATTCTACATGTCAGTTTAGTTTGCATGTTTATTCAGCCCTCAGGGCTTGCAATAATAACTCAACTTGAGGACAATAAGAGTAGTTACTGAATACAATTAGCCTATTGGTAATTCCAATTATAGGAATTATATATAATAATTGTATAGCGCTCCCTATAATTATAGGAATTTTACATAATTATTACCAATTACCAGTTGACTAATTGTATTCAGCAACTGCTTTTCCTGTGTAGTAATCTCAATACATGCTTTACTTGTGTTACCTCATTGAAGCCTTTTTAAACAAGTCATTTTCCTCTGACTTAAGAGATAAGAAAACTGAGGCTCAGAGAATGTAAGAAACTACCAAAGTCACTGTAGCAGATGCTGTCAGTGCTTTGGTGATGTAGATTGATCTCTTTGCCTTTATTTTATTTTACTTTACTATTTTATTTTATTTTATTTTATTTTATTTTATTTTATTTTATTTATTTTATTTTATTTTATTTTATTTTATTTTATTTTATTTTATTTTATTTTATTATTTTAATTTTCTGAGACAGAGTGTTGCTCTGTTGACCAGGCTGGAGTGCAGTGGCACCACCTCAGCTCACTGCAACTTCTGCCTCCTGGGTTCAAGCAATTCCCCTGCCTCAGCCTCCCGAGCAGCTGGGACTACAGGTGCCCGCCACCCTGCCCAGCTAATTTTTGTATTCTTAGTAGAGATAGGGTTTCACCATGTTGGCCAGGCTGGTCTCAAACTCTTGACCTCTCGATCCACCCGCCTTGGCCTCCCAAAGTGCTGGGATTACAGGCATGAGCCATCGCGCCCAGCCCCTCTTTACCTTTTTTTTTTTTACATGCAGGCTTCATGTGTGGTTTCACTCCCACACCCAGGACCCGTGTCTCTCTGTCGGCTGCCCTCAGGCTGCTGGAGCCAGCTTTACCTGCACTTGGACAACTGATAGTGTGTAGAAATTTGCATCCTCGTGAGGATGCAAATTTAACCTTAACCACCAACTGAGGATAATCTGGACAACTCAAAATCTGCTGAGACAGATACTTCTACCCACCCACACCACTGTTGGATTCTACTTGATATTGTATCCTTGTCTGGTTTCTTTACCTTCCCCGTCTCATTTTCTGACTCTCCTATCGCTTTCTCCCTGGACCATTTTCTAATAATTCACTTTCATAGGAATCCTTGTCTCAGCATCCTACTTCTGGGGAACTCAACCTTAAAAAAATCACACAATTCATAAATGGGATTCAAATGCAGTTTTGACAAAGTTCAACACCACTGCTCTGAAATCCCTAATCTAAACTGTTTCTCCTGACCACAGCAGAGAAGAAGGAGACAAGAATCAGATGTGGGTGGTGTGGAGACTGCCTCTTACTGGTCCTAAACCCTAAGCATCTCTGAGGACCAGCTTCTCCTCCCAGCGAGTTCCTCCATAGCTCCCTTTACTCTCTTGACAGGATAAGCCTCTACCTGATTAACTGCTGCCCCCAAGGAAGTGATAGTCAAGAATAGGATAAGTACCAGAGGAATTTGATGCACCCTTAGGCAGATCATAGTAAGCTTCTATCAACCAACTGTAGAAATAAATCAGTAATTTATATAGTATTTATTGAATGCTACCTTGGGCTCAGTGGTGGCCATGCTCTCCTCATTTTAGCCTGGAATTTCAGTCTTTTCCTTTTACCCTCTGCTTTAAGGCATCAGTGGTATTCCCCAACATCAAAAGTTTCCACCTTTGGGTGAATAGCAACCCAGTTCTAAACATGTTGGAGAAATCACCCGCAAAAATCCAAAAAGAGATGGTTTTGATCTAAATACATCTCATGTTAAAGTTCTTAATATTCTTCTATTTTGGTTATTAATATTCTTCCATTTTTTTCCCTTAAAGTGAGTTTTTTGACCCAAGAACATATATTTTTAGCAATCAAATATAGAAGTAAGACAAAATAGCCAGGTCATACTGGGGAGCACTTATACTTTTGCCTTTCACACCCATAATGGCTTTAGTATACACATCAGTTTGTCAAGCAAATATGGCCAAGGTATGCACAGAAGTTAACTTACTTCCTTCTATTTCTCATTAAGAGCCTCTTAGAAACTATTCAGTCTGAATGATAACTGCAGAGGAAAAGAAAGCTAGTCAACCGTGCTTACGAAGTTCAGAGCAAATACTAGAGGGTATGATGCTGGCCCAGCTAACAAAGAAAGTTGGGCACCATGATATACCAGTTTGTCAACGTAGCCAGAGCTGTCTGAGTATGGCACTTCATGTACTTTCTATATTCTACTCCTAGCAAGCCCAGCTGGCCAAACGGTGCCCTGACACAGGGCAGGACTCTTCAACTGACTGTCTTTCTCCTGTTTCCCTATTCCTCTGCTCTTGTTACAACACATCCTTTCACCATTAGCTATTATTAAGGAAAGCATGGCTCTTCTTGCTCCAACCAGGGATGCAGTGGGTCAGTGGCATGTAGAGGAGAAGAAATTATATGTCCTAAATGTTAGCCAAACACAAAATGGTCCTCCCCTGAAAAATGACCTCTCATTTTTTGGGAGAGCCAAGGCTCTGGAAAATATAATGTGGCAAACATCATCAAGTCAGTGCCCACTAAGGTGAATCCGTTAATATTTACACATAGCACATGGTTATCCAGTAGTCAATATTATTTCTCTTTCCACAAATTTGGAAGGTTTTGCCAAAAAATTAAAAAATACACAAAGTATCATTTTTTCATATTCAGAAATCAAGAAATTAAAGATTTTATTAATATAAATTGACTTTTAACCTTGAGAGTTTCATGTGCTCTCATTGGAAAATTAGAAAGACTTGATATTTAAGGAATGGGGCTAAGAAAATTGACTCAGCTATCCACAGGATCCCTAGTCAGGGTCTTTTGTAATCTAAAGTTCAATGTCCAAAGGGGCAAAGAAAATTTGGATTTGGGATCTTCAGGTATCATTATGTCTGTCAATATTTGAGGAGATTTAATCAGGCAGGAGGCAGGTGGTGTAGAGATAAAGGTGGTGTCAGGGGGATGGTGCTGGGTGACCGGGTCACTTAATGCAGAATGTTGGCCAGTGACTGGTGCATGGGGTTCGGAGTTCAGTCACCTGGAAAGAGGTTGACAAGACTTAGGCAGGACATCAGGCTCCCACACATTAGTGTTTAGGGCAGAATTCTGATCTTGGTGGTATGTGGAGTAGAAAGCAGGAAAATGAAATCATTCCATCCCCCGGAAAAGCCCACAAAGCCTAGCTTCTAAAGTGGCACAGCTATTTCTAGACCCCTCCCACTATAAGGGGATACTAATTCAACTCCTGCCTTGCTCAGGACTGGAGATGAGAGCATCAGTGACAATTGCAGGAGAGAACTGAGGAAATCAAAGGTCAGGATTTAGCTGCTGATTCACTTATTCATTGAACAAATACACGAAGATCCTCATCAGAATGCTGAAGGATGGGCATCCAGCAAAATATCCTTCATGGATTTTAACGTCTAATAAGTTTTAATTCTATAACATTTTATTACACAGGGCATGGAATGGTCATTTTGTTCAGTTATTTGAAACCAATTAAACTGTATTTATTTCAAGCTCAGTCCAAACTTGCCACACTCTTGAAACACAGATGTCATTATAACTTCATTTAGAAGAGGGAAACACAACAAATGCCACCCTTCACCTGCCTCCTACCCCCACCTCTCTGCCAATCCTGTGTCCTGCTTGTTAGTGAAAGTTTCTATAAAAACATCCTGAAACATTTCCCCTGTGGTTAAGACATGATCCACCATCTTCTAATACCTGCAATCCTTCCATGGAAATGTGATGCGTACACTGTGAAGGTTGAGGCTTAAGTTAAATTGTTATATAAACAGAAACAGAGATTCCTGATAAATGTACCTGATGAAACACTGTGGCTTCATCCTGGGAACAAGGGACAAGAAAAAATGGATTTGCAGCTGAGGCTGAAGAAGTGCTCTAAGCCCCAAGGCCTCCTGGTCTGTCCAGAAGTTGCCAGACAGGGCACTAAGGAATACTCTCTTCGTAGGGTCAATTGCATCAGATTTCAAAGTGTGTTTATGTTACACATCATCACCGTCTTCATGCTGCTAACTACAGATGATGAGGAAGTTTGCTTTGGGTTTGAAGATGACACTGTTGACAGCATTATTTAACAATCCATGTGAGTATTGCCAGAAAAGTTAAAATGGAGCCACATTGCCTGCTGCTTGGAAAAGACGAAGGTGCACCCTTTTGTTGTGGCTGCTGGTGACTCTGCCTGATGACAAGCTAGGTGCACAGTACTGTGGATAAGCAGGTGGTTACAAGCCAAGTAGAGGCCCCAAAAATGTCTTTATTGATGACCCTGGCCTGCCTACAGTTCTATATCATATACAGTGTAAGGTTAAGGTTTAAAAGGAACCAACTCTCAGTAATAAACCCATTGACTTCGATGCACAGTGAGGAGAAAATCATCAATGGCAAATTCTTCATGAGATGGTTTTCCTTGGGAAAAGCTGCTGGGGTGACTGAGGAATCCTGGGCCCCTTGTTGTAGGGAATGATCTCAGGTAGAGGCTGGCTGGGCCAGTAAAGGCCAACATGGACTTCTGCACAGTTGAACTTGGGTTGGTCTCTAGCCAGAGGTGGACAACCAGGTGTGTCTATGAACAGGTACTCTTTGCCATCACCAAACACCAAATACGTTATGTCAACCTCATTCCTGTCTACCCCATAACAAGAGCCACAATTTAGGATACTGAACCAAAGTGGTGTGGAAACATTCTATTATATAACCAGGACTGGCTCTGTTCCCGTAAGAGCTGGCATCTAAGGCGGAAGACCAGAAATATACTCTATCACTGGCATGTGTGAATTTAACTAACATTCAGGGTTCTGAGTATTCTTGGGTGGTCCCACTCCTTCAATTTACTAATTAGCTGTGGCACAAATCTAATCACTCACACTGCCAGCTTCTTTGTAGGGGTAGGTCACTCATTTTCCGTGGGAGCCTAACCAACCTCCCAGACTCTGCCCAGCACATGGCTCTGCTGTTCTCAACTCATCCTGCATATATTTTATTGTATCCCATGAGTAAGTACATACTCTAGCAATGACAAAATATCTGGGGGATTGTCAAGGTTTTGGGATAGAGTCACACATGTCCAGAGACTACAATGAGGAGGGAGTTCAGACCTTTGTCCTTGCTGTAGACCCTCACTGCATAGTAGCCTGAGCCATACCACAGCCATACTGCAGAGCTGAGCAGACAGCTGCAGGACCCAGGGTAGACACAGGCATGAGGAGTTCAGAGAAATAGTACAAAAGAAGCGTAGCTTAGACACTCTGCTGTCATCCAGCCTCAGCATGTTTCCTCCCCTACAGAGTTGTTCTGTGCAAGTGCCACTTTAGTGCTAATAGGCTGAACTGTGCACCAGGACTTCACTGCATTAAACGTGAGTCATTGCTGATGATCACATTAATTAAAAATGCAGAAACTTAGAAATGGATGGAAAAGAAGGCACTGATAGTTCCCCGAGTCAAAAATCCACAGGTTAATTAGACTCTGAGTACTGGTAATTCTGTCTTCTTAACATCCCCGTGTTTGTGATCCATCTATTTTTTATCATCCCTGTCACACTTAGATTATCTCTCTCCTGACCTATTGTCATCAACTTCCTCCTCTAATTCATCCCTTTCAAATTCACTTTTATCCTATTACTAGTATTACTGACAAAGTAAAAATCTAACAGTATTATTACCTAGATTAAAACCCTTTAATAATCTAAGAGGATCACAATTAAATTATGTTTATTTCTCTGTTTTCTCTTCTAAAGACTGTGAGCTCCTTAAAAGCAGGAATATACATTCAAAATTCTTCCTTGGGCTGGGCACAGTGGCTCATACCTATAATGCCAACTACTCTGCAGGCTGAAGAAGGATTGTTTGAAGCTAGTAGAACTGTTTGGGGCCTGCACAACATAGCAAGTTCCTATCTCTAAAACAAAAAAATGAATAAATGCATGCATGCAAAATTGAATGAATAAATAAATAAATACATGAAATTCCTCCTTGAATCTGTAAAATGACTTAATAAAAGCTTCTTGAAAGACTTTTTATGTGTCATTATCTACATTGGCACCATCTAGATTAATCCAGCTTGCTGTGACCTGCTGAACTCCAACATCAAATAAATTCTGCAATATCAGGAGGACAAGGGGACAGAGGATTGCTGATGTACATGGACGCAGGCCATTGCACTAGAACACACCATAAGATTTCTTCTTGCCTCTGGATTATGGTGAAGACAGCAGCAATCAAAAGCTCTGTGGCTTTTTTCCCCACCTTCACTGTGAATGGAAAGCCTTGAAGTGTTCATTCTTGAACACATTTAACAGATGCATTCATTACTGTTTACTAACTGAAACCATGACTCTAATACTTGTGTGAAATATATCTGACATGTCTTGACATCCTCTCAGAGCTCTGTGGAACCTCAACTGTGGTGGAATAGAGTTTATTTTAAAAAATAAATTGTTGCTGTCTGATAGCAATGAGAACAGGGGTGTCTTTCCTTTCAAGTAAGTGTTTTGTCAGTGTGCATAGGTTTATGAAAAATGTTCAAAATATACAGAAAAAATTATTTTGGGGCTCTTGGTTCCCTTAGGATGTGGCATCTCATTCCTAAGTCTCTTACTTTGAATGGTACAGAATGATATAACACCTTTTGCAGAATTTGAGTGATGTCAATTATGTGCTTTGCCTGCAAGCCACACCTCACTGGTGTGCACATACATATACTATATACATATAGTGTACATATATATACATGTATATGTATATGTGTACATATAGTGTATGTATTACACACATACAAATATAAATATGTTGTATGTAAATATTATATATCAATATTACATGTAGATACTATATATGTTACATATGAATATCACACATATGCACACACACACACTATTCCATCATGCAGGTAGCGCTTTTGTCTGGCCTCCAATATTGAGGACTATTACTGGCTGGATATGGCATACACTTCCTCTTTCTTTTCTTCCTCTCCAAATGCTACCGATTTTTCAAGGGCCCAGCAAGTCTTGCCTTTTCCATAATGCCTTTGCTATCTCTGGGCCTTCTATAATTTGACTCAAACCTACTGACCTAAGTTTGCTTCCAAAGGGAATAATTACAAATATAGCACCTATGTACCACACACCCTGGCCAAATTAATCCTATGCCTTCCACGAAGTAAGTGCTCAAGAAATGCTTGTTGAATGTTAAATGCATAAAATAGAACCATCCATTGACTAGCACAGTAAGTGAATGAATTGTTGTCCATAGACATCTCATATCTACATCTGTACACTTCTGTTTATGTTGTTGCTTTATCACATAAGTTATTCCTGTAATAGCCTTCTGTTCTTCTCAGCCTTTTAAAATCTTAAACCTGACATTCTAGTCTCTAGAGAAACAATGTCAACCTCCTTCATGAAGCTGTAATTCACCACAGCTGAGGTATCCCTCACGTCATCATCACTTCTATAAAGTGTGATTCAAGCCATTTTGATAGTTAATATACAATGCCTGATATTGTAATTCTTGGTGTACATGCCTGATTTATTAACCCATGAAAAGTTCCTTGAGGGAAGAATCAATGTATTCCTCATAGCCATAGGTGCAGGCTTTGAAAATAGGAAGCTCTTAAGAATTATCAGTACACTGAATTTGTTGAATTAACTATTCTAGTCCACCTTGATCTATTCTTTTTCAGGGCATCTTGACCATTTCTCTTCATCACACAATCTAGACTTTAAAGGTATACAGGCTCTCATTAATTTCAAGACATTCCTCATGTCCCAGCTAGACTGAACTACAAGGCAGGGGCTTGCTTACTTCCACCTTAGGTTACTGAGGTCAAAGGGTATATTCAAGGGTAGACTGATTGAAATAGTAGAGATATACGACCTAATTTATAACAGGCACTCCTTGGAAGAATACTTATATCCATTAGATCTTTATGCACATTTCTCATTAGCAACATTATTCCAGCAGCAGCAATTTTGATACAATCAGTTGATAGGTCAACCATGTGAAGCCCTTTGAAAACAAGGCATTGTGGATCATTCCTGATTTTGGAATAAAAAATTCTCCTCTAGACTATGTAACTGGCTTTGAGGAGCAGATATAGAGCTTCATATTAAGGATGAGAACTTCATATTAAGGATGAGAGACAGAAAACATCTATTACAACACTTTAGCTAACACAATAACGGCACTGTTCAAATTTAGTTCTCATTAAATTTCCCACAGGGCAATTAGATTTAATAAAAAAAAATCCTTTCAGGGCCAGTATATTTCTAATTGCTCATCTGCCCAAGCAAGAAAATCCCTGCTCAAGTGCTACCCTTCCCTACGCATACAGGTCTGTCATCTTCTACCAGCTCCTGGGTGACTTTTCTCCAGGTGATGCTTCCAAGATCACTTACCCATCAATGCCACATCTTTCACTGAACAAACTGAATTCAATAGTAGTATCTTTTCTTTTTAAAAATTTAATCTATATTTTTAGTCTGCCTTATTCAATAGGAGACACAATAAAAATAAAATGATTTGGCTACAATCCAGACCTGGCAGAAAAACAAACACATGGTCCATAAATATTATCTGAGACTGACCCATGTCATGTTATGCAGTAACTTTGGCTGAACCCATGAACCCATTCATTAGATAAGTGGCCAGAACTAGAACACACACACACACACACACACACACACACACACACACACACACACAGAGCCAAGCATGCACACACACACTGGAACGTGCTTACATATGCCTTCTTACATAAACATCATGCCCCATCCTTAATCCTTAGACCATTTTAAGAAAGGATTCTGGAATATGCACATATTCCAAAGGAAAAAGAAATATTGGTTAGTTCAATAAGACAAAAAAAAAAGAGACAAAAATGTTCTTCTTTGTTAAATTACTTCTTATGCGTAAGTACTGGTAGGATATGTGATTTGTGTTTAGTATAAACTATTGCATTTGCTTATATTCTGCTCTCCCTGAACAAATAAATGAATCAAACAAAACTATTAAAAAGAAAAACAAAAAGCAAACATTAAAAGCAACTAGTGATGTTTTCTCTTCACTCAGGAACTCAAAGTTTTAGTAAAATGTCGAAGCAGCTGAAACAGATGCTCCTTGCAGACTTTCTAGTTCTAAAATGTAATTTGAGCTCTAATCTCTCAGCTGGGGATGCATTTTTAATTTTCTTTAAAGATTTCCTATGCCATACTTTTCATTTCACAAGTTTTTTAAATTCCTCAAATCTTGCCCAGTGGAGTGAAAGTCACCTTAATGAAGAAACGAGAGATTAAGCCACCATGACTTTGGAACAGCAGAGGATCTCAGCTGCAATTCTTTGGCTCAGAACCAAGGTCTAAAACCAGCCATGGGAAAAGCTGCTGAAATGGAGCCTGCAATTCTCTCCATGTTTGACTTGCATAATGTTGACATTATAACGCCAGAGAGACCAAAAAATATTTCCAACAATTATGACTCTTTTCTATAAATATTTTTAAATTGCTTTAAGAGATAAAATAACATATTTTACTCTTCTCATTTTCTAAGTGACTGTGGTCACCCTCAGCAGCTCACTACTACGGATTTATTTTTGGCTAGAAGGTCAGGGAGGACATCTTAAGGCGCTAAGTCTGCTGTTAAACTGTGTTTTCCAACATGAGCTGAATGGTGAGAAGGGGAGTCTGACACTCTTAAAGCAACAACTAAATTCAGTGTCATAGCATGGGAGAAATATATTCTTTCTTTCTTCTGTAGAAGCCCAGGCAAGGAAAAACATCAAGTACTCATTAAAAAAAAAAAAGTCTCCCACCCGTTAGAGAGCACAGTTTTCTTTCTGACAGAAAAGTTCCTCTTCCCTTTCCCTTCTATTACTCTTCCTTGTTTTAGTTAGGTCTGCTATGAAACATAGTTTAAACATATTGAGACTTCTCTACAAGGAGAGGGATATAAAAAAGGGAGGGAGAATTATAGAGATGGGGAAGGAAGCTCATAATTTCTGGGTATATCATTCAACTATTTCAGGTGTCTCTTTCCTCAACTTAGCCAAATGGTAATCACCCAGAGAGTGAGAAGTGAAATTCATTTGAAACCTGCAATTTCTTTTCTCTGAGAATATGATTAACAAGCCTGAATTCTGAGCTCTGGAAATAGATTAGATATCCTTAGTCACAGATGAGCTGAGTGAACAGTAAGCTAATAACCCTTCAGTGTAATTTCAATATCTCTCCCAAAGCCTGAGAACAAGAGACCTGGCTTGTCTTCAACATAAATGTCCTCAGCATGATTTGTAGTATTAATTTTTGATATGAAAACATCAGATGCCAAAGTTGACTGACTACTGCATTCCTCCTAAACATCCACAGAAAAGTCCTACTAGTTTCTGATTTTAAAGCTAAGTCAAGTTTCCTTTTTGCTGCTATGTAAAACTTGCATCTTTTAATAAAATCATCCAAAAAACTTGGATGTAGCGAATACAGTTCAGTGTTGTTTCAAAACACTGAGGGTGGAAATGGAAAAGCAGAACTCACCCTCACTTCCAGAAAAAGCATCACTTGATCCTGCCAGTGCCAAGGTCAACAGCAGCTGCCAGAGATCCATACCTGTAGGACCTGCAATCACAAAAAGGGTAAGGTAAAGCCCAGCAATTAAAAGCAGACCATTATCATGAAATACTGTTTAAAGACTGGGTAAGACATGAATGAGCTGACGAGTCAGTTCCAGAAGGAATCCTGGTAAGTCTTTCACTGCCCCAGAGTCTCATATTGTCCTACTTTTCATGAACTCAAACAGCAGGTTGTAATAAATTCTACTTCCCGTGAGTGCTAGTCTCAGGAAATAACATGAACACTAGAGATGTTCATACCCTGGCTCAAAGCCATAGAAACACCTCACAGCAAACGACCCCCATGCACAGCTTCAGTAACAGGGCCAGTAAGGTTTGCTTTAATTTGATCTGGAAATAGAAAACCTTATCAGCAGTATCAGAAAGCATGGGGCCTTGAGCTGGACAGGCCATAAAAGGAAAAACATAACAATCATGGTAATAGTAACATTTCATAAATCTGTTTCCCAGTGAACAAAAGAGCTCAAACCACTCAAAACGAGTTGCTAATGAGCCATCCTAAAGAGGTTTAACTAGAAGGGAAGCAGAAAGAAGGAGGGAAGCAAAAGGAAACAAAAACTCCCTAGTAAAACTAAAAACCCACAAGGACACAGTGTGTCGTAGAGAGGTTTTATTTTCATGAGGAATACAGATCTGAAAGACCCAGGAATGTGAACACCTCAGACACCAAGAGGGATGCGTCTGTGGCTTTGCTAGCCATTTAGAAGCCCAGTGTGGCCACACCTGGAGCCCTTCAGTCTAACGGAGAGAGTAGATCAACACTTCTGTCAGCACAACACCTCAGTGACCATACACCTTTATCTGGAGGAAGGAAATAAGCTTTTCTAGAAAAAATATACCAGGGTGTCCACATCCCGGATCTTCTGAGGCAAGTTTGGGCTGGTTGAAAATGAACTCAGCGTATTGCCTTTTGTAGAGCTGTTGCTGTGTCTGACAACTAATGCCAACTACTTTAAAGCTTAGCTGCAACATTTCCATAAAATTGCACTATTTACAAGTTACTCAGAGACTTATCATCATACCAGGAGCTCCACGAGATCCTCTACTGGCTTCATTTTTATTACTGTGCAAACCTGACCTAATGGAATAGCCCTTCATGGTATCCCTAATCAGGCTGAAATAATGAGCAAAGATGTTTTTTTCCATGGGCCTACAGATGTGGCCCCCGGCAATGGCTGTGTAATTCTACATAGGGATAAAATTCTTGACGTACTTTAATTTCTAGACAGCAGAGGACCTATCTTTTTTGTTCCATATAATTTTGTATTCTTAAAAATTTCTTTAAAAAAGCACATCTCTATGTAAACTAAATTGTCTTCTTGTATCTGAATCCCCATGTGCAAATCCACATGCATGAGGAACTCTCCTTCATACACTACTTCATGGAGTCGTTCATAGGATTGAGTGTAAACATGCAGATGAACACACTTTGTGAGATTTCACGTGAGAAACATGCAGATGAACACACTTTGTGAGATTTCAAATAAATCTCACACATTGTGAGATTTCAAATAAATCTCACACATTGTGAGATTTCAAATAAATCTCACACTTTGTGAGATTTCAAATAAATCTCACACTTTGTGAGATTTCAAATAAATCTCACACTTTGTGAGATTTCAAATAAATCTCACACTTTGTGAGATTTCAAATAAATCTCACACATTGTGAGATTTCAAATAAATCTCACACTTTGTGAGATTTCAAATAAATCTCACACTTTGTGAGATTTCAAATAAATCTCACACTTTGTGAGATTTCAAATAAATATGAGTTGTGGTTTTTACAACATTCATGTTTTTAATTCCTAACCTGGAAGGCCTTGAGCTGATGGCCTTTCATCATCCTCGTCTACTTTGCAAATGAGAACCACTGAGCATCTCTCCCTCCCAATGTCCTTTACTCCTAGGTGAACAGGCTATGTAATCAAAGCTGGAAACCTCCAGCAGAAATATATTAAAAGGCTGAAAAAAAGTTATAGGCTAAAAATGCCATCCTGTTGGTAACTAAATATTTACTTTGCATTTGATTCTGTCTCTTTTCTTTTTTTGTTTCACTCTGTTGCCCAGCCTGGAGTGCAGTGGCACGATCTCAGCTCACTGCAACTTCCGCCTCCCAGGTTTAAGCGATTCTCCTGCTTGAGCCTTCCAAGTAGCTGGGACTATAGGTGTGCACCACCATGCCCAGCTAATTTTTGTATTTTTTTTTTTTTTTTTTTTTTTTTTGAGACGGAGTCTCGCTCTGTCGCCCAGGCGGGACTGCGGACTGCAGTGGCGCAATCTCGGCTCACTGCAAGCTCCGCTTCCCGGGTTCACGCCATTCTCCTGCCTCAGCCTCCCGAGTAGCTGGGACTACAGGCGCCCGCCACCGCGCCCGGCTAATTTTTTTTGTATTTTTAGTAGAGACGGGGTTTCACCATGTTGGCCAGGCTTGTCTCAAACTCCTGACCTCAAGTGACCCACCCGCCTTGGCCTTCCAAAGTGCTGGGATTACAGGTATGAGCCACCGTGCCCAGCCTGATTCTTTTTAAGTGGAGAAAGCACTGAAGAACTGGATGCTGTGTTAATTTTACTTGTTATCTCCCAAGACACTTAGTGTCAGGTAAAGAAGTTTCCAGTAGCACCTGCTATTCCAATGCCAGAGTATAACAGTAAATCCCCAATTCCCACGCAGCCTTTTCTGCTTCCCATCTGAGCAAGAATGTGAACAGGTTTGCATTTCTCGGAAGGCTGCATCCTCTGGTTTGGAAGTCACCTCTTCAGACATCTCAAGGATGCCTGGCAGATGCCACAAACAAGTGGCATTTGCTTCAGTTGAATAGAAGATGACCTTCCTCCAATCCCCAAACTTTTGAAAGCAGCTGCCTGCAAATGAACTTCACTTCTTCCAAATAAAGAACTAGGTGGGGCGTGGTGGCTCATGCCTGTAATCCCAGCACTTTGGGGGGCCGAGGCAGGCAGATCGTGAGGTCAGGAGATTGAGACCATCCTGGCCAACATGGTGAAACCCCGTCTCTACTAAAAATACAAAAATTAGCTGGGCATGGCAGCGCATGCCTGTAATCCCAGCTACTCGGGAGGCTGAGGCAGGAGAATCGCTTGAACCAGGGAGGTGGAGGTTGAAGTGAGTCGAGATCGCGCCACTGCACTCCAGCCTGGTGACAGAGCAAGACTCCATCTCCAAAAAAAAAAAAAAAAAAAAAAAAGGAACTATAACACTTCCTTTACAAGCTGAACATATGTCCATAGAATGTGCTCTATCAAAACAAAAAACAAACAAGAATCCTCAACACAAAATTAACCAGAAATCTGTTTGCATACTCTTACAGCAGAAAAAAGTATTTAAAATTGCCATGCTCCCAAACAGGAGGTGAATGCAGTTCACTGCCGCCTGGAACACTGCATAGGGACCCGACTCTAACTAAGTGCAGGGGCCAGGAGGAGGATAAAAAAATGTGGATGGATTCAGCAGAAGATAAGGGCTTTATTAGAATCTAACTCCTCCCCTTCTCTTCCACTGATGTTGGCTCAGTGGGAATGATTCCAAAAGTAGCCCCATCTGCACTCCTCTGGAGAACTCTCTCTAGTGCCCTCACATGAGCCAGGCCACGAGACGTGACATTCAATTGGATTGTACACTGTCCACATCATCTTCACAGAGCCCCATATGGAAGCTTCTAGATGAGGGAATCCTTCTCTATTAGATTCTAGCTGAGACAAAATGTCCCTAGGAAACGTCAGAGTGCGGACACATGAAGTTTGGAACTTTAATGTTATCTAACATTACAATGTAATGATATACTAGATGTGAGAATAAGAAAGTCCCTCTATTCCCCTCTGCCAAGCCCTTTTTGCCCAGGTACCTAAACTTATTACATGTACCTTTTAACCCAGAGGTACAGGAGTCTACTCAAATGCTGTCATAAGAAGTTCTGTAACAATCTAAGTAGAGGATGGCATTGTTCGGAGGAATCTACTAAATTGGACCTTAGCCCACTGGGTTTTTTAAGCTTGCAATATTTTCCTAGGGAAAATCCCTCTCTAAATTTCTTTTGATATTTACACATTCTTTGGCTATAGCCTCATGGCAAGATTTTCAGCAGGAGGGATTAAAAAATGGGGTTCTATTCTTGCATAATGGAACTCACACCATTTCTACCCTCAAAGCCTGAGGCATTTTGTCTGCTCCCCATCTTTCTCAAGAAAAAGCAAGTTCAAAACCAGCGTAATGCAGCTGGCATGAATTTTAAATCTGTAGACTGCCCAGCAGAGGAGGCCTCCAAATTACATAATTAGGCCCATGATATACTAACTTATTCTTTGGCTATAAAACAGTTCATAAACACATGAGAAAAGATGAAGGTTAGATATAATACTTTTTCCAGCATGCTATAACCAACTCCAGGCAAAGAAAACAATATGTTTCATGCTCTTTAATTTAGAATTAGCAAGTATTTGTTAAACTACTAGTTCCTGCTAACACTGAGCAAGGCACTATGGAGATTAATGCAAAAGCAATCAAAATAATGGTTCTTCAAGAATAAGGCAGTACAAACACATGAAACTGTGAAAAGAAGGAGCATACCCGAAAATAGAAGGTCAGACTAGGGAAAAATCAGCTATCAAACTGAAGGGCTTAAAATTAAAACTAAATGACAGATAAGGCTTTGGTGGATATGGAAAAGGGAGAGAAACTGTGGTGAACTTGTATGGTAAAAGCTCAGAGCAAATGTTCTGGATATGAGTATGAATTCTGAGTATGTTTTGGACAATATTCTGAGGAAGCTGGTGAATAGAGAACAAGGTTCAAATTCACGAATAAAAGGGCCTAAAATTAGATTGGCGAGGTAGGACCAGATTAAAACAGCATTCTGAACTCAGATTGATCAGAAACTCAGATTTGTGCAAAAGTGGGTTTTCCTTAGGGTACAGCCGCCCTTCATGACTTCTTAACTTAATATCACTGAGAAGTATTGATAAGATTTGGTGATGATTGGATATGAGAGATGATAGAGACATGTCTATCACAAATAACTGAGTATGTGTGGATGAGAGATAGTGCTAGTGAAAGAAATCAGGATTTGGGGATCTGAGTTGGTTAGCAGGAGGAGAAGGTCATAGGACTGCTTTGGATACTTGGTGTTTTAAGGCAATTACAAGACTTTTGGAAATGTGAGAAACGGCTAGTGGGAAGCTGAAGGTAAGAGACCAAAGACTGAGAGACAAGGGAGGTCATTACTGGAGGTGAGAGAGAGCTAAATAGAGATGAGGAGTATCATGTGAATTTAATGTGAAGACTAGACTATTTGGTGACAAGTCTCCATAACACCTTTATCAAAAATTATATTAAAAGTGTATTGGCCAGGCGTGGTGGCTTACACCTGTAATCCCAGCATTTTGGGAGGCCGAGGCAGGTGGATCACAAGGTCAAGAGATTGAGACCATCCTGGCCAACATGGTGAAACCCCGTCTCTACCAAAAATACAAAAATTAGCTGGGTGTGGTGGCGCACACCTGTAGTCCCAGCTGATCGGGAGACTGAGGCAGGAGAATCGCTTGAACCCAGGAGGCGGAGGTTGCAGTGAGCCGAGATTATGCCCTTGCACTCCAGCCTGGCAACAGAGCGAGACTCTGTCTCAAAAAAGAAAAAACAGTTTATTAAGCCACACAGGGAATAATATGCTCATATCTGGTTTGTAATTTTGCAGAAACAAAACAAATCACCACCTAAAATAACTAACACCCTCTAATTTGTATCAAGTATTTTTTTTAAAAAAGTGATTAAAGCATCCTTAGAAGCATGATGTTAATAAATTAATATATGGGAAGAGTAAATGCCAACATTGATTACTAAGAAATATTGTGAAATTATATCTAGTTGATCTCCTTGGTGAAGCTTTTCTAATAATACAGCACAGAAAAAGGAAGAAGCTAACCCAAAAGGGCATTTAAAACTGCTGGTTTTCATTAGCACCAGGCATGCATTGAAACAGCTTGCTTTCAGAGTTCATGTTGTTACCAACTTTTTATGGTGATGATAATTTGGAAAATGGTCAGATCCAAAATGCCTTATGTGAATTTATTTCCTTCCTATGAGTGAGGAAGAAAAAGCTCACAGACAGTTTTGATATAACTACTTTTGCTGAGATTTCTCTCCTCTTGGAGATCCAGCAGGGAATGCAGGATGGGAATTTTAAATGTGTAACGTGTGAGGGGGGAAAAGACTTTTGGGAGTTGTATATATAGTAGGCCTCCAATTTTATTTATTTATTTGTTATATTATTTGTATTTTTACTTTTTGAAGAGACATGGGTCTCACTCTGCCACCCAGGTTGGGAGTGCAGTGGCATAATCATAGCTCACTGCAGTCTCCAACTCTTTGGCTCAAGGGATCCTCCTTCGTCAGCCTCCCAAATAGCTTGTACCATAGGCATGTGCCAACACACCTAGCTATTTTTATTTATTTGTTTATTTTATACACAAGGTCTTGGTGTGTTGCCCAGGCTGGTCTCTAATTCCTGGCCTCACCTGATCCTTCCGTCTCGGCCTCCCAAAGTGCTGGGATTATAGCCATAAGCCACCACATCCAGCCTAGGTTTCCAATTTTATAAAATAAGGATATATGGTATGTACCTGCAATGACCAATTATGTTACAATAAGTCACATGTGGCTATTGAGCACTTAAAATGTGGCTAATGCAATTGAGGAATTCAATGACAATTTAAATTTAATTTAATTAAATATGTAAGTCTATAACAGATTGGATATATGAACCCACTTTTTAAGCTTTACATTTTATGAAATGTAAATGCAGATCAAGTATTTATGATTAAAATTTAGCATCTAAATTCATATGTGCTATAAGTATAAAATATACACAGAATTGAAAGCTTAGTACAAGAAGAAAAGATGCAAAATATCTTGATAATGTTCACGTTGACTACAAGTTGAAATCATATTTTTAACTGCTGAATTAAATAAAATCCATTATTAAAACAAATATTTCTTATTTTTTAAATGTGATTACAGTCATGCATCACTTAATGACAGGAATACATTCTGAAAAATGCATCATTAGGCAATTCCATGGTTCTGTGAACACCACAGAGTGTATTTACACAAACCTAGATGGTATAGCCTACTACACACCTAGGCTATATGGGATAGCCTATTGCTCTGGGCTACAGACCTGTGCAGCAGGTTACTGCTCTATTGAATAGTATAAGCAATTTTACCACAATATTAAGTATTTATGTATCTAGACATATCTAAACATAGAAAAGATGTCATAAAAACATGATTTTATAATTTTATGGGACCAGTCCATCATTGAAAAGTCATTACGTGGTGCATGACTATAGTTGAAAATTTTAAATTACATATGTGGCTTGCATTTTATTTCTACTGGTAGCATTCGTATATACATTTTATGGTTTATATGTCTGCACTTACATTCAAAAACATTAAATGCTTACTATGGGCATATTTGCTTTCATAACAAAAATGAACAAATAAAGTAATTTTTTAAAATTTCAAATGACATATAAAATCATTATGGTTATGTTGTAAAAGGTCCTCCCAAATGCAGAATGATGGGGACAAAAAATTCACTAAAGACTTAGGTGACTTAGGTGTGATTGTATCTGTGGAAGGTTGCTTTTTTCCAAGGGTACTCAGTGTGCATTTGTTTACCTTCAGAAATACAATTATTATGTCCCGATTTGAATCATAGACAGTGGTGTACTGGTAAATGTTTAACACCTGTCTCCCTGGAATTTAAAAAAAGGGTCATGATTTGTATCATTTGCCAATTTCTGTGATGTAAATACCTCTCTCAGGGCTGTTTTTAAGCTACCAACATTAATTCACTGACTGGATTCACAAGCCAGAAGCTGAACCCAGCACAAACTGGCTGGGGAAGGGACTGATGCTATCTAGGCTTCATGTGAGGTAACAGGTACAAAGATTAAGCAATCTACTAACATTGATAAAAAATGTAAGAGACAGTACTGTTGAGTAAACCCTGGACACTCGATTTTATTTGATGACATCTGATCCACTGGCAGCTGATCACATTTAGTTAATAATCATTGAAAGATATTTTCCCAGGTCAGGAGACATTAGCTTCTACCACAGATGCTATCATTAATCTTCATTTACAGAGAGGGTGGGCTTGGGGTTAAGTGAATGTGCTTTGGAGTCACAGAGGGCTAGGTTCAAATCCCAGCTCTACCAAACCTCAGTTTACTCATCTCTAATATTCATATGATAAGATTTTCCCTTTTTAATAAAAAAATCAGGATTAGATGAGATAATTTATTTAAAGCATTTGGCATTCCCTCTGCATGTATCCAAAAGGGTTAGTTATTACACTTACTGAAGTCTTCTTGGTAGTAGTAACAAATAGACTATTTATGTTTTATTATGTTCCTATGGGGTATATTGAGAGTAGGGACCCTCATTTATATATCATGAAGAGGACATCTAGGCATGTGGTAGAGCAATCAGCAAATGTGCTCTTCGCCAGCCACAATATGTAAGACCCTATTCCTAAATCAAGCACTTACATCATATGAAGGTCCAGGAAAGGGAAGGACCATCATAATGTAAAGTGTATATCTCCTAGGATAAGGCAATAATACAGCCTATTTGTGCTTGGGTGTACAGGCAATTGTACATCTTCTATAGTGAGTTCCAATTGTGCAGGAAATACTTTAGGGGCTAATTCCTCCCTCGTCTACTTTAAGAAAGTTCTATGTGGTTGTCGTTAGGTTTGGATAATTTGTTTTGTGAAATCATGGATTTCTAGAACTAAAAATTAGATACAGAAATCCCAGTGACAAGACGCTTGGCTTGAAGTTAGAACTTTTCTTGGGAGAACTCAAAAAAGGCAACTGAGTTACAAGAACCTGAGTCTCTGTCTCTTCCTTTATGGAGGAGTGAAAGAAGAAGGGGCATGTCAGTAGCCAAATGCTTGGCCATACTCCGATATTGGTATGCACCGTTATTCTATTCAGAGTGGAACTTTCTCAAAGAACGAAGCATTCTGTTTCACTAGGACCACATTGCACTTTATAATGCCTCCCCGCAACTATCCCTGTGGATGTTTGTCAACTCACTAAGCTTGATTCACTTGGTGCACTAACGGATTCACAATGCAGATGTGATTGTTACATGAAAGAGAAAATCAATTGCATGGCCGCTTATTTGAACAGTATATTCCTTCTTATATCTTACTTTACACCATTGTCCCTACCAAGTAGTTTTTTCCAAAACAAAATTTGAAAAATGAAACCTCTTATTGACTTTCTACTTTTTTTCTCTTTCTACACGTGGCTCATTCTAAAATCTGATTTTTTAAATTACTATGATAGATCATATAGATCATGGAAAATGTTCCTTAAACAAATTTAAAGATGTTGGAATTTTCTTCAGACTCAAATTTGAAAATTTTGTTTTACCTAATCTAAAAGGAGATAAATAAGGTATAGGAGACAATTTCTCATACAGTGAAGTCTTCAAACAAAAACATTCATTATCTTGGTGAGATATAATCTAACAATGATTACTATAATAATTTATAGTATACTAAATACTTTTTATATCTTAAAGAAGTGCATGTATTCCTGCCTTCTTTGGAGTTAACAGAAGCGTAGGTTTTCAAAGACAGTTAGTTACTAGCATGCCCTAATAACAAATGGAGCAAAAATTGGAGGAAACCCCTCTTTCCTTTTATCGAGTCCAACATGGTAAAGTTATTCTTTGAAGGTAAACAAGTTGGGAAACCAAGAGTGAGGCAATGTGATCTCCCAGGAAAGGCATTACTAGAGGAGGAGTCAGCAATCCCGTAACCTGACATCAGCCCAGCATTGTCCGAGCTGGTGACTCAGGTAGTCATTTAATCACTATGGGTCTCAATTCCCTCACCTGAACACCCTTCTAAAATTTTGTTATAAGCCAAATCCTGCACTGTGCAGTGTAATAATAGCTGCCTTTCATTGACGGCTATTCATGTCCCGACGTTACCAGGCTCCTTGTCTTTCTCTTCTCTTAGCTGGAAGCAGTAGCTGTGTCTCACTCACGATTACATCCTAACAATTAGCCATAGGCTTGCCACAGAGTAGATGTTCACTACAACATCTACCCAAAAAATAAGTGTGCCAGGTACCTTCTTATTTCATTCAACCCTCAGACAGACCTTGCAAGAGAAAGGCTCATTTCACAAATGAGAAAATGGAAGTTTAGAGGAGCTCAGAGAGGTTAAGTAAATCTCCCAAGCTCACACAGACAGAATAATTCTGGGTAGGGTTTCGAACTGTGCTTGATCTTTCCAAGGCCTGCCTTTACTTTCCCATGCTTCTTCAATTGTGAACTAGGCAAACTAAACACACAATCAGGGTAGCAGTGAATCAGAACAAACTACAGGGAGCAAGAAAAAGACAGAGTAATATTTGGATGTGAATTATAAAGAGAGGTAGACACCATAATATTTTCAGTGCATAGGGCCTGTCAAAGACAGTGATAATTCATAAGTGCTGACATGGCAGTTTCTTCAAGGGCTGTATTACATTGCTCAAGGGATGTAATATTTATCGCTATGCCTTAGAACCTCCAATAGCACCTGGTCTACTTTTGGGTACATTACTCAAGAGCTATGCAGTGTGCTCTCTCCATGACATGGGGCATTATCCTGCCTCCTTTAAGCTTCTATGTAAAAATAGAAGTCTATTTGGCCAGACTGACTGGCTGCCAGATAGATGGCAAACACAGGGCAGATCAATATCATGTCTCATCTCCAGGAAGTTTACAGTGTACCCCTTCACTCTTCAGGATCAAAGGAGGTGTAATAGCTTGGACTTGGACCATTCATTGTTAATAGCTTTAATAGAAAATACTCCCTAGAAAAGTGCTAACAGAAATATAATGTGAGCCACAAATGCCAACCACATACATAGTTGTAAATTCTCTAGCAACTGCATTAAAAAAGTTAAAAATTGATATATTAATTTTAATAATGTATCTTATTTAACTCAATATATTCAAATATTATTTCATCATGTAATCAATGTAAGTATTAATGAGATATTTTGCACCTTTTTTCTCATACTGGATCTTTGATTCTAGTATGCCTTTTACACTCACATACATCTCAGTTGAAACTAGTTCCATTTCAAGTGTTTAATAGCTACATGTGGCTAGTGGCTACTGCATTGTACCATGAAGCTCTGGAACACAGAGAGGTAGTAGAAGTCCAAGCGGCCAGCTCCCTAGTTAGTGTAGAATAGATCTGTGTTTATTATTACTCACAAGGCAGGCCAAAGCTGCTGAGAAGAGACCTTCATACAGTTATTTTGCAAGATCTGATAATTTTTTAAAGTAGTAGAAAGAAATAGTCTTCCTACTAAAGCAAGAAGTAGGGTGTTCCAGATCGTCTCAACACTCACTTTGTACATAATTACTGAGCACTGAACTCTACATACAATTAAAGCATCAAATTTTTTTTTTTTTGTAGGACAGAACTTCTGTCTGTTACTAGTTATGGAACTTTATGTGACTAAGTTCTCATCCTCAGCCTCAACTTCTTTATCTCCAAAATAGAGTGTTTGGAACATATCAGTAGTTCTTAGCCTTGGCTGTATATTAGAATCACTTGCAGAACTTAAAAATCAATGCTCTGGCTTTATCATAGATGAATTGGATCAGTAGGATAGGGACTGAGTATTGATACTTGAAGATTTTTCTTGTATAATTCTAAAGCATGGCCAGGATTGAGAATCGCTGATTCAGTGCAAACCAAATGTGCTATATAACTTTTGTGGCAACAGAACTCATCTGCCCCCAAAAGTTGCCCCCACCTGAGCAGAAGAAGAGAAAAGAAATATCTCAATCTCCCCATTCAACCAATCAATTAATGTGCTTTTTTGCAACAGATGATGATTTATGGATCTATGTCAAGTAATTTTAATACTGAAATATGGAATTAAGATCAGAAAATATTATCCTATAAAATGGCAAATAAAAAGAATACACTTGTATAGATGAAATCAGCCGGCCACAGAAATGATCACTCAACGACAATATTTCAAAGTGTTGCTGATGAGACTGGGTAGATGGAATGCTAAAAGATCCCCCGCAAGATTACCATCCTGGGTTATTCAAACACTAATCTAGGTACTGCTGTGAAGGAATTTTGCAGATGTAATTAAGATGGCTAACCCACTGGCTTTAAAACAGGGAGATTATCTTGGATTATCTGCACAAACCGATGTAATCACCTGAGCCTGTAAAAGCAGAATGAGATATGGCAGAAGGGGAAGTCAGAGAGACTAGAAACTTGAAAAGGACTTGATCTTCTGTTGCTGGAAGAGGGTACATAGAATATTGTTGCTGGAAGGGGGTACATAGAATCTTGTTGCTGGAAGGGGGCACACAGAAACCATGAGATGCAATGCAGATAGCCTCTAGGAGCAAAAACTGGCTCCCAGCTGACAGCCAGCAAGGAAATGGGGAACATGGTCCAACAATGACAAGGAACTCAGTTCATGAAAACAACTGGAATGAGCTTGGAGGAAAATTCATCCCTAGAGGCCCTAACAACACTGATTTCTGCCTTGCAAACTCTAAGCAAGAGCCCAGTTGGGCCATGGTGTGCCCAGACTTCTCACATATGGAACTGTGGGACAATAAATGGGTATTGTTTAAGCCACTAAGTTTGTGGTAATATGTTATGGAAGCAATAGAAAACTACTACAGCCTTTAAGAGTCCATTATAGAGCTTGAGATTGACTGTAAACATTAATCAGGAAGATAATCACCACTGAAGCATGTCAATATTGAGAGGGGCATTTTTGCAATGTCTAGCAATTTTATTCATAAGGGACTTTAGAGAAAACTTAGTTCCATCAGTTAACGATAAGTGATAAGGAAATGTTGAAAAACTAGTAAATAATTTACAGCTTTGTCTCTTCCAACTACCTGGGACCAAAAAAATGTCCCAACACAGAGACAGGTGCAATAATTTCTCAAAGCTTGATGATGCTCTCCCTCATGACCCAATAGAGGGTCATTCAGTTCCCTCTATTCCAACTCCACAGTTGTCAAATGACCTTCTGATTCTTGTTTTCTGGGTTCACTATCTTTCAGGAAAATGAACACAGTAATCAGATGAAATGAAATTGCTTGACAGTGCCATAGAGAACAAACAAATATATTGGCATTTTGGTGTATTGGCTCATCTCTTAAGTTTGGCTAAGATAAATCAGGCCCCTAGAGTCTAATCACTTCTGGATCAACTGATACAATTTATTTATTTTTAAAAATTTTTTGAACATGTAAATCAACATAAGATGATCCCAGGGAAAGTTAGAAAGGCTGGAAGGCCCTATCTCCATCAGTTTGCTAGCTTTGCTTTCCATCTTAACATCAGGTCAAACCAGGAAACTTAAAAATAGGCAATGTGTTGGTAGGAAAGTAACAGCCAAGGTCAAAATCTACAACAGACTAGGGTAGAAGAAAAATACGGAAAAGGAGCATGTATTTATGGAGGAAAAAATGGTGTGGAAGCAGGAAGGCCAGTCTATCTTTGTAACATGTCCTTGCAAATCTTGGCTCAGAAGAGCTTGTTTTCAGTCCTCCTGAATTAAAAGTTCAGTTCCCAGGAGGCTTATGTTTACTGTCCTACGGGACCACCACAACATAACTCAGGAAATTATAATTCAATGACCTGGCCATGTTTCTCCTAAACCAGTTGGCTGGCCAAAGAGGTTTGAAATCAGAAGCCTGAGCCACTATTGATTCAGAGAGACTGTCCACCTACCAGGAAGCCAAAGGGACAGACACATAAACTTTATGTTACAGTCTACTTAAGTGAAATCAGTTTTCACATCTTGTAAAACAGTACCAAACCATTCATGCTCCCCTCATTGGAAAGCTATATGAATAACATTTTAACTTTTCAACCACTTGTGATCATGTTACCAGTTAAAACTTTACTCTCAAATGAGGAAGAAAACTTATAGAAAATCCTAGGGGGCAGTTTACATGGAGCATCATCATCAAAATGCTAAAGAACCAAAGGACATGTGCTTCAGACATAGGGAAATAATACACCTGGATGTCCACAGGTACCTAAAATAACCTCTGTCTAAAATAAAGTCAGCATTTCCTACCTGCTTCTGATCCCTACATTATGAGCATGCAGATTCATTTCTTCTATTTCTTATTTTGCTTAATGAGATCAGGGTTCACCCAGTTGGTTACTCCATCCCTTCTCACATTTAACTTGTCACCATGAGGGAGGATTCTACCTCTGCATTCTCCCTGGAACGTAGTACCTTCTCCTAGAGTCTTAGTCTCCTACCTTCTCTTTTCTCCAGACTTTCAACAGCCTTCTTCATGGTCAAGTTTCCTTTACTTTCAAGGCTACTGTTAGACAAATCAGGACTCTACCTACCCTTCAAAGTCACGTTCAAATATCACCACGTCCATGAAGCCTTCCAGACTCCCCACCGCAACTTAGCTGTTAACTCCTCTGTGCCTACATTGTTTTTTTTTAACCTTTACTATAAAACATTCCACAATATCCAAGTCACAAGATGATAAATCCCTGTGGGTGTAACAGATGAGCTCTTGGTGCCTGTGTTGCTGTTTGTAAACTTCTAAGGGCAAGACACAGGCCTACTGCATCAACTTATAATCCCCACTCTGCTCTCAATCACCAAAGCATGGGCTGTATTTGATAAATGAGCAGAAACATGTGACATGTATGCGTGCGGGAGGGGATCTGTCAGTGGATATAATGTCAGCCAGAGGCACTAGAGGTTCTCTTTCCACCTCAGGAACATCCAGACCACCATCTACTTGTCATTTCTGGATTTTTAGAAGTTAGTTCCGGTAAAAGAGAAAAGAGAGGGCTAGAAGTTGAGCCTCAGGCTTTGGGCAGCAGAACATAACCTGAGGGTGCCGGGTGTTGGTGCAAGAGAATTTCAGAAAGGTATGGAAGGTCCCAACGACATCAAAATTCTGCCTGGGCTCCACCTGAACAGCTGCTATGCCAAATAAACACTAAACACGTGCCCCTTTGTCAGGTGGCAGAACTCGGCTTCCCACAGTCCAGCTTCCCCCATCGGTGGCTACCCTCAGTCTCCTCAGCATCCCCATTCAAACTCCTCTCTACTTTTGAAAGACAAACAGGCAGAAAAATTCAAGAGGATAAAAAGGAAAAAACAGAGAGATTGAGATGTGTGAAGTGGTTCTGCTTCCCTTTTGCCATCAGTTCAGGACAGAACACCAATCACAATTTTTTTCCTTAGAAAATTATTTTCCATGTTCACTAGATTAGATTCCTTAAGACACAACTGTACTTCTGGCTGACATTAACTTAAGATAAATGGGCTTTCCTATTTCTCTATGAATCAGAATGTCTAGAAGCCTAGGGTTAGTAGTGATGGGGCCCAGGGGAACCTTGGGGAGGCAGGATCACAATGACAGAAGCCAGAGGCTGAACATGGCCCCGAGAACAGTGTTAGTCTAAAGGTTGCATTTTACAAATGGGGTAAGTTAAGCCCAGAGAGGTGAAGTAATGTGTCTAAGCCCCCGGAGCTGGTGCCGGCCAAGCTGGGAGCAGCACCAGGTCTCCTGTCCCCAGTCCAATGGGCTTTTTCAGTATTCCTTGTTGTCTTCAGCCTGCCACTATTTTCAAGAAGCACTTCAAGTAGCAAGAAGACACACTTACCCCAGGCTCATACGTGCTGTCATAGCTAATATCATTGATCATCAGGCAGACAATACAAACAAATCATAACAAGTGCGGGCACAAGGTGACCTGGCTCTTTGGCCTTCCCCAGCTGGCTGGTCGCTTGCCCACCCTCCCTGAATGAGGGTGAGTTCCACTTTCTACTTTCTTTGAAGCAATACAAGAGCCCTGGAGTAATTAAAGAAAGAAATTTACTCCAAACTAGCCCTGACATCTGGACTAAATTGGGCCTAAATTTCTGAAAATAATCCTCGTTAGAATCTTGCAAAAATGTATTCTTCACACTGACACCACAGTGATTTTCTTAAACTGCCAATTTATAGCCTCTGTTTCAAACCCCCCAGTACTTTTAGAGAGGTACATCCAGCCATGTGTGATCTGATGTGGCCTCTTCCTACCTTATCTTCCACCATTTCCACAAACCTCCCCTTTCTTCCGTCCACAAAGGAATCTTCTCAGAAGGTTCTGGGCTATTCACACCTCTGGCCCTGCTGCCTCCTATACTCTTCTCACTTAATCCATCTTTGCTACTCATTCCCCTAAACCTCAGCTCAAGGACATTTCAACTTAGAAACACCTTAGCAACAACCCCACTCCCAAGTGAAGTCAGGTGCCTCTCCTCTCTACTTCTATCACAGCCTTAATAAACCCTTATTACAGCACTATAAGGAATCAGTGATATTGTCATCTCTCTCCTGTGGCTCATCTTTATATTGCCCACTACCTAGCACAACCAGTTTTAAACAAATTGTTGAAGACATGAATAAAGGCCCATGGACACGGTTTTCAAAGAGGTGTTTGGAAGAGGTGGGAGAATGTCCTTCTGTTGAAAGCTCATGTGAATACTTTCCATTGAGATAGAATAAGTGGTGGTTCCCATCACATCAGGCATTATGGGATGGGTTTTAATCAGGCATGCAGTAAGAAACCCAAAGCATCAGAGTTAATCTGAAAAGAGGTATAGCAAGAAGCAGAAGGAGACAAAGCCCTATTTCTCTTTCCTTCAAAGTACTGACCATCTCTCAGACTAAAGATGCAAAATAAACATGCAATTGTGGTATCACTTCTCTTTACAATACTTTTCTTAATGTAAACTGTTGAAATGTAACACATGGAACAGAATTAAAACCCTTAAGTATTTCCTGAGTGCAAATTACTATCTCTGTTGACTTTCTCAAAATGTATCTGCTCTCTAAATGCTCAGAAAACTAGTCCTTCCTTCAGAGAACAACCTTTGAAAACCAAAATTATATCTTGATGGTGACCAGACAAGGAGGAAGGCAGCCAAAGGCTTTCTTTGCCTAAAAGAATACTTTATAAACTCCAGCACAGAAAAAAAGAAGTTTCGCTTAGAGTAGAAAGGAAAAGGGCAGAGAAGTAAGGGGAAGAGAGAACAATGAGAAATTAACCCAGAAGAGGGAAGAACGAAGTGGGAGGAGAAAGGAAAACATCTGGCCACAGCCATATATTAAAGATTTATATCTAAAAAATGCAAAAGTAAGAAAAAAAAAACCCTGACTATCAGCCTTTTAATCAAACAATAAGTAACAGTAAGGGAATACTAACCAATAGTCCGGCAGATATTGCTGAAATAGAGGCTGGATTTTCGTATTGTTTCCTCCAGGCTTTATATCAAGAACTTTTTAAATTTCCTTTTTCTTTCACTCATATATGCAAGCAGATCACATCACACTGATTTGGTTAAAATCTGACAGAGAGGGAGGGGTTGGAGGTGGGATCCCACAGAAGTTTCTTGGTTACCACTTGGCATGTATTAATCTCTAAATTCTTGGTCTTTCTGCTTTGATATATAAACCTTCACAAAATCCCTCCCAAATCAGTCATTCTCAATCTCTCTCTCTCATGCACACACACACATATCTGGTACCAGAGGAGTAAATTAAATCACATCAGACCATTGTCTCATATAATAAATCCCCTGACCTTTGCCCAGTACATCTCTGGGCTCTGCCTGCTGAACTGAAGGCCAGGCCTAGGCTGGAGTCTCATGAGGCCTATTACAATGGAGGCAGCCAAATCAGCTGAGAAGAGGGCTAAGCGTTAGAACTCAGCAAAGGCTCTGATCTGGATGGGTAGAAAGCAGTGATAGGGTATCTGAATCTGGTCCTTTCCCTTCTCTAAGGAGTATAAGAACAAAGGCAGAAGTGACCATTTGTGGTACTCACTGCTACCTCATTAAAGTACCCCAAATGCCCAGAAGATAGCACATTGTACATCTTGTAAATGAAGAAATTAATGAGTAAATGAATTCTAAAATTTCATTGCTCATTAGAAATCCTAGCATACTTAGTTTCATTGGAAACATTTAACCATTTGTCAGCAGTATAAAGTAGTTTACAGAAAACCCCTAGAAAACTGAAATTCCTGCATCTTAATTTAGTCCCCTCATCTCATCCCTTCAAAGTCCTAATCAACTAAGTATATTTTGGTCAATTGGGCAGAAGAACACAGCATTTAGAAAACGTAGTTTAGGGTTTTTCTGATTACCTTCTAGTAGAGGGAAATAGATCTCCTTTAGAAAGGGCTCACAAGTCAACTAAAAGGTATAAAATACTAAACATTTAGTGAATTACATACTCGGGTGACATAAAAAAAAAACCAGCTTTCTAGCTCTGGAGCTTTGCCATAATTCTTGTAGCTGCTCACACAGTTAGAACAATCATGACCATTCCCATCATTGAGTGTGGAGTGAGTTGCTGTACACACAAGACTGTGTGACTCATTTTCCTGTGTGTGACCAACAGTCCTGTCCACACTATTAACACAAGAAGACCGTTCATGATTTATGACTGCTTCAAGAATTAGCTGGGCCTTTAGCTGGTTACAAGACTCCTTCTGCCTGGCTTGCTTTCCCATGTTTATATGCAATAAACCATACTGTGACATGTAATACATACAAACCCTTTAAGATGAGAAACACTTAGAGGGGAAAATTCATTTTAATAGTTTAGTTGACAATGACTAGATTTGAGAATTTTGCTGATTGTGAATTGTGGCTAATATGTTTTGAAATCTTATTTTGAATGTGTAGAAACCACCTATCTGACAAATACCTCTAAATCACGTTTCTAAAACTAAACTCAGTGGTCCATAAACACCTGATCCCCAGAATTTGCAGTATAAATCAGAAACCTAGGAGTTATCTGGATGTCTTTTCTTCCTCCTCTGCCCCTGTTTCATCTTTTGATGTTATCTCTTCTGTATCTTTTGAGTCCATTCCATCCCCCTTTATCCTCACTACTGTTACTAGCCACCATTTCCCACTTGGGTTTGAGAATGGCCTCTTAACACTCAGACAAATTCTCTCCAATCCATTTATCTCACTTTCTCTTTCAGTCTCTCTCTCTCACACACAAATATGCTTTGAAACATAATTATCATCATGGCATCCTTCTGCATAAAACATTTAAATGACCTTCCTAGCACATGGAATTAATACCACAATCCATGACTTGGACTAACTAATATTTACTAGTTATCCCCAACTTTCACTCTTCCCATTTTCAGTTAGTAATAGAACCCAGTGAAAGGCATTTCTCAGCCAACCTTGCAGCTAACTGTGGTCACATGACTATGTTCTGGCAAGCAGGACCTGAATGGAAGTGGCATATGCATCCTTCAGGGCAATGAGCATCCCCTACACTTCCCCTCCTCACCCTGCTGGCTTGGATGCTGATGGGCTGGACCACTGAACACATGGATGAGGGCTATCTAGACTTGTGGAACATGTCTGAGACTCACTATGATGTTGGATCCCAGACAATGAGGGGTTATAAAAAGACAAAGGGCCAACTAGTCAGTGGTTTGGTGACCAGCCAGCCTAGATCCTTCTAGTTCATCCTTGAAAGAGAAAGATTTTTTCACCTCATTTTTCAGGCTCAATCGAAAGAGTAATGGGAAAAAGTAATCACACAACACTTGAGTGAAAACATAAGCTGAGATTTTATTCTTGATACCATAAAGAAAAGGAAATATACCTGAACACATGGCATTCTGATATGGCTTTTTCATGAGCTTTAGAAGATACTGCTCCTTATCTAAGACAGCTATAAATCCTATTAGTGTGCTGAAACCAAAAGTATTTGGAACTGTTAGAACTTACGAATAGTTTTATTTGGGGGAATTATTAAGGCCCACATAAATGCACATCTTTGTCAGATAGAAATTTGTTGGTTTAATAAAAAATAGGTGATACTCTGAGGCATGTTACCTCAAATCAAATTCCCAAACCCCAAGTTATTAGGGGCCTTATTAAATTTTACAAAATAATGGTTATACTAAGAGTAGGAAAGTGAAGGACTTTGGGAAAAGGAGCCTGGACTATATCTTTGCAGGTTTTTGTACCCAACCCCCCAAAACAAGTTTTATACTGAGCAATGTACTCTGAGATGGTATTTGTAAGACAAACATGAAGATTTCCACTTCAAACAGAATTTCAAGCGCAGACACTTCATATTTACATCAAGAAGATGAGCTAAATCAAAAGTAGGGGTACATGATGCTTGCTTGCAAGATGATCATTTTCCACAGAGCTAATTTTGATATTTTTTTCTGATTACAAATGCATAATACTTGCTTATGTAGAAATCTGTTAAGTACTAATGTAGTATAAAATAAATTCTGGATTCCTTTTTTGTCTCTAACAAAATATCTAAAGAAAACCGAAAACATGCTCCGTATAAAAAGTTGTCTCTTATTATTTTTTATTTTTTTTCCATTTAACATTAAAGACTCTCAAGTACCTGCCAATTATATTGCCACATTTTCTAGGAAATGCAGCTTTTAGCAATTCTTTGTTGATTCAAATGAAATCAACCTAGCTCAGCTAATATTAATTGATTAGATTGAGAATAAAGTCCTAATACCAAAGGCTGACCAAGAGAAAATGCTTGAAATCAGATGTTGACTGATTCAGGCCGGTTCTATCAGTTTGGGCAAGTTGCTAGGGAGTGGACAGGAAGCTTGAGGACATCACAAAAGAATCCATAAAGGACCCATGATGCATTGAGAGACAGATACATAAGAATGGCTGGGCATAGTAGAACAGATCTGGTATCATTACAGTAAATCTCCATTATATGGAGTTATCTAGAAACATTATCTTCCTTGCTGGCTGAAGAAACATAGTACCCCTCCAACTACCCTCAAACAAAAAAAAGTAAAAAATTGTGAATATCAAATTTAATTCATATTCCATCATATATCTTTTATAGGACATTCAGATTGGTGCTTTTCAAACTGAGTCATAACCTACTCTTAGGTTGTAGGATCAATTTAGTGGATCAAAGCCAGCTTTGTTCATTGGCTTGTTTAAATAAATGGAATGGATTGAACGGTTTCCTTATATGGAACTTTTTGATGCATGGGTGTGTCTGTTGGGTTACTTTGTATACCTAATATTTTCTTACGGTGAGTGACAGTCAAAACAAGGGTGGATCACTGATATAGATCGCTTCTAGTTTTTCAATATTATCAGTAATGTTACAATAAACATCTCTTGGGAGGTGGGGGGAAATTTGGTTTGTTATTTCCATTTATTTGCCTAATGGTTGATTCACAGAAGCAATGTTGCTACATGGAAGGGTAGAATGTTTATGAGATTTTTCATAGATATCACCCAATTGCTTTCAAACTGTCCTAATTTAGATTCAAACTAGACAAGAAGAGAATTTCAGTTTCACTGTTAACAATTGTCAGCAAAATGTTCTTTTCCTCCTATTTTCACTAATTTAATGGATAAAAATGATCTGCCATTGTTTTACATTTATTTGAGAATTAGTGAGGCTGAATATTATTTGGAACATTTACTGTGAATTATCTAAGTATGTCTTCTCACGCTTGCTGGATCCCCTTTTTCTTTCTGCTATTTTATACATATCTTTTTAAGGAAGGCCCTCTCACTATTCTTTAGGGATGAGGGCATAGGAGGACAAGAAAATGGGAAAGAGCATTTTAATCAGCTTGATTTTTGCCAGGCTGCCTTTAGGCTTTTAAGCTTCCCTAGGTTTTGAGACCTGCTGCCTGATAAGGTACGTTAACCTTAAAAATAACTTTAAAGAATAACCAGTGCCAGAATAGCTGGTCAACGTGGCAGTGCAAAGTTGTACTTTGAACTTCTTCTGTGCCAAACACTGCAATATTAGGTTGTTTTTTTAAAAAAAAAATTGAGAGTAGTACTGAAAAATTTAAAAGAGCAGTTACGAGCCTTGGAGGGCAGATTGAGAAGCTCCAACACACATATGATTGGAATTCCAGAAAGAGAGGATTTAATTCAACTGCAAATAATCAGTTATAGAAAAGGTTATTACTGATAATTTTATAAAATCGAATAATTGATTGAGTTTGCAGATTAAAAGCCCACAGTAATTACTGAGTAAAGTATAATAAAAGGTAGATCTATCATATGGCATCAAGATACAGAAAAATCTTTAAAAGTGCTTAAAATAAGAGGCAGATTACCTGCTAATGAACTCAAATGGACTGGTGGAAGATTTTTATTTAGTAACAACAGATGCCAGAACACAAATAAACTTTAAAAGTATTAGAGAAAAAAACATCAATTCAGAATTTGATACCCAACTAGCCTGTCACTAAAGACTCTGTGTATGTGTGTGTGAGCACACATGAAAACTAAGATACTTTACCACCAAAAGACTCTCATTAAATAATACCTAAAGGAGGGAAATGCAAATTAAAACCATAATGATATGCCACCTTTTCCTAGCCAGAATGGCCATTATAAAAAGACAAAAACAAAAAAATCCCAAAAACAAACAATAAATGCTGGTGTAGAGGTAGTGAAAAAGGATTACTTATACACTGCTGGTAGTGATGTCAATTAGTACAACCTCCATGGAAAACAATATGGAAATTCCTCAAAGAACTAAAAGTAGATCTACCATTCAATCCAGCAATCTCACTACTGGGAATCGACCTAAAGGAAAATAAGTCATTATATCAAAAAGATACCTGCTCATGTATGTTTATCACAGCACAGCTCACAATTGCAAAGATGTAGAAACAACTTAAATGCCCATCAAACAATGAGTGGATAAATAAAATGTGATATATACACACCATGGAATACTACTCAGCCATAAAAAAGAAGGAAATAATGTCTTTTGCAGCAACTTGGATGGAGCTGGAGGCCACTATTCTAAAAGAAGTAACTCAGGAATGGAAAACCAAATACCATGAAGTTCTTGCTTGTAAGTGGGAGGTAAGCTATGGGTATGCAAAGGCATACAGAGTGATATAATGGACACTGGAGACTGAGGAGGGGGTAGGGGTGGCTGAGGGATAAAAAAAGGTGTATATTGGGTGCAATGTACATTACTTGGGTGATGGATGAACTAAAATCTCAGACTTCACTACCACCATACAATTCAACCTTGTAACCAAAAATCACTTGTACCCCAAAAATGATTGGAATAGAAATATACATGTATAAAATTTTGAAAAATACCTAAAGGAGCTATTTTTGCAGGAAGATAAGAATCACCTTAAGTGTGCACTAAAATTATCTCCTTTTAGAAAAAGGATAATTTCTCCTATTTCAGTTACTGCTCATGAAGTTACTGACCCATTTCTCTGCTCCCCTCTAAATCAAAACTTCTTGAAGAAATTGTCTTATTCTCCTTTCTTTAATTCCTCCTTGCCCAATTTCTTAAACTTATTGAAATCAGGCTTTAATCTCCACTACATCAATGGAATAGCTTTTGCTCTAGTCACCAATGACTTCCACATTGTGGCAAATTCTTAATCATCTTATTTAACCAATGAATAACACTTGCCACAATGGATCACTCCCCACTTCTCTGACACACTGTCTTAATTTTGTATCTTGAACACCCTTCTCCATTGATTCTTCCACCTCAGTAAGTACTTCATCCTGGTCAACTTCACTGTGTTCTCTTCATTTTCCCAACCACTTAGCATTGAAATATCACCAGAAATTATCCTCCTCTCCTCTTTTCTCTATAGTTATTCCCTGGATTATCTCATTTGGAATCATGACACTAATGCCACATATATGATGATGTTGTCCAAATCATAACTTTAATCCAGACCTCTTTCTTGAACTACAGGCTCATATATCCAGTTCACTATTTAATAATTTCTTTGAATGTTTTATAGGCGTCTCAAACTTATAAAACCCATAACCAGACTTTCAATTTTACTTCCTAATCTATTCATTCAAGAGTGTAGGCCATTTCAGTAAATATCACCTTCATCTTTCCAGATTCTCAGGCCTTTCCTCTATTCTTTCACTGATACCCCATAAGTAACACTCCATCAACTAATCCTCTCAGACATGCCTTCAAATTACATCCAGAATGCGATCACTTCTTACCATCTCCATCTTTATCTCCCTTAACCAAGGCACCAACATTTATCTGGATTATTATAACAGTTTCTTAATGGCCTACCTGCTTTTGCTTTTGAATCTCCTTATTCCCAACACCCAAATTGGTCTCACTAAAATAAGAACATGTCCCTTTTTTTTTTCCAGGACACTGTCATGGTATCCTATCTCACTTAGAGTAAATGACCAAGTATTTACAGTGGTCTGAAAGTCCTATCTGATTTTTTCCCAACCCCACTCTCACCCACTATCTCTGCCTCCATTTACCACTACGTTCTTCTTGCTCATCCTGCTCCAACAAACTGGCCTCTTTGATGTTCCTTGAAGATCCCAAATAGTATATGCTATTCCCTCTACCTGGGATACTTTTCTCCCAGACTTCTTTCAAGTATGCATTCAAATGTCACCCATCTGTAAGCTCTTGCCTGACAACCTAGATAAATAATAATCCTTATACTACTTAATTTTTCTCCATGGCAATTATTTTTGATATATATTTACTTGTTTATCATCTCTGTTCTCTAACTAGATTGTCAACTACATGAGCTCAGAGACGATTTGGTTGACTCCTATATTTCCAGGCATGTACAATAGCAGGAAAACACAAGGCATGCAATAAGAATTTATTAGGTGAATGAACTAATGGTGAGGAAAAAAGTAAAACATGGTGGGTAATTCAACTAGATATTGCTTGTAAAAAAACAATATGGAACAAATTTCCTGTGAATCAGAAGATGAAAGTAAATTCTAGACAAAAAAAAAAAAACAAGGAAAATACTAGAGACTGTCACAAAGGATAATTAAAATGTGCTAGATCTGCTTTATTTGAGAGAAGGATAGATAATGCATGAAATATGGGAACACTGATATTGGTTGTTGTGGGAGTGGGTAGTCTGACTGGGGGGTGCAGAAGGACATGGGCATGGGTTGATCATGGGCAATGTAGTTTGTGGTTGTTGCAGCCTTCTGCTGCATTAAGAAACAACTGCAGGGCAGCCTGAGAGCGGGGGCGGTGGTGGATAGAGGGGATGGGTGGGGACAGGGGCGGACTCACACTAGGGAGGACTTGGGAGGGCATATTCTACCAGAGAGCCCAGGAAGGGGGAGTGAAGCTCAGCCTGATCATAACTTTTAGAAAAGTGACAGGCTTCCCGTAGGTTAGAAACAAAAGAAAGAGAGGTTTTAGGCTTATGTTCTTTGAATGTTTTTTTCTCAATATGTAGAAAATGGACAATCCTTATTCCTAGATAACTACCATATTTGAAACAAGTAGGTTTATGTTCTGTGAATGTTTTGATTCTCAATAGGTAGAAAATGGACAATTCTTATTCCTAGATAATTACTATATTTGAAACAAGGTGAAATAAAACCTTTGCATTTTTAGCTTCTCAAAGAAATATTTCTGAAAATCAATAACTATAAAAAGCAAATTTACCAAAATATGCTTTAAGATGTTGCAGAAGAGAGATGAAGAGAGGAAGAGAGATACAGAGAGAGAGAGAGAGAGAGAGAGAGAGAGAGAGAGAATACAGTAACACATCCCATTCAAGTAAGATTTAGATCAAGAATGCAAGGATAGTTTAATATCAGGCAGATCTATCAATATAATCTACAGCATTAATAATTTAAAAGTGGGAATCAAATGATTATTCGAATGTGCAGAAAAACCATTATTTATAGGCTAATACTTGTGATAAACTGTCTTAATAAACTAGAAATAGAGAGCAGTTTTCTTAACCTGACAAAAATAAGTCAGCCAAAAACCTATACAGTACTTAATAGCGTACTTAATATCATACTTAATAGCAAAAACAGTGAAATTTTGAAGCATTCTCACTATTATTCAGTACAAGATAAAAATGCTTAGTATAAACATATAATATTTACACAATATTTTATCTTGTTGGGAGAGAAAATTTTAAAACAACAGAAGAAAAAGAAAGTCTAGCAAATACCAAGGCATTTATGGGATCTTAATTTACAACAGAGGAGGCATTACAGAACAATGAAAAAAAGAGTGTTCCTCAGTAAATGGTGTTAGGATTAGACTGTCAAAAAATAGATCTAGACTTCAAGAATGAAACAGGAATCCCGAGAGGACCCACAGAAGGAAGTGGACTGCTCCTGCAGGATGCAGGAGACACCCCAAATACTGTGCTGGTATCCATGGCTGAGAGACCCATAGATGGTTCACATCACAGGACTCTGTGGAGACAACCCTCAGTACCAGCTCAGAGCCAGGTAGACTGGTTGTGTGGCTAGACCCAGAAGAGAGATAACAATCACTTCAGCTCAGCTCACAGGAAACCACATCCATAGGAAAATAGGGAGAGTACTACATTAAGGGACAAAAGAATCTGAACAACAGCCTTCAGCACTGGACCTTCCCTCTGACAGAGCTTCCAAATGAGAAGGAACCAGAAAACAAACTCTGGTAATATGACAAAGCAAGGCTCTTTAACACCCCCCAAAAGTAATACTAGTCCACTAGCAATGGATCCAAACCAAGAAAAAAATCTCTGATTTACCTGAGAAAGAATTCAGGAGGTTAGTTATTAAGCTAATCAGGGAGGCACTAGAGAAAGGTGAAGCCCAACGCAAGGAAATCTGATACAACGAAATGATACAAGCAGGGAAAGGAGAAAAATTTAAGGAAATAGGTAGCATAAAGAAAAAAAATCAAAACTTCAGGAAACATTGGACAAGCTTATAGAAATGCAAAACGCTCTGGAAAGTCTCAGCAATAAAATTGAACAAGTAGAAGAAAGAAATGCAGAACTTGAAGACAAGGTCTTTGAATTAACCCAATTCAACAAAGACAAAGAAAAAAATAAGAAAATATGAACAAAGGTTCCAAGAAGTCTGGGATTATGTTAAACGACCAAACCTAAGAATAATTGGTGTTCCTGAGGAAGAAGAGAAATCTAAAAGTTTGGGAAAACATATTTGAGGGAATAATTGAGGAAAACTTCCCCAGCCTTGCTAGAGACCTAGATATCTAAATATAAGAAGCACAAAGAACACCTGGGAAATTCATCGCAAAGAAATCATCACCTAGGCACATTGTTACCAGGTTATCTAAAGTTAAGACAAAAGAAAGAATTCTAAGAGCTGTGAGGCAAAAGCACTGGGTAACCTATAAAGGAAAATCTATCAGATTAGCAGCAGATTTCTCATCAGAAACCCTGCAAGCTAGATAAGATTGGGCCCCTATCTTCAGCCTCCTCAAACAAAACAATTATTAGTCCAAAATTTTCTATCCAGCAAGCTAAGCATCATATATGAAGGAAAGATACAGTCATTTTCAGACGAACAAATGCTGAGAGAATTGGCCCCTGCCAAGCCAGCACTACAAGAGCTGCTAAAAGGAGCTCTAAATCTTGAAACAAATCCTGGAAACATTAAAACAGAACCTCTTTAAAGCCTAAATCACATAGGACTTATAAACAAAAATACAAGTTAAAAACCAAACACCAAAAACAAAAAACCAAGGTACACAGGCAGCAAACAGCATGATGAATGCAACAGTACCACACATCTCATACTGACATTGAATGTAAATGCCCTAAATGCTCCACTTAAAAGATACAGAACAGCAGAATAGATAAGAACTCACCAACCAAGTATCTGCTGCCTTCAGGAGACTCACCTAACACATAAGAACTCACATAAACTTAAAGTAAAGGGGTGGAAAAAGGCATTTCATGCAAATGGACACCAAAAGCCAGCAGGGGTAGCAATTCTTGTATCAGACAAAACAAACTTTGAAGCAACAGCAGTTAAAAGAGACAAACAGGGACACTATATAATGGTAAAAAGCCTTGTGCAACAGGAAAATATCACAATCCTAAACATATATGCGCCTAACACTGGAGGTTCCAAATTTATAAAACAATTACTAATAGACCTAAGAAATGAGAGAAACAGCAACACAATAATAGTGGGGACTTCAATATTCCACTGACAGCACTAGACAGGTCATCCAGACAAAAAGACAACAAAGAAACAATGGATTTAAACTGTACTTGGAGCAAATGGACTTAACAAATATATACAGAACATTTCATCCAACAACTGCAGAATACACATTCTATTCAACAGTGCATGGAACTTTCTCCAAGAATAGACCATATGATAGGCCATAAAATAAGCCTCAATAAATTTAAGAAAATTGAAATTATATCAAGTACTCTCTCAGACCACATTGAATAAACCTGGAAATCAACTCCAGAAGGAACCGTCAAAACCATGCAAATACATAGAAACTAAATAAGTTACTCCTGAATGAGTATTGGGTCAAAAATGAAGTCAAGATGGAAGTTAAAAAATTCTTTGAACTGAACAACAGTAAAGACACAACCTATCAAAACCTTTGGGATACAGCAAAGGCAGTGCTAAGAGGAAAGTTCATAGCCCTAACACCTATGTCAAAAAGACTGAAAGAACACAAAGTGACTTTCTAAGGTCAAACCTCAAGGAACTAGAGAAACAAGGACAAACCAAACCCAAACCGAGGAGAAGAGAGGACATAACCAAGAACAGAGAAGAACTAAATAAAATTAAAAGAAAAAATACAAATGATAAATAAAACAAAAAGCTGGTTATTTTAAAAGATAAATAAAATCAATAGACCATTAGTAAGATTAACCAAGAATAGAAGAGAGAAAATCCAAATAACCTCATTAAGAAACAAAATGGGGGATACTACAACTGACACCACTGAAATATAAAAGATCATTCAAGAGTACTATGAACACCTTTGTGCACGTAAACTAGAAAACCTAGAAGAGATGGATAAATTCCTAGAAAAATACAACTCTCCTAGCTTAAATCAGGAAAAATTAGATAACCTGAACAGACCAATAGCAAGCAGTGAGATGGAAATGGTAATTAAAGGCTTACCGACAAAAAGCCCAGGACCAGATGGATTCACAGCAGAATTTGACCAGACATTCAAAGAAGAATTGATACCAATCCTTTTGATGCTATTCCACAAGATAGAGAAAGAGGGAACCCTCCCTAATCCATTCTATGAAGCCAGCATCACCCTAATACCAAAACCAGGAAAGGACATAACCAAAAAAGAAAACTACAGACCGATATCCTTGATAAACATAGATGCTAAACTCTTTAACAAAATACTAGCTAACTGAATCTGACAACATATCAAAAAGATAATCCACCATGACCAAGTGGGTTTCATACCAGGGGCACAGAGATGGTTTAACATATGCAAGTCAATAAATGTGATACACCACATAAACAGAATTAAAAACAAAAATCACATGATCATCTCAAAAGATGCAGAAAAAGCATTTGACAAAATCCAGCATCCCTTTCAGATTAAAACTCTCAGCAAAATTGGCATACAAGGGGCATACCTCAATGTAATAAAAGCCATTTATGACAAACCCACAACCAACATAATACTGAATGGGGAAAAGTTGAAAGCATTCCCTCTGGAAACTGGGACAGGACAAGGATGCCCACTCTCGCCACTCCTCTTCAACATAGTACTGGGAGTCCTAGCCAGAGCAATCAGATGAGAGAAAGAAATAAAGAGCATCCAAATTGGTAAAAAGGAAGTCAAACTGTCACTGTCTGCTGATGATATGATCATTTAACTTGAAAACCCTGAAGAATCCTCCAGAAAGTTCCCAGAACTGATAAAAGAATTCAGCAACATGTCCAGATACAAGATTAATGTACACAAATCAGTAGCTCTTCTATACACCAGCAGCGACCAAGCAGAGAATCAAATCAAGAACTCAACCCCTTTTACAATTGCTGCCAAAAAAATAAAAAATAAAATACTTAGGAATATACTTAACAAAAGAGTTGAAAGACCTTGACAAGGAAAACTACAAAACACTGCTGAAAGAAATCGTAGATGACCAAACAAATGGAAACACATCCCATGCTCATGGATAGGTAGAATCAATATTGTGAAAACGATCACACTGCCAAAAGCAACCTACAAATTCAAAACCTTCTCCTTCAAAATACCACCATCATTCTTCACAGAATTAGAAAAAACAATTCTAAAATTCTTATGGAACCAAAAAAGAGCCTGCATATCCAAAGCAAGAAATAAGGAAAAAGAACAAATCTGGAGGAATCACACTGCCTGATTTCAAACTATACTCTAAGGCCATAGTCACCAAAACAGCATGGTATTGGTATGAAAATAGGCACATAGACCAATGGAACAGAATATTGAACCCAGAAATAAATCCAAATATTACAGCTAACTGATTTTAGACAAAGCAAACAAAAACATAAAGTGGGGAAAGGACACCTTTTCAACAAATGGTGCTTGGATAATTGGCTAGTCACATATACGAGAATAAAACTGGATCCTCATCTCTTACCTCATACAAAAAATCTACTCAGGATGGATTAAGGACTTAAATCTAAAACGTGAAACTATAAAAATACTAGAAGATAACATTGGAAAAACTCTTCTAGACATTGGCTTAGGCAAGGATTTCATGACCAAGAACGCAAAAGCAAATGAAATAAAAACAAAAGATAAATAGTTGGGACTTAAACTAAAGAGCTTTTGGACAGCAAAAGGAACAGTCAGCAGAGTAAATGGGCAACCCACAGAGTAGGAGAAAAATCTTCACAATCTATACGTCTGAAAAAGGACTAATATCTGGAATCTATAACAAACTCAAACAAATCAATAAGAAAATAAAAAAACAAGCAATCTCATCAAAAAGTGGGCTAAGGCAATTCTCAAAAGAAGATATACAAATGGCCAAGAAATATGTGAAAAAATGCTCAATATCACTAATGATAAGGGAAATGCAATCAAAACCACAATGTGATACCATGTTGCTCCTGCAAGGATGGCCATAATAAAAAAAATAATAATAAAACAGTAGATGTTGGCATGAATGCGGTGATCAGGGAACACTTCTACACTGCTGGTGGGAATGTAAACTAGTACAGCCACTATGGAAAAGAGCGTGGAGATTCCTTAAAGAACTAAAAGTAGAACTACGATTTGATTCAGCAATCTCACTACTGGGTATCTACCCAGAGGAAAGAAGTCATTATAAGAAAAAGATACTTGCACACATTTATAGCAGCACAATTTGCAATTGAAAAATCATGGAACCAACCCAAATGCTCATCAATCAACGAGTGGATAAAGAAACTATAGTATATATACATACATATATACACATATACATATGTACATATATACATACATATATACACATATACATATGTACATATATACATACATATATACACATATACACATGTACATATATACATACATATATACACATATACACATGTACATATATACATACATATATACACATATACACATGTACATATATACATACATATATACACATATACACATGTACATATATACATACATATATACACATATACACATGTACATATATACATATATACACATATACACATGTACATATATACATATATACACATATACACATGTACATATATACATATATACATATATACACATGTACATATATACATACATATATACATATGTACATATATATACATACATATATACATATGTACATATATATACATACATATATACATACGTACATATATACTTACATATATACATATATACATACGTACATATATATACATACATATACTATATATATATGATGGAATACTACTCAACCATAGAAAGGAATGAATTAATGGCAGTGACTTGGATGAGACTGGAGACTATTATTCTAAGTGAAGTAACTCAGGAATGGAAAACCAAACATGATATGTTCTCACTGATATGTGGGGGCTAAGCTATGAGGATGCAAAGGCATAAGAATGATACAATGGAATTTGGGGACTTTGGGGGAAGGGTGGGAGGGGGATGAGGGATAAAAGAAAACAAATATGGTGCAGTGTATACTGCTTGGGTGATGGGTGCACTAGAATCTCACAAATCACCACTAAAGTAACCAAATACCACCTGTACCCCAATAACTTATGGAAAAATAAAAATAGAATAGAATAAGATATAATATAATAAAAGCATTCTCAATAGTAAAAAAAATTGATTTATGCTTTATACCATACATATAAAAAATTCCGGGTGAAACAAAGGTTGACATATTTAACATAAAACTATTGTAAGTAGATTAAAAAAATTAGAGCATATGACTATGCAAAATAAAGTCATTTCTTGAGCAATTCTCAAAATCTAGAGTAATAAAAAATATTAACTATATCAAAATTAAAAATCACGTGTGTTAAAAGATGCCATGAACAAAATTAAAATGCAATCAGCAGATAGGGAGCAAACTTTTCAACCTATATATAACAGAGACAAGTATTTCATTATATTTATATATGAAATATGAACATAGATATTATGACACATATTAGGATCACACATACATTTCTATAAATTAATAAAGAGAAGAAAAGATAATAGAAGAATCAACGAAGAGGAGAAATAGGCAATTCAGATGAGAGGAAATTTAAATGGCCCTATGAAAAGTATACCTAATGTTATAAATAATCAAAGTAATGAATATTAAAACAGTGATAGAGCAATTCACATCCATCAACTGGCAAATAATTAAATCTGATAATAATCAAGTGTTGGCAATGACCTGCGAAACAAAGTTCTCATTCATTGCTGGTAGGAGTGGAAACTGGTATGAGTACTTTGCAGAGCAATTTGGCATATCTAATAGACATGCAATTGTACATATCCTAAGACACAGCAAGTACACTGATATATATGTGAGAAGAACTCTATCACATGCACCCTGAGGGAAATGTATAAAAAGAACATTTCTTTCAGCATTATTAATTTTAATTAAAAATTGTATCAATTCAAATTCTGATTAGTATGGGAATAAATAAATTGTGGTATTTTCATAAGATGGAGTAATATATGGCAATTAAAAAATGAACTAGGGTTATATAATAACAAGGGTAAATTCTGAAAATAAAATATTTGTAGTAAAAGTAGCAAATTCTAGAATACATTCCACACTTACAGTAAAACATGTATATTTTATGTTCATGTATGTAACAAGCATGCTTCATATATGTAGTAAAAGTGGCAAAGTATAAAACAGAATTATATAAATACCTATGCAAGACAGTTGTTTTCTCTGGGGTGGCAGAGAAAATAATGAGACTGGGGAAGGTAAAACGGGGGCCTTCAAATTTTTCTGTACAATTTGTTTCTTTACGAATAACAGCTAAGAAGCAGATTTGGGGAAAATGTTTACATTTGATGAATTCATTGGAGTGACAGGTACATGAGTGTGTATTGTAGCCTCCTTTGTATGCTAAAATATATTTCATCTATCTATCTATCTATCTATCTATCATCTATATCAAAGACCTCCAAATCTATACCTTTGCCTAGAGTTAAACATAACAAGTCCCTAAATATTACACAGAAAAATAAACAGAAGTTCTGATGACTTGACTCTCAACCCCATGTTCCTTCAAGCTGCCCTCATGGCTCAAGGGTTGACCCTCACAAGACTTATTGTTATATGATCAGGAAGAGCTTTCTCAGTTCCAGTTTCTAGGCTCAGGAGCATTTTCTTCACAGATTCCAGAGAAAAGCCACAATGTGTCCCTTCCAAGAAGAAAAGCAAATCATATGTGATATTGTCAGGCTGGATCTTGTCACAAGTATTCCCAGAGATGTGGGTCAGCAGTCTGATTAATGCCAAAAAAAAAAAAAGCTATTTTTCTCACTAGCCTACGAGAAACATACTAATTCAACTGCCCAAGTACTCCATTGAAAAACTCTAGTTTAGGGACAAAATGATTAACAGATGGTTCTCAATCTCTCTCCCCTGGAAGTCACACATAAACCAAGACTTTGGTGAGCCGTACCATGGAGTCATGTTTAGTCACCATGAATTGCAACAAATAGCAATGAATGGGTTGTTTCATTGGGCCATTGTGAAATCTGCTAGCAAATAACCATTAAAACAAGAGCCAAAACATATTTCATATACTACAATGTGATTCAGCTGGTTAAGAAACATCAAAATAATAATATAGTAACCATAAAAGGCAGCAAAAGGTGGAACCTCTGTGTAGAACACAACAATCCAGGGTGAACTTCAAAAATCTGTGGATTGCTTGAGCCCAGGTCGAGGCTTCAGGGAGCTATGATTACACCACGGCACTCCAGCTTGGGTGATAGAGTGAGACCGAGACCCACTCTAAAAAAAAAAAAGTCTATGGTCATCTGAGTTCCTAACTGCTAACCTGCCAGAAAGCCCCATTCACTGTCTCAAATCATTGTAGAGAAAATCCATAGTAGTTTTCTTTTTCTGCTACTCATAAGTTCTAACCATCGAGAATTGACTCAGAAGCCCCAGCTGAGAATTCCTTAGAAACAGAATCAGTGACTTTAAAAACTTATTTTACTTTTTGGTTTTTTTTTTGGAGATGGACTCTCACTCTGTTGCCCAGGCTGGAGTGCAATGGTGCTATCTCAGCTCACTGCAACCTCCATCACCTGGGTTCAAGCAATTCTCCTGCCTCATCCTCTGAGTAGCTGGGATTACAGGCGCACACCACCATGTCTGGCTAATTTTTGTATTTTTAGTAGAGATGGGGTTTCACTGTTTTGGCGAGGCTAGTCTTGAACTCTTGACCTCAGGTGATCCACCCACCTTGGCCTCCAAAGTGCTGGGATTACAGGCGTGAGCCACTGCGCCCAGCCAAAACTTATTTTACTTTTAAGAAATGACGTATTCTAAAATAGGCATTCATTTATATCTCAATGTATGCGGGAGCATTTCCCTTGTATATTTCTTCGGCATGTCATACAGTGATACCCCCACAAACCTATTCCAAAGAGATGAGCAGAACAGTTTCAACTGCTTATCTAGAAATAGTATATTTATCTGTTCTTATTGAAAGAAGTGAAAAAACAAGAGAATAAGTGCCTTAGTTTGTGCCAACAATCTATCTCTGAATATGACACAGCTTGTGCAAAACTGGCACACCTTGAATGTTAATAAGAGGTTCAATGCTAGCAGCAATTTCCACAGCCCCAAATGAGTTTCATCAGTGTTAAGAAAAAAAAAATTAAGCTTGTTACTTGTATTTCCCCTGAAAGGATAAAGGCCTTTTATTCTTTGAATTCTAACATAGTCACCATTTTAGAGCAAAAAGGCAAACTAGGTAGCAGATTAGATAAGAACACCATAGTTGCCATTCTCAATTACAACCATGGCTCATCTTGCTACTTTAACTCAATTGGTAACTTGAATTACTGTGTAAGACAGTGTTAGTGTTTTCTTCCATGACAACAATTTCAGAGGTAAAGGCTCCCATTCATTCATGAAAATTTGACTGAGTATTCATCATAAGACTTGGATTTTGTCAGTTAATGCTTCTAAAATTAAACAGCTGCATGACAATTTTTCTTCTTTCTCAGAATTTTAATTGAATTATGTTGTAGCTAGTGTTCAAAAATGATTAAACTCCCTTACCTCCTCTTGCACACACACACACAAATGGTAACTGTGTGGTGAAGGATGTGTTAATTAATTTGATCATGGTGATCATTATAAAATGTACACATATATCAAATCATCATGTCATACACCTTGAATATATACAACTTTTATTTGCTGATCATACCTAAATAAAGCTGGAAAAAAATATAGATTTGCAAAGCAAAAAAAAAAAAAAAAAAAAAAAAGAAGTGATTCACTTCTGATTTACTCTCTTTCATTTCCTATTCCCATTCCGGAAGAAGTTCATTCTATTTCTCTTTAGTGCTAATTCTACATTTAACTTATTTCAGGTGAAGAAGATAGGGCCAGTGTAATAAATTCAGGGAAGAATGACTGAAGACCATCCCCTAGGTAATAATGGAATGCTAAAAATTATATATCCTCTATTTTCAGGTTGGAAAGGATGACAAGAGTAAATTTACTTCATAAAATTGCCTTAGACAAATAGGACATTTCTGTAGATGTGAAAAGCACTGAAACCTCAACCAAGCAGACTAAGTGACCCACCCAAGAGTTAAGCTGTGTCCGTGATAGGGCGCTTCAGTTATACAAGGTGTGTAACATCTACTTTTTATATAGGCCGTTAAACCCAGAACTGGCCAGACAGATTCACCTTTAGGACTCAGACATCTGCGTAGTTGTAGAACAATGGTATATGGTCAAAGCAACCCTGCAAATTCTGATCAGTCATATAATAATGAGGTGACCATGATTTTAACAAGTAAAGAAGAATGTATGTCAAAATATAAACTTGAATACAGACATACCTTGAAGATACTGCAGTTCAGTTCCGGACCACTGCAATGAAGCAAATATCTCAATAAAGCAAGCCACACAATTTTTTGGTTTCCTACTGTATATAAAAGTTATGTCTGGCCAGGCGCGGTGGCTCACACCTGTAATACCAGCACTTTGGGATGCTGAGGAGGGTGGATCACGTGGTCAGGAGATGAAGACCATCCTGGCTAATATGGTGAAACCCCGTTTCTACTGAAAATACAAAAAATTAGCTGGGCATTGTGGTGGGCACCTGTAGTTCCAGCTACTCGGGAGGCTGAGGCAGGAGAATGGCGTGAACCCGGGAGGCAGAGCTTGCAGTGAGCCAAGATTGCACCACTGCACACCAGACTGGGCTACAGAGCAAGACTCTGTCTCAAAAAAAAAAAAAAAAGTTACGTGTATAATCTGTTGTAGTCTAGTAAGTGTGCAAGAGCATTATGTCTAAAAAGAGCACAATGTATATACTTTAATTTAAAAATACTTTATTGCTAAAAATGCTAATCATCATCTGAGCCTTTAGTGAGTCATAATCTTTTTGCCGGTGGAGAGTCTTGTCTCAATGTTGACACCTTCTGAGTGATCATGGTGGTGGTTGCTGAAGTCTGGGGTGGCTGTGATAATTTCTTAAAATAAGGCAACAGTAAAGTTTGACACACTGATTGATTCTTCCTTTCATAAAAGATTTCTGTGTAGCATGTGATACTCCTTGACAGCATTTTACCCACAGAACTTCTTTTAAAATTGGAGTCAATCTTCTCAAATCTGGCTGCTGCTTTATCAACTAAGTTTATGTCATATTCTAAATCTTTTGCCATTTCAACAGTGTTCATGGCATCTTCACCAGGAGTAGATTCCATCTCAAGAAACTATTTTTTTGTTCATCCATAAGAAGTGATTCCTCATCTGTTCAAGTTTTATCATGAGACTGTAGCAATTCAGTCACATCTTCAGGCTCCACTTCTAATTCAAGTTTTCTTGCTATTTCCACTACACTTGCAGCGGCTTTCTCCACTGAAGTCTTGAATCAATTCAAAGTAATCTATGAGAATTGGAATCAACTTCTTCTAAACTGCTGTTAAGGTTGATATTTTGACCTCCTCCTATGAATCATAAATGTTTTTAATGGTATCTAGGATGGTAAATCCTTTCCATAAGGTTTTTAATGTATTTTTCTTAGATCCATCAGAAGAATGACTATCTATGGCAACTATAGCCTTACAAGATGTATTTCTTAAATAATAAGACTTAAAGGCCAAAATTACTCCTTGATACATAGGCTGCAGAATGGACATTGTGTTAACAGGCACGAAAACTACATTAACCTCCTTGTACATCTCCATCAGAGCCCTTTGGTCACTGGGTGCTTTCTCAATGAGGACTAATATTTAGAAAAAAATCTTTTTTTTCTGTGCAGGAGGTCTCAACTGTGGCCTTAAAATATTCAGCAAGCCATACTGTAAACAGGTGTACTATTACACATGTATTGTGTTCCATTTATAGAGTATAGACAGAGTAGATTTAGCATAATTCTTAAGGGCCCTCTGATTTTTGAAATTGTATGATTTCAGCTCTTTTGCATTTGCTGAGGATTGTTTTGTTTCCAATTATGTGATCAATCTTAGAGTATGTGCCACGTGGTGATGAGAAGAATGTATATTTTGTTATTTTTAGGTGGAGAGTTCTGTAAAGGTCTATCAGATCCATTTAGTCCAATGTTGAGTTCAGGTCCTAAATGTCTTTGTTAATTTTCTGCCTTGATGATCTAATACTGTCAGTGGAGTGTTGAAGTCTCCCACTAATATTGTGAGGGAGTCTATGTCTCTTTGTAGGTATCTAAGACCTTGCCTTATGAATACAGTGCTCTTGTGTTGGGTACATATACATTTAGGGTAGTTAGGTCTTCTTGTTGAATTGAACCGTTTACCATTATGTAATGCCCTTCTTTGTCTTTTTTGATCTTTGTTGGTTTAAAGTCTGTTTGTCTGAAATTAGGATTGCAACCCCTGCTTTTTCCTGTTTTCCATTTGCCTGGTAGATTTTCCTCCACCCCTTTATTTTGAGGCTATGTGAGATGGGTCTATTGAAGACAGGATACCATTGGGTCTTTCTTTTTTATCCAGCTTGCCACTCTGTGCCTTTTAAGTGAGGCATTTAGCCCATTTACATTCAGGGTTAGTATTGATATGTGTGAACTTGATAGTGTCATTGTGTTGTTAGCTGGTTATGCTGGCTTGCTTTTGTGGTTGCTTTATAGTGTCACTGGTCTGTGTATTTAAGTGTGTTTTAGTATTAGATGGTAGCTGTCTTTCCTTTCTATATTTAGTGCTCCTTTCAAGATCTCTTATAAGGGAGGTCTGGTACTAACAAACTCCCACAACATTTGCTTCTCTGAATCTTCTTTCTCCTTCACATAGGAAACTTAGTTCAGCTGGATATGAAATTCTTGGTTGAAGATTTGTTTCTTTAAGAATGTTGAATATAGGCCCCCAATCTCTTCTGGCTTATAGGGTTTTAGCTGAGAGGTCTGTTGTTGGCCCGATGGGGTTCCTTTTGTAGGTGACCTGCCCTTGCTCTCTAGCTGATTTTAACATTCTTTCTTTTATTTTGACCTTGGAAAATCTGATGATTATGTGTCTGGGGTATGATCTTCTTGTGTAGAATCTTGCAGGGGTTCTCTGTATTTCCTGAATTTGACTTTTGGTTTCTCTAGCAAGGCTGGGGAGAATGGCTTCAACTTAAAGTCACCAACTTCATCAACTCATAAAAAAAGGATCAGCCTTCCCTTTGAAGTTTTGAAGTCTTAAAGCCCAGCATTGACTTTTTCTTTCTAACTATGAAAGTCTTAGATCTTCTATTGACGTATTCTTCCAATAGAAGGCTATTTTATCTATACTGAAAATCTGTTGTTTAGTAATCTTCATCACTGATCTTAGCTATATCTTCTGGATAACTTTCTGCACCTTCTAAATTAGCACCTGCTGGTTCATCTTGTACTTTTATGTTATTACACAGATGGCTTCTTAAATTTCCAACCTCTGCTAGCTTCCAACATTTCTTCTGTAGCTTTCTCTCTCAGCTTACATAAAACTGAAGAGAGTCAGGGCCTTGCTCTGGATTAGGCTTTGGCTTAAGAAAATGTTGTGGCTGGTTTGATTTTCTATCCAGACCACTCAAACTTTCTCCATATCAGCACTAAGGCTGTGTCACTTTTTTTTTTTTAATAACTTATGTATTCACTGGAGTAGACTTTTAATTTCCTTCAATAACTTTTCCTTTGCATTCACAACTTGGATAACTCTTTGGTGCAAGAGGCCTAGCTTTTAGCCTATATTGGCTTTCAACATGCCTTCCTCACTAAGCTTAATTAATTTAAAGTGAGAGACATGTGACTTTTCCTTTCCCTTGGACACTGTATTAGTTTGTTTTCATGCTGCTGATAAAGACATATCTGAAACTGGAAACAAAAAGAGGTTTAATTGGACTTACAGTTCCACATGTATGGGAGCCCTCCAAATCATGGCAGGAGGCAAAAGACTCTTCTTACATGGTGGCGGCAAGAGAAAAATGAGGAAGAAGCGAAAGCAGAAACCTCTGATAAACCCCTCAGATCTCAGGAGACTTATGCACTATCATGAGAACAGCACAGGAAAGACTGGCCCCCATGATTCAATTACCTCCCCCTGGGTCCCTCCCACAACCTGTGGGAATTCTGGGAGATACAATTCAAGGTGAGATTTGGGTGGGGACACAGCCAAACCATATCATTCTGGCCCTGGCCCCTCCAAATCTCATGTCTTCACATTTTAAAACCAATAATGCCTTCTCAGCAGTCCCCCAAAGTCTTAATTCATTTCAGCATTAACCCAAAAGTCCACAGTCCAAAGTCTTACCTTAGACAAGGCAAATCTTTTCTGCCTATAAGCCTGTAAAATCAGAAGCAAGCTAGTTACTTCCTAGATACAACAGGTATTGGGTAAATACAGCTGTTCCAAATGGAAGAAATTGGACAAAACAATAGGATTAGGATTACAGGGTCCATGCAAGTCTGAAATGCCGCAGGGCAGTCAAACTTTAAAGCTCAAAAATGATCTCCTTTGACTCCATGTCTCACATCCAGGTCACGCTGATGGAAGAGGTGGGTTCCCATGGTCTTGGGCGGCTCTACTCTGAGGCTTTGCAGAGTACAGTCTCCCTCCTGTCTGCTTTCATGGGCTGGCATTGAGTGACTGCGGCTTTTCCAGCAGCACAGTGCAAGCTGTTGGTGGATCTACCATTCTGGGGTCTGGAGGACAGTGGCCCTCTTCTCACAGCTTCACTAGGCAGTGCCCCAGCAGGGACTCTGTGTGGGGGCTCTGACCCCACATTTCCTTTCTGCACTGCCCTAGCACAGGTTCTCCATGAGGGCCCCAACTCTGCAGCAAACTTTTGCCTGGGCATCCAGGCATTTCCGTACATCTTCCGAAATCTAGGCGGAGGTTCCCAAACCTCAGTTCTTGACTTTTGTGCACCCACAGGCTCAATACCATATGGAAGCTGCCAAGGCTTGGGGCTTCCACCCTCTGAAGCCACAGCCTGAGCTCTGTGTTGGCCCTTTTCAGCCACAGCTGGAGCAGGTGGGACATAGAGCACCAAGTCCTTAGGCTGCATACAGCACAGGGACCCTGGGCCTGGCCCAGAAAAACAATTTTTCCTCCTGGGCCTCTGGGTCTGTGATGGGAGGTCTGCCATGAAGGTCTCCGACATGGCCTGGAGACATTTTCCCCATGGTCTAGGGGATTAACATTAGGCTCCTTGCTACTCATGCAAATTTCTGCAGCCGGCTTGAATTTCTCCTCAAAAAATGGGTTTTCCTTTTCTACTGCATTGTCATGCTGCAAATTTTCTGAACTTTTATGCTCTGTTTCCCTTTCACAATGAAATGCTTTTAATGGCACCCAAGCATTCACCTCTTGAATGCTTTGTTGTTTAGAAATTTCTTCTGCCAGTTACCCTAAATCATCTCTCACTTTCAAAGTTCCATGAATCTCTAGGGCAAAATGCTGCCAGTCTTTTTGCTAAAACATAACAAGAGTCATATTTTCTCCAGTTCCCAACAAGTTCCTCATCTCCATCTGAAACCACCTCAGCCTGGACTTTATTGTCCATATCGTTATCAGGCTGTTGGGTCAAAGTTATTCAATAAGTCCCTAGGAAGTTCCAAACTTTCCCACATTTTCCTGTCTTCTTCTGAGCCCTCCAAACTCTTCCAAACTCTGCCAGTTACCCAGTTCCAAAGTCACTTCCACATTTTTGGGTATCTTTTCAGCAATACCCCACTCTACTGGTACCAATTTACTGTATTAGTTTGTTTTCATGCTGCAGATAAAGACGTACCAGAAACTGGGAACAAAAATAGCTTTAATGGGACTTACAGTTCCACATGCCTTGGGAGGCCTCAGAATCATGGCTGGGGGCAAAAGGCCCTTTTTACATGGTGGTGGCAAGAGAAAAATGAGGAAGAAGCAAAAGTGGAAACCCCTGATAAACCCATCAGATCTAGTGAGACTTACTCACAATCATGAGAATAGCATGGGAAAGACTGGCTCCCATGATTCAATTACCACCCCCTGGGTGCCTCCCATAACACATGGAAATTCTGGGAAATACAATTCAAGTTGAGATTTGGTTGGGGACACAACCAAACCATATCAGACACGTAGAGGTCATTGTAGCATTATTAACGCTCCTAATTTCAATATTGTTGTGTTTCAGGGAATAGGGAAGCCAGAGGAGAGGGAGAGAGATAGGGGAAGAGCCATTCAGTGAAGCAGTCAGAACACACACAACATTTAGTGATTAAGTTCCCCACCTTATATGGGTGCAATTCATGGTGTGCCAAAACAACATAATAATAGCATCAAACGTCACTCATCACAGATCACCAAAACAGATATAATAATAATAAAAAAGTTTGAAACATTGCAAGGATTACCAATATGTAACACAGAGACTCAAAATGAGCACAAGTCATTGGAAAAATGGAGCCAGAAGACTTGCTCGTTACAGGGTTGCAACAAACCTTCAATTTGTAAAAACACAATTATCTACAAAACACAATAAAGCAAATCACAATAAAATGATGTATACCTGTATACGACTTACTGGTATTTATCTGCTGACTACTATCAGCAACATCCTTAGATATTGTTTCTAATTCCAGAGTTGAACCATCTAGAATGAATCCCATTGCAGTGAAACTCAGTTGAATTATTCCACTTAATTTGCTTTCTAAATGAAAACTACTGTTTTGAAACTCACCAGTGTGTGATTTGGTTGTAATCATATAAAAGAGTAAATTTATCTCTTTGCTCATTTTAGGAACTATTGCCACACGTCCTCATTGGGCTTCCTGTTTTTCATCTAAAAATCTCTTTCTCATTCCTCAACCCCCAAAGGGAAATAGATCTAAGACTTTGAAGCAAGACATCATTTTTGTCTCCTCTATTATCTTGCATAATGCCTAGAAAATTATAGGTCCTGATGCTTTTTTTCCATTCAGTACATGAGGCCTTTGTTGAACAGAAGCATAGACAACCACCTCACCACAAGGTAAGTAATCTCTAGATTTTCAGACTCTTTCTTAAAACCAGAAAAATAATCTTGGAATTCAGATTCTTTCTTAAAACCACAAAAACAATCTTGGAAGTAAGAAAAGTTGCTCAAACAGTAACCCCAAGGGAAACAAATCTTAGAAGCAGAGAACAGTGATGAGTAGATAGCAATCTCTTTTTTGGGATGAGTTGGGAGTTTGGTGTGGACTTTTTGATTTGTCATATTAAAATCAGAGGTATAAGATTTTCCTTTGTATTTAAACAAAAAGCTTATGATTTGAAGATAAACAGAATATATCAGTTTCACTGCTAAATATATGTTGATCACTGTAGCTGATATTGAGGAGAGAAAGTGGTAAATGACAGGAAGATGCACCTATTAAAACTGAATTAATCTGTATTTATATGGTCATTTTAACCTTCAAACAGAAAATGTCTTTAATGAAGAAATTTCAACAGACTGCTAAAAACAGAAAATGCCAAAGCCATTTCTTCTGGTACATACTAAAATGCATAAATTTCTTATATGATGAATGAGAAAAATTTTTTTGATATATGATTTTTTTCTTGTACAGAAATTCGGCAGGCAACATATACCACCCTTTATACGCAAAGTGGCTCAATCAACAAATGGCCTTTTTTAAAATTACAAATCTGGTAATCTGTGTCCCTTTAACAGAATAATGATAGGGATGGATGTTTTCCTATGTGCAATACAAAACGATGGAACAATGGGGTGTTTATTTTGGCTCAGGGACTTTGTAGAAAGGTCCTATCTGTTCTCCCTTCATAAAATCTTGCTTATAAATTAATTACACCCAAAAAGTTGAGCTGAGAAAAACCAACACTTTAGCTTTTCCTCTTGGCCAAAATTGTTAATTTGGGAAATGCAAATAAGCTTTGCCAAATTATTTAAAAACAGCAAAGAGAATATGTGAACATGCTAAAAACATTTCACCCTGAACTATTTCCAAAGATTGACTGCTCCATTTTTGATATAGTTAACAACTTAGATAAATACATTTTATATAACTAGAACTCTCAACCCAAGTAATATCCTCTCTTCTAAAATAAGAAGTCAATATTCTCTCTTTCTTCATAAATAAGTAATCCCAGCAAAGCAAAAAAATCAAAAGAAAATAAGCCAAAGTAATATGTGCCAAGTGTGGCTTCAGTGATCTGCTTTTTAAGTAGATGGGCTCTTTGGCAGATGAAAATCGTTAGCAGATGAAAATGTAAAGCTTTCTAAAATGTGACAGAAATGTTTCAGAGAAGATCTGCAGCATGAGTAGCTTTACAAATCCGAAACTAAATTCTAAATTATATCTGAAAGCCAGTGCAGCTGCCACCTGAAAGGCCTAGAATAAGAAATATGGAGTAAATCCTGAAAAAGATACTGGCTAAGCAATTATGGCTTCATAGTATATAGATCAAAGGAAGACTATATCTGAGATGCCATCCTGTAACCTGAAAAGTCTGGATATATGCATTCTTAGTGCCCATTGCTGTGTATGAGGGGAAAATTTTCACACAAAAGAAACAGAAGAATTTTTGGCGAATCCAAGGCAAAGGCACCCTCAAGAACAGCCTATGATTCTTGCAAGAGGTTTTCTTCAGGCAAGGAGCACAATAGGACTCTTGTCCTATTCCCTTGGCTTCTCGCCACTTGCCATATACGCATCCAGCTGATCATTCCATAAACATTTTTGAGTGCCTATTGCACACGTACACTTTCAAGAGCACTCAAGACCAGTGGTAAAGGTTTCCTACTTCATGGAACTGGCATCTAGTGAAAGAAAATTGACAATAAAAAGTTTAAAGAAAAACAGTGAAAAGGACACAATCAGGTGGAGATAAATGCTATAAAGGTAGTCCAATAGGTGATGTGATAGAGAGCAACGGAGACCAGAAGGGGTGACACATATGTAACTTCAGGTCAGAGAAATCCTTGCAGTTGAGCTGAGATCTGAATGACAAAAAGAAGCCTGCTATGTCAAAGTCTGAGGGTGAAGCATTCCGGGCAAGGGGACAGGGACTAGGAGGAGAGTTGAAGTGGCTGGAGCTCATTGAGCCAGTTGTCCTCACTTCAATCACCTTTGATTGTGTATGCTTATACTGCTGCTGTAACATGCTCTTGAAACTTGGGGCAAAAGAAGAAAACAGGGACAAAAAAAGTACCCATTCTTGTAAAAGCATCAAGAGGTCTTAGGGTCTTAAACACAATCATGACCCTAATAATCTTGATATCAAGTGCCTGAGTGTCATTCCAGTTTATTTTCCAGTCCTGAGAAATTTGGCCAGCTTCTCAAGGCTGAAAGCACAGAGAGAATGAATGGCAGACAGTGCAGGGTTAAGGAGTGAAGGATGTGGCTATAAAAGGCATTGCAACTAACTGCCTGTCCCCATGAGATCTCTGACCATAAAGCTATGCCATAAAGCTTTTCCTGATTGTTCAGGGGATTTACACAAGATCACAAGGTATCTTGTGGTACAATGATACCTCTCCTGCCTTCAACTCACCTGGCTCTTTATTATAGTTCCCCTTGTATAATAGGTACTTTAGGATTTGTCTTGGCACTGTTAACCTATGTGTGACTTCCTGCAGAAACTGTCTAATTGATCTCTTCTCAGTACCTAACACAGGGCCAGGCACATCATGGACGCTCAGTAAGTGATAAATTCCCTGGGATTGCCTTTAGCTATATTGGACTAATATTCCAACTATAGGCATAGTAATTGTACTCAAATAATATAATTATTTTGTTGTGTATCAGCAAAACTTCTGTGTTATCCATCAAAGCAAAGAAATATTCACAACATTCATACCAATACCTGGCATAAAGTAGAGACTCAGTGATACTCACTGAATACATGCATGCATGTCTTAGTGGACAAATCAATGAACAAATTGCAGCAAAAACAACTGTACTTATGGTCATTTAATTCATTCAACAATCAGTTTTTACTACATGTGTCATACCCTGCTGAGCACTACAGTGTCAATGGTGAGGTAGACAGACCTAGGCCCTGCTGTAAAGGAATTTTGAGTCTAGTAGGTCAGCAGATATGACTGAGGTCATCACACATGAAGGCTACCTAAAAGAAATGGTCAACTTTATTTAAAATGTAGATAAGGGGTCAATGCCAACATATAACCATGACATTTTTTTAGAAATCAGATCCACAGACAGAGCAAGTGGTTGAGAAAGGTAACAACTGATGGTAGCTAAAGTTGCCTCTTGGTAACTTGGGATGAGTTACTGAGAGAATTTGCAGAATCTTCTCTTTGGCCATCTATAAAACTACATCAGAGCTTTTTATGTGTGCCCTGATTGTGTGCAGTCATGTTTAAAGTTAGAAGGAAATACTGAGAGACTTAAATTTGTCTTCTGCCAGTATTCTTTACCATACCAAGATTCTTTTACTAGTTCTAAACACTTTAAATGTAGCAGCTATTTTTCTGAGGAATAATGGGAAAAATGAGAATTTATGAGCTGAAAAACAATGCATTGCCCTTATTCTCCCATAATTCAGGAAAAACAGCTAAGTGAAATTTTGGTCAAACTTTCCAAAAAGTTTTGGGCTGAAGACAAGCATGGAAAAATTCAAGCCCAAAGGAGATATTTCCAGAAATTTAGAAGCAAGTGAAAACAGAGGGTTATAGCAGTTCAGTATTTGCTGCCAGGAACAAAGTATATACGATATTATTTATTGCTGAAATCTTTTCAGAGAGACAGCATCTGGTTTCAGTGAGGTCTTGCTTTCATCCCATCCAGCAGCTGGACTAAACACTCCAGCACAGGGAGATCAACCAATTTGCCAAGGTGACACAGCGATTAGCGACTCTTTCCAGATTAGACCACAAGAGCCTCCTGGCTCTCGAATACCAAGAAAAAGTCACATGACTAACAGAGAGTTTAACACTTTTTTTTTCTATTTCAAGTGACTTCTTCAGCTTGCATGCTTACTTGTGTTTACATTTTTGGAGTCCCAAAGAGTGAGTCTTTCTCACTTTGCCACATTTCTCCAGTGGGAGGATCAGATATCAACATGGTTTCTTGTGAATGCCAAAATGCCCCGCCTTCTTCAAGGAGGATTTATTCATCTAGGCCGAGTGCGCTCATGGCAGAAATCAGAAATGGTCATGCAATATTCCACTCATACTGAGGCAGAGAGAGAGAGTGATCCAAATGCTCGCTAACTCTGAACAGAGAGGTTGGGCACTCTGCTTTGGTCATTCCAAAACTGCCTCTCTGAGGCAGGGGAAAAGCTGATGAAGATGAGGTTAACTCTGCCAGGAGAAAGCACTATAAACTTTTACTTCTTTTAGAGCTTTTTCTCTACCAGTACTATTTTTGCAGAGCCCTGGCTAGAGACAATTAGTTCCTTCATTCTTTTTGCATATGTCTTCCATACCAAAAGGAGAAAAGAAGGCTCTGTTTCCTAAGCATATGTTTTCCCTACACCTCAAGAAGACCATGTTGAGTTGCAAAGGGAACAAACAACCAACAACACACACACAAACTCTTTTAATAAGAAGTTATGAAATTAATGTAATTTCCACTAATCAATCTGTTTTCCTCTGTATGAGTAGCTGCCCACACACACACAGAATTATTAATACTATCATTAATCATTATTATGAATATATACTATATTATATAATAATATATATTAATTATTAGAATCATGAATTCAAAAGGCTAACTTAAGAAAAAAAGGGAAGAGGGTGAGAGAAGGAAGAGGATTACAACCATTCTTTTTCATGTCTAAACTTCAAGCTCATAGATAACAATCTAATATGAGAAGACCAGGGAACTGAGAGAACTGAGCCGCTTAGTTGTGTGAATGGACCTGGCATATTCTAAACTGGTCAAAAGAATATCAGGAAGGAAACAAGACCTCATTTGGTCCTTAGACCCCTCAATGGCAACAGACAGGGCACAGCATCAAGAGAAAACACGCAAGCTTTTGTAATACAAGACAACACCCAGAAGACATGTTGTTTTAATAATGCCAAAAAAAAAAAAGTCCACTATGAGTGACAGCAACCTAACTTCACTTTAAGTCTGAATGAATAATACCACTTAAGAAACTCATACAATTTCAATACAATAAGATTTAGAAATTTATTTTAAACTTACTGCAGATGTCAAAACACATGAATACCAAATACTTCACTTCTTGCTTCTTTCACATTACAATTTTCTTCTTTAATTGGAGCAGAAAAAAACAGGTCCTGACCATAAAAAAGTGATGACATTTCAAGCATGTGGACTGATGTTTTAGTTACACATGCATGCTATTCCCTTTTGACTTATATTTTTTCCAAGGATCAGCCATGCTAATTTTCATACTGTACTCATTCCTTCAGTATTTACCGAGTGCCTACCATGGGATAGGTACTGATTTAGGCCCAGAGGTTATAGTCATAAACAACACAGACACATCCCTGCCTTCCTGGAGCTTTCAATTCAGCACTCTTGTTTCGTTTCAAAGTTCAGTTACTGTTTTGATAAAGCTCAGTTCAGGTTTTAAAAAGGAAACCTCCATCCAAGGAAAATTCTGAAGTTATTGTTGTCTTTCCAAAATTTATTTTCTCAACCCTCCAATTAGTCCATTGGTATAAAACTCACAGTAAATGTCATTCTTAGAGGAAAGAACTTCAACATGATAGTTATTTTTTGCTTTGAGAAGAGGAGTTTTAAAATAATAAATGCTTAATGATTTAACCAGTAGCTTCAGCTGTTACATGCCAAACTAAGTGTTATAACAAACACCAGGGCAGGCAGACTGAAAAAGATGCCTCCAAATTTTAAATTTAAGTTTTTTCTCCCCCTAAAAATCTACACTGACATCCTTAGTGAACACCGGTAAATAATTACACACTCTGGCACTCAAGTGCAAACAATCAGGTTTCAAAGTTTACCCCAACCAGCTGTCCATAAAAAATCTTTTGACAGTGCCAGTAGAGATCAACCTGACCACAGAGGACATGAGGCAACTGGCCAGGACATAAGTCACATAGGTCTACACTTCTGTTTCAGTATAATTTCCAACCGTCTTGCTGATGGGCTCCAAGGCTCTCCAAAGCCACATGAAGATGTCTATATATCTCTTCTCAGGAAAAACTGAAAATTAACTTTCTATTTGAGATTCTTCCACTTTCCTTCTTGAACTTTCTCTTCATCTCCCACTTCCTTGTCCTCTTTCCTCTATTGTCTCTTCCCTACTTTCTCTCCAGGGTCAGATACTGCTTTCAGCTCTTTTCCTGTATTATCTTACCGGAGCCACACACAACCCTAAGAAGCAGCTCAGCAATCATGTCATGTTGCAAAAGGGAACCCTGAAGCCCAGGATCACATAGCTGGGAAGTAGCCAAGCCAGGATTTCAACCAGCTCACCTGACTCCGGGGTCCACAATCACTGTGCCATATTGCCTCTAATGTGACTTTTGGCTTAAGTATTTATGATAAAGATGAACTGGTGGTTTAAGTAGGCAAGTAGCAATGACACCTAAGAAATTAATCTTAATTTCTGCTATGCTTGAGAAAAATCTAACAAATTCTTACTTCAATTAACTGCTTTAAAGGTGGAAATCAAGGTGGCTAATTAATGGGCAATTTATTAAGGGTTTTTCTACACCAGCTTTGAGACTTTTGTCTCTTCCATGTGGAAGTACACTGAGAAAAGTCAGGAGCAAATGCCAATTAGAGATTATAAAGACTACAAAGAACTAAGAAAAAGAAAACAACAAAAATCTAACTTATTATGTTACTACATTCTCTGTGCCCCCTCTAAAAACTAACCAAATGAAGTCTTTGTTTCTATTAACATCTATTATTGTTATTCGTTTCACAAATTAGGAATAGTTTTCAGTGGGCTTATTCTTAGATTTAAACCAAACAACTTGATGGAGCAAATGTTAAAATACTAGCTCCTACAAGATCAACATACCTAAGGAACTAATTTCATAGGCTGCGATAAAACTGAAGAAATGGAAAGGTTGCTACTGCCCTCCTTCCACCAAGGCCTTTACACCTCTATTTTATTCTTCCTGGTTATGAAGGTTGGACCACCCACTAAATTTTCTCCAGCTAAATAAACAGCTACAGCTGAGAACAGTGCAAAGTCCTTGGCTTTCTGCTTTTATATCCACCCAGTGTTAATTCAAGAATGATTTTCAGCGGGTTATAGACTAAATCCAACAGAATAAAATTGGGATCTTAATTAAGAATTACCACTAAATGCATGAAATCATTAGGTTAGCCCTCAGCCTGCCTGTGTCGACCATTACTCTTCTTTCCTCTAGAACAACACCTTGGTGCCTAGAAGCCAAGACTATGTGGATGACATAGAACATAATGGCATTAATCCCATCTGTGGAAAAAGAAAATGCAGGAGCTTATAAAGCAGATTCCATTGGTAAATTGACTGTGTTTAACGACAGGAAGAGAGTATATTGGGAGATGAAAAAGGAAAAACATGTTAACAACAATTGTAAATAGTAGCTGTCTTCATGAAAGAGACACTAGCCTAAGCCAAAATAAACTACAAGGAAAAGAAAATCCTGCTGTTACCAACCAGTAAGGCAAAGCTGCTTTCTGGATTTGCAATCACTTTTCTTTAGTCATTCTTTGGTTTTCTGGAAGGGACCAGGTTTCTATGGAACTCTGATGAGCTCTGGGGAACAGCAGCAGCTAAGGTATATTTAGCAAACATACACTAAGAGTCTACTATGCTCAAGACACTGCATTTTGGTTAAGCCTGCATCATGCTTTATAGTCTTGTAGCTTAAGTACCCTTTGCAAATTCAGTCTGTGCTCCTGATAAAAGGTGACTGCCCTCTCCTGGCCACCTTTCATGAGACTGTTTACTTTCAGATCTTATTAATAGTTGTCACCATCACCTGTCGCCCATCACTCTTCCTCATCTGAGATGCCAAAAACTGCCAGGGAAATGCAGTGTGTGATCAGTTCTTAAAGGTACAATTATGTGTGAGACTAAACACAGGAAAACGTGCATACATAGTTCTCTTAGCAATGAAATGGGGGACCTTCCACTGACCTTCACACAATCTTTTCTTTCTATCCTCCTCTCACCCTGCAATGACTACAGACCCCCACTAATGTCCCCACTGTGGCAGAATTCCAAGCACAGGCCTGGGCATTACCTTATCAGAGCTCCCCATCTAGTCACTGTCTTTGCCTCCGATCTTTCTTAGGCCCTGCCCCAATTGTCCACATCTATTTCTCAACCCCAGCATCTGGTTCTGCTGAATTACCCATTTATATTGGTTATAGGGTATCCCAATATCTCTGAATAGCTTCTTTTTTTTTTTAAATCTAGAACCATTTATGCATATGGTCATAGATAGCTGGGAGTTTGAATAGCCCCAGATATAAGTAACTTTTCAAAGGTCATAAATTATAATAGGACAGAAGAGAGACCTGGTTATCAGAGGAGCAAGGCTGGAGATCTCAACAAGGGGTGAAGTGTGAATTTATCTTCCCAATATGGACTCCCTGGGTCTGCCAATCCAAAGAGGTGACCTTGGTCATGGAAGATTTGCAGAACAAATCTTGCCTGTGGACTTGCACCCAGAAGGCACTTGTAGGTAGTCAATGCAGAATCCAAAAATTACTTGTAAGATGCGCCCAGTGAATTCAGCAAATGTTTTATTTTAGCCATTTGTCTTCAAGGTCAGTTCTGGTTAAAGAAGTTGCTCATTTTAACTAGAAGAAAAAATAAATTCTGGGTGAAGCAAGCTTTGTTTTATTTTTCTTTTCCAGTAAGTAATAAAATCATTTTTTCAAAGACCTTCAGGATAGAAAAGATTTTTTATATTTAACCCATTAATGTTTGCAGTCATTTTTATATTTAACCCATTAATGTTTGCAGTCAACTAATCCCTAGAAATAAGAACAAAGAAGGGAAGACAGGAAGGTAACACACATGAGCTAACATCACAGATAATCCTCAGACCTCTTTATTTGAGTTTTAACCTCACCCTGCTGAAGCTTTTTTTTTTTGAGACGGAGTTTTGCTTTTGTTGCCCAGACTGGAGTGCAATGGCGCGATCTTGGCTCACCACAACCTCCGCCTCCCGAGTTCAAGCGATTCTCCTGCCTCAGCATCCCGAGTAGCTGGGATTACAGGCATGCACCACCACGCCTGGCTAATTTTGTATTTTCAGTAGCGACAAGGTTTCTCCATGTTGGTCAGGCTGGGCTGGAACTCCTCAGGTGATCGGCCCACCTCGGCCTCCCAAAGTGCTGGGATTACAGACGTACAGTACCGCGCCTGGCCCCTGCTAAGCCTTTTATCAGAGCTGCTAAGAAATAACCAATGTGACATATTTAAGCTTCATCTCATCTATTTCCTCTCCATGGCCCTGAGTGGGGCTGCTAATGAGCTGTGAAGTGACAAAGATAACCGGCCTCTATATGGGAGAGAGAAGACTAGAGCTGGATAATCCACAATGTCATTTGGGTTCTCAGCAAAAGCTGCGTATTTCCTATTATAGCCCTAGGAGATGATTTAAGAAGGTGAGAGGGCACTTTTCTCCCAAATAACTGCTCCTACACAATTGAAATTTCACCAAAGAGGTAGATTTCTTTGTGTCAAAGCATCACATCTCCAGTAGTCTTTGATTATCTAAATTTTGCTCAATCAACTGAGATTCAGAAATGTGAAGTAGCTTGCTATTGCTAATGATACACAACCTGTCAATGGCAGAGCTGGGACTCAGATCAGAGGGGATAGTGTTTTAATCATAAACTTCTAAGAATCTCTCTAATTCAACCTTATTTCTCTGACCCCTTTAAAAAAATATCCCCCAGAGCCATAAGTTCAGGACATCAAAGTAATAACCTCAGGGTATACAAAAATGTTGCTGGATTAAGGGGTGATGCCACCAAAAGTTGCACCATGAATCAGATCTGGTAGAAGGGAAATGAGACCAGAAAAAGAGAATGGATCAAAGCTTTCAATTCTAGTTAAAAAAAAAAAAAAAGTTACTGAATGGTTACTTGTGCCATCATGGTAACCAATGAACAACCTGTAAAGTTAGTTTTCAATAGGCAGCCTGATAGTCAAGTGTAGGGCCCTAAAGGATTTGAAGACAGTGTAAGCATTGCTGAAAAGAAAATGCAGAAATGAATATTGATAGTTTGTTCAGACACATAAACAAGTAGGTTGTCTATGTATATATATATATGTCAGGCACTTATCTGAGTACTGGGGACAGGGGCATGCTCTCTGGTCACACAGCCTTATAGTTGACAGTTTGGAAAAGCCAGGGAGGGATCAGGTGAGAAAGGTAAGGAGTGAGAAGACGAATCTGGTTGTATCACCAAAAACCTTTGATAGCTGTATAGTTGGATCGATTCCAAAATCTTCATGGCATATACACCTACTGCTCTCTCCTCTGCCTACCCTGTGCCCCACCCCCAGCCCCATACCTAATGAATCACCATTCCCTGAACACCTCAGAAATCTGTACTTCTTTGTGTCTTTGAATATGTGGATTCCTGGATCCCCCCACCATTCTCTGCCTTGAGAACCCCTGAGTCCATTTTCTCACATTGTTTTCATCAGCACCCTTGTGAAGCCTTGTCCAGCACCAGAGGGAGTTCATTACCATCTTCCTGCTCCTTTATAACATCAGCACAAACCAGCACTGTGGCCATCACTGTGGAGTATTGGAATGTCCTATTTTTTGACCATACACAGGGATTGGTAGGGGGTAAAGAGGCAATTAATTCAAATTTCCATCAAATATTAATTTTTCAGCAACCCACCGGCAGCTCAAGCGTAGGGTCTATCTGCAGTCTGTGGACTTAATTTTTAATTGTTAGCATAAGAGCTTGGATTCCTAGAATGGGAGCAGGGAGTGGTTATGATGATAGAGGGGTGCAAAAAGATGAATTCAACCCATATCACAGTATTTTTCCAGGCCAGAAATATTAAGACTTTATTGCTGAAATATTAAGACTTTAAATGTCTGAATACCCCGAAGGGTAGTGTGAACAGCATGAAACTCTGATGCATCCTAAGGAAGACATAAAACCAGGTTTGATAAAAGTCATTCTCCTCTTTCACACAAACACACACACACACACCTGCAAACACATAAACAAAATCAGTAAGTAAAGGAAGACAAATTATTATCTAATAAAAAACAGCCAGATAACAGCTAACAAAAACAAAAAACAAACAAACAAACAAAAAACAAAAAACAGAGGACTGTTTGTAGATGGAGCTTGAGCTTCATTCATTCATTCATTCAACATTTAGTAAATGCCTTGTATGTGCTGAACCTTATTCCAGACACTAAAGATATAATAGAGAAAAACAAAGGAGGAAAACAAGTTTAAAAACCCACAAGTCTTGCCCTCACGGATCTTAATACTTATGGATGTGGTTCAGCCAATACATGAGTATTATAATATATCAGATGATGATAAATACTATGGAGAAAATTAAACTATGATGTAAAGTAGAGAACGTTGTTGGGGTGGTGTTGTTCTTTTAAATCAGCTGGTTAGAGAGGTTCAAACTATGAAAAATATTTTTAAATAAAGAACTGAAATAGAAGAAGAAATCCGTGAGGACTTCTGGAGGGAAAGCATTCCAGGCAGGGAAAGACCAGTAGCAAAAGTCACAAGGTGGGTGCTCACCTGACACATGGGAAATAACAAAGATGACCCAAGGAGTGCAGTCTGTTCTATTACAGCATGTGTTTCTGTAACAGCAAGCAGCTCATATGCTACTGGTAAATAGTGGGATAATATTGGTATTACATGGAAACAAGATTTTTCTTAGGCAAGAGGAGTAAGAATAGCAAGAACAGAATTATAACCTTAGCAGGAAAGGAAAAATCCCTGAAGTTGGCTGCTGCACAGACTGCAGTGATTTCAGCTCTCTTAAGGGAATTAAAGATGAGCGCCTGCACCCAGAGGTGTCTCCCAAGAAATACGCCCTCTCCCACCAGGCAAAGCTATCTGCTCAAGGCAGGCTGAACTTCTTCCTATGACCACTTTTGTGGTAGGCCCTCTGGCTCAGAGCTCCATTCATCTGTCTCATCTCAGCTCCCCAGCCGGCATCTCCATGCTACTGTTTTTGTGCATTTTTAATATTCCTTGAGTCGCCTTCAGTCAATCTGAGCTGCCTGCCTTCCTGTTATCTCCCAAGGTATCTATTATTGCTTTGGTTATTGCTACAGTTTTTTATGTTGTATAAGATATGAGTGTTCTATTCCAATCGTAATTTTACCATAAGACCTGTTATTTTTCAAAGTACATCTTGCAGACCAAAAAGTTTTACAGAACACATAAATAGCGTTATAGCAGAAACATCTGCCCAAATGAAGTCAAGGATTTCAGGGAACCAGATCACAAAGGGCTTTATAGGCCATCATGAAATGGGAAGGCATTAGAAGGCTTTGAGTAGATGCATGAGATGATATACTGTGCTGAAAGCAAAATAGGGGTGAAGGGAGAAAAATGAGCAAATATAAAAGCATATAGAACAGGTAAAGGTCTTTGCAATAATCCAAGTGAATGAGGATGGTGGCTTGGACCAGAACAGTAGCAGTGGAAAATGTGATAAATGGTTACTATTTGCCAAAGAATTGGCTTTGGGAAATGAGAGAAAGAAAGGAGTCAAGGGGGACTCCAACATTTTTTAACCCAAGCAACCAAAGGATGGAATGTCACCAACTGCAATGGGGATAACTGACGGATGAGGCAGTTAGGGGGGTGATCGATTCAGTACAGATAAGATTGAGGGCCTTTAAGGCATGCAAGTGGAAATGCCAGCTAGGTAGTTGAATAGAAATGTCTAGAATTCAGAGGAGATAAATTCTCAAGTTTTTATTGTACAGACATTGTTTAAAGCCACAAGAGCAAATGTATTCAAATGCCCATCAGATACTGATTTTCCAAAAACCCACTAGCAGCTAGAGCACAGGCAAATACTTACAAAGCTTGTGGCTTAATTTGTAACTGTTAGCGTTAAAGCCTGGATTCCTAAAATAGGAGCAGGGAGTGCTAATAGAGGTAGACGTGTAAAAAAAAAAAAAAAAGGTTTGAGGCCTGCACTTCCTAAGTCATTCTAATAGAAGTTGGGGTGACAACTTCTGGTGGAGGGAGAAAATAAATAATGCAAGAAAGGAGAAAGAAAGAAAATTGCTGAGCTAATGTCCTTGAATATGCAAGAGGGAAATAAAGTGCCAAGTGGAGAGGTTCATCTTTGATAGAAGCTCTCTGTTAACAGAAGGAAGGCAAACCATATGGTCACTGAGACTGGGAGGAGTAGATGTGGTGGTGGAAGCTTGTAGATTCACTTTTGATTACTTCTGGGCTTTTTGCAGTGAAATAGGAAAAAAGGTTATCTGCGCAGAGTTAGGGTATGAGAAGTAATTGTTGGAGGCTTGAGGATAGAGGAGTTGTCACATAGTTGTCCAGGAGACTAGGAAAGTGAGTGGATTCAAGAAATATGGAGAGTTGCCAATCATTACTAATAAATGGCTCAGTGAGGTTAGGGCCCATGCATTTAAAGTGAAACAAGTCACCACAGTGTGCATTTTCCACAGTAACATTGAACTCTCAGGTGTAGGCAGGGTATAGATGGAAAGCAGGATTAAATCTGGGTTGGAATTTTGCCAGGCAATAGTATGATGAAGCAAGAGAAGTACAAAATAATACTGAAAATGAACCATGGAGTAAAGTGTATAAGGTGTGAGGTGAGGATGTTTATTTGTTGTCAGCTGCTAAAGGAAAGGTAACCAGTACAGGCTTTAATTATTTACCAAGTAGCAAATAACCACCCATAGATACAAATTTCATCACATAGTGTGATAACTTTTTTCTTTTCCTTTAAAAATATTCATTTTCTTTTAAATTGGTGAAACAACAGTGACATCAAACACAAACTTCTGGTTGGGCGCGGTGGCTCACGCCTGTAATCCCAGCACTTTGGGAGGCCGAGCCGGGTGGATCACAAGGTCAGGAGATCAAGACCATCCTGGCCAACACAGTGAAACCCCGTCTCTACTAAAAAATACAAAAAATTAGCCGGGCGTGGTGGCGGGCGCTTGTAGTCCTAGCTACTTGGCAGGCTGAGGCAGGAGAATGGCGTGAACTCGGGAGGCGCAGCTTGCAGTGAGCCGAGATCGTGCCACTGCACTCCAGCCTGGGCGACAGAGCAAGACTCCGTCTAAAACAAACAAACAAACAAACAAACTTCCTGCTGGGAGATAGGTGCAATGTGTAATATCCATTTATGCTGACAGTAATCATCTCTCAGGTCTCACTATTTATAATAAACAGCATACCAATCCTGCTTTCATATGAAGCCTCCAGAAGATTGCAGAGGCTGGCAAGAGTGTGGGTCAGAACATTATCATATAGCTTCAAAAATATCACAAGTCATTTTTATGCACCTGCCTCCTCCATGCTTCCTTACTACTATGATTCCATGCCTACTTACTGTCCTTTCTGGACAGATTCTCAATGAATTTTCTCTTTATTTTATTTTCCTTGGGAAAGGCCCCCTTTGGTGAGCTATCAGACCAGTTCTCTCAGCTCCTTAACCACATATGTACCTCAGCAATGAAGCTGGGACAGGCTGAACTGACCAGCAATTCTCCTGGCTGCTGTCAGATGCTTACAAGAGTATTTGGAAGAAAGTATCAGAAAATGGATGCAAATCCAAGATCAAATGAGGTCAAGGTCCTGGATTCCTTGAATATGCCATTCTTTTTTGGCAGTGTATGAGGTCTAAAATAGCATTTCCCATCTGGACTAGTTACTCTCTGTTTGGCCCTCCTCCTATAGCATATCCATTCCAGGTCTTCCTCTGCTCTGCACTCAGGAGGCTGACTGCTGCGGGCTGACTCTCCAGGCTCAATGCTGGATAACTTCCTACTGGGTTTGAACAATGGAGATTAGAAGGTTGACAGAGAGGTCAGGGATGTCTTCCCCACATTCCTATGCTCTGGCCTAGCCTATGTCTCTCCAGAACTTTAGCTTCTGTCACAAGACCCCTCCTCCATGGCTCCGGCCCTCTCAGGACTAGAGTAACACGGTTTCCTTCTTCTGCAGCTCCAGGTCCAGAAGAGATAATAGCTTCTCATGGCAGCTAGGGTCCGAGTGACTCAGCATTCCTTGCTAGCTACTTTAATCCTACCCATACTTCTGTACATTTCCCCTTGAAGTCTCTTGAAACTTCTGAGTTAGATTGTGTGTCTTTCCAGGACCTGACTGATGTACACCATTTTGAATTCCACCATGTGTAATTTTACAATCGCACTTGAGTACTGAAGCTGCTAGTCCAGTGAACACCAGAGGAAGGAAATCAAATCCCAAGCATGTGTAATGTGATCATTCATTCATTCATTTAGTCTGGGTGAATATACTAACATTCATGTCTTGTTAAAAGTAGAGATAGGATTTCTTAATTTTAAAAACTTCAGAAAGGCCCATCAGGGCTCCAGCTCTGCAAATAGTTTTTTCAATAAAAGTTTCACTTCTTGAATCAAGGGATACTTACAACGACTAATGGTAACCTTCACTGAAATATTTTTCTATTAACTATGACCCTGAAACTGTAATCATTCTGACAACAAAGCTGATTTTATATCATAAACAATTATTCAACTAGTCATTAGATTATTTGGGAAGTTCTCCCAGCCTAATAAAAGCCTCTAAGATTCTGTGTCAGAGAAAGAAACATACAGGAAATGGGAAGAACTTTAATGTATTTTCATAAGTTTCCAACAGTAACAACTGACCCATTTGATAGCTAATTTGTGCTAAATGTCAATGGATTAGTAATATAATCTTATAATTTACCCAAGATTAGCAGTTTGGCTATAAAGAGTGAGGTCAAAGAATACTGCTGTTAATTTTCAATGAATTTGCTTAATAATCAACTGTTTATGACCACATCCTTGTTTTCTTGTAATGACCCAGACTTTCAGGATTTTGAAAGTCTGAGAAAAATCTGCTGTTAAATGTACTATGGTCAAGGTAAGATTTCTACAGGGAATATATAATTCTAATAGGCTCTTATCTAAAAGGATACGCTTGACCAGTGTCACTAGTGATGTCGACATCAAATAAACATCAACATTAAACTGAGGCTACTATATATTTTCATGTACTGGGTACATAGCCTATAAAGTCAGGCTAGAGGGACTAAAATATATTCCTGTTAAAAGTTAACAAATAGTGAATCTATCATTGATTCTAGAGACAGATCAAATATATTTTGCTATAAAAAATGGAAAGAACTAATGAATATATGTTAGAAACTTTTTAAATTTTTTGCTCCCAAGAAGTACGGTAGGGTGAGCATTGTTAAATAAAACAAACCTAAGTTCAAGTCCTGAATTTGCTTTTGTTAGTTCATTAATCTTGGTCATGTAAATTATCCTCTCTATGCTTCAACTTTACCATCAGAAATATAGAAAAAATATTTATTTCCCTTGGAAGACATCCTCATTAAATCATAAGAGGGTCCATCTCACTTAGAAAGGGCTTTTGGGAAAAAAATTCCACATTAAATATATTTATTAACTACATAATACTACATAATACATTCTGATTTCAGAAATATTAAACTGGATAAAATATGGCCTAGGATCTAGGAAACAAGACAAGGTTATCTGTCTCACTGAGTATGCAGCATGGAGTAAATAACATAATGTCAAGAACACACCACGGCTCGTGGCTCCAGAGCAAGTCCTAAATAAATATTGATGTTTTATTGCTATTGTAAATATCACTAACAAGAAGGGGAAGCAAACATCAAATACTTATTCAATACATTTTGGTTCAAAATACCATGGAATTTGGGAGATAAATTGTAGAACCTCTGTTCCTTTCACTTTATAGGTAATATGCATGAATGGTATGATAAAGTTAAGTGACTTACCAAAACTAAATAATTGTAGAATCAAGATTATAACCCAGACCTTCTAATTATATGTCCAATAAATAATAATAATATAATAAGTGCTTACTATGAGCACGCATTATACTGGTTGCTTTGTATATAAATATTATCAAGTCATCACAGCAATCCAATGTGACAATGTAATAGGTACTATTATCCCATTTTACATAACAGGAAGCTGAGGCCCACACAGGATAAGCGAAATCTCACAAAAGCAATCTCTTGCTTCTGACTCAAACCCAAGTCTACCTACCTCAGTGGACTCTTTCCACTGAGCTAATGTCTCCTTCCTGGATTTGTACTTGTTCCTTCTTGGATTGCTTTACTGATTGAAGTCTTATCTTTCTAACAAATGTATTAATTTCACAAGCACAGATATAATGTTACCTATTTTTTTTTTTGAACATGCATGGCACAGGGCTGGGCATTGTGTACGTGCTCAAAAAATGTTTGCTGAGTGTATGATAACTTTTTTAAAAAAAATTACTTGTAAAAGCAAAAAAAAAATAAACACTTAAGCAGCAAAATGCGCAAAAAATTGCTCAAGTAATGACTTGGACTGGGCTCAAACAGAAATTCTCCTCAGTTTAAGAAATAGAATTCAACCATATTCTCTGCTGATCCTAAGCCAGTACTGCTTTCTCTAACAGTCAACAGTTCAAAGTATAATAGATTTAAAATAAAAGTAAATTATAAGGCAAAAAAAGAAAGAAAGAAAAAAAAAAAAAAACAGTCAACAGCTCCCAACATGCATGTTTAACAACTCCGAAGACAGGGCAAGCCTAAGAGGCACGTAGTTAAAATCTGACCTGTCCTTGAAAACAGGGGAGCCACTTTCCACTGGTACATGTGACTTTGTTTAAGGTTAAGCATTCAAAAATCTGGAGCAATTCTTAGCCCTGGGCTAATAGGGCTAGCTGATGCCTCTCTTCTTTTCACATTTAAAGAGAAAGAAGCCCCTCTTGAGATAATGAAGAGATCCAGAATATAAGGTAAGACTCTTTTGGAAAAGTGCTATGATTGAGGTTTCAGCATTCTTGCCTTAGCTTGGAAAAGACTTCATACCTTTACTTTTATTTTATTTTATTTTATTTTGAGACGGAATCTCGCTCCGTTCTCAGGCTGGAGTGCAGTGGTGCGATCTCGGCTCACTGCAACCTCCGCCTCCTGGGTTCAAGCGATTCTCCTGCCTCAGCCTCCCGAGTAGCTGGGACTACAGGTGTGCACCACCACTCCCAGCTAATTTTTGTATTTTTAGTAGAGATGGGGTTTCATCATGTTGGCCAGGATGATCTCAATCTCCTGACCTCGTGATCTACCCACCTCGGCCTCCCAAAGTGCTGGGATTACAGGCGTGAGCCACGGTGCCTGGCCAAGACTTCATACCTTTAGAACAACATACTGCTTATACTGAAGACTGAGGTAGAAGATCATTATGAGGGATGTGAAGGCAACGTAAAGCCAGGAAAGATGGGATTTACCTACACTCAACTCTTCTGCATTTCCTGCTTGACACTGTCCCCATTTCTTTCTTCCTGCCTGGCCTAGCAAGCTCCCTTCTCATTAAAAATTGGGCATAAAATCAGGTAAACTGAACTAGGGCCTATAGTCAGTCAGAATGTGGTCATATCACTTCCCAACCCAAATTAATAATATTCAACCTGGGCAATGCATATAAACTATTGCTTCTTGAGTTTGATAAGCTTTGCAGGATAACTCCAAAAGAATAACATGTTCATTACAGCTATGCTCAAAGAAAAGACCATGTTGCTTATTACTAGGGCTATGGGTCTGACACTTTAAAAAAAATGTAAGAAATTTGCAGACCCATAATCCAATGTTATGGTTTATCCAATCAGTGCTATGGCCACAGTTTAATGCTTTCCCAAAGCTCCCCTCTTTTCTTTTATCCCAATCCCTTTCATTCTAAGCACATATAAGTCTGCTAAGAGTCCTAATCAGTTTCCTGTTGCAACTTTTATAACAGCCTCTGACATCTTCCCCCAGATATCCATAAGCCTCGTCCTTTTATGTCCTTCAGTTCTATTAAAAAAAAAGTCATCTAATTAGAGAGGCATTCCCTGACAATCTTATATAAAATATAAATTCCTTGGTCTGATCCTGCCCCACCTAGCCCCTTACCCTATTTTGTTTTTCCCCATGGCACTTATCTCTACCTGACATGATATATATTTGTTTAGAGGTGGTCTCCCTTCACAAAATGTAAGAAAGGACTCTGTTTTGTTCATTGTGGAATCTCTACCACCTATAATGGTGACACTCATAGCAGGCTCTTGATAAATATTTGTCAAATCCACCAACAGTCTTCAAAGCCATTCTTCATTCACATCATTGCTAAAAAGTAAAAGTATAGTTGACCACGGTTTAGGTAAAAATATCACATTTCTTTCAACCACTTCTAACCTTAAAATCCAGGATGAATTGCAGCCCCATGCCTTTCACCCATCCCAAACAAGTTTTGTTTTGTTTTGTCTTGTCTTGTTTTTGTTTCTTTAAGTGAATTGTGTGCTTATTTTACTAGCACATTCCATATTTTGACACTACCCATTTCTGAATGAGATCATCCTCTAAGTACAAAACAAGGTCAAAGGCATTTCCTAAAGTATTTCAATAACCTTCATAACATGCCAATACAAGGAATTTTTCCTTGTATTGCTCAGAAGGTTGAGCATAAGGAAGCGATTTGGAACATGCCAAGGGCAAAAGGAGCTCTATACCTGACCCTGGAGAGTTGTCTCAGAGACCCCGGTAATCAGAAACTAAAGTTAGCTGAGACACCACACCAGGTGGCAAGAGTACACCTTGTAATCAAAACTTGTACATACCAGTAGAACCTGCTGTACCTTTCTTTTAGTGATGTCCTCATCTCCCAGTTAAACACTGAACCTGATAATTTTCCTGCCTTGCTCCTTCTCCTTTAGATCAACAGCTAGCCACATGGAGAAAACATAAATTATACATATGTATAAATTAATAAAAATAATTATTATTTTAATAAATATAATTATAATTAATAAATTAATAAAAATAATAAAATATATTTTAAATATATATATACATAAAGACATTTTGAGTTTAAAATGTACAATTAGTGGTTTTCTCCAATTAGTAAAAGAAATTTGGATGCAGAGATGGCCATCCTGTGCCAACAGGATGACTTTGGTCCCATTGCCTTAATTATAAACTAGATGGAGATGACAGTGCTTCATGAGGGTATGAGAGAGAGCGTGAGAATATTTTTCTGACTAAAGAACAAATCACTTATTTAAGCCATTATTCCTTTCAAGTTCCAACCATAATTTATTTAGTAGGCATAATTTCTAAATATGATTAGGCAAATTAATGGAAATTTACCAGTCACAATTGACTGATATTACACAGTCATGTGTTATAAAGAGCAAACAAACATAAGATTCTGGATCCTAAAGCAGAAGGCACATAGAGGGTATCCTTAATTTTTTAAGCCTTCAATTTGAAAAATATTTTTTATTTTTTCTCTGCTTTGTCTTACTTATGCCTAAAACCTTGAACATTGCCATAAGAACATAATTTTAAACATTTTACTCAGTAATAGTTATATGTTCTGTGCCTATATCATTGAAGATCCCAGGGGCTGAATCACTGAGGTTTATCATAGCAATTTGTGCTGCAAATTCCACTTTCTGGACCTCAGTGCCTTGTCCTTTAAAACAAGAAAAGTGGACATGAAGAGCTGAGGTCCCTCTCTGCTCTATGAATCCCTAACTCCCACCCACGGAGTTTTTATATGTGAGCACCAATGGGCAAGCAAAACTCTGAAAGAAGTCTGGATGTGTACTGTAAAGGAGGGATATGAATGGGCTGGATGATGACCCGCACTTCTAGACTAGTTTATTTAATTGCAATTAACACAATACATGAACAAAGCTGCTGTGAGGCTTAGCAAAAACACCATTTGTCAAGCATGGTGATTATAGGATCTTTCTCTAACCATTTTGGCAGTATAGTTTGTGGAAGAGCTTATTTTCAAAATTCTTCCATCTCTAGGGCACTTTTTGCCTCTGGGAGGAAAAACACTTTTGTGTTTAAAAATCTGGCTACTTTTCTTAGTCTAGAGTAGTGTTTCTCACCAGGAAGATTTTCTCCCCAGGTGACATTACAGCAATGTATACAGATATTTTTGGTTGTCATGAGTTGAGGGGAAGGAAGTCACTAGCATCTAGTGGGTAGAGACCAGAGATGCTGCTAAACATCCTAAAATGCACAGGGTAGCCCCAAGAACAAAGAATTATCTGGCCCAAAATGTCAACAGTGCATAGATTGAGATACCTTACTCTAGAGAAAGAAGCTTTAGATTGGAGGTAGCTGGGCCAAGTCCATGTTAAACAAATAAGAATAGAAGTTTAGGGGACAATCTTTGTCTTTGGGGTCTCATAGACACTCTTAATATCATTTAGGGCCTAATGACATTGATGTAATGATAAAAAAAAAAGCTAATTTAAATGCAGGTAGAACTAAATACACTTCCTTGGATTCTCTTTTCTGGATATGTTTTAAAGTAAGCATGACAGCTTGACACTTCTTTATAATCATTATTGAACACTTGAATATGATTGAACCTACCGGAGCAATACTACTGGATTTAGTCTTATTTCAACCCAGGTCCTTGCAGTCAACCACAGATTTCATTATGGTCAGTACTAAGTTAACACCCTCCTCCTAGCATTGTCTCAGTGCCAGGAACCAAATTTTTACTGCAGAACCTGATGCATCTTAGGTGCAAACACCTGTGACAGTCTTTAAAGATGGAGTATTAACTCTGTGGCCCAGCTTCCAGATAATGAGCCAGTGTAGAAGATGAACTCAAGCAATTGAATACTCACCACTTTAAACTTCCTCACTTTTTAGTTGTTTTCATTGTAAGTTATTCTAAAACGTACCTCACACATCTTTGTCTTTTGCAACAGATAATACTGAACTTAATTTAATCATTTCTTAATGGTTTTAGGATGTCATTGTTACGGATGTCAGCTGTCAACCTGTGCAAGTGTTTCATGCAGGCAAACAAAATCAGTGGTTCAAGCAGAGTGTTTACTTCATTTGTTCTTGTGGCCTTAGTAGGCCAGCTAGTAAGTGATGCTTACTATTTTGAGTTCTCTGTCTTCACAGTGACCAAAGAGGCATAAGCATTTCCCCAAGAAGCAGAAAATAATCATGAAGGTCTGACATGCACTCTCCCATCATTTTATATGCTGTATATTCTCTAAGTGTGAAAAAATCAGATTTTCACATGATTTTGGTATTATATAACATTAAGTGCTATGTGTCACCCTCTGTAGAGCTAAGTGTTTGCCCCACAGTATTGATTTTATCCTCGTAACAACCCTGTTAAGTAAGTACAAGTATTTATCTTCATTTTACAGATAGAGGAGGCTGAGGCCAAGAAATACTGAGTCATTTGCCTGAAGGGCAGAACCCAGATTTAAACCCAGGTGATCTGGCCCCAGAGCTTTGTTTTAACCGCAGCTACAGAAGCTGCAAAATAATAATCCATGGGCTGAGTATGGCCCGTAGATATGTTTTGTTTTGCTCATGTAACACTGATAACTTCTGGGCCCACTGTCTACAGCTGGGCAGCTTGTGTCTGGCACAAAGTCTCAGCTAAGGAGGAGAGTAAGGGCTGAAATCCAGCCCACACTCGACTGGCGTAGCTACAGGGCTGCCATGAAGGAAGGGCTGCTGTTTCCTGATTTGGACAAAGGGTCCAAATGAGCTACTGTCATGCCTGGTTGTCAACACTAACAAACTGAGTTATTCACGCAAAATTCCAAACCTCTGGTTTTTACAGGAGTGGAGGGGAGGGGAAGGGAGGGTGGAGATTAGAACCAGCATTCCTCAGTGGCAATAATTTCTCTAGAAGGGACATATGCTTGCCTGTGTGCAACTGGCGTGTTTCACACATTTATGTGACCTTCCAAGACACCACAGGCTTTCCAAGTTTGTGACCTCTATATGTACTATGTTACACTTATGGCATTTCATTTTAAAATCTTCTCCTTTCTCCTTCTCAAAAAAAGATTCAGTCATGGTGCTTCAGCTAAGCACCATAATTGAACTAAGTTTCAGCCCCTATTACAGAGCAACAGAAAACATGTCCAGCCCTCCTGAACTTGATTCCCTAAGTGACCAAGCAAGGGGGATTCAGTTTTCTTTTGCAGGATGGAATTCTTGTTTTCTACTCTTGCGGCTCTGTGCCTGTGCCTGGAGTGAAACAACAACCACAACAACAACAACTTTGTCATGGGTAGCCAGGTATGGACAAAGACATAGGCATCAGCTAGCTGTTCCCCTTCTAGCATTTCATTATCAACATGAAAACTGTACACATGAGTGTTCACATTTTGGAAACCATCACTCTTCCCTTCTTATATCACAACAGGCACCACCCAGGCCTGGAGCTTGTGGACGATCAATGAAGAGCCACAGGGAATGGTGACTGGAAGATAAAAGCTAGTGCTGACTGAACAGTAGTCAACTTGTGGTTCAACTTGTCAATTCCCTACCCAGCTAGAGTTCCAGTATATGCTACATTTTTCTCTGCCAAGATGATGCAATCCAGTAGTCCCAAGTGCCCTCTTCATGCCCTTACCAAAGGGATTGCTGCCCTGATCTACAGAGACACCTGCTGCCTCGACATAGCTAGGAGACTTACAGCATCAACACTCTTCCCCACGTTTGGCTAAGTATTTGTAGCAGTTGCCACTCTTCACTGGCACATGCTTTGGTTTGCTATGGAAGCCAGAAAGAAATCATTCCATCTGTTACCTCTCTGTCTCATACCCAGGAGATTAGAGAACAACAATAATCTTTATTCTATCAAGTTCATCTTAAATGAAGGCAAGAGAGGCCTGTAAGAGTTTAGACCAGAGATTGTCAATTTTCTCAGGTACCAGAATGACCTCTTGAAACAGAGACTATAAGTTGCCTATTAATAATGATTATCTCCTGCTCTGTACCTATAGAGCACATTTTTATGGAGGTGGCAAGGTGCCCAGCTTAACACAAACAAATTTCTATATTTTCCAGGTTCCCTTGCAGAGATAATCCTATGATGCACATTAATGAGATATAAGCTGAAGTCACCAAGTAGAACATCTAGGAAAGAGAACAAACTTGGTTGGCTTGTCCGTTTGCCTTTTGCCTTTTACTCTGCACCTTCTTTTTAACTAGAAACATGATGCTTGGATCTCCTTCAACCATTTTGTGAGCATGAAGAAAAAGCTAGAAGAAGCTCATGACATTTGCTTATGAGACTATAATGCTTATAGCATGGGGACTTTGCAATTTACTTAATTTCTCTGAGTCTCAGTTTTCCAAAGTATATTACCTCCCTTGTAGGGTTTTTATGGGGAGTTAAATGAGATAATGTGGGTAGAATTGCCTCATAATTACTAATATAAAGTAGTCAATCCAGTCAACAAATAAATCATCCCTTTCTCCCTTTTACCCTTCCAATCAGATCTCCAGACTCAAGGGAGAATTAAGCCAGACTTATTTGCTGCTAGCTAGCACTTTCAAAGCAGGCTTCTGTCTAAAGTGCTTTTTGACTTGGTGTCAACTGGTACAGACCTGAACTGAGTAAACAAGGCTCTAGGCATATGAAAGAGATTCCCTTTAAGCTGAGCAGCAGGAACCCAAGGTAAGTAGCACAGTTGGGCCATGCCAGCCTGAGGCACAGAGAAGGTGTGGCCTTCACTAGAGAGAATCTAAGAATATCTGAGATAAAGTAATTATCAGGATGTATCCAAATGCTCTTCTAACGCAAAATATTAACCCACTTCCAACCTCCCCCTTGGCAAAATTATGGCAAAATGGAAAAGTGAAGAGGAAAAGCAATCCATTGATTGTATGACTTCAGGGCCTGAAGATACTGACAGAGAGAGAAGGCCTGCCATTCCTTCCCCAACCTACAAGCACCCACATTATTCTGATACCTATAGAAATGCAAATCACCTGTAAACAGGTGACTCTTTTCCAATGTTTTCCATTCTTTAAGAAAATTGCAGAATTCTACAATATCCCTTTCATAGCCAGCAGTTCTTTGGCATTGTATGTATCTGACGACTTTCTCTTCTTCAAAGTAGAGATCAGCAAACTTTTTCTGTAAAGAGTCAGATAGTAAATATTCTAGGTTTTGAGGTGAAGGTACATAAGGTCTGTGTTTCAACTACTAAACAATGCCCTTGTAGTGAGAAAGGAGCCATAGGTGATATGTAAATGAATGGGTATGGCAGTGTTCCAATTAAATGGCATCTCCAAAAACAGGTGGCCTGTAGTTTGGCAATCCTTGCTTAAAAGGACATTGAAACTATGCAAAACTGAACAAGAAACACTTGGTAATAGATAATACTGTCACCAATAATCATTGCCATGAAACAGCCAGAGAGCTTAAAGTCAAAACCAACAGAGAGAAAGGGATGAAATGGGAAAGAGAGGCATTCGTGTAACATTAGAAACCATTAGAAAGAGTACTATCATGTAGCGCTTAAGACTCAAAAGTTCCAGGATTAATGTAAACTGTGACAAGCAAGGAAAGTCAAAGAATGCAACCATATTTCACAAAAAGGTTAAGATAAATAAGTTTAAGTGAATAGCACACTCTGTGGGCCACAGCATGGTGGCTCCATGTGAAGGCTAAAGTAACTTAGGAATGAATGGGAAACAAGGATAAGAATTTCAGTCTTTGACTCTTTAAGCAGAAAAATAGGACACCAGGCAGATATGAGATAAGGACTTGGGGCTGTAGCAGAACTTAAGGCCCAAACAGATGTCCTGCAAACATGGAAGGCCCCTCACTCCTGGCCCCAAGAGCACTGAATACTGGTGTAAGTGCTTTGCTTTCTCTTATTCACATGCAAAGTGTTCCTCTTCTGCAAATAACTTGCATGTGACCCAACAGAGTGTCTAGTTCCAGCCTTGTGAAAGATTTGTTTTGAAATTTTACCATTCTGCCCTGGGTTTTTGCAAGACAAAGAAATGAGGTAAAATTCATTAAGGTAGGAAGAAACCACACTGATTTAAACGGAGTGTGAAAAGTAAATGCCCTACACTGGGATCATGTTTCAACTAAGGGGATAAATTACAGATGAGAGTAAATGGATTTTCTGTCAGAATATACCCTACTCTGGCATGGGTACCAGTTGTCTTGAAGACAATCTGTCCTTTAACAGCTATAACAAGTATTCTGTGGGACAAGACGTACCTGACACTTATAAACGTCATAAGCCAAACAATGATGCCCCAACTTTCAGAAATCAGGCTCCCACAACACAGTGCCTGGATTTTCATCCAGCATCCCAAGATCAAGCACATCTCTCTATGGATCTTCATCTTGATATAGATGCACATGCTATATCCAGCCTTAAACTTTCTTGTGTTTTATCACTAACGCTGCACCAAGATTTAAAAAAAAAAATTGCTCCAATTTGCTAAACCTTCTCCTAAGAGAGAACAAGTCATGGGAAATGATGAAGAAGCCTAGTACACTGAATTGGTTGACAATACTTTTGACCTTAATTTGCAGTGATTGTTCACCCAATCAGGAGGAACCAATTCTCTCTGCTTTGAATGCCTAAGTACTATTGTGCTTATGCTGTTGCTTCCAACATAAAGTGTCTCTTCACAAACTAGAGAGGTTCCCAATTGCATCGCCTCAACTGGTCTTGACAGGAGAAGAGATGAATCACAGGAGCAGTCTGGCACCGTCTCAATTTGTAATACTTTTTACCAAGGGCTAAATCACAGCCAGGCAGATGCCAGGAGTGTTTAATTTTCTTCTTCTCCTTCTTGTTAACAAAAGGAGAGGTGTTCAAGAAAGCTCAGTCCTACTTGACAGAATTAGTGGACAGAGTAGCTGTCAAAGGTGGATCTATGTATCCAAAGAAGGCATGCATAGATAAGTTTGACTTAATCTTCAGGAAAGTTTTTCATGATGGCCCAAAACTAATCTGTAGCAAGAGATGAAACATTCAACATCATTTGTATAATGGAGACTTGTAGAGCTAAATGCATCTGAGATTCCTGAGTTCACCTCCATTAGACCACTGCAAACTATGCAGTTCTTCCTTTACTGCAGATGTTTCTTCTTGAAATTGAAAAATGTGTATACAAGTTTCAAACAGCTCTCTATCCAACCCAAATGAACCTACCATCCCATATGTCTGTGTTGGCCTAATTCTGACACCAGTGCATTTTTTTTCTGATCACATGGTAATATGGTAGCCATGAAAGGCCAAACAAAAGAAAAAAGAATGGTGACTAGGGGTGGGGGTGAACTAATACAGGATGAATAACATACACAAGGAAAATGTGTAAATAAATAGAGTAACCACTGTTAATAACCCACTAGGCTGGCAAGCAAAGGTAAAATGATTGTAATCCTGGTGGAAAAAAACAGCTAATGAATAATTAATGAATCACTGAGGGGATGGAGACAAAAAGTTACATTCACTCTTCAGACCTACCATGTCACTCTCAAAGGAGTCTATTGCTTGTTCTTTTTCTGTATGCATGTCTCCCAGTACATGCTTGATGCCTGAAACACTCTATCTTACTAGATAGACTAAGTGGCCTGAATGTGGTGTGGGCACATCTTCCTCCTAGCTATTATTTGCTGCTCTCTTTCTTGCTTACTTATAAGAAAGAACAAGTACCTTCAAGCAATATCTACACCTTATAAATGTAATCTACCTCCATCAAAGAAAATGGGGGGGGGGCGTGGGAATTGGCAATGTGTCACTTAGTTCTATACCTGTGAAATAATACAACATGGAGGCTAGCATGTTGCCTCAGTGAGACAGCAGATACTCAGAAAGAGAAATACCAAGATATGGGAGCTTCCATCACCCTTCTAAGGGGGATGCTAAATTGGAAATTTAATTCCAACTACCTACATATTTGGCTCTGATAGTCAAGTAGCTCACCAAAAAGAACTAATGCATTTTTATAGTAGCCATGAATATCTTCATTGCATTTCACTCATCTATAGAGGGCAACAAGCAGAAATAAAAATTCAACATTTCAAGAAGAGTCTCTACTGAACTTTTAAATTCTGGGTAAGGATGTCATCAACCTAGCTAAGGATTAGTTTACTCTACCCAAGATGTATTCAGGAAGTACACTTTCTCTCTTATCCTCCCATACGTGCTAATCTGGGCTTGAAGGTACACAGAGATGCCTGTGGCTGACTCATAGCAAATTCCCAGAAGCAAGAGTGCTGAGCGAATGCTTAGGATTATACCATACTTTATTTCCAGGGTTTGTTACATAGATGGTGTGTCTTCTGGATACTGCCACTATCATATATCCGTCCATGCTTGATGGTACTGGGGGAGTTTTAAGCAGAAGAGGACGCAAGGAGACATTTTTTCCTCAACATGTTTGAATAATGAGAGTTGGTTTCTGAATATTAGGAGTTTTACTAGGACTTCATTACTTCTTAAGGTAAGTTACTAGCACCCAACAAGAAGGAAAATAGGGAGGCAAGAACTTATGACCTCTTCCTTTCCCCTGAAAATCACTTCTAATTAGCCAGGATATGGTTGCCGATGGCCCAACAGGAAGGGAAGTGTTACACTAGAAAGAAAGCCTAAAAATCCAATCTTGGAGCTGGTGTTCCCTTTAGTTTCTGTTACTCCTTTTGAGCTCCTAAAATATTTCAGCTATAGAATGTATGGAGAGGTTTCCATGATAGGTAGAATTAAGTATATGCTAACCTATGGGACTTATATTCTCTCAAGCATTTACGGAGCATCCATTAGAGCACATAAACTCTGCTGCAGTGAGGGATATTCCCAAGAAGCTTTAAGGTTCATTTTCTTCCCTCCAAGAGCTCAATGCCAGTCTCTGAAATGACTTCCCTATGTTGATTATATAAAACTGTATTAGTTGGCCTCTAGACATCTAGACCTACCTCAGCCAAAAAACTGTAATGGAGGGTTTGCAGCATGACTATAGCATAGGAAAAAGAAGGAAAACTTATCTGCCCTGTTTGCATTTTACTAATGTAATTATATTGTATCTTGACAAATAAGAGCGGAATCAAATATTTCAGGCCTAAACGTGTAAAAATGTCTGTAAAACTTGTGATTGGGCATATGTATACAAAAGTTGAACTTTTAGAAATATTTCTTTTGCTCTAAATTTATAGGCATTAAAGGATCCTAAAATTAACTTTCTTTTCTGCTATCACTCTATATAGATCCCATTAACAAGGTATAGATAATGCATGACCCATTATGTGTTAAATCCCTGCATAAAATCATTTATTATTGGATACCATAGACCTCTTAGAAAGTCATATACACAGGTCTGAAACTGTGTAGCTCATGTATCCATATAACTACTTAAAATAATTTTTAGGCATAGGTTTCCTTTGTAAAAAAAACAAAATCAGAGCCTGAAAGTGTTTAAATACTTAGGCAGTATTTTAAATAAATACTTGATAATCAAACTTTAAAAAATCTACTTTTCAAAGAGCAGTTATTTTTGATAATATGATAATACCAAACTCCTTCTCCATTCTACAGAAATCCCAGCTTTATTCTTAAGCAACAGATTTCACTTAACACAGCAAGGTCTCTGTCTCCCCACCTCCACTGACACACTTGGCAGTAAAAACTGTTTTCTGCCTACAGAATCACTGAAACCAGAAAACGCCCCAATCACTCATCCACTGCGAGGCGTAACCCTTTGAAAACACAATTTTCATTTTATCTTAAATGTACCAAATAATACAGTTTCTATCCAATAATATGAATTTTTCCTGACAGCATAGATTTTGACTTCCCATTACACATTCCTGTTAGTGATCCAAACTATTTCTTACATTCTCTGATGTCTCCACCCTGTAAATACTTGTAGGCTTATCTACATTTTAAGTCAATTTTTGCATATTATTTTCCAAATTCCCATTTAACTCTCAAAACCTTTACCTTGGCAACAGAGCTTTGGGTCTTATCTTGAATTTGAATGCACATGAAATGTGTCTTTTCAGGTTGCCCCATTTGTAAAGCTTTCTCTTAAGAGTACCTTTAAGCTGTGATACCAAAATGTGCTCCCTAAAGTGATATTTAACCATTCCAAATCTATTTCTCCAAAGATTTTTTCTAAATCAGTAGTAAAAATAAAATCTGATTTATAATCAACCTTTGCTAATGTTAGTTCAGAATCTACCACTAGTTAATTACTTTTAAAAATTACTCTTTCTTTCACATATAATAACCTTACATAAAGTAGAACCACAGCCCCATTCAGCATCACCTCCCTAGGATTACCTCAACCACTTCTGCCTACAGCAGAAAACCACCAGCTGCCTATAGAAAAACAGCCTTCAGTATCTTCATGAACATGCATTCACAGAAAGAACTGACAGTGAAAACAGACCCCATAAGGTAGAAATTTTGTAAGGTGAATCATAAGCAGTCCTTTCCCCACATTTTCACTTTAATTTTTATTTATACCACCCATATTTTATTTATCTCTTTCCTAATCTTCTCATTCCTCAGTATTAGCCCTAATTTTTTCCCAATATTATCCACTATATGGATTTACTGCTTTTAAAAATTCAGCCTTTTGCCAGATCATTACAAGGTCACAATCTAGTAGTTTGAAAAGCAAAACTATAGGCTTCATGGTGGCAATACACACGCAGACATAAAAGTAATACCATTATGCACTCTGCCTTCTTAAAATTGCTTACAGAAACAGAGTATAAGGAAAAGCCAGAACTATCTGTCCATGATGTGGGCAAGAGGAGAGGTGAAAGAGAAAAGAGGCCTTGAGATTTATCTCTTATTCCAGCTAGTAGTCATTCTTTCATGCATTCCTCAGTCGGCTTGCTATTCAAGGTCTCCATATCCAGGCTGATCTAAAACTTCCTAATCTTTTGCCTGGAAAACGCCACTTGCATTCCTGTCTTAATTCCTTGGCCAGATCTACATCTGCTCCTGGAATGCCCTCTCCCTGTGCCTGGTTAGTGAAGGCCCACCCACAAATCTTGCCTTAGCTCTGGCCCACCCCTTGGACAGCAGACTTCCTCATCCATTCCGCCTTCCTTCTTGAGGGCCTGGGGAATTCTCTGATTGTGCCTTTCATTTAGCACTTTCCATATTCTGTTTCATAGAATGTATACAATAAGGTATGCCTGTTCTAGAAACATAGAATGTATACAATAAGGTATGCCTGTTCTAGAAAAATAGCTACCTTGTAGTGGTCTAAGTATCTTTAAATATTTCTAATTCTTAATAGAACTCTGTAGCATGATTAGTATCTACCTTTCATAGAAAAGGAAACTGAGTCTCAGAAATTTAAGTGATGGGCCCAAGGCCATACTTAGGAGAAGTAGGATTTGAATTCTGGTCTACCTGCCTCTGAAACCCATCTCTGCTTCATTATGCTACATTGCCTCTGTAGTGAAAGTAAGCTCTTTACATGAGGCCTGTGTTTTACACCCACCACTTTGTTTCCTCAGCTTATATTGTATGAGTACTTAATGAATATTAATAGAAAAGTTTATATTCAAATGAGATCACATTTTCTGAGTATACCTCTACAGAGGAAGAGGGCCAAGAGGCAGAAGAAAGCAAGTTCAGGATTCAATTTTCTGCAGATATACACAAAGCAAACGATCCTCAGGCATGATAATCCAGTGTTCACTACATATCCAACTCTGTAGAAGTCTCATGCCTAATTTAATAATATCACAGCATAAGCTCCAGTGTTTACTTCTTTGGCTGTTTCTGCTCATCCAGTGAATTTGCTGGGCCTGGAATTAATCCTCAGCGGATGTTAGAAATATTATGACAACAGCTGGCACTGTCATTTGCAGTGTCCAAAATGGAACTTCCTTTTTTTCCAAGTAAAATATATGTGTTTCTCTTCAAGTGCTAGGCTTAGTTAAATATTAAAACCTTCACTTTCCCTTCAGTAGTTAAATTTTATGATAATGTAAAACACAGAAAAATGGCTTTATAACATCACACTACCCTCCATATTATAGGCTATGATATCTGTATTTTATAGTCCACAGTTATACTTCAGCACACATACTTGTGGCTTATTTTTGAATCTGTGCAATTATAAGATGGATACTACCATATCACTTTCAGTAGGAAATGGAAGGCAATCTTTATTTCTTTTAAAAAAGGACAAATCTGCAAAATTACTTTTTTAAAGCAACAAATCTGTCATAGGAACTTCAGTCCAGAAAGATAAAGCAGGATACTGGGGGCCATGTTAAAGCTGAGACGCTGTTCACTTGTGAAGCTCCATCTATGGATCATGGGCCCCTAATATCATGCTGATCTTTCATTTTGCATTCAAAGCCCTGGGCACAGCAAAGAGGCATATGCCAATGAAGGCCAGCCCAGCTGTCACAAATGCAGAGATAATCAGGTGGATTCGATTGTACAGCATGACACTGCCAGCATAGCTCAGATTTCTATGCCAGGGTTATAATCATAGCTACAATTTTGAGATATTAGTGCAATCTCTCTATGCACAAAATTGTGAACCAGAATTTAGTGATCCCATTACTAAGAGTCAATGTGGTCTCTGGCAGCATAAAACCTAATCCTTCTGGAAGAAATAAGGTGGAAACCACAGGGATATGAACCATTCCAGTGTTTCAGTAAGTAAATGCTAGAGCTCTGTGAACATCTAAGTAATGCAAACCTATCCACACCATTCCATAAGCTAAGAAGTTCATTTCATGTTTTCTCTTCTAAGTTCTACTGGTTAGGTGCAAATACTTGCCCAATTTTTACAGCTTTTTATGTGAGATATCTCTTATGAAAATGTTCTTGCTATATTTTCTTTTAGAATCTACTGAAATTGTTTTTTTTTCTCGTCTTCTTTACAGAAAAAAAGGGAGGATATTTAAATAAGGTTTAGAGTTCAAAGTTAACTAGAAAGGGCAGTTTATTCAGCTGGCTATATCCAACACTGCTTTGAAATATTTATTTTATGACTTTACCTTTTTTAAAAAGTCTTATTTATAAAGATGAATGGCCATAACTTCTGGATTTGGAGCAAAAGAAATTTATCAAAATGCCCAAGATGAGACATCCAGACTAATAAAACTTCAATGATAATTCATATCAATACACAATGATCTCTAAAGCAACCCTCTACATGATAGAACAAGGAAAGAAGGCAAAGTGATGAGCCTATTAATGTCACTGTATGATAATAACTTAAAAATTCTTTTGTAGTTGTTGCATTTCCAAAAATATGCTGCTCAATAAATGGCAATCAATGCATAAAACAAGTTTATGTGTGTGTGGATGTGTGTGTGTTAAATAAAAAAAGAAATGTGTTTTATTTAACACTTAGAAATTATGGAGACCAAGATGTTACAGTCACTCATTATTTATGTTTCTAATAGAAAAAGTAAAGAGATTCTTCATTTCAATTTCATATTCTACTTCTGTTTACACCTAGCACACTATCATTTTATTATGGTTAGGATACGATATTGCTAAGAGCGTTGAAGAATCTATTATCAAGCTTGAAGTTACTTTTAAAAAAGAAATATGTAAGAGGTAAAAAGGTGAAAAAAAGAAGAAAAGAGGACTAGGAAAATGAGGTAAGAAGAGTGGGGAGGCAGGATAGGACAGAACGAGAACAAAATTGAAAAAGAGAGGGTAAGGCAGAGAAGATTGAAGATTGAGCAGATACGTATAGGGCAGAAAGTGAGAAGTAGAGAAACAGGATAAGAAGGCAAAGAGGACATATAGTGAAGAATGGAAGGAATAGGAAATAAGTGGAACTCTAGATTCCACTGAGAAGTGTGGGATAGTTAACTGTGTTGACAGACGTGTAGATTGGTGTTGGTTAGACTCAAACTCTATCATGCAGTAACTCGATGAACTTGGGCTAGTTTTTTAACCTTGGGGATGGCAACATAGTCTACTTTATAGGGTTATTGTGAAGAGTAAATAAAATAATCCATGCACATGTTTGGTAGATGGTGAGCACTACCCATATGTTAGCTGTGGCGATAAAGATGGTGATGACTTCTCTGGGTCAAGTATGTATGTGCTTGGCTCAATGTGGAGTCCCTAACTGAGCAATTTATAGTTTCTGCCCTCTACAAACTTACATTATAAAGAAAGATAAAATAGGTAGACAAAATAATCCCTATTACATGAAATATTTGGTAGGTCTTCCCTATTAATACATATGCTAAAGAGTTCAGAACACCAATACATCAATCAAAACCCTGCCAAGGTACAAAAAAAATTGAGATGTCACAATACGAGCAGGTATCTATAGAGCAGAAACTGAAGTGTACAGGGCAGAAAGAGCAGATGAAATGAGAATAAGGTGTTGTATTTCAGAGAGCAAATAAGAATACAGTAATTGTGCGCATAGCATAGCAGTTAAAAGGATGGGCTTTAGAATTGCAGAAACCTGGGTTCAAATTCCAGCTAAGCCATTTACTTACGAGTTAACTTTGAAAATGTTACCTATATCCTGGACCTCAGTTTTCCCATCTATAAAAGGGGAATGAAAATTCCTACCTTACCAAATTGTCATGTGTACTAAATTAAAAAATAAGCTCAAGACAGTGTTTTAATAAATGAAGTTCTGATTACTTTATTATGAGTTTAGTACTATAATCAGAGTTCATAAAAGTTTTACTAATAGATACATTGTATGATGAAACCAAACAAAACCAGGCTAACTAGGCTGAAGGAAAAGGAGACAGGAGCCAGAGCATGCACACAGCAAGTAGACTGTGTGTATGCAGCTGGTGTTGGGCAGTGGGAGGCAAGAGCAAAAGCATGTTAAGAGCTGTTCTATCAAAAAACATGAGCAGCTGTCCTCAGTTCCCACTGTGACCAAGACAAGCCTGAAAGAGTTTAAGGTTAAATTTTGAGGGAGAATTTTATGATATGCAAGTGTTCAGAGCCACTGATAAATATCATCAACAGTATAAGCTTTGTTTGGACAGTTGGAGCATTTTTAGATATATAAGCAATAATAACCTTTATTAGTATTTTAAATACAATTCCACCTACAGGCCGATGGACGAAATATATGAATATAATCTCTCAGTAGGATCTTCCTATATCAGAAGACAAATGGTATTTCCCTCCTGGTTAAAATATAGTTTTGGAAGGCATCATGGAAAAAGAAAGAATAAGGAAGAAATATGGCCCACTGAGTAAATAAACTGCATCTAGGAATCTGACATGGCAGGTCGCTTCTGTTGATTTGTAGGGATTTCTCAATCTGGTCCATTATAATTATCTTTTTTCATTGTCTTATTTCATGATCTCTATTCATTTTAATCCTACTGATGAAACGTGGAGTGACAGCTAAGTATAATCTTTATTAGCAAATTTGGGAACTGAGGCACCGGGGAATTAAATGTAGAGCTTTTCTCTAAGTAAACCTTTTTGCCAACGCTTACGTTAAAAATAGCATAGTCAATTGACAATGTGTTATCAGACATAGAAAATACTATTAAGAATACAAGTAGGAATGAGTCACACAAGAATAAGTGGGTAAGATTATGATTCATTACAAGTAATCAGGATTAATGAAGTGACATGAACACAGAAGAAAAGTGTAAGTGATTATCAGAAGGACAAAGTATCCTTACATAACAAAGTCCTTAAGTAAGGAGAACATCATTAGAATGCAAAGTAGTCCACTGTGAAATGTTTCAAAGTACAGCAGTTCTCCCTACTCCTCCTCCAACTGCTTAACTACAAAATGCTGGAGTACCTTTGCCTGAGATATGGATGATACTGCAATGCCTCACCAGGAAACAAACTCAGGTCAGTGAACCAGATGTGCTGTGTTAATTCCTGGAGAAACTATCTCGTATTAGACTACAGAAATGTAAGAAGTTAACTCTTTTGTGTTATCTCATTAGTCTCTTCCACTCACATCCATTAAAAAAAGTTAAATTTGGTTTCTTTTTTTTTTTTTTTTTGAGACGGAGTCTCGCTCTGTCGCCCAGGCTGGAGTGCAGTGGCGCGATCTCCGCTCACTGCAAGCTCCGCCTCCTGGGTTCACACCATTCTCCTGCCTCAGCCTCCCGAGTAGCTGGGACTACAGGTGCCCGCCACGACGCCCGGTTAATTTTTTGTATTTTTAGTAGAGACGGGGTTTCACCGTGTTAGCCAGGATGGTCTCGATCTCCTGACATCGTGATCCACCTGCCTCGGACTCCCAAAGTGCTGGGATTACAGGCGTAAGCCACCGTGCCCGGCCAAACTTGGTTTCTTAATTTTGCTCTCTACAAGCCAATTCCCAAATTACAGAAACTTAGTTCCTAGCCAGCTGAGTTGAATCTGAAATTGTCGACCATTCTTAGAGAAAATAATTTTGCTTACAATCATTAGATGTATCTTAAATAGTACAACTGAGAAAGGAACAGTTTTATTAGTAAAGCAGTAGAGAATAAAAAGCAATTGAGAGGGTGATATAAAAGATTCAAAGAGAGCCAAGTTGAAGCAAGGTCCTGAAATAGATGAAATGAGATGGGATAAAAGCTCGTGGTGAGAGGGTTCAGCCTGAGAATAGAACGACTGAATTCTCATAGAAGGAGAGGAAGGATAAATATCCAGAGAAGATGTATTGGAGAAGACATCCTATTGCAGAGGATGGCCTAAATCAGAGGTTCTCAAAGTGTAGTCCTCAGACCAGCTGTGTTGCCATCACCTGGGAGCTTGTTAGAATGGAGCATTCATGAGCCCCACCCTGACCTGCTGAAATCAGAATTCCTGGGAAAAGTCCCGGGAAACTATGTTAGAAAGAGCTCTGCATGTGATTTTTATACATATTAAAGTTTGAGAACTACTGATCTAAATCTTCTCAGAGCAGGTAAACAGATCATCGGCTGAGAGCAAGGGGGTAGAGTATGGACTTCAGTAGAACAGATTTAAAACAAGTGCCAGGAGGAATATAGAATGGAGGTGAGAAATCAATGAAAGGCTAGCACTTACGTGAAGTTGGTTACATATCTTTCCAAATTAAGTCTTCTTGTGAGCTGGCTTCTAATCTCCATGCACAGTAATAATGAATCTATGTAAAACTGCATTCTGATTTACATGTGGCTGACTATGACCCTGGAATGACAGTTTGATTAAAATTTAGAAACTTCTAATGTATAGAATAAGTCAACCTAAGGAAAAAAGAAAAGAAGACAAGGTTTTTCTTAAGAAGACTAGAGAAGGCAACACACTAGAACAAAAGTCACCATATTCAGAGTGAAGTCCATAACTCTTCTAACTGGGTAGCCTTGGGCAAGTTATTGAACTTCAGAGCTCATTTTTCTCATCTGTAAAGTTGGATCTGGCATGCATTTAATCAAAGAGCAAAGAAGGGGGAAAAACAAGTAAGTACATAAATAACTACAGCACAAAACATATTATGATGAAGGCTATGATGGGGGTATTAATGCTTAGAGAGCAGTGAGGAATTAGCAATTAATTCTAAAAAAGGAAAACAAGGAAGCCTTCATAAGTGAAGATGAAATAGAGCTAGACCAGGAAGGGTGAGAGAAAATTTACCGGATGGAAGACCATAGAGGTAAAGGGTAGGAAAGGGCAAAGCAAACTTAGGGAATGGAAATAGCCCAGTGTGAATTTATAACAGCAAGACCATGGTAAGGGACAGAGTCTCATTTAGCTCTCAGATCGATTTTTCAAACAATGCTCAACAGCCTGAAAATAATGGGTAAACTTGACAGGGTAAGCAACTCAGTGCTAGGAATCGTTTTTCATTTTTCAGTATGTAGTTCATAAATACTGAACTTTCAGTAAAGACCTCTCTCAGGATTCTTCCTGCCTGGCCGTAAAGTAAAGGAATCAAAGGTATAATTTCTGAAGGAAGTGTTCATCCCTTTCATTTTTCATACTCCTGACATGGATATTACGGGTACTTCTAGAGCCACTTGGCAGAAGGACTGCCTCTGTGAAAAATATTGCTGTTCTGAGGCCAGAATTTAAACTGATTCCATTTCCATAGGAAACTGCATAGGAAAGGAAGAATACACTACAATGAGCTTTTGATTAACCTTTTAAAAGTGGGTGAGCTTTTTATTCTCAAAGTAAAATTCATATATTGAATCTCTATCAAAGAGCCCCGCTAAGCACCTTTTTCCTGTCTTGGAGCATGCCTCAGTGGACCTGAGTGAGCAGAAAGCAGCTGTCCTTTTGAATTTAAAAACAGTTCTGGGCTCTCCTCAGGGCAGCATGGTCACACTGAAGACAAAAGAGCAGCAGGCTGCATATTTCTGGAAGAGAATGCAAGGAAAGCATCTTTTTCATTTTTATCTGATTTCACATTTCCAGGACTAAGCAACAGGCTAATCATTACAATTTCATACCTCCCTCTTCTGGAAAATGCTTATTTCTGATGCATTTACTCTTTACAATGTCTGGAAATCTTCCAAACTACCAGATTTAAAGAATATCCTAATGGTGGATATGTGGATACCTGTAGTCCTACATAAGGTAAATATGAATCATATTTTTAGTTAATGAATTAGACACCACACACATGAGTCTTGAAAGTTCAGTCCAAAGAACAGCATTTCATTGGCTTCTAACTTCATATGTAAGAAGTCACATGTCAATCCATAAAGATACATTTTCTGGGCTTTTTAAGGATGTCCACAGTATGAAAACTCTAAAAAGAAAACAATTTCCTCAAGGCAAAGTGTTTATGATACACACTTATAAACATGATCCATCCATGTGCTGGCCAGCAAGCATTATTAAGTACCTACTTAGTGCTCGTTCTGCACAGAGCTATGTGCTGGACAGCAAGTATTATTCAGTACCTACTTAGTACTCTCTCTGCACAGAGACAACAGTAGGCTGGTTCTAAGCACAAGATAAAAATCAGAGTCAAATGCTAGCCCTGGAACACAGCCCAGTATGTTACAACTGTGTTTTCAAACCTTGTGAAGGTTCTTTTCTCTGACTTCACCCTAACAGAATGAGAGTGCTTGATTTTTGAGAGTTCAGACCTGGCTAAATTGACCATACAGTTACCCTTTCTCTGGCAACCTATCTTTATGTTAACGACAATGTTATGGACATGGGCTAAGAGGTCCCTTTATAAGTTTTTCTCAACTCTTGCTACATTGCTTGGCTTCACTAAATGGGTATCACTTTCAGATTCGATTCCCTCCCCTAACGTGTTAACTAGGTATCATTTAGGAAGTGGTTGATAACATACATGACTTCCCTATTCCTCAATAATAATTATCAATACCAATAAAATAATTATTTTGGATGTTGTGAAGAAACACACGGTTCTTTTTTTTTTTTTTTAACATGTCCAAATAAAATACATCTTTAAAGTCTCATAGAATCATAAACTCACCAATGGGGCTGAAATGAACTTGTATTCACCAAGCTCAGGCTCCTTGGGCAGATTTCTCATTTGCAAGCTGATAATTAAAAAGACAGTAAGTGCCCAGCCATGGAGGCTCATACCTGTAATTTCAGCACTTTGGGAGGCCAAGGTGGGCAGACTGCTTGATCCCAGGTGTTGGAGATCAGCCTGGGCAACATGGCAAAACCCCAGCTCTACAAAAAATACAAAAATTAGCCAGGGGTGGAGGTACACGCCTGTAGTCCTAGCTACTCGAATCCCTTGAGCTCCAGAGGTGGAGGCTGCAGTGAGCTGAGATGGCACCACTGCACTCCAGCCTGGATGACAAAGTGAGACCCTGTCTCAAAAAATAAAGAGAGAGTAAGTGTGAATGCCAGCAAGAATCACAAGTGTGTGATCTGGGGGAGGAGCCAAGATGGCCAAATAGGAATAGCTCCAGTCTACAGCTCCTAGCATAAGTGACACAGAAGACGGGTGATTTCTGCATTACCAATTGAGGTACCGGGTTCATCTCACTGGGGTGTGCCAGACAGTGGGTGCAGGACAGTGGGTGCAGCACACCGAGTGCGAGCCAAAGCAGGGCGAGGCATCGCCTCACCTGGGAAGCGCAAGAGGTCAGGGAATTCCCTTTCCTAGTCAAAGAAAGGGGTGACAGACGGCACCTGGAAAATCAGGTCACTCCCACCCTAATACTGCACTTTCCCAATGGGCTTAAAAAATGGCACACCAGGAGATTATATCCCGCACCTGGCTCGGAGGGTCCTATGCCCATGGAGTCTCGCTCATTGCTAGCACAGCAGTCTAAGATTGAACTGCAAGGCGGCAGCGAGGCTGGGGGAGGGGCGCCCACCATTGCTGAGACTTGATTAGGTAAATAAAGCGGCCAGGAAGCTCGAACTGGGTGGAGCCAACCACAGCTCAAGGAGGCCTGCCTGCCTCTGTAGGCTCCCTCTCTGAGGGCAGGGCACAGACAAACAAAAAGACAGCAGTAACCTCTGCAGACTTAAATGTACCTGTCTGACAGCTTTGAAGAAAGTAGTGGTTCTCCCAGCACGCAGCTTGAGATCTGAGAACAGGCAGACTGCCTCCTCAAGTGGGTCCCTGACCCCTGAGTAGCCTAACTGGGAGGCACCCCCCAGCAGGGGTGGACTGACACCTCACACGGCTGGGTACTCCTCTGAGACAAAACTTCCAGAGGAACGATCAGGCAGCAGCATTTGCGGTTCACCAATATCCGCTGTTCTTCAGCCACCGCTGCTGATACCCAGGCAAACAGGGTCTGGAGTGGACGTCTAGCAAACTCCAATGGACCTGCAGCTGAGGGTCCTGTCTGTTAGAAGGAAAACTAATGAACAGGAAGGACATCCACACCAAAAACCCATCTGTACGTCACCATCATCAAAGACCAAAGGTAGATAAAACCACCAAGATGGGGAAAAAACAGCAGAAAAACTGGAAACTCTAAAAATCAGAGTGCCTCTCCTCCTCCAAAGGAAAGCAGCTCCTCACCAGCAATGGAACAAAGATGGATGGAGAATGACTTTGATGACTTGAGAGAAGAAGGCTTCAGACGATCAAACTAATCCGAGCTACAGGAGGAAGTTTGAGCCAATGGCAAAGAAGTTAAAAACTTTGAAAAAAAATTAGATGAATGTATAACTAGAATAACCAATGCAGAGAAGTCCTTAAAGGACCTGATGGAGCTGAAAACCAAGGCACGAGAATTACGTGACAAATGCAGAAGCCTCAGTAGCCGATGAGATCAACTGGAAGAAAGGGTATCAGTGATGGAAGATGAATGAAATGAAGCGAGAAGAGAAGTTTAGAGAAAAAAGAATAAAAAGAAATGAACAAAGCCTCCAAGAAATATGGGACTATGTGAAAAGACCAAATCTACGTCTGATTGGTGTACCTGAAAGTGACGGGGAGAATGGAACCAAGTTGGAAAACACTCTGCAGGATATTATCCAGGTGAACTTCCCCAATCTAGCAAGGCAGGCCAACATTCAAATTCAGGAAATACAGAAAACGCCATAAAGATACTCCTCGAGAAGAGCAACTCCAAGACACATAATTGGCAGATTCACCAAAGTTGAAATGCAGGAAAAAATGTTCAGGGCAGCCAGAGAGAAAGGTCAGGTTACCCAGAAAGGGAAGCCCATCAGACTAAAAGCTAATCTCTCGGCAGAAACTCTACAAGCCAGAAGAGAGTGGGGGCCAATATTCAACATTCTTAAAGAAAAGAATTTTCAACCCAGAATTTCATATCCAGCCAAACTAAGCTTCATAAGTGAAGGAGAAATAAAATACTTTACAGACAAGCAAATGCTGAGAGATTTTGTCACCACCAGGCCTGCCCTAAAAGAGCTCCTGAAGGAAGCACTAAACATGGAAAGGAACAACCGGTACCAGCCACTGCAAAAACATGCCAAATTGTAAAGACCATCAAGGCTAGGAAGAAACTGCATCAACTAATGAGCAAAATAACCAGCTGACATCATAATGACAGGATCAAATTCACACATAATGATATTAACTTTGAATGTAAATGGGCTAAATGCTCCAATTAAAAGACACAGGCTGGCAAATTGGATAAAGAGTCAAGACCCATCAGCGTGCTGTATTAAGGAAACCCATCTCACATGCAGAGACACACATAGGCTCAAAATAAAGGGACGCATGAAGATCTACCAAGCAAATGGAAAACAGAAAAAGGCAGGGGTTGCAATCCTAGTCTCTGATAAAACAGACTTTAAACCAACAAAGATCAAATGAGACAAAGAATGCCATTACATAATGGTAAAGGGATCAATTCAACAAGAAGAGCTAACTATCCTAAATATATATGCACCTAATACAGGAGCACCCAGATTCATAAAGCAAGTCCTTAGTGACGTACTAAGAGACTTAGACTCCCACACAATAATAATGGGAGACTTTAACACCCCAATGTCAACATTAGACAGATCAACGAGACAGAAAGTTAACAAGGATACCCAGGAATTGAACTCAGTTCTACACCAAGTGGACCTAATAGACATCTACAGAACTCTCCACCCCAAATCAACAGAATATACATTCTTTTCAGCACCATACCACACCTATTCCAAAATTGACCACATACTTGGAAGTAAAGCACTCCTCAGCAAATGTAAGAGAACAGAAATTATAACAAACTGTCTCTCAGACCACAGTGCAATCAAAGTAGAACTCAGGATTAAGAAACTCACTCAAAACCGCTCTACTACATGGAAACTGAACAACCTGCTCCTGAATGACTACTGGGTACATAACAAAATGAAGGCAGAAATAAAGATGTTCTTTGAAAGCAACAAGAACAAAGACACAACATACCAGAATCTCTGGGACACATTCAAAGCAGTGTGCAGAGGGAAATTTATAGCACTAAATGCCCACCAGAGAAAGCAGGAAAGATCCAAAATTGACACCCTAACATCACAATTAAAAGAACTAGAAAAGCAAGAGCAAACATATTCAAAAGCTAGCAGAAGGCAAGAAATAACTAAGATCAAAGCAGAACTGAAGGAAATAGAGACACAAAAAACCATTCAAAAAAATTAATGAATCCAGGAGCTGGTTTTTTGAAAAGATCAACAAAATTGATAGAATGCTAGCAAGACTAATAAAGAAGAAAAGAGAGAATAATCAAATAGACGCAATAAAAAATGATAAAGGGGATATCACCACCAATCCCACAGAAATACAAACTACCATCAGAGAATACTATAAACACCTTTACGCAAATAAACTAGAAAATCTAGAAGAAATGGATAAATTCCTCGACACATACATCCTCCCAAGACTAAACCAGGAAGAAGTTGAATCTCTGAATAGACCAATAACAGGCTCTGAAATTGAGGCAATAATGAATAGCTTACGAACCAAAAAAAGTCCAGGACCAGATGGATTCACAGCCGAATTCTACCAGAGGTACAAGGAGAAGCTGGTACCATTCCTTCTGAAACTATTCCAATCAATAGAAAAAGAGGGAATCCTCCCTAACTCATTTTATGAGGCTAGCATCATCCTGATACCAAAGCCTGGCAGAGACACAACCAAAAAAGAGAATTTTAGACCAATATCCTTGATGAACATTGATGCAAAAATTCTCAATAAAATACTGGCAAACCGAATCCAGCAGCACATCAAAAAGCTTATCCACCATGATCAAGCTGGCTTCATCCCTGGGATGCAAGGCTGGTTCAACATATGCAAATCAATAAATGTAATCCAGCATATAAACAGAACCAAAGACAAAAACCACATGATTATCTCAATAGACGCAGAAAAGGCCTTTGTAAAAATTCAACAATGCTTCATGCTAAAAACTCTCAGTAAATTAGGTAATGATGGGACATATCTCAAAATAATAAGAGCTATCTATGACAAACTCACAGCCAATATCATACTGAATGGGCAAAAACTGGAAACATTCCCTTTGAAAACGGGCACAAAACAGGGATGCCCTTTCTCACCACTCCTATTCAACATAGTGTTGGAAGTTCTGGCCAGGGCAATGAGGCAGGAGAAGGAAATAAAGGGTATTCAATTAGGAAAAGAGGAAGTCAAACTGTCCCTGTTTGCAGAGGACATGATTATATATCTAGAAAACCCCATCATCTCAGCCCAAAATCTCCTCAAGCTGATAAGCAACTTCAGCAAAGTCTCAGGATACAAAATCAATATGCAAAAATCACAAGCATTCTTATACACCAACAACAGACAAACAGAGAGCCAAATCATGAGTGAACTCCCATTCACAATTGCTTCAAAGAGAATAAAATACCTAGAAATCCAACTTACAAGGGATGTGAAGGACATCTTCAAGGAGAACTACAAACCACTGCTCAAGGAAATAAAAGAGGATACAAACAAATGGAAGAACATTCCATGCTCATGGGTAGGAAGAATCAATATTGTGAAAATGGCCATACTGCCCAAGGTAATTTATAGATTCAATGCCATCCCCATCAAGCTACCAATGACTTTCTTCACAGAATTGGAAAAAACTACTTTAAAGTTCATATGGAACCAAAAAAGAGCCTGCATCGCTAAGTCAATCCTAAGCCAAAAGAACAAAGCTGGAGGCATCATGCTACCTGACTTCAAACTATACTACTAGGCTACAGTAACCAAAACAGCATGGTACTGGTACCAAAACAGATATATAGACCAATGGAACCGAACGGAGCCCTCAGAAATAATGCCGCATATCTACAACTATCTGATCTTTGACAAACCTGACAAAAACAAGAAATGGGGAAAGGATTCCCTATTTAATAAATGGTGCTGGGAATACTGGCTAGCCATATGTGGAAAGCTGAAACTGGATCCCTTCCTTACACCTTATACAAAAATTAATTCAAGATGGATTAAAGACTTACATGTTAGACCTAAAACCATGAAAACCCTAGAAGAAAACCGAGGCAATACCATTCAGGACATAGGCATGGGCAAGGACTTCATGTCTAAAACACCAAAAGCAATGGCAACAAAAGCAAAAATTGACAAATGGGATCTAATTAAACTCAAGAGCTTCTGCACAGCAAAAGAAACTACCATCAGAGTGAACAGGCAACCTACAGAATGGGAGAAAATTTTTGCAATGTACTCATCTGACAAAGGGCTAATATGCAGAATCTACAATGAACTCAAACAAATTTACAAGAAAAAAACAAACAACCCCATCAAAAAGTGGGTGAGGGATATGAACAGACACTTCTCAAAAGAAGACATTTATGCAGCCAAAAAACACATGAAAAAATGCTCATCATCACTGGCCATCAGAGAAATGCAAATCAAAACCACTATGAGATACCATCTCACACCAGTTGGAATGGCGATCATTAAAAAGTCAGGAAACAACAGGTGCTGGAGAGGATGTGGAGAAATAGGAACACTTTTACACTGTTGGTGGGACTGTAAACTAGTTCAACCACTGTGGAAGTCAGTGTGGCGATTCCTCAGGGATCTAGAACTAAAAATACCATTTGAACCTGCCATCCCATTACTGGGGTATATACCCAAAGGATTATAAATCATGCTGCTATAAAGACACATGCACACGTATGTTTATTGTGGCACTATTCGCAATAGCAAAGACTTGGAACCAACCCAAATGTCCAACAATGATAGACTGGATTAAGCAAATGTGGCACATATACACCATGGAATACTATGCAGCCATAAAAATGATGAGTTCATGTCCTTTGTAGGGACATGGATGAAACTGGAAACCATCATTCTCAGCAAAGTATCGCAAGGAAAAAAAACCAAACACCGCATGTTCTCACTCATAGGTGGGAATTGAACAATGAGAACACATGGACACAGGAAGGGGAACATCACACACTGGGGACTGTTGTGGGGTGGGGGGAGGGGGGAGGGATAGCATTAGGAGATACACCTAACGCTAAATGACGAGTTAATGGGTGCAGCACACCAACATGGCACATGTATACATATGTAACAAACCTGCACGTTGTGCACATGTACACTAAAACTTAAAGTATTATAATAATAAAATTTTTTAAAAAAAGAAAAAGAATCACAAGTGTGTGTGAGAAGAGATGGAGTAGAAGGCAAAAAGGAGAGACCATCCCCTATCAGGGTTTTACTGATAGACTATTAGAGGTAGTAACACCTGAAACACCATATAAATTGCCTGAACTTCAAAAGTCTCAACTTTCCTTTGAATTTCTGTTGGCCAGTATTTCTGTGTCAGAAAGGAACTTTAGAAAAAGGCTTTATAATTACATAAAGTAGTAGAGGAAAAGGAGAATCATTTTCCAACAATTTCTCTCTTCAGTCAGGAGTTTCTCATCATGATTTTCATAATTCATCATCAATTTGCATTATTTTTAAGAATTTGCTATTTTTAAAAAGAATTTAGGCCAGGTGCAGTGGCTCACGCCTGTAATCCCAGCACTTTGGAAGGCCAAGGCAGGCACATCACGAGGTCAGGAGATGGAGATCATCCTGGCCAAAATGGTGAAACCCTGTCTCTACTAAAAAACAAAAAATTTAGCCGGGCATGGTGGCGCGTGCCTGTAATCCCAGCTACTCGGGAGGCTGAGGCAGGGGAATCACTTGAACCTGGGAGCGGAGGTTGCAGTGAGCCGAGATTGTGCCACTGCACTCCAGCCTGGGCGACAGAGCAGGGCTCCATCTCAAAAAAACAAAAACAAAAACAAAAAACACAACAAAAAGCCGGGCGCGGTGGCTCACGCCTGTAATCCCAGCACTTTGGGAGGCTGAGGCGGGCAAATCACGAGGTCAGGAGATCAGACCATCCTGGCTAACACGGTGAAACCGCGTCTCTATTAAAAATACAAAAAATTAGCCGGGCATGGTGGTTGGCGCCTGTAGTTCCAGCTACTCGGGAGGCTGAGGCAGGAGAATGGCGTGAGCCTGGGAGGCGGAGCTTGCAGTGAGCCGAGATCCCGCCACTGCACTCCAGCCTGGTGACAGAGCGAGACTCCGTCTCAAAAAAAAAAAAAAAATTTTTAATCTGATGAATCTGATGTATATTTCTCAATTCATGATATCCTTTGCATGGAATTCTTTAAAATGAACCCTAAAGAGGGGGGAAAAAGCTCCATTTTCCCACTGTCAAATGCTGTTGGGATTATGGATTCCAATTTACTCTCACTCTCCCCATCACATTTTGACTGCTGACTCTGACTTTTCGCTGATTCTGCTACACAGGCAATTTCCAAATTGTTACTCATTCCATTCCTACACCCAGTGGAAGATCCATGTTTTTAGGGCCTGAAACTTATACAATTTGGTGGGGGGGTCCTTTTTAAGAAAAAAAAAAAATACATAATTACAAATACAAAATGCGCATGACCACTTTAATGCCACCCAACTAGAAAGGGAAGGAGAAAGGAGGGAAAGTTGAATTGGAAGAAGACAATGATCTTAACCAGTCATGGCTGAAACACATTATGTTTTGCAATTTTTATAAAAAAAATGACCATAATAACACATTAGCAGGGTTCCTTCCAGGACCCTGGAAGGGGTCTCTGCAAGTGAGGGACCCTCAGGCTTCAACTCCTATAGTTTCACAAATCTGCCTCTGTTATAAACCCAAATCTCTACTGCCTTCATTACATCCAAACCTAGAGGGAAATTCCAGCCCAAGCATAAATCCAGTGCTCTTTACCAGTTCCCTTTAACCCACAGAAAGACTTAAATTTTCACAGGAGGGATAGTTAAAAATCAAGGGCAGGCTGGGCGCGGTGGCTCACACCTGTAATCCCAGCACTTTGGGAGGCTAAGGTGGGCCTTGAGGTCAGGAGTTCCAGACAAGCCTGGCCAACGTGGTGAAACCCCGTCACTACTACAAATACAAAAATTAGCCAGGTGTGGTGGCAGGTGCCTATAATCCAAGCTACTCGGGAGGCTGAGGCAGGAGAATCACTTAAACCCAGGAGGCGGAAGTTGCAATGAGCCAAGATAGCACCATTGCACTCCAGCCTGGGCAACAGAGCGAGACTCTGTTTAAAAAAAAAAAAAAAAGGGCAAAAAAAAAAAAAGAAAAAAATGTTGTAGAAAATTATTAAATAGTTAAAAATCAAGGGTGAAAAAAGAAAAAATATATTGTAAACAAATATATGTTCCTAAAAATACAGGTTTTACTCTTTAGAAAACTACCCATTCCTCTTTGATTGTCTTGTATAAGCATTCTGTTTGTATAGAGTACATATTATCAAAATGTTCCTCTTCGTGTTCTTAGTGACTAAAATCCATTTCTCTCTTAAGTTCCCTGCCTTTTTTTGTTGTTGTTGTTGTTCAAACAGTATCTTCCATCGTGGTTCCCAGGCTTAGGTCAGACAGACACGCAGATATGCTTTATTCAGAAATAACTGGCCAAAGACCTCTGCCTGATTCTGAAGGTATTTGCAAGCCTCTCAGAGGGTGTCTTATAGAAGTCCAATCCTGACTACTCACCAGACAGCAGGTAGAGCACACTGCCATCCTAAACCAGGCACTTCTACAATCAGAAGAGGGGCCTTTGTGGAAGCAGGTTGGCAGACAGACACTTTGCTTTCTTTCTTTATTTCTTTTCTTTCTTTCTTTCTTTCTTTCTTTCTTTCTTTCTTTCTTTCTCTTTCTCTTTTTCTTTCTTTCTTTCTTTCTTTCTTTCTGTCTGTCTTTCTCTCTCTTTCTTTCTTTTTCTTTCTCTCTCTCTCTCTTTCATCTCTCTCTCTCTTTCAGAGACTGAGTCTTGTTCTGTTGCTCAGGTTGGAGTGCTGTGGCACAATCTTGGCTCACTACTACCTCTGCCTCCTCGGTTCAAGCGATTCTTCTACCTCAGCCTCCCAAGTAGCTGGGATTATAGGTGTGCACCACCACATCCTGTTAATTTTTTGTGTTTTTAGTAGAGATAAGGTTTCGCCATGTTGGCCAAGCTGGTTTTGAACTCCTGACCTCAAGTGATCCACTCACCTTGGCCTCCCAAAGTGCTAGGATTACAGGCATGAACCACCACGCCTGGCTAGACAGACACTTTTCTTTTTTTTTTTTTTTTTGAGACAAAGTCTTGCTGTCACCAGGCTGGAGTGCAGTGGCACAATCTCAGCTCATTGCAACCTCTGCATCCATGGTTCAAGCGATTCTCCTGCCTCAGCCTCCCGAGTAGCTGGGACTACAGGCGCATGCCACCATGCCCAGCTAATTTTTGTATTTGTAGTAGAGACGGGGTTTCACCATGTTGGCCAGGATGGTCTCAATCTCTTGACCTCATGATCCACCCGCCTCAGCCTCCCAAAGTGCTGGGATTACAGGCGTGATCCACTGCGCCCGGCCAACAGACACTTTTCAATAGACCTTTCTAATTTGCTTATCAGCTTTTCTGAGCTTTGCCTTAAGAATAAGGCCTCATTATTAAACCACATATTGCAGTGTTCACTGCCATGAATTCACCGAGTTAGGCTGAATTCTGGTAATGTCCTGCTATATATCCAACACATACCTAGCATACAAATTATTTCTATCTATAGAGAAAAATATTATCTTTGGGCCATTCATAACTCTCCACTTAGAAATCGGGAGGCTGAGTCAAGAGAATTGTTTGAACCTGGGAGGCGGAGGTTGCAGGGACCCGAGATCGCGCCGTTGCACTCCAAGAGTTCCAGGGCAAAGCTCTGGTTGACAGGGTGAGACTCCGTCTCAAAAAGAAACTACTTAGAAATGATAAGGCCTCATTGTTAAACTACATATTCTACTGATCACTGCCATGAATTCACCCAGTTAGGGTGAATTCTGGTGATGCCCTACTATACACCCAACACAGACTTATAATACAAATTCTTTCTATCTACAGAGAAAAATATTATCTTTAGGTTATTCATACCTCTTTCACTTAGAAACAGTAGTTTCATTCTTAGACTTAACTGCTTCTCTGGTAAATCTCATTCTGTCATAGCAATTCACCCAATCTTAAGGCATACACTGACTTTTAACATTATTTAGAGTAACCAACCTAAGGGAGGTGACATCCAAGTCATGAAATCATAGAGTAACAGAATCTTGGAACACAAGGAACCTCTGGGATGACCTGGTTGTACCTCCTATCCAGCAGAAGGAGTCTAATCCCTAGAGCTCAGGAGCTTGTTCATCTGGCCCCACCTAAACACATCTACTCACAAGAAGCTCTTTCCCTTAGAGGCCAGGCTGTTTCTTTGGAAATTGATTTTAATATCTAGAAACTCTTCCTTATATTTGCTCTCTTATAGGCCTTAGTCACCCATCCACCACTCCTCAGCTGGAAGCAGCCAAGAATAACATCTTATTCTACCAGTGACAATCCTTCAAATTCTTATGGGCTATACACCATGTTCCACTTAGGCATCTAATTCTCTTTCTACTATTTGGCATAATTTCTTGCCCTGCCAGTATTCTGGCAAATGCTTCTAATGTTCTCTAATTTGTCAATATCCCTCTTAAAACATTTCATCTAGACTTGAAGCCATTAACTGAGATGTGGTCTACTATGACTATTTGTATATATATACTTCTTTTTTGTGCAATAGCATTTATACAATCCACAAATGAGTTAACTTCTGGGGGCAACTGTGTCAAATGCTTGGCTCAAATTAAGCTCATGACCAATTACATATAAAACCAGAACATGAGAACATAAGCCAGATTCTCTAAGTAGAAGTAAAGCATACATCTCCAGAAGTAAAGCATCTTAAAATAATCATCTTCCTGTAGATGTTTAAGGGATGGAATTTTATGATAATCACCCCCCCACTGACCTGCTGCATAGTTTGTCAACTCAACATCAACAAGCTCATCATCAGATTTTGCAAAAGACCTCTTGTTTATCCCAGCCTAAGTGAATGTTCTTTTGCATTTTAATCACTTTCTGCACAATGTTGGTATAGTGTCAAGGCCCAAAGTAGGCATTAGTTACTTGCTGACTAAGCCATTAGATAAATGAATGACGAGTTCCCACTCTCTCCCATCCTGTCTTTAATAATGTTGATTGTTTTTCATCAGTGTATTTCTCCCCACATCACCCTTAAGAGCTATAGTTCTCCATTAGGGTTCTGGGCAGTGATAATATTGTTGTTCCTGCCATTAAATGATTCTGTTACTTTAGAAAAACTCCTAAGCTGCCTAAGACCCCTGTTTCTCCATATGAACAATACTGTCATTTTATTTATTATTTAAACAAAGACGTATAGTACTTGTTGCAGACCAGCTACAGTTCTAGGCACTTAACAAATATAAAATCATTTAATCCTCAGGAAAACCAGACTGAGGCACAGGAAAGTTAACTAATTTAATAAAGATTATATAGCTAGCAAGTGATGAAGCTGGGATTCGAACTAGGCAGTCTGACTTTTCTATGTGTGTTAACCACTAGGCTATGCTACCTATCCACATGCTCTGAGAGCATAATGTTTAGATAAGTAGGAAGGTCAACGATCACACTCCTTGCATCATAAGTGTATATGTTAGTACATCAAAAACTGCTTGATTTTCCATTAGTTCCTCAAATAGTAGCTTCTCCTTCCAGTCCTCATATTTTTTAAAGTTACTAACCAAAGGACAAATCACTCAAAACATGGCATTTTGAACATAGAGTGGATGCCTTGAGTTGATTTGAATTCCTTCCAGTCACAACTGTTGGAATTATTTACCTGAAACGTTAAGGACCATGAAAGCCAGTTGACCTATTGCCAGAACAAGAGCAAATCAAAAAAGTGCTATACCAGGCACCAGGAATCTGAGGGAAAAGGAAAATGTACTTCCTCAGAAAAACATCAAAGTATAGGCTATTCCAGCTTAGTGCTGGCCCAGCTGAAGACAGGAACAGAAAGGTACTCAGATGTTTGCATGCAGTTTACCATAGTGTAAATAGTGACTTGTACTCTCACAAATAAGAAAATTTGGAGGACTTAATCCAAAATGTCCAGTATAATGAAAATTTTTTTCAAAATAATTACAGCCAGATCACAAAAGCTATAAAGGAATAAACTCCTCAAGGACATGGAGTAATAAGGAAAAATGGAAAAGCAGGTTGGAAGGCAATGCAGTCACAGAAGCAGCTCTCCTGAGTGGCATTTTTTACTCCAAATTTAGATTCAAACTAAATTCATTAGTCCTTCAGCTGAGTAAGAAACACCTGAGCACTGCATAGAGCCAGGGGAACATTTCCATTTAACAATGGACCTCATGGAAAGCAAGATCCTTACAGTGTAGGGCTAGGGGCTGCGGCAAACTAATCTGTAAGTTTAGAATTTTGCTCTGGAAAATTTACTATTGGAAGGATCTTGTGGTGATTAGTGCTAATCAACAAGAAGGCACTGATTGCTTTTTGAATGGCCAAAAGTCAAATTTCATATGAACGAAGCAAGCATTGGACACAGCAATAGAACATCTGCATAACTGTTATTGATGAAATGATAACCCAAGATTCTGCGGGAAATCTATTGGGAATACAAATATGAATTCGGATTCTCACCTTTGGCTAACTGAAATATTCTTCAGGTGTATTAGATGAAGGGAAGGAAGAAAAAGCAGTTAATAATTGCAAAGCATGATTCTAAGCAAACAATGCAGGATATATATGTGCGTGTGTGTGTGTATACACAAATACACACCCCATATATTTACTATATAGATAATATATATTAATACATGTAATACATTATATAATGATATATAAATATATAATATATTATGTTATAGATATAATATAATAGTATATAATATATAATTATATCTTATATATTATAATATATAGTATATTAATGTAATAACATATATTAATATAATATTTTATTATTGACATATAATATAATATGTTATTTACATATTATTTATACACACATTATTAATTATATTAGTAGTATATATATATTATTTATATACACACACAAATATACACACATATATTTCTCCCCACTCTTACCCCATTTAGGAGGTGAGACTTAAATTACTGTGAGACTAACTCTTAACATGCCTTTCTGAAAGACAAAAGGAATACCTGTCCCCACTCCGTTAAGTGTCCCTAGGAACTTCACAGAAAGAAACCTTTATGCTTCTAAAAATCAGTAAACAGCTAGAAAATAAAGCAACAGCCCAGGTAAAGTCCAAACTTGAGAAACACAGCTTATGCTTTTGTTCTGGCACCAGCACCTCCATTTCCCAGTTGTCTGGGTGATATAGGTGTCACGGGAATTGAGGCCAAGTGTCCTGGGACTCTGGGTCTAAGGAGTCTGCTCTCCTCTTCGCACTACCCCGGGTCTGGGAGACTGGCTGGTCCTGCTGTCAGGGGAATGAAGGTTCTGAGAAGGTGCCTGAATCCTGGTCAGAGGAAGAGGTCTTGTGAGGCACTAAGACAAGGGGCTTGGACATGACTGGCAGAGACAAACTGTAGGAGCACAGCAAGGAGAAAGCAGGTCCTCTCCCACCACAAGGACATCTCCAGGATAGGCTGAGGCAGACAGTAGACTGTTCTGTCAAAGTGGAATATTCCAGAAGTGAAAATGTGAAGCCTAGATCTCCTTATCTATAATTGTGAATAATTATACTGTCTCTTGTATCCCAATCTGCATGATCCACCCCACCACTACACTTCCTCCTTTATCAACTATTTGTATACATAAAAATATAAGAAATAATTTACTTTTCTCACTTCCCATTAGGCTTTCCTAAGTTCCCTGGACCCACCTATTCCAGTGAACAGTGAGAGAATGCAGTTTGTTAGCAGTAAATAATAAAACAGACAATAAGGGTCTTGTCTCAAGTTTCCAAACTGTCTCTCTTTCCCAGAACAAGAGAAGCTTCTTTCTACAATAGTATTATCTAGAACTATCTTTTAATTTGTCATAAAGTCATAATTAAACATAACTCCATTTTAGAGACTTTAAAAATTCATTTTGAAATTTACCTTGCCTGACATTTACAGGCGGATTTCAAAAAAATTGTTCTTCGATCTTCTGGGAAGAGCTGAAGCACGCGCTCTTGGCTCGGCGCAGCCCGCTGCAATCCGTGGAGGAATGTGCCGCCGAGCAACCATCATGCCTGGGCAGTTACAGGAAGGCTTCAGCTGCCTGGTCACCAACCGATTCGACCAGTTATTTGACAACTAATCGGACCCCTTCGAGGTGCTGAAGGCAGGAGAGAACAAGAAAAAAGAAGCTGGCGGGGGCGGCGTCTCTGGGGCCAAGAGCGGCAGCTCAGGCTGCGACCCAGACCAACTCCAAGGCGGCAGGCAAATAGCTAGCTGCGCAAGGAGTCCCAGAAAGACAGCAAGAACCCGCTGCCCTCCAGCGTTGGCGTGGTTGACAGGAAAGAGGAGACGCAGCCGTCCATGGTGCTTAAGAAAGAAGGAATAAGGGTCATTGTTCTCGTGCCAGTAGGAGCTGAGGTCCTGGTCCCCCAGCCTCCTGCTGCAGAGCCAGTGAACTCTGGTCGGGCCTCTCAGCTGCGCACGTAGGCAATACTCATCTTGGCCCTGGGAGGAAACTCAAGAAGAAGCTTTTGAAACATAAAGCTTAGATGGGGTTTGACCTGTGCTGGGCAGCTCCCAGCTATAGGCGTTCCCCTGCTGAGCAGAGAAGATGACTGCAGAATTGAGAGAAGCCATGGCCCTAGGCCCATGCCGCCCAGTGAAGGTGAAAAAGGAGGAGGAGGAAGAAGAAAACTTCCCAGATCAGGCATCCAGCCAACAAGTGCACTCTGAGAACATCAAAGTCTGGGCCCCAGGGGAGTTTCGTCAGACAGGCCTTGATGGATCAGAAGAGGAAGAAAAGGTGCTGAAACCAAGAACCTTCAGTTACTGGTTCCAAAAACTGAGATACGTGAGGAAGCTGAAAACCCCCGCATCATATTAGGAAGAATCCAGAAAGCTGATCCTTAAGGACCTGAGTTAAGAGAGGCTTGTGAAAAAGAAAACATGTTAAAGAGGCAGAGAATAAGGAGGGAAAGGAAAGATTTCAGATAAGTCATAGTGAATGACTGTCACTTACCTGAAAGCTTCAAAGAAGAGGAAGACCAGAAATGTAAGAAATCTGTGGGAAAATACAGCCTTAATTCTGACACTGTTAACAATCCGAAAACCCAGCTTGGGCGAAAGTCTTTTACATTGTAGCATGTGTGGGAAAGGATTTAGTCAGAGTGCAAACCTCGTTGTGCATCAGAGAATCCACACCGGGGAGAAACCTTTTGAATGTCATGAGTGTGGGAAGGCCTTCATTCAGAGTGCAAAGCTCGATGTGCATCAGAGAATCCACACTGGACAGAAACCTTATGTTTGCTCAAAATGTGGGAAAGCCTTCAATCAGAGTTCAAATCTGACTGTATATCAAAAAAACCTCTCCTTAGAAAAAACCTTTAGGCGTAGTAAATGTGAGAAAGCCTTTAGTTATAGCTCACAACTTGCTCGGCACCAGAAACTCCACATTACAGAAAAATGCTGTAAATGTAATGAGTGTCGGAAAACATTTACTGGGAGCTCAAACCATATTGTCCACCAGAGGATCCACACTGGGGAGAAGCCCTCTGCCTGTAACGATTCTGGCAAAGCCTTTACGCAGATTGCAAATCTTATTGTACATCAGCGAAGCCATACTGGTGAGAAGCCATATGAGTGTGAGTTTGGGAAAACCTTTAGTTGTTTTTCACACCTTATTATGTACCAGATAATTCACACTGCAGAGAAACCTTATGACTGCAGTGAATGTGGGCAAGCCTTCAGTCAGCTCTCTTGCCTTTTTGTCCACCAGAGAATTCACAGTGGAGATCTTCCTTTTGTGTGTAATGAATGTGGGAAGGCCTTCACATGTAGCTCATACCTACTTATTCATCAGAGAATCCATAATGGAGAAAAACCTTACATGTGTAATGAGTGTGGGAAGGCCTTCAGACAGAGGTTGAGCCTCACGGTGCACCAGAGAACCCACACTGGGGAGAAGCCCTATGAATATAAGAAGTGTGGTGCAGCTTTCATTTCCAACTCACACCTCATGCGACACCACAGAACCCATCTTGTTGAACAACAAGTAAGGAAGAGGAAGACTTCCAGCATTGGTCATAACCTTCTGCCTCCCAAATGAGACACCTCTTTGCTGTTTTCTTCTTCCTTTATAAAGATGAGGCCTATGTCCTTAAAAGTTACAGTTTTCAGGAATGCAGCACAAAACACAAGATAAACATTTCAGCAGTTAATTTAAAGAAAACAGAAAGTAAGCACCTGAAGGCAACGACTTTGTTTTAACTGTACCTTAAGTGGTCATGTTTTCTGAAATGGAATGTAGCTTTCTTAGGAATGGGTCATACAAAGTAATGATTGTATTTGGGGAAAGGTCTTTTTTGCTTAATTTTGTTTTTAAAAACTCTGATGATTGCTTGAGCAATAGGCAGGTTATCTGCCTGGTTGAATTCTGGTTGAACCGTGTATTCTAGTATTTCTGGTTAAGTGGTGACTAGGTAAGGAAACCACTTGGGGTAGCAATTCAACAATTCACTTATGAATGTTTATAAGCTTTCCATTTTCTAAGTAATTTTTTAAAAGCTAGTCAAAAGAAAAAACCTTAACTGTCTACTGTACCAAAAATGGACAGAAACAGGAAATGGCCTTTTTCCTTACTGTCTATACCCCCTGAACCTTGATATTGTAGATATTGTAAAGCTCTGGAGACCTCTGTTGAGTCTGTTCTGACCATTCCCTAGTGTGCATGGCCAAGCCCTCAAGGATTGATGGACACCACACGCCAGCTATAGTCATTTGTTAAGATTGACAACTCCTCCTCCACACAACTCAAGCTCCCAATTCCCATTGCATTCCATTTGGGTAAGATGCAACCAACAGCCCCCTTCCTGGATAGAGGAATCAAAGAATAAAGCTTGCCTAGAGGAAAAATAAAAAACACAAAAAGAAGAAGGAATAAGACAAGTTGGAAGAAGACCTGCTCAACAACTTCACGGTGAAGGGAAAATAACTGATAGAAGACCAGAAAGGAGACCACCTTGTGAACGAAGACTTGAAAAGCCACTTGATGAAAGGGGTGAAGGAGGCGAATTTTCAGTTGATAGACTGATTATTGACCGACCTATTCAAGGTCATGGTGGTCTTGGAAGAGGTCGAGAGGGCAGTGGACGTGAAATGGGCCAAGGAGATGGATTTGATTCTCGTGGCAAACGTGAATTTGATAGGTATAGTGGAAGTGATAGATCTTTTTTTTCACATTACAGTGGCCTGAAGCACGAGGACCTGTAACGTGGAGGTAGCAGATCTCACAACTGGGGAATTGTCAAAGATGAATTAACAGAGTCCCCCAAATACATTCAGAAACAAATATCTTATAATTGCAGTGACTTGGATCAATCAAATGTGACTGAGGAAACACCTGAAGGTGAAGAACATCATCCAGTGGCAGACACTGAAAATAAGGAGAATGAAGTTGAAGAGGTAAAAGAGGAGGGTCCAAAAGAGATGACTTTGGATGAGTGGAAGGCTATTCAAAATAAGGACTGGGCAAAAGTAGAAACCTCTTCAATCCCTTTATACCCTTAACCTAACTTTCTCTTACTGGTGGGTAATAACTGAAAATAAAGATTTATTTTCATGCAAAAAAAAAATCTGTTCTTCAAGATCATCACATTCAGTATAAGAAAATCAAATTCTTTCTGTCCAAATGTACTGTTCTGGCTTTGTCAACTTGACAGCAGCCTCTGCGCCCAGCTATTCTACTTGTCAACTCTTGACTCAGATACTTGTTCCAAACCATGGGACCCCTCTGCTTTTCATTAAAGATTATTATAACTAACTTAGACAAAAGGAACCGGACTTTGTCACACAGCACCAGAAATCCCAGCACTTTACAGAATAATCATTCTTTATCTTTAAGATGTTCACAGAGTTGCTCAATTGACAATAGGAAACAAACTTTTTCTCAAAAGAGAATCTCTTCCTTTTTTATTTCTTCATGATTTGCCCCAAAATAAATATATTCCAGTGCACCATTTAAACAGTTTAATTCATCCATTTGTGTTACTATGCCCTAGTTACTTCTAACCTGGAAAGAGGGTCACATTCCCTTCCTTTCTTTGTAGTGGAGAAGTCAGAAGATACTCATAATGATAGACATTAGTAAGTGCATCCTGTGTGTGTGCACACACAGCCATTCATAATTTAGATTATTAGTTCTGCCAGGGACTCTAGGGATGTCCTAGGGTTAAAGATGGCCTAGTTAAACTCTCTTCAATCTCTTTATACCCTTAACAAAACTAAGATAACATGGCAGAGACTTCCTTGGTTCTTTTCCTTCTTCCAGTCACTCAGCACACACCTGCAGAATGGATTCATGACCCTCCTACTTTTCCTCTGCTCCACACTTGCCTGTTTCTTCTCTCTTTCCTCTTGACTTGGTCCACTCTCTTTCTGAGCTTCCTTCTTTCCCATAATCTACCATCTTCCAGAGAGCTCATTCACACCGTGCATCCATGCATTGCATGTATGTGTTTCTGATGGCATGACCCCACTGCCAATTCTCCAAAATTTCAAAAGTAAAATAAACAAACTTACAACTTTCTGCTTCAGATAAAGCAAAAGGACACTTTCATTTAGAACACAAAGAGAGAAAACTAATTTTTGAGTCAGAAAGTAAGCTCCCATTCACCATGGGAGCTTCGCATTGAGAGCAGTTCATGTACATCGTAAATGTTCAATAAACACATCCACTTGCAGATAGCTGAGGAGCTCTGAGTCAGCAGCAGGTAGTAAGTAGATAATGAAAGCAAACTAAATTAGAAGTCAGAAGACTGAGCATCTAGTACCAGCTCTGACTGAATCAAGTTATGTGACTCTGAGCACTTTTTTTTTTTTTTTGGTAATATCAACAAGGTAACACTAAATTATTTCTTTTTCTTTTTTTTTTTTTTTTTTTTTTTTGAGACGGAGTCTCGCTCTGTCGCCCAGGCTGGAGTGCAGTGGCGGGATCTCGGCTCACTGCAAGCTCCGCCTCTCGGGTTCACGCCATTCTCCTGCCTCAGCCTCCCAAGTAGCTGGGACTACAGGCGCCCACCACTACGCCCGGCTAATTTTTTGTATTTTTAGTAGAGACGGGGTTTCACCGTTTTAGCCGGGATGGTCTCGATCTCCTGACCTCGTGATCCACCCGCCTCGGCCTCCCAAAGTGCTGGGATTACAGGCGTGAGCCACCGCGCCCGGCCCACTAAATTATTTCTAAGGTATTTTCCGTTTTGAAAATCCAATGGTGATAAAACATGAATTACAGCTAAAGATTAAAAGGCCTTCAAAGAGGTTTATAGTCCAACCACTACCACTCCCTTTATTTCATATTTCCAGAAAGATGACTATTTGTCCCATTTGAAAATTTTCCAGGAAAACATTTGATTTTCCCATTGTCATCTGCACGCAAATTTTAGTACAAAAAAATAGTTCTCAGATTTAACCCAAAATCCATGTCTATGTTTATACTGCTGCTAATCAATTCAGGACTTAAATATCTAATTATAAAATTTCACAACCCTCATAATCTTGGGATGTAATTTTATTTTCAATGCAAGTATTAAAAGATATGGCCAACAAGGCATAAAAACATTTTCCCTGAAGTCGTATCATTGACTAAATCATGGAGCTTGTCTATTCAGCTTCTCTCTCAATATACATTTATAGCAGGACATGATTAGTTTTCACCTAAGAAAACTCTGCTTATTAAATTATATTTCATTCACCAGGACTCCTTATTTATCTCAGTAATATTTAATGGAAAAGTAAATAAAACACTATTACATAGATGCTTAGAGAGATGACAGTAATCTTATTCTAAATTAAATAAAGAAAGGTTAAGTAAATATTACAATCTTTTAGTATGAACCTTAAAATAATAAATCTACCTCCTTATTTTTTATAGCTTATTCTGGAAATATTTATCAATGTAATACTGAAACTAACTTATCATTAATTATTTTCTGTTTTTTTTTATTTTTCAAAAGCTTAAGTTACATTGTATGCTAGTTCCCATTCAGATCTTAATATAATTACTAATTCATTTTTAACACATCCTGATTTTCCATTTCAATAATGCATTTTAATGCATAGCTATATATCCCCATTATAAAACTATGCAATAGGAAGTGCTGACATTACAACCTTGTATTATAATTTTTGAATTTGAGGACCTCCCTAGATACACATATCCACACACACACACAAAAGCACACGCACACACACATTTTGTTTTCAAATATCTAAAACAAAGGCTCACTCTTAACCATAATAAACCAGAAACAAAAAAAGAAAATTGCTTTCAATAATGAGTAACCTTATGTTTATATAAGGTAATTATTTATATAATCTCATTATCTATTTGAAAACAGACCTGTGGTGAAAAAAGCAATAGTTCATTTACATATTATGACAAAGTGGTTTAAATCTATATTTGAATTAAGGAAATTACTCAAAGCTAAAGTTTTTGTTTTCCCCTTGCAACTCTTTTTGTGTAGAAAAGTAAATAAGGAATCTTAAACAAGTACTATTAAATTTTGCTTAGCTTCATTTTAATGAGGAATGACTTCATCATTCCTATGGCCATGCTGAAAAATTAAACTTATCTCTGACTCACAGAGAGTCTGTGCTGAGAAACATGAAAATCAATCTAATGACAGAAACAGAGCTATGACCTGTATCAGATGGACAAGAGAAAACCAACATTTCAAATAAATCCTCAACAGAGTAACTTCCACTTTCATCGTTAAATTCGGTGTCTATATGTGGGTTGGAAATGTATCTGGGTGAACATTAGATTTAATACTCATTTTTAAGACCCTGCTTCTGAAACCTGTCCTGGAATAGTTTCATGATAACTTGCTTATGCAGCAGCTTTGGCCTCTGGGTACCATGTTTCTGACAGGACAGGAGACTGCATACCAGAGGGAGAACATTCACAATCTCTTTGGAATCTGTTACTTGGAGGGGTCTGCCAGAGGCAAAGTCTTAAAGAAAGTGATGCTCATTCCCTGTGTTTTTCCATTCTCCTTACCTAGTCCCTACCAGTCTGTCCTGCTAGAAGCTGGCTTCCCTAAAGCTAGATGTTCAGGCCTCAGTGTCGCTGGATTAAATCTTCATGCAGTGGACTTTTTCTTTTTTCATGTCCCCTTCCATAAATACTAAGAGACATTCTGTGCTGGAGGTAGAATCAACAGCAAAACACAACTGGCTGCCAAAGTGCTGACAGACTATTGGGAGGAAGATAAACATTTATGAAACAGCCATACAGATAAACACAGAATTCTCCTACTGGGGACTGCCACCAAGGAGACATTCATGGTGCTATGAAAGCACATGATAGGGGTATATGATCCAGTTCCAGGGTTCAGGGAAGGCCTCCCCAAAGAAATGACAATCAGGCTGACAGTCATGATGTAAGGGGCTCCCAATGAAAAGCAAATGCTGAGCTTGGGAACCTGAAAGAAGATCAGTGTGGCCACTGCCAAAAAGGAGGATTATGATAGGAAGCTGGAAAAAGGAAGGCAGGTGTCAGACCTTGTGACTTTTTGGGGAAATGTTAAAGATTTATTCTAAGAGCCTTGGAGAACATTAATGAATATTACGTGGATAATGAATGAAATAATGAGGTTAGAGTTCAGAAAAAAGGTCCACTGTGGTAAACAGATAGGGTTTAGGGTTGAGGAGGGCAAAGTACAGCCAGCCTGCCTCCTTCCTTCCCTCCACTATTACAAGGGGCAGCTGTGTCCTCCTTTGCTAGGACCCACATTTCACTCAGTAGAACTGCTCTTATAAATCACCTCTGTCCCTTTTTCTTCCTTATTGGGGAAGAAGAAAAATGTCCATCCTAGGAATGAAAGCATATCCCAGATATTCAGAGACAAGGAGTCTTCAATTTTTCATCTGCAAAGCATGATTAATGGTGGGATGTTGGGCAGCTAAGGACTCTAAGATACCTTTGGGAATATGGGATCCTCTTTGAGCCTCTCAAATGATATTACATTAGGTCCTAGAAGACCATGTGAAGAAAACACACCAGAGCCCTAATTATGGCAACTGGTCTTCATTGATTAACAACGAAAGATAACTATTTCCTTACTGACAGGAACTCAAATGAGACTTGGTATTAATATAGCCTTCATTATTAAACATTTTTTTTCTAGATTTCCTATTAAGCTACCAACTATTAACTATTAGGAAACACTCTTTTTTTGCTTTTGGGTTGATGGATGGTGTTTGCAGATTTAACATTCTGCAGATATACATGTAAGTTTAACATACAAAATTACTGCAGTCACAGGACTATTCTAATGGGAGGTGAACCCTTTCCAGAGAGGAACAAGCACCGTCAAAGTCAACCATTTGCATAAGTGAGATCCATTCCAAACTTCCTGGAAACTAACTTTAAGTGCTTACTATGGATCAGCAGTATGATAAGCAAAGTACTTAAGCAATTTCATTTAAAACTCACAGCAAAAGCATGCGGCAAGTTGAAGAAAATGTAATGTGTTAGCTAGTAAAAGTGATAGCTAGTAAAGTTAGAACCAGGATTTGAAATTTTAAGTAACTTACATATTTAGTAAATTTAAGTAACCTGCTTACATGGTATAATAATTGGCTTGGGCTGCCACAACAAAATACTACAGTTTGGGTGATTTAAACAACAAAAAATTATTTCTCACAGTTCTGGAGGTCGGGAAGTCCACGATCAAGGTGCCAGACACTTAAGTTCCTGGTGAGGGCTCTCTTCTGAGCTTGCAGATGGCCACTCCTCACCATGTCCTCATATAGCAAAGAGAGAGAACTCGGGTGTCTGTTCCTCTTCTTGTAAGAGCACCAACTCTATAGGATTGGAGACCTATCCTTAAGAATTCATTTAACTTTTACCAGCTCCTCACAGGCCCTAATCTCAAATTCAGCCACATTGGAGGTTAGGGCTTCAACCTGTGAATCTGGGGAGCTGGGAGACAAAAACATTGAGTCCATGACACGTGGCTAAAAAATGATAAGAGCCAAGATTTGAACCATGGTGTCTAAAGCCCCAGGCTGGGTCCAATTCTCATGCAGTCTCTCTCAAAGTGGAGTAGTAGTAGTTTGAATTTCAAAGGCTAGAACATCATCACTAGCGGATTAGGACAATGGGACTTATTTATCAAATCTCAAGCCCAGCTAGCAAACACACAAAAAATAGCCCTGCATCATAATATTGTTCTGGTATCACGCTCATTAATCATTTTTTTTTCTTTTAACTTTTAAGTTCGGGGGTACTATGCAGGTTTGTTACATAGGTAAATGGCATGTCAGAGGGGTTTGGTGTACAGATTATTTTGCCACTCAGGTAATAAGCATAGTATCTGATAGGTAGTTTGTTAATCCTCATCCTCTTCCCTCCCTCTACCCACAAGTAGGCCCCACTGTCTGTTGCTCTCTTCTTTGTGTTCATATGTACCCAATGTTTAGCTTCCACTTATAAATGAGAACATGTGGTATTTGGTTTTCTGTTCCTGTGTTAGTCCACTTAGGATAATGGCCTCCAGCTTCATCCATGTTGCTGCAAAGGACATGATCTCATTTCTTTTTATGGCTGCATGGTATTCCATGGTATATATGTATCACATTTTCTTTATCCAGTCTACTATTGAAGGACATTTAGTTTGGTTCCATGTCTTTGTTATTGTGTCTCTGTTATAGTGCCACAGTGAAAATACATATGCATGTGTCTTTATGGTAAAACGATTTATATTCCTTTGGGTTTATATCCAATAATGGGATTATTGGGTCTAATGGTAATTCTACTTTGAGTTCTTTGAGAAATTACCAAACTGCTTACCACAATTGCTGAACTAATTTACATTCCCACCAGCAGTGTATAAGCATTCCCTTTTCAGTGTATAAGCATTCCCTTTTCTCTACAACCTCACAGGCATCTGTTTTTCTTTTACTTTTTGGTAATAGCCATTCTGACTTGTGAGATGGTATCTCATTGTGGTTTTGATTTGCATTTCCATAATGATTAGTGATATTGAGCATTTTTTCATATGCTTGTTGGCCACATGTATGTCTTCCTTTGAAAAATGTCTGTTAATGTCCTTTGCTCACTTTTTAATTGGGTTGTTTTTTGCTTGTTGATTTGTTCAAGTTTGTTATAGATTCTGAATACCAGACTTTTGTCGGATGTATAGTTTGCAAATATTTTCTCCCATCCTGTAGGCTGTTTACTCTGTTGATAGTTCTTTTGCTGTGCAGAAGCTCTTTAGTTTAATCTGTTTCCATTTCTCAATTTTTGCTTTTGTTGCAATTGCTTTTGACATCTTTGTCATGACATCTTTGTCATGGAATCTTTGCCAGGTCCTATGTCGAGAATGCCATTTCCTAGGTTATCTTCCAGGGTTTTTTATAGTTTTAGGTTTTACATTTAAGTTTTTAATCTATCTCAAGTTGATTTTTTTATATGGTGTAAGGAGGGGTCCAGCTTCAATCTTCTGCATATGGCTAGCTAGCTTCCCAGCCCCATTTATTGAATAGAGAGTCCTTTCCCCATTTCTTGTTTTTGTCAACTTTATCAAAGATCAGATTGTTGTAGGTGTGTGGCATTATTTCTGGGCTCTCTAATCTGTTCCATTTGTCTATGTGTCTGTTTTTGTGCCAGTGACATGCTGTTTTGGTTACTGTAGCCTTGTAGTATGATTTGAAGTGAGAGAATGAAATCAACTTTCAGCCTCAGTTTCAGAGAGACAAAAACATTCTCATTGTCCAATCAATCTAAAAACCTTTAATGGGATTAAATCTCTAAAGTGGAAAAATCTCTATGGATAGTTGTTGCTAAGCAAAAGAATAAACATTTTATGTTCTGCATCACTATGAATACATCAGTACCTAAGATATACATGGGTATCTTCTAGGAAAAAGGAAATATATTTTTATTTGATATTACACCTGATTCTAGAAATATCCTTATGAGTTGAGTTAGGTATTGTCCATTTTCCCAACAAAGAAACTGAGGCAGAGAGGCTAGTAGGTTCATGTGGCTAGTAAGTAGTTTGCTTGGCTTACTAACGCTATTTTGAACTTTTTACTTTGCAGGGGGTAAGAATAGGAAATAGGCTAGGATAAAGTCAAGATTTTTTATGTTCATGGAATTCTGTAATCCACCATGTATAAACAACATCAAAAGACAGTAACAATATAGCCAGTAAGCACCTTGAGGGACTATGAAAAAATTAATATTTAATATAACAATGGTGTGATTTGTCTTTGTGAAAATCAATACACATTGGAATTTACCAAAAACAGTTAACAAGGTCTGGTTATACAGGTTAATGTATCTCACTTCCCCTAATTTTGAAATAAGAGAAATCAAATAGCTGCTTTGAGCCTCTGTGTTCCTCACCTATAAACCAGGAAATAATAACATTTAGTTCATAGGATAATTGTGTGGAACAAATTTGATATTTACGCAAATCACTTGGAACACTGCTGGCACATTAAAGTGGACAATAAGTGTGTTATTTTTATTATTGCCATCATATATGCCATATGTCATAATGTTGATAGTGTGACTTTTTAAAATTTAACAAGGCACAAAGGATTATTCAATTTGGGTAAGAGGTCCTACAGAATTCAAGTGCATATTTTGAACCTATAAAATGTAAAATTCTAGTAATTCAAATATACCCACTTAAATCCAATGCCAGGCAGTTGCCAAAAAACCACACACTCAGCCTTTTTCACCCAGGTACTTGCTCTCAGAGAGACACAGCAAGAAACCATGAAGATGAAGGCCACAGAGAAGCGAAGGGAAGAACCTGGGAGACTTCCCACAGTAAATCACAGGAAGAAGCGAGCAAAACCTCTGTTAATCTCCTTTTTGCTCCCCAGGGAAAGCCAGTCACATCCCAACTAATGATCCAGCTCCCAAATAAGAAATAATGAAAGAGGGGAAAGCTTCATTAAAAATGCCCAGAAAATGAATTAAGTCCTCTTCCGCCTCCCTCCCTCTTAGCCCCGGGTGGGTGTCTTTTCCATAGCAGTCTGTGGAGTCCTGCTATTAATGAGATGGAGTTTCTCTTCCATTGGACCCTGGGATTTTTCCATATTCAAAGATTAAGTTCCCTTTGATTTCACAAACCAACTAGCTTACAGATAAAGGTATAGTTTGTTTACCGTCTCTTTTCTGGATGTGGAAATAAGCAATTCAAATAATTGGAGATTTTAAAGACCATCTAGTTTAGTTTTCACAAATGACAATGCCTTCAAGAGCCAGGAAGGCAACAGGAACAAATGAAACGGAGACTCGTTTACTTTGTTTAATTTTTACCACTCAGAAACATAAGCCCAACTGTTGCCTAATATTTCCATTTTTCAAGAGAAGCCGGAAACCTTTTTTTTTCTATGTTGGTAACAAATTTAAAAGGCATTTAAGCACTATACCCATGCCTGGAGAAAACTAACCTATAGATTTATAATTAGAACTTCTGACGTAGTCCCATGATTTTTAGTCCTACCTTAAAACAGAAATATATCACCTGAGAGCTTTAAAAATACCTCTGCTTTCCTCTCCACCAGGAAATTTCTAATTTTAATTTTTATTTATTTATTTATTTTGAGACGGAGTCTCGCTCTGTCACCAGGCTGCAGTGCAGTGGCACGATCTCGGCTCACTGCCACCTCCGCCTCCCAGGTTCAAGCGATTCTCCTGCCTCAGCCTCCTGAGTAGCTGGGACTACAGGTGTGTACCACCACACCCAGCTAATTTTTGTATTTTTAGTAGAGATGGGGTTTCACCATCTTGGCCAGGATGTTCTCCATCTCTTGACCTTGTGATCTGCCCGTATCTGCCTCCCAAAATGCTGGGATTACAGGCGTAAGCCATTGTGTGTGGCCCGAAATTTCTAACCTAATTGGTCAAGAGTAAGATAATTCTAATATACAGCCAAAGTTGAAGACCACTAATCTGGTCTAACCTATTCTGTAGATGAGGAAACTGCAGCTCAGAGATTAAAGCAACCTATAGCCAGCGGGAGAAAAAGAACACAGATCTAAGTCTTCTGACTTCTTATTCCAACATGTTGATCACAAAATTCTAGTATCAGTGCTACTCCTTTACCAATAAACCAGAGTTTGGGCTTCAATATATATAGTTTGTAAAATATTTCTCCAGCAGAAGTGTCAGTGTTTTATGCTGGAGTCCTTTATTCCTAAATCTAGTGACCATCATGTAAGATTTACAAGAGAATGCAATCTCCATGAAGGCAAAGGACTTGCCACTCCTGCTTCAGAGTATACTTTTAGCACCTCAGTAAATACTTGGTTAATGAATCACTTTATAAGCTTTTCATATAAATTGGGAATTATTTCCATATAAATTGGGAATAAATTTCCATGAAAGTTCAAAAATCTACTTGATAGAGAGGAATGTCAGTGAATAGAACCAAGTCAGAAGAAACAAAAGATGGTATCTCAGCTATCTAAAGAGAAGGATTGGGGACAGAAGAAAGATGGCAGATAGCAGGCAGGGCTAACATACATCTCCTGCTTGGATGGACAGAACAGTGTGTGGAGACTCAGACTGTGAACCTTTTTTCCAAGAACCACCACAGGATCATATCAGGAAAATGGAAAGAATTCACAGATCCTTTGAAAGAAGTGACAGGCTGCTGCAAACTCTGTGAGACAGGCAAAAAGCAATGAGTTCCCAAAGTGTGAATGGGGGAAAACCTGCCTCCAAACACATATCCTCACTGGGGAATCTGAAAATCCAGATCATGAGAGAAGGATTTAACCTTACCTAGAGCTGGAACAGATTTAGGGAGCCACGTGAAACACAAAAGTAGAAGCAGCAGCAGGAAGAGTCTTGTAGGCACTCCCAGTCTCCAGCTCAAACCCAGGGAAGCCATGCCTGACTATATCTCACAGGGGCCCTCAGGGAAGGCAGCCAGCAGAATTAGGGAGGGGGCACAAGGTGAAAGAAGCTTCCAAATGAATTTTGTGATAATTTTGAGGGGGCATGAACCTGCGTGAACAGAATCTGGTGGGTGAATGGGAACTGCAGCAGATATGAGCACAGGAACCTTGTGGGCAGACAGGGAGGGGTGTGGCCTGAAAGCCTTGCTTGCTTTCTCAGTGGGGAAGTGTATGGCCTGGAGTAAGACTGAGTTCCACAAGCAGGAGGCGTGGATCTAAACTTGGTGCTGTTAACACAGCATTGCAAGAGTGAGATTGGGCTCACCAACTGTGTGGGAGCTGGGTGAAGCCTTTCACTACTGGCTATTCTCCACTTCCCTGGTGAACTATTCTGTGCCACAGAGGCAGCCATAATCCCCTCTGGAACATAACCCCATCAGCCTGAAAACCATCCTCCCCATCCTACATAGTGGCTGTGGCAAGACTAGCCCAAGAAGAGTCTCAGCTCAGACCCGCCTAATCCTGCCCCCACTTGATGGTATTTTTCTATCTGCCTTGGCAGCCGAACACAAAAGACACCACCTCCTGGCTGGAGGCCAACCAACTCAGGCCATACTCATGACAATAATATTGCTCCCAGGAAGGAGAAAACAACAGCTAATATCACTGCCTGCAACATCCTGGCTAACCAGAGGTCCTTAGTCTGTCCACGTGGCAACTTCAATACTAGCATAACTAGCATTTGAGAAAGCCAGCACACTACACCTATCTACAATCAGGGATTCTCACAGAGTCTACATCCCTATCCTGTCACCTCCACCAGAGCAGGTGCTGGTATACATGGCTAGGAGACCTGAAGACTGATCAGATCACCGGTCTCTTTGCAGACATTCGCCAGCACCAGCCCAGAGCCTGGTAACTCCATTGGGTGGCTAGACCCAGAAGAACAATAACAGTCACTGCAATCTGGCTCTCAGGAAGCCCATCCCTAGGGGAAAGAGGAGAACACCACATCAAGGAATCACTAAGTGAGACAAAATAATCTGAATAGTAGGAGTTTCAGATCTTTCTGCTAGTGGGTAGTTTCTCACAGCAGAGACCCAATTGCAGTGCCAGGTGCAGTAGGGAAAGTCTGCACCTATACCCCAATAGGCAAGCAGCCTCTGTGACCATGAAGGGCCTTGGAAAAGGAGTCCTTGTTCCCCCTGGCACTCCACTGCAGACACAGCTGGGGCTTCCCCCACAGGAACACACATGGATACACCTGTAGACAGCCTTTCTGGAACACTCCAGGGTGAGTATCGCCCACAAGAGGAGCAAACCCCAGATTCAGGCCTGCATGAGAGGCAGAGTCACAGTTCCTCCCTACTTGGAACAACAACATTCCTATAGATGAAAAGAGATGCCTGTCTGATCTGAATAGCTGAAATGCTAGGACAGGAGTGAGGCTGTGAGGTGAATAGTTTTCTTTCTGACTTGGCAGGGGAGCTGAGGAAGCTCCCACTTTTCACCTTGATAAAATTTCAGCACACCTAATTGAGAGCTCCTCCAGCCACCCTCATCAAGGCTGTGACCTCGGCTCGCCATTGGGTATTACATCTACCCACTTGCCTTAGCCACAACTGGTGCCTGCCGGGGGATACCTCCCCAATTGTCCTGAAGCCTGAATCATCAACTCAGTAAATAAAAGACCAGTAAATAAACTGTATACCATGAGAGGAGGACATAAGCGTCAAGGGATCCCTGCCATTCCAGCTTCACAGGAGACAGAGAATTCACCCACACACCAAGTATGTAACTACTAAAATCAGCATTGGGGAAAACCAGTGCAGGAAGATTCTGTAACTAAGGATCTCGTACAGAGTCTTCACCCCTACAAGCACCAAGACTCCAATTAGGCTAAAATAAACATTAGAGTCTGATTCTTAAGAAAGAAAAAATAAGAAATTAAAAAAAAAACACAGTCCACAAAAACAATTTTAAGTAATAGTCTACCCAAATGAGAAGGAACCAGAAAAGTAATTCTGGTAATATCACAAAACAGAGTTCTATAAAACCCCCAAAGATTACTGTAGTTCCACAACAATGGATCCGAACCAGGAAGAAATCTCTGAATTTCCAGACAAAGAATTCAGAAGGTCAATTATTAAGCTACTCAAGGAGTTACCAGAAAAAGGCAAAAAACAATTTAAATAAATTTAAAAACTAGTACAAAATATGAACGAAATTTTCTCCAGAGAAATAGATATCATAAAGAAAAACATCCACAACTTCTGGAAATGAAAGATACACTTAGGGAAATATAAAATTCAGTGGAAAGTTTCAGCAACAAACTAGAACAAGAAGAAGAAAGAACTTCAGAGCTCAAAGATAAGACTTTTGAATTAACCCAATCAGACAAAGAAAAAAGAATTTTTAAAAATGAACAAAGTTTCCACGAAATTTGGGACTATATTAAACAGTCAAACCTAAGAATAAATGGTGTTCCTGAGGAAGAAGTGAAATCTAAAAATTAGAAAAACTTATTTAAGGGAATAATTAAGGAAAACTTCCCTGGCCTTGCTGGAGACCTAGATATCCAAATACAGGAAGCTCAAAGAACTCCTGGAAAATTCATTGCAAAGATAATCACCTAGACACTCAGTCATCAGTTTATCTAAAGTCAAGACAAAGGAAAAAATCAAGAGCTGTGAGACAAAAGCATCAGGTAACCTATAAAGAAAAACCTATCAGATTAACAGCAGACTTCTCAAGAGAAACCTTGCCAATCAGAAGGGAGCAGGGTCCTATCTTTAGCCCCCTTAAACAAAATAATTGTCAGTCAAAAATTTTGCATCCAGCAAAACTAAGCTTCAGATATGAAGGAGAGATAGTCTTTTTCAGACTAACAAATGTTGAGGGAATTTGCCACTACCAAATCAGCACTACAAGAACTGCTTAAGGGTGTTCTAAATCTTGAAACAAAACCTTGAAATACACCCAAACAGAACCTTCTTAAAGCATAAATCTCACAGGGCCTATAAAGCAATAACATAATTTTAAAAAGTATTAGGCAACAGCTAACATAATGAATAGAACAGTACCTTATATGTCAATACTAACATTGAAAGCAAATGGCCTAAATGCTCCACTTAAAAGATACAGAATGACAGAATGGAGAGAAATCCGACAACCAAGTATCCGCTGTTGTCAAGAGACCCACGTAACACATAAGGACTCACATAAACTTAAGGTAAAGAAGTGGAAAAAGATATTTCACACAAATGGAAACTAAAAGTGAGCAGGAGTAGGTTTTTTTTTTTTTTTTTGACAGAGTCTTGCTCTGTTGCCCAAGCTGGAGTCAGTGGTGCAATCTTGGCTCACTATGACCTCCACCTCCTGGGTTCAAGTGACTCTCCTGCCACAGCCTCTTGAGTAGCTGGGACTGCAGGCGCACACCACCACACCTGGCTAATTTCTTTGTATTTTTAGTAGAACTCCTGACCTTGTGATCTGCCCATCTTGGCCTCCCAAAGTGCTGGGATTACAGGTGTGAGCCACTGCGGCCAGTCTAGGAGTAGCTATTCTTATATCAGACAAAACAGACTTTAAAGCAACAACAGTGGAAAAAAAAAAAGACAAAGAGGGACATTATATAATGATAAAAGGATTAGTCCAACAGGAAAATATCACAATCATAAATATATATGCATCTAACAGTGGAGCTCCCAAATTAATAAAACAATTACTGCTAGACCTAAGAAACAAGATAGACAGTAACATAATAATAGTGTGGGATTTCAGTACTCCATTGACAACACTAGACATGTCATCAAGACAGAAAGTCAACAAAGAAACAATGGGCTTAAACTATGCCCTGGAACAAATTGACTTAATAGGTACTTACAGAACAGTCTACCTAAAAATGTAGAATATACATTCTTTTCATCAGCACATGGAACATTCTCCAAGACAGACCATATGATAGGCCACTAAACGAGTCTCAATAAATTTAAGAAAAACAAAATCATATTAAGTATCCTCTCAGACAACTGCGGAATAAAAATGAAAATTAACTCCAAAAGAAACCTTCAAAACTATAGAAATACATGGACATTAAATAATCTGCTCTTGAATGATCTTTGGGTCAACAATGAAATCAAGATGAAAATTAAAAATTCTTTCAAAATGATAATGATGACAAAACTTATCAAAACCTATGGGATACAACAAAAGTGATGCTAAGAGGAAATTTCATAGTTTTAAATGCCTAAATCAAAAAGTCTGAAAGAGCACAAATAGACAATCTAAGGTCACACCTCAAGGAACTAGGGAAACAAGAAAAAAACAAACCCAAACAAAGCAGAAGAAAAGATATAACCAAATAAGAGAAGAACTAAATGAAACTGAAACAACAACAACAACAACAAAAATGCAAAAGACAAGTGAAACAAAAAGCTGGTTCTTTGAAAATATAAATAAAATTGATTGAAAAACCATTAGTGAAATTAACCAAGAAGAGAGAAGATCCGAATACGCTCAATAAGAAATGAAACGAGATATTGCAACCGATATCACAGAAATACAAAAGATCATTCAAGGCTATTATAAACACCTATATGCACACAAACTAGAAAATCTAGAGGAGATGGACAAATTCCTGCAAATATACAACCCTCCTACATTAAATCAGGAAGAAACAGGAACTCTGGACAGACCAATAACAAGTAGTGAGACTGAAACAGTAATAAAAAAACAAGTGCCAACAAAAAAAGTCCAAGAGCGATGGATTCACAGCTGAATTCTATCTGACATTTAAAGAAGAATTGGATACTGAAACTATTCAAAAAGATAGAAAAAGAGGAAATCATTCTATGAAGCCAGTATCACCCTAATACCTAAACTTGGAAAGGACATAACAGAAAACTAAAAGTACAAATATCCCTAATGAACATACATGCAAAAATCCTCAACAAAGTAGTAGCTAACTGAATCCAGCAGCATTTCAAAAAAGATAACACATCATGATCAAGCGGGTTTCATACTAGGGATATAGTGGTTTCATACCAGGGATGTAGGTTTACCATACCCGAGTCAATAAATGTGATACACCACATAAACAGAATTAAAAACAAAAATCATATGATCATCTCACTAGACACAGAAAAAGCATTTGACAAAATCCAGCATACTTTTATGATAAAAACCCTCAACAAAATTGGCATAGAAGGGACATAACTCAAAGTAATAAAAACCATCTAGGAGAAACCCACATTGTACTGAATAGGGAAAAGTTGAAAGCATTCTGCCTGAGAACTGGAACAAGACAAGCATGCCCACTGTCACCACTTCTATTCAGCGTAGTTCTAGAAGTCCTAGCCAGAGTGATTAGACAAGAGAAAGAAATAAAGGCATCCAAATCAGAAAAGAGGAAGTCCAACTGTCACTGTTCACCAATGACATGATTGTATACCTAGAAAATCCTAAAGACTCCTCCAAAAAGCTCCTAGATCTGATAAATGAATTCAGTAAAGTTTCAGGATCAAAAATCAATGTACACAAATCAGTAGCATTGCTATACACCAACAATGACCAAGCTGAGAGTCAAATCAAGAACTCAATTCCTTTTACAACAGCTGCAAAAATAAAAATAAAATACTTAGGAATATACTTAACGAAGGAGTTGAAAGATCTCTACAAGGAAAACTACAAAATATTGCTGAAAGAAATAATAGATGACACAAACAAATGGAAACACATCCCACACTTGTGGATGGGTAGAATCAATATTGTGAAAATGAACATACTGCCAAAAGCAATCTACAAATTTAATGCAATTCCCATCAAAATACCATCATCATTCTTCACAGAACTGGAACAAAAATCATAAAATTTATATGGAACCAAAAAAGAGCCCACATAGCCAAAACAAGACTAAGCAAAAAGAACAAATCTGGAGGCATCACACTACCTGATTTCAAACTACACTATAAGGCCATATTCACCAAAACAGCATGGCACTGGTATAAAAATAGTCACATAGGCCAATGGAACAGAATAGAGAACCCAGAAATAAAGGCAAATGCTTACAGCCAACTGATCTTCAACAAAGCAAACAAAAACATGAAGTGGGGAAAGGACACCCTAGTCAACAAATGGTGCTGGGATAATTGGCAAGCCCCATGTAGAAGGATGAAACTGGATCCTCATCCCTCACCTTATATAAAAATCAATTCAGGATGGACCAAAGATGTAAATCTAGAACCTGAAATCATTAAAATTCTAGAAGATAACATCAAAAAAACTCTTCTCAACATTGGCTTAGGCAAAGAACTCATGAGCAAAAACCCCAAAGCAAATGCAACAAAAATAAAAATAAACAAATTGGACCTAATTAATTAAAAAGCTTCTGCACAGCAATAATAATAATAATAATAATAATAATAATAATAATAATAGTAAACAGATAACCCACCGATTGGGAGAAAATCTTCGCAAACTATGCATCTGACAAAGTACTAATATCCAGAATCGGCAAGATATCCAGAATCTACAAGGAACTCAAACAAATTAGCAAGAAAAAAACAAATAATCCCATCAAAAAGTGGGCAAAGGACATGAATAGACAATTCTCAAAAGAAGATATACGAATGCCCAACAAACATGGAAAAAAATGCTTGACATCACTAATTATCAGGAAAATGCAAATTAAAACCACAATGTGATATCACCTTACACCTGCAAGAATGGCCATTATTAAAAAATAAAAAAATAATAGATGTTGGCATGAAGGTAGTGAAAAGGGAACCCTTTTACGCTACTGGTGGGAATGTAAACTAGTACAGCCGCTATGGAAAACAGTAGGGAGATTCCTTAAAGAACTAAAAGTAGAAATACCATTCGATTCAGCAATCCCACTACTGGGTATCTACTCGAAGGAAAAGAAGTCATTATATGAAAAAGACACTTGTGCGGGGCATGGTGACTCATGCTTGTAATCCCAACACTTTGGGAGACTGAGGTGGGTGGATCACTGGAGGTCAGGAGTTTGAGACCAGCCAGGCCAACATGATGAAACCCCATCTCTACTAAAGATAGAAAAAGTAGCTAGGCATGGTTGTGGGCACCTGTAATCCCAGAGGCTGAGACAGGAGAATTGCTTGAACCTGGGAGGCAGAGGTTGGACGTTGCAGTGAGCTGAGATCATGGCACCACACTCCAGCCTGGGTGGCAGGGCTAGAGAAAGAGGAAAGAAAGAGAGAGAGAGAAAGAAAAGAAAGAAAGAAAGGAAAGAAAGAAAGAGAGAGAGAGGGAGGGAGGGAGGGAGAGATAGAGGGAGGGAGGGAGGGAGGGAGAAAACAAGGAAAGAAGAAAAGAAGGAAGGAAGGAAGAAAGGAAAGAGAGAGAGATGGAGGGAGGGAGGCAGTTGCACAACTTGCACATGCATTTGTACAGCAGCACAGTTTGCCATTGCAAAAATATGGAACAAGCCTAAATGCCTATCAACCAATGAGTGGATAAAGAAAATGTGATATATATATACCATGGAATACTACTCAGCCATAAAAACGAACAAAATAATGGCATTTGCAGCAACCCGGATGGAGCTGAAAGTAACTCAGGAATGGAAAACCAAATATTGTATGTTCTCACTTGTAAGTGGGAACTAAGCTCTGAGGATGCAAAGTCATAAGAATAATATAATAGACTTTGGCAACTCAGGGAGAAGGGTGGGAGGGGGTGAAGGATAAAAGACTACACACTGGGTACAGTGTATACTGCTTGGGTGATGGGTGCACCACAATCTTAGACATCACCGCTAAAGAACTTATTCGTGGAACCAAAAACCACCTCTTCCCCAAAAACTATTAAAATAAAACAAAATTTAAAATAAATAAGTAAAGCAAAACTTAGATCACTGTTGACAAAGCCATAAAAAGTGAAGAAATAGCAGATTTGCTGTTCACAAGAACCAATTTCATTATGTTTAAAGCTTCATTTCCCTTGCAACAGCATGAAAAGGAAAATACAACTCTATTCGTGTCAATCTCATCACCACCACTAACTCAATGTATTTATTTTCCCTGGAGCTGAACCCTTGCCAACACTAATAATCATAGCTTAAATATCTTGTCTGGTTTCTTGACTGCATGTGACAAAGAAGTGCGGTGTTCACTTGTCTGTCTGCACTTTAAGTATTCTCTTCACACACTATAGGGATGGCTGTTTTCAAAAGTGGAATACAGTGTTGTGTTATACTGACATCTCAAAAGATTTGGTGATAAACACTAGGCTTCCTTTCATCCAACAAAGATGCTGGCAAGATCTTACTAATTATGTAAGAGTAAGACATGTTATTACTCATTTGGTTTATTATTAAAAAACACATCTCCACACTACTGTTCAATCAGTGCACTCCAAACACCTCTCTATACTTTATAGTGTAAGTTGTCTTGCTAAAATAACAAATCTGATCATGTTACTTACTGACATAAGAAATTCTGGTAGCAGCTACCTGCAGGTCCCCAGACAAAGTCCAAGATCACTGATATAAATATAAGAACCCTGCCTACTTTTCCCTTCACCTGCCCTCGAACATTCTCTGATCTAGCCACTTTAAAGTACTTACCATTTCCCTAACACATCATCCTCTGGTATATCCCCACGGTTATGGGCTATACTGTTTAATAGCATTTTTTCATTTTTTCTCTGCCTGTTGGCCTCTTACAGAACTTTTAAGAATCAGCTCAGATGCCATATCTTCTGGGAAGTCTCTCATAACTCCTCCCACTGTAGCGAGTCTTTGCTGCTTCCATCGTTCCTGCCTCCCATTAGCTTACATTATGAGTGCAGTTTTATCTCTACACTTTGTGCTCCTAAAGTCCATGTCTGGTCTTCATTACATCCCTGGTCCCTGACTTATGCAGGCCTTCAATATGGAACACAGGTTTGCTGAGTTCAAATAACTGCTGCTTTTGCCCCAACCTGTGTAGACAAAAGGACAAAGATGGGTTTCCTGGGCAGTTCTGCCTCCCCTGACAACTATGGCTTCTCTCTACAGTGAGCCTGTTAATATTAATAACTGTTTTTGCTTAATGCTTTGGCTTCAACTGCCATATTATGAGTCTCTCTTGTCCAGCTACTGGACAGTTATTCCCTGGCACTTCAATATGTAAAGAACTATCACCAAGAGACAAGGACCTTAAAATACATTTTAAAAACCCAACAAAAAAATTTTGCTTTCTTATCGAAGCATACTGAGCTTAACAAGTCAGAACTTCCTTATTCAGCAGAATGCATTATATATAAGTAAATATTGATTCAAATGTGTTTTTAAATCAGAAGATGGTACTGTAGGCAGTCTCTCTTGATATTTATGAATTGTGATTTACATCAGGATAAATCAGGAATATTTTGAGAAAACTTATCACCAGAGATTGGAAGCCACAGAAAAGCACAGTCATGCCAAGTTTATAAACTTTGAAAAAGTAAAAACAATAATTCCTAGACCACTGAGCCCTTTTCCAGGCAGAACATACTCAGACTATTCTTTTAGAGTATAAAGCTGGCTACAGATGATCTCAGAGTGGGATATTTTCTGATAACATCACTACTAATGCTTTAGGACTTGATGGTGGCACAATTCCATCAATAAATCTGACTCGTGATTGATTCATTTTTCTATTTGTTGGACTTCAAAATATATCATAGTTCCCTCATAATGTGCATTAGCAATAACATTGTCTTTTGAAACTTGTGTCATCAAACCAATCTCCTTCAGTCTAAAAGCATCCAGAAAATTTTGTTAAATACAGAATAAATCCATCTATTACTAATTACTGAATGTCCACTGTGGGTCCACTGTCCAGCACATGGCTAGGTACTATAGAGAACACACAAAAAATTCAATGTATAGCTCTTCGATGAAATTTAAAAATGACAATGAGGCTTTGTATGTTAGGTTCTTTCTGATTTGAAAAATGTGTTTTGACTTTTTTAACAAGTGTTTACAGAGGACTGCCCACCTGCAAGATACTGGAGTGAGGCTAAAGGGGAGGCTGTAGACATAGATCCTGAATTCAGGCCACATACAGTAAGACATTGCACAAGAGACTTAGATGAGAGAAATCGCGAGTCTTAATAAATGTGCCAAAGAAGTGGTAGAGGAAAGAGGAATTTGTAGCTGGAAAGGGGAAGGATCATAGCAGATACTGTGGCATTTGACGTTGTGGCATTTGAGTTCCACCTCGAAAGACAAGAAGAATGAGAGAATGAAAAAAATTAGAGAAAAGTCATTTTAGAGGGAATAACATGAACAAAAGTTAACAAATAGAATATGTTGAGAGCAAAGAGGTAGTTCAGTTTGAAGCTCAACAGAAAATACACATGGAAAGATAGGTTGAGGGAATATATAGGATTCTGAATACTGGGCTCAGGAATCTGAAAATCAGTCCCCAGGCAATAAGATGATTTTTGAGGGCATTGTCAAAATGGCAATTATTTCAGGTAAATTTAACAATGGTGAGATGGAATTAAAAGCAGATAAATAAAAGCTGCTGAAACTATTGCTTCTGCCCCAACCCAGGTATGTGAGTTGAAAACACAGTTATGAGTCTTCTGGTTAATATTTATAGCTGCCATCAAATGGAAATTTATTAACTGCTCATGGCTTTTTACTACACAAAGCTTTGGCTTCAAACTCATTATGAAGTCTCATGTCACTGGCACTGGACATTCTGTGTGCCTTCTATGTGTACAGGACTATTCTAAGTGTTACAAGAGAATGCCTCTCTTTATATATACATATTTTATAAAATGCTCACCATCCTAAAGAAAACCAAACTTGTAGTATAATTTCTATATTCTACACAGACCCTCAACAAATCATGAATTGGACTGAGTATTTTTGTTGTTGTTGTTTAATCCAGAGAAGATAGTGCTGTAACTTCCCAGGTGTAATGTTTAATTATATAACCATTATATATCCATTATATATATCCATTATCTATATCTATATCTATATCTATCTATGTCTATGTCTATATCTATATCTATATCTATATCTATATCTATCTATATCTATATCTATATCACCTTGGCTGGGCCATGGTGCCCAGATATGTTGTCAAACATTACCCTAAATGTTTCTATGAGAGTGTTCTTAGATGATATTAAAATTTTAAATGATGTACTCTGAGTAAAGTAAACTGCCCTCCAATCAGTTGAATGCCTTAATAGAGCCAAAGACTGACCTCCCAAGCAAAGGGAAATTCTGCAGCGGACTTGGACTTGACTTGCAACATGAGCTCTTCTCTGGGTCTCCAACCTACTAGCCCACTTTGCACATTTTGAACTTGCGAGTCTCCATAATTGTGTGAGCCAATCTCTTAAAATAAATCTACACACACACACACACACACCCTACTGGTCCTGTTTCTCTGGAAACCCTAATACATTGGTGAAACATGCCAGTGTTTTCACAACCTGCTCCATGTCTACCTGAATCATCCTGTGATCATCTTCTCTAAAAATGCCCTTGACATTAAATTTATGGAATGACAGACAAGGGCAACAGAGGGGATGTCAAGCTTTACTGGGCTTTCTTTAGCAATAGTTATGCCTATAAGCCCTACACATTTCATAAACACTCCACTTAGCCCAAAATGAACTATACAATGGTCTTCTATTTAACTGGAAGGAATGAAGGTAAGTTTTCCTAACTAGGAAATCTGGCAGTGATGATCCTTCTCACTGAGTTCCAAGTAATACATTAATGAATATTCATATGTAATTTCAACAAATTTCAACTAGGCTCAAGACCATTCCAAGACACTGTGAGCCATGATATAGCCACCAAGTCCAAGTATCCTGGCTAAGAGAAGTCCAATCAGTCCCCTTTTAGAAACTCAAGCCCCACATTCAAATCTTTGTAGCCAGACTGACATTACCTCATGCCAAGTGAGCCAGGAGTGTTGCCCCTCCAAAAAGACAGTAGTGAACAAATTCACCATGCTTCTAATCTGTTTTCATCAGTCAAATCCCAAAGCATCTGGTCCCTAGGTAATTGGTGCTTAATTATACCATCTTCCCCATAAAGACTTTACTTGCTCCCTTTGGACTTCTAATGTCAGGGAGAATGAGTCAGGGAAGAAGGTCCGTGAATTTGACTTTGATTTGTGAAAAAGAAAATGTGTAATTTCAGTGTTTTTTGTTTTTGTCTAACTTCTTTCTGTGTTTGTGTTTTTGTCTTGATTTCACATTGCTAATATGTTTTTTCACAATAGTCTTAATAACAGTTATATCAATATTCTCCCTTAAGGAAAGCACTGGAATCTCCTGAGAAACTGGGATGGGCCCTACACCCAGAAATACAGATTTAATTGATCTGGGGTGCAGCATCCTGGGCTGATCACTGACTGCTATACTTCTGTCTTGTTTAATCAACCACTTTGATTACAAATTTCCTCTAACCTTCAGAAAGATCTCTATACTCTCCTTCTCCTGTCTATATGTCCCTCCCTAGCAGGCTTAGATTCCTGGTTTATCACTCCAGAAGCTCCCTTGCCCATGCCAATATCCTAAACTCCTTTGCAATCTTTTCATCATACCTCTCTGACAAAATCCTAAGCCTAGATGAACCTGTTTTTCTGTGTCTGGTAAACTGCTGAGCACCTCCAAAAAGGCTCATATATTTTATAATAATTCTAACAGTAGTACCATGAATTCATGATCATCAGCCTCAGCTGAGCCTTCAAGCAGTGACTAGCAGTCCTACTAAATTTCACTCATTTATTCCCTTTCATATTCCAACTTACTCTGTCCTCCTCAAATATCTGAAATGATCCCCTTTCCTTCCTAGTATGCCAGCCCCTTTCTCTCTCCCTGTCTCAGTTGGTGACTCAACTGCTTTCTGGAGCAGATATAAGGCATCGAACAAAAACTCCTTTGACTTGGCTTCACCACATCAAACACACCTCTGCATCTGCACACATCACCTTTGGCTTCCTTCTAGAATAGAGGATAGAGATCATCTCTCCTCTCCAAGGCCAGCTAATTCCCCCTGCTGTGCTCTGGATCCAACTTCTTCTATCTTCTCAGGAATCCTACATGATTATTTATCCACCCTCTGTCTATCTTCAGGCCACCCCTGATCCTCCCCACTGGTCTTCCCCATTATTGTTCAAATGTGCTCAAGTCTCCCATCTTTAAAAAATACTCCTCCTGGCTGGGAGTGGTGGCTCACACCTGTAATCCCAGCACTTTGGGAGGCCAAGGCAGGCGAATCATGAGGTCAGGAGATCGAGACCATCCTGGCTAACACGGTGAAACCCCGTCTCTACTAAAAATATAAAAAATTAGCTGGGCGTGGTGGAGGGCACCTGTAGTCCCAGCTACTCAGGAGGCTGAGGCAGGAGAATGGCGTGAACCCAGGAGGCGGAGCTTGCAGTGAGCCAAGATCGTGCCACTGCACTCCAGCCTGGGCGACATGGCGAGACTCCGTCTCAAAAAAAAAAAAACTCCTCCTTTAACTCCATTTCCTCCTCTAGTTAAAGCCTTATCCTTTTTGTTTCCCTTGACCACATATCTTGAGTTATCTATATTCATTGTCTCTCTTTCAAGACTTCCACCCATTTCCCATGACACTTCATTCTGGCTTCTGCCCCCATCACTACAACAAACTCATTCTCCCTAAAGTCCTTCAAAACATCAAATTTATTAATCCAAGAGGACATTTACAGGACCTTCTTACTTTACCCCTCATCAGCACCTTAAATGATTCTCTTTCCTTGGCCTCTGAGATGCCCCTCTAGCATCTACCCCAGTCACAATTCCCACTCTTGTCAACTTTTCCACTTGGCCTTTAAATGTTGGAGTTCTCATGGCTCAGACTTATGCTTTCTTCTCTCACTTCATTTTCACTCTGTACATGATCTCACTTACCTCAGTGGCTTTAATAGTGTGTATAAACCATTGTCTTACAAATTTATACATTGAGGTATCTCCTCTGATCCAGGACTCAAGACTGCACTGTGTCTCTTTGAGGAAGTCTTAAAAAGGCCTCCAAATCAAAATATCCCCAAACTGAACTACTGTTCCTCACTTTCCTTCAACCTTTACCTGGTCTCCCTCTAGTGTTTTCCACTCAGTTGAAGAAGCCCAGTACCTTGGAGTTTACCATGACATCCCTCACCAGTACTATCTAAGTCAGCACTAAGTACAGTCAACTTTACTTCACAAATATATTATAAATCTATTAACTCCTTTCAATCTTCAGCATCATCACCCTGGTCCAAGCTACCAATACCTCTGGCCTACAACAGACTCATAAACCAGCTCCCTGAATATCTCTTTCCATCCTCCTCCATTCATGCTTCATAATAGAGCAGGTGACCTCCTTAAAATGCAGACCTGATTATGTCACTCCCCTGCTTCAAACCCTTCAATGGTTTTCTATTGCTCTTAAGATAAGTAAAAACTAAAATACAGCCTACATCATCGTGTAAGATGTAGTCCCTGCTTACTTTTCTGGCTTCTTCTTGGATCATGTTCTTTCTCCTTCTTTGAACTCTGACTACACTGACTTGACTGTTTTTAGTTCTCAGAAGTACTAAGTATCTTCCTGGATCCTATTTTTTCTCTACCCATTATGCTCTTTCTTTTCCCTCTTACTTAGATCTCAAATATCCCATTTTTGAAGCTTTCCCTAACCATCAAATATACCAACCTGAGTCAAGTTCTCATATATGTTTATTTCACATTACTTAAAACAATTTTAAATTATACTTGGTTAATGCCTTTCTCCGTCCTAGACTATGAAATGCAGCAAGGCAGAGGCTATTTCTGGGTTGCTTATTATACTATGCTAGCACCTAGTCCAGTGCTCCACTGGGCAAAGTGTAAACGTTCAATAAATATCTGTTGAATCAATTAGTGTGTTTATGAGTTAATGAACAAATGAATTAATGAATGAGGATGAGAGTAATGATGAATTTTCACACTCAGGCTATCAATATTCATCTTTATATTCCCTTGCAGCATAATCCCATGAATCAGGGTCAGGCATATACTATACAGTCCAGTTCAATATAAAAAATGTTTTGAGAACTCAGGGCATAAGCTGTATGGAGAAAAAACATTTAAGGGAAGGACTAGGAGGGTTTGATCTGTGTTCTACAATCTGGGCAAGGAAAATCAGCATTTCTATTTTACAGTCATTCTGAATACTAAACAAGAACTAGTCATATCCACTTCATGAATGAATTCCTTAAATCACTTAGATCACTTTGTAAATATATTAAAAAATCACTTTCACATATTTTTTAAAAGACAAGTCAACAAGTATCTTCTGTAAGGACTTATGATGATCCAAATTCAGTACCTAGACATGTACCCAAACCAACACTAATATATCTCCTTCTACCTTCCAGTGTCCATCTTTAGATAAATTTACAGTACTATATCCCAAAGTCTTATACAAATTCTTGGGCTTAAGCACTAAAGATATTAATCAAAGTCCAAGTCATTTATTAAACTGCAAGTGGCTATAAAGCAGAGTTAATGCAATTTGTCAGGTAGAGCAAACCAAGAAATGACTTGACCTCTGAGCTTTTAGGACCCCTTTGAAAAGCTGAGTAAAATCATTAGGGAAGAGGTTAAAATTCAACTTTGCTTTATATTCCTCTTCAAATCATGGAAAGTGCAAACATGCACCTAACAATTTAAGATTATGAGTGATAACTTACCAAACAGATTATTTCCTGAGTTTTCCCATGAGGATTTCTTAAAAGTTCAAAATGCTATCTATGTTCAATAATGCAGTTATTATTAATATCCTTCCTTTTAAAATTATGGGTTTTTTAAGCAGCTGACCTTTGACTTACAAAATCCTCAATCCTAGAGATGTCATTGTAACTATGATGTTTTTTGGACATTAATATTTTACTACTTAAATTTGGCAGCATTTTTTTTCTGGAAAGTTTCTCCTTGCTGTATCAATGTTTTAAAATTTGTGATTTAGTAAAATTAAAACAATTTCTTTTTTAAAAATGACCAGGACAGTGTTAGGCTGCATTATTTATCTATTGCTGCGTAACAAATTAATCAAACACTTGGCAGTCAAAACAGCAAATATTTATTTTCTAGGAGTAGGGGCCTAGAATCACCTTAGCTGGGTGGCTCTGGCTGATGGTCTTTCATGAATCAAGCTGTTGGTGGAAGACTGCAGTCATCTCGAGGCTCCACTGGGTGTCAAGGCTCCATCTTGAATTTTACTCTCATGGAGGCTGTGGTTCACTAGGGGGTCAAGATTCCATTACTCTCATGGAGGCTGTGGTCAAGAGGCTTCAGTTTCATACTGGCTACTGGTCTGAGGGCCTCAGGTCCTCATTTGAAGCTGTCTGTAGGATCCACAGTATCTTTTCATGTTAGCCTTTCCACAGAGCAGCTCAAAACATGGCAGCTGGTTTTCCCCAGATTAAATGCCCAATAGGTATAAGAGACAGAACAACCAAGACAGGAGCCACTTTGAATGACCTAGTCGCTAAAGCCACACATCTTCACTTCCACTTTACTCCATTTAATAGAAATGAGTCACCTGAGTTTGGCCCACATTCAATGGACGGGGGGAATTAAATTCCACTTCTTGGAGGGAGGAATTTCAAAGAACCATCACATAGGCAGTGGTTAGAAGCATGGGAGTTGGACACATTTGCAATTAGGAAGATCTGGGTTTGAATACACTGTGCGACTTACCAGCTGTGGGTTCTTGAACAAATTATTTAACCTCCCTACATCATAGTTTCACCAAGTGTACAATTAGGTCGATCATGGGTTTTGTGTGGGATTAAATAATATAAAAAAGGACTTGGTATAGCCCTTGATCATAGTAAGCACTTCATTAATGTTGCTTACACAGAAGTAATTGCTTAAGCAAACTAATTGAGTGTCCACAAGTAGAGAATACATAGCCCTTTGCCTTCTAAGAGTTTATAATCTAGCAGTTACTAAAGTGAGCCTGAATTTAGAAACCAAAAAGCTAATGCGATTTTTTTTTCTCTAGAAATCAGAGGAATTTCTAAAGAGAGGCAGTCAGAAAAGTAGCTTATGCAATATAAGAAAATATATACCAGGCTTAAACATTTTTGTTTGCTTTTTTTTTTTTTTCAGAAGACAGGATGGCTCGGCACGGTGCCTCACACCTGTAATCCCAGCACTTGGAGAGGCTGAGGTGGGCTGATCACTTGAGCTCAGGAGTTCAAGATCAGCCTGGGCAACCTGGCTAAACCCTGTCTCTATTAAAAATACATATATACAAAAATTAGCTGGGCGTGGTGGCCTGCACCTGTAGTCCCACCTACTCAGGAGGCAGAGGCAAGAGAATCGCTTGAACCTGGGAGGCAGAGGTTGCAGTGAGCCAAGTTCACGCCACTGCACTCCAGCCTGGTGACACAGCAAGATTTCGTTTCAAATAAATAAATAAATAAATAAATAAATAAATAAATATAAAAATAATAAGAAGAGAGGCTGTTTTTTCAACTTAAATTTTCTCAGAACTGCTGTGTGTAAAACATGAAAGCACACCACTTTGCAGGACTGAAGGCCCATAAGACATCCAACATGGCTCTGTCCTCTGGACATCCAATAGTCCCTGAGGCTTGGTGAAGCATAGTTTGCAAATCTTCATTCACAGATTGTGCCTGTAATTACTTCTATAAGGTATCTAAGGTCACGGTTTAAAACCATGACAACTTTATGTAGCCATATAAGCAAAGAAAATGGTTTCCTACATATGTTCTAAAAGGTAATATGTCTTCTTTAAAAATATGCAATGCTCTAAACATTAGACTCTAAAGGGATTACCTTTTGGCCAATCCCAGCTTATTCCTTCTAGGAAGAAAAGCACGTTTTTACATGATTGCCTCCTCATATCTTCTTAGAAATTAGATATCATTCTGAGCCAATAATTTGTGTTTTACATAGATTGTGTTATTAGATACTAACTCTAGGCTTCCAACAACTTGTAATCAAAGCAAAAATAAACAAAAAACCCTAAAGCCCATTCTTTTCTGAATTTAGAATTATAGGTTAGAGAAATTTCAGCCCTGGTTAACCTAGTTATTCATGTTGTTTATCTTCCCAGAGCCAAAGCTCAAATAATTTGCAAGAATTTCTAGTTTTGAACATCATGCCCAGAGTTCCAAGGCAACCAAGGGTAATTTTCAGTTGGGCCACTCAAAACATAAAGATTAGTCAAATGTTACACTGAATATTCCACATCCCTCATGTAACACTTAAAAAAGCAGTAACTATGTAAAGACTGAGAAATAGAGGTCAACTATCCAAAACTCAGGCACATTATACAATCATAAAATACTTTAAATTATTACACAATATCAATGTCCTGTCCTTTGGAGATGCTTCTGTGCCTGTTATTAGCCATGTATCAAAAATTTATTTATTATTGGATTATGGGACTTTCTGAAGAGCATTGTGGTCAATTTATGTGGATATCTACATATTAAAAAAACAACATGTTTTACAGATGTTAGGCAGGTTTTGAAAATAATCCACAAATTCAAGGCTGAAACTTAATCCAGCTCACAAAGAAGTGTATACCATGCATCCAGGTCTGCTGTAGTTTGACAATATAGTTTTCAAATTCTGTATACCTAGAAAAAGGACACCAAGAATAGGGGTTAAGCAAGTGGAGAAGTGTGGGAGTAATTGAATACAGCATTAGGAGTGTAGGCTCTGAAGCCAGAAAAACATATGTTTTAATCTCAGCTGTGTTACTAGCTGTGAATCCCTGGCCAAGTAACTTAACTTCCCTTGGTCTCATTTCCTCAGCTAAGTTACTCAAGGCTATGTGCCTTACAGTTATCAGGAGTAAGTGTGATATGCACACACAATGCTAGGCACAGTGTACAGACTCAGTTCATATATGATTTAGGGGGTCCTGTTTTATACCAATGTTCAGGGCACACATTCAAAATCAAATTTCTTCCAAGTTATCCCACTCTTATGACTACCTCTTAGCTTACCAATGAGGACTCAGCTACATATGTACGCTGAGTAAAACTTTGTTCTTGTTGCTGTGATAAATTTAATTAGTTTGGAGAACATACTTTGTGCCCAGCATGATGTTGGATTCAACATCATTGTATTTTCTGTTACAGAACTTGCTATCTGGTTACAAAGGCCGGTAAGTTTAACACATGAGAGGGCCCAAATTAAAAAAGCACATGCACAGTATTTAAAAATCATAAAATCAAAAGCAGTGCACGCTTCTGGATTGAATCCTGGAACAGAAAAGAAGATGTGAGTGGAAGCTCTGGGGGAATTAGGATGAAGTCTGGATTTTAGTTAATAGTACTGTACTAACATTGGTTTCTTAGTGTTGACAAATATATCATGATTATGGATGTCAACATGGGAAACTAGGTGAGGAATATACAGGACCTCTAAAATTTTTGCAACTTTTCTGCAAACCTGAAATTAGTCCCAGATAAAAAACTTACTTAAATAAATTATATTGTGTTATCCCTTAACTTGCCTAAAGTATTCACCTCACCTAAGTAGGCTCTCTCATCGCTGGCAAGGTAGAAATCTCTCTGAAAAACTTCTCTACCCAGGAATGGCTTTTATTATTGACTTTAAAATCTAAGTTTCATAACCTGCTAATAATCATCTAGATATATCTTTCATTTTTACTATGTGACAATAATACAGGCACGTTGACAGAGAAGTCAAAAGGAACTCATCTCTGGCCAGCAGGACTCTTCTGGAGGAGGGAAATCTCAACAGTTCAAACAAAGTAAACACTTCAGGGACTCACTGAAGCCCTAGTTTCGTTGTTTGGGGAAAGGAGGAGAAAAAAATAGCGACTGTTATCAAGAGGGTCTTTTATAAGTGAAGGTTTCAAGTCTTTATGCTCAAAAAGATACTGTAGGGAATTCTCTATATCTGCAGTGCCCAATATGTGCCAGGCACTATTTTGACTCATTGCTTGTGAAATAAGAATAATCAACTGTTTTTTTGCAGATAAAGCTCAGAGAGTTTAATTGGCTGAGAGTCACAAAGATAGTAAAGATAAGAAGGGTTGTATTCAAATCCGGTCAGACAAGCAGATTTGTGTGAATCCAAAGCCTACTCCATGCCCTTTCCAAAAAGTCAACCAATTTGTAAGCTTTGGCTATGGTTGACATCTCAACAGGCATCTGCCAACCCTAATTTACAGGTGAATCTGTGTGTGTTCCCAGGCGAAAGAACTGCTGGTCAAGTACCAGTTATCTCAATTCACATTCCACCCATTCAGATAGTTAACATAGCTAACTATCATCCTTCTATAAAAATGGCAGAGATAAACAACATGCTATTCCATAGTTATAGCCCATGTTAATAGGAGGGACTGTGGTGCTGCAACAAGAGCTCTTGAAAGAAAACTAAAAGAATTGAGTTATAAATCTGTCACTGAGACTGTGAAGTTTAATCCTAGAAGAAAGTTTTGTCACTTCTCAGGGCCTCCCATTTCCTCACCTATAAATAAAGTGAGGATATGAGACTCAAGTATTTCAATAGGGATCTACTGGCATTTGAGGAGGCACAATAATTTCTTATATAGGACTGCCCCTGGCATCACAGAAATTTAGCATTTCTGACTTCAGGCACCAAAAGCCTACAACTCTTTCCAGTTCTTATAATAACTGTATTTCCCAATGTCCCTATGCACTACCTAGCAGAAAGGAGTGGCTTGGTTGACAGCCACTGGTAGATGATCTCAAGTTCTGTGAGGCCCTATGGCTCTATTGGGCCAGGACTGTCAGCATCAGCACATGGCTTGAGAGCAGGAGCAGAGGAGGTAATCTCAGGTCAGCTCTGCCATTGTAAAGCCCATTCAAGATCATATTCTTGAATGGAAGTCATATTGTTGGCATCTTTAATAGGCCTCTTGGAACATTGTTTAAGAAAGAAGTTTTCAGACTGAATTTACATAATGTTCAGAAAAGATAAATGTGCTGAAATACCACACAGCAGCCACCACTATCCAATCAGCAATAGGGTCAGGGTGGCCACTCCAATAGCCCTACCCAAGGGATGAGCCTATATGCAGCGACCATAATAAGCAATGGGAAGAGCTTCCAACGGATAACAAATCCACAGCCTGGTACTCTCTGCCTCCTCCCTATTACCAGTAACCCCAGTGAACTCAAGATACGCCTCCTGGTCCTCAGTTCCTAACTCCTTGCATGAAACCTCTCCAACCCTTCTACCTAACCAAAAAAAAAAAAAAAAAAAAAAAATACCATATCTTAAGTACTGGCTCAGGAGCCATGTTGCCCATGAAGGCCACTCTTCCAATCCCTCAGTCCAAACAGATTGTCCTTCTCTCTAAATAAATGTAGCATTTATAGTCTCTAATGAACTTTTCATTAAGTTGTACAGTCATCGACTGTTCCATAATCACACCATGAATGTACATTAATAGTGTTGCCTTCTAGCTTGAATGCTTGGTACTAAAGTCAAGAGTCATGTTTTAATTCCCTAGTGTCTAGCACATTCCTGGGAACACACTAATGGATTGATAAATACATGTTCTGTTTTTGATTTTTCACAATGATACCAAAAATACCACTAGCCTGGCCAGACTTACATCCTGTAGGCTAATTTAAAAAAAAACTTATTTATTCAACATATTTTCCCAAGTAGTTTTCAAAGTACTTTTCAGATTATATAAATAATTCTCTCCCTATATGCACCGAGAAAAATAAATTAAAACACTAAACTTTGTAGGACAAAAGCAAAGAGAATTAAAATGTCATGCTCCATAATAAGTATACTAAGATCTGGCAAAGTAGATATGTCTCCCAAGTCCTACTAAGTCCTAGATAAAATGTGAAACATATATCCATCTTGCTCCAAGTACTAAAAACTTCTAAATGTTTCCAAGGCTGTGAACAGCATACACCTTGGAAAGCAGGTCATGAAGTTTGAGTGACATCATTAATCTAAGGAGAATAATAGCAAATTTGCATTATGAACCTGATCCTATCTACATCCTTTTGCCCTCAAATTATCCACAAACTTCTTGTCAATGCTTCCATATTTCTGTATGTTTTACTACATATTAAGGCCACCTGCAAAATATTTACTGAACACCTATTCTATGGCAAAGAAAAGCATGGCTTCACCAATGTCTCTATGGGAAATAAGGTGCTACATTGAAAGAATGAACTATGAAAGTAGTAGTTCTTCTTTATTCTTGCTTCTCTTTCTTTAATCTTTCTGATTTCCTAGGTATAAAAATGATGCCTTTCCTTTATCTATTTCATCTTGCCCAGGGATTCTGGTATCTTCTTCTATCCCCAGGGGAAGAAGCCACTGCAGAGGCTCTATCTCCACGGTCTTTACAGAATTTATCATTCACATATGCTTTGTCAGATTAGTCTTCATTAGTTTGGCCAACTTAGAGGCTTTCTAGTATAACAATCACATAGCTTGAAAGTGTGCAGAGAAGCAGCTGATAGGGTGAATTAGGATCATGTGCCACATAGTGACGAAGAACAAAGGCTGCCTTTCTGACCAATGGCAATCAAAATTGAATGTCTGACTGAGGTTTCTCACCAGCCATCATCAAATTCAAGATGATCATTTACAGCATCAATTATGCACCTTTTCTCTCAATAAGCACAGGGAAAGAACTATCTGCGATTCTGTTTTGTAATGATAACACTCTACTTTCATTGATATGGCAATTCAAAGTTTTAAAAGATAGATATAATGCTTAATAAAATAAAGTGCATTTTTTAAAGCAAGAAAAGAATAAGGATTTTTCTTTGGACTTTATCACTTGTTTAATATACTGTATTCTAAAGGAATAGAGGAGATGCTTCTTTTAAGACTTTTCAATAGGCTACTTCAAATGTTTAATTTTATAAACAACCGAGGAAAAAATCAAGGAGTTACTACAGCAAATGTCTAGCACAGTAGGTTGTCAACCATGGATAAGTACATAAAAGTACCTGTTCAGATTGCAAAATCTTGATGTGTTCCAGTTCCCTATCAGGGAATTCTCTACACCTGTGCTGAATCCCTGTGAAATGCGCTTCTTCCCTAGGACACAGGTTGTCCACCATGGATAAGTACATAAAAGTACCTTTTCAATTTGCAAACTCTTGATGTGTTCCAATTCTCTATCAGGGAATTCTCTACACCTGTACTGAATCCCTGTGAAGTGCACTTCTTCCCTAGGATACCCCTTTTTACTTAGAAGCCAGCCAGCTGGAGATAGATTTATCTTTAAACAAATTCACAACCTAAGAAGTATAATTCATTGGGAATATAATAATGTTAGCCTAAAGAAAACTGGCTGAAGTCTTATCAACAACAAAAGAAGAAAGCCCTAATCAAAACAGTAAACACATCTGGAAGTTTGAAAGACTCTGTAGAAGAAGTTATCTGCTGATTTTGGAATGGAGTATTTGAAGGTAAGTTTAGATGCTGATTAAAAGCATGCAGCCAGCAATTTCTGACAAAATCACTACCTTCTTATGAATCATTACTAAGTAAAATTAGTGCCTGGCCTAAGGCTTTATTTGCCTATATTAAAAGGTAGGAAGAAGCACTGAAGAAAGAAGTTGAGACTAAAAAACAATGACTTTTCCATCCTTCTTTGAAGAACCTGGTACTCATCAATGAATTTTCTTTAGCACAAAGAAAAAAACAACAACAAAAGAGAAAAACAATATTTCAGAAAGACTTTCTGCATCAGATAGTGATGAGTTGCATTGTTTTAGAATGAAAGCAAGAAGCATGGTTTTGATAAAATTTTTATCTATTTTATTTAATTGATTAAAAATTAATGATGAGAGAATAAAATAGGCAAACATTTTTTGATGCTTACATTTAAAAGAAGAGAGAAATTTGATAATTAAATGGATTCAAACAATAGCCCTGAAGAGAATTCTAAGGGGTCATTTTGTTTACTTCTCCTTTTTGCTTGTTTTTAACATACAAGAAATATGAAGCCCAGGAAGGTTAAATAGTTGGCAAAAACTGCAAAGCCCATTAAAGGCAGAGCTTGGAGAGGACCCAAGTTTCTTGACATCTAATTTACTATTATTTCATATTATATCATCCTAACTTAGACGTTTCTTATAGCAAAGTAAACCTTTGGTTTGAAAATTGCATGTCCAAGTACTTGCCAATGGGTCTCTTGTAATTTTGGGGGGTGAGGACTGGGAGGTGGGGAGTAGTGAAATGAATGTTTGAAATGTAAAAAAAGGAACTGAATCATTGCTTATTTCTTCCCTTCATATCAGACTAGAATAAAGCAAAAAAGCAAATGTGTATGAATTGAGACCATAATGCTGGGGATAAAGTGAAGAAACACACACATACACACACACACACACACACACACACACACGGGACTAGCATGGACAATTTTATCTAAGTGCACAACACTATGATTATCCCCTTGTCTTGATCAAAGGTCTCTCAAAGGGCTTTTGGTAGGCTCAGATGTCAGTTTATATCACAGGTTTGTTTTTTCTCTCTCATCCTCCCACCCCACTGCACCAAGAAACATAGCCATTTGTTTCACATTCAGACTTGCTGAAAAACTGACATTGTCTCTTCATCATCCAACATATATGTTTTTGTGTGTGTGTATGTGTGTGTGTGTGCAGGAAGACAATGCTGTGGCAGATTCTTAGCTTGGTGGCAAGGGGAATTCACAATTTAGCTGGAAGCCCAAGACAGATACATAAAAGAGAAATCAGTCACACCAGGTAGGTGCCCAATGCACACTTCAGGCCTCTCCTCTGGATAAGCCAGATTTGCTATCTTCTTCCAAGGCAGCTAAGACTTGGTAAGCTAAGAGTAACAGGGCCTTTGTCCAGCTCCTGTCCAGACCTACAACAGGACATGGGACCTGCTTATGGAGTGTGAACACTTTAGACTTTCCTGTGGCATTGGCAAGCCATTTACCTCCTGAGAAAAAGTAGATGGCTGACTTAGACATGTCCTGCATGCACATCTTAAATCCCAGTTGCCCAAGGAAGTATCTTTATTTGATGTACTTTCACTTCATTTAAGGCCAGATGGCATACTCTCTGGGACTTTGGCAGAACAAGCCTTCAATAAATGCCTGATTGCTAGTACTGACTCATGTTCATGGAAGCAGACACAATGAGGCCTATGAAAAAAATACATCATAGTCCCTACCTGTCTATAACATGTAGTTTCAACTTGTTTATCTTTGGAACATTCTACTTTCGGTATATTTGGGGTTGATATTCCTTGATAGGGAGAAATTAAGTCACTATTTGCACTGTTTATAGAATTTTATTTACCCACACAGTATTATACTTTCCATAAATTTATAGTACATTCAGGCATGAAAAAATGTTTTGAAGCTATTATAAAAATGCTTTGACTATGGATGATTAATAATCTGAAAAGAACAAGTTATCTTGTTTATAGGTATGAAATTAATCAAGAGCGTAATGAAATGGCTAAAGAATTTCATTAATATTAAACTGTCTTAATAGATATAGAATGTTCAGAACTACAAATTATAAATCTTTTGTTTAGAAAACACACATTAGGAGGGACAGTCAGTAATATGGTTTTGCTGTGTCCCCACCCCAATTTCATCTTGAATTGTAGCTACCATAATCCCCATGTGTCATGGGAGGAACCCAGTGGGAGGTCATTGAACCAAGAGGGCGAGTTTTTCCCATGCTGTTCTTGCGATAGTGATTAAGTCTCATGAGATGTGATGGTTTTATAAAGGGTAGTTCCCCCGCACATGCCTTATTGTCTGCCACCATGTAAGAGTGCCTTATTCCTCCTTCACCTTCTGCCATGATTGAGAGGCCTCCCAGCCATGTGGAACTGTGCGACCATTAAACCTAATTTTCTTTATAAATTACCCAGTCTTGGGTATGTCTTTGTTAGCAGCATGAGAATGGGCTAATATAGTAAGTTGGTAATGGTAGAGTTGGTGCTGCTGTAAAGATACCCAAAAATGTGGAAGCAACTTTAGAACTGGGTAACAGGCAGAGGTTTGAACAGTATGGAGGGCTCAAAAGAAGACAGGAAAATGTGGGAAAGTTTGGAACTTTCTAGAGACTTGGAGGGCTCAGAAAACAGGAAGATGTGGGAAAGTTTGGAACTTCCTAGAGACTTGTTGAATGGCTTTGACCAAAATGCTTATAGTGATATGGACAATAAAGTCCAGGCTGATGTGGTCTCAGATGAAGATGAAGAACTTGTTGGGAACTGGAGCAAAGGTGACTCTTGTTAATGCTTTAGCAAAGAGACTGGTGGCATTTTTCCCCTGTCCTAGAGATCTGTGGAACTTTAAACTTGAGAGAGATTATTTAGGGTATCTGGCAGAAGAAATTTAGAAGCAGCAAAGCATTCAAGAGGTGAAAAGAGCATAAAAGTTTGGAAAATGTGCAAGCTGATGATGCCATAGAAAAGAAAAACCCATTTTCTGGGGAGAAATTCAAGACTGCTGCAGAAATTTGCATAAGTAATGAGAAGCCAAATGTTGGTCACCAAGACAATAGGGAAAATGTCTCCAGAACATGTCAGAGGCCTTTATGGCAGCCCCTCACATCACAGGCCCAGAGGCCTACGAGGGAAAAATGGTTTTCTGGGCCTGCTAGGTGCAGCCTAGGTACTTGGTACCCTGTGTCCCAGCCCCTCTAGCCATGTCTAAAAGGGGCCAAGGTACAGCTCAGGCCATGGCTGCAAAGGGTGAAAGCCCCAAGTCTTGGAAGCTTCCATGTGGTGTTGGTCCTGCAGGTGCACAGAAGACAAGAACTGAGGTTTGGGAACTTCCACCTAGATTTCAGAGGATGTATGGAAATGCCTGGATGTCCAGGCAGAGTTGTCCTGCAGGGGCAGAGCCCTCATAAACAACCCTTGCTAGGGCAATGAGGAAAAGAAATGTGGGGTTGGATCCTCTACACAGAGTCCCCAGTGGGTCACTGCCTAGTAGAGCTAAGAGAAGAGGGCCACCATTCCCCAGCACCCCCAATGGTAGGGGCTGACAGTTAGCACCATGTGCCTGGAAAAGCCACAGTCAATGCCAGCCATGAAAACAGCCTGGATGTGAGACATGAAGTCAAAGGAGTTCATTTCAGAACTTTAAGGTTTAATGACTGCCCTATTAGACTTTGGACTTGCACCTATAGCCCCTCTGTTTTGGCCAATTTCTCCCATTTGGAATGGGCATATTTACACAATGCCTGTACCTCCATTGTATCTAGAAAGTAACTAACTTGCTTTTGATTTTACAGGCTCATAGGTGGAAGGGACTTGCCTTGGTTCAGGTGAGACTTTGGACTGTGGATTTTTGAGTTAATGCTGAAATGAGTTAAGACTTTGGGGGACTGTTGGGAAGGTATGATTGGTTTTGAAATGTGAGAACATGAGATTTAGGAGGGGCTAGGAGCGGAATGATATGGTTTGGCTTTGTCTCCACCCAAATGCCATCTTGAATTGTAGTTCCCATAATTCCCACATGTGGTGGAAGGGACCCAGTAGGAGTTGATTAAATCATGGAAGTGGGTTTTTCCCATGTTGTTCTCATGATAGTGAATAAGTCTAATGAGATCTGATGGTTCTATAAAGGGCAGTTCCCCTGCACATGCTTTCTTGCCTGCTGTCATGTAAGACATGCCTTTGCTCCTCCTTCACCTTCCGCCATGATTGTGAGGCCTCCCCAGCCATGTGGAACTGTGAATCCATTAAACCTCTTTTTCTTTATAAATTACACAGTCTCACGTATGTCTTTATTAGCAGCATGAGAACAGACTAATACAATGAGAATGTACAATCAAGGGCATCTTGTTCAAGGCAGAGGAGGGTGGAACCCTATAGTGGATGAAAAACTGCTCCAAGAGTAGGCAAAAGGGGATTCGGCAAGGAGGATAATATTTGTTTTCAAGTATGGTAAACACAGGGAAAAGAGACTAGATTCATTGTGGTCAGCTGCTGAAGGATAGGCAAGTGGATGGAAGAAAATGTTGATTCAGTATAAGAACTTTCTAGAAATGAATCTTTCCTAGAATGGACTGACCAATGAAAAAGGGAGATTTCCAACTGATTATTTCCAATAAGAGATAGACTAGACCATTTTCACAGATAGAGGTTCATGCACCAGATAATTACCTCTAAAGTAATTATCATCTTAAGTAATTCTTTTATGGGACATATTATTTATATTATCTGTTTCAGGTTGAAAAAAATTACTTGCCAGAAAGACATTCTGTACTGTCTTGTTTACACAATTGGCTGAGGGATGACTCCAGTCTTACCAAACTTCGATTCTTATCAATTGAAGATTGAAAAGGTGATTAGGAGATTTGAATGCTCATAATATTTAAATAATTACCACAGAAATTATAGGGTTCTTTTTAAAGAAGAAAAAGTATTGGCTTGTATGGACACACATAAACACATTAAGAAATATAAGTTATTTTCATTACTGACATACTTTTTAAAAATTGCTCTTTAAAAGCAAACCAAATTCCCATAGTTGTGCAATTTGCCAGTGGTACGACCTGAGAAGTGTAATCTTCAGGTTAGCAGATTTAAAAAACATAATCCATGCTTTTTTCACTAAGCTAAACAATTTACTGTCCCACTTTCTCACTACGTCACTCACATTTATCTTTACATTAACATTGCTCACCAGGAGATAGCCAAAGAAGGCTAGCCAAGTTGGACCAACTGCAAGATTTGTTTCCCTGCTGCAAGATTTGCTTCATGCACTTGGAAGAAGCACGCTGCAACTGTGGCTCCATTTATTATATTATGCTATAAACATTATGTCCTGAGCTAACAAGATACTCAACATGACAATCCCATAGGTTACCAAGCACTGTAAACATCTGTTTAAGCAGGCGCCAGAGATAGCATACAGGAGGCCTCTAGTATCCATTTTAAAGTGGTTTATGATGTGGAGTCTGCTGTTTAAAAACTAATAATAAAAAACATGGGCCCAAAGCCTGGCTAAAACAAATTTTTGTGAGCACAGTTATGTTCATTTTGAAAAAAGAATGCACTCATCTCGTCACTTTGTCATTGCATTTATAGACTTTCATTTCACACCTTTGCCCATTAAGTGTTGGCTTTCCATGGGCTTCAGGAGACCATAACTATAATTTCACTGTGATATATTTACTCCAATAAAAAAAAGCTAAATGTTGACACACCAACTTTCCTTAGATTAATGCAAAACAAAAAGTTTATAAGGGTGGAAGAAGATGATGAGAGACGGGACAACCTCTTTAAGCTACACATGATGTCTTCCAAAGGTCTTTAGGCCAAAACACATCCTTCCAGCTCCATCCAAAGGCCCAGAAGGGAAGCTGTAGATAGCTGAAGACTCCTTGAAATCTAATCTGGAAACACTGAGCTTTGCTTTTCTCAAAAGGAAAAAGAGCTCCCAATCACTGAATAAATAGAATCAACAATCCTGTCTGCTGCATCAATTTTGTTTCTATCCAGCATTTTAATTTCTGGAAAGGTTTCAACATTTATCATCAGAAAAAAGACACTTCTAGGGTGATTCAGGTGGAAACTAGCCTGGAACACCAGTTGCTCAGGAAACAGAGCCTGACCTGCCACAATATCCCATGTCTGCAAGAAAAGATGAGTGTCTTCCCAGGCACACACACCAGGGAGCCTGAATACCTCTGAAACCAGCCAGTCCCTGGACTGTGGACAGCAGCACCCTGAAAATTTCAAATTCATAGCTCCAACCTGTGTCTGTCTCCGAAGTTCTGTACTCACACATATTACACATCCCTTAGACCTCCCAAACGCCCTCCCATGCAGTTCTCCTGAGAACTCCCCAAAACCTCACTTCCAGTCCTCAGCCACTCAGGGCAATGCGTTTAGTTATTTTAAAGCCCTTAATACTTAATCCTATGCAGAAACTACTCTGACTTCCCAACACTTTGGCCTTCCGTTACCTTTCTCTGTCCCTTCCAAGGTCTCCTGGCGGCACAAACAGACAGGCGGCACCTCTGTGGCCTCTTCCACCCTGCACACCCTACTGGCTCAGGCGCCGACACGCCTCCCCAGGCGCACACTCGCGCGCGCACACACAGCGCACACGTACACTCATTCAGGACACACAGTCCGCGCCAGACCGAGAGCCCCCGCAGCTCGGTCTCAGCAGGCATCCCCTCGGGCTATATATAAAGCACTCGCCCCAAATAGACTTCCCCACGCACTCGCAAGTGCCCTGCCCCGCACCCTCTGCGCCGCCAGCGCCCTCTCCCTAGACACGCGGCCACCCCATTGACCCGCAGCCTCTGGCAGTTCTGTCAAAACTTTAAGCCTGGTTGATTTTACAACCACTAGTGTGTCAAAAGCTGGGGGAGGTCGGCTCGCCACAATTTCCACTTACCCCAGTTCATGCGGACTGGTGGCTGTCACTCTACTGACCCCAGTTCCATCGGTGCCAACGTGCGGCTGCGGCCCGCACAAACGCGCAAAAGACCGCGCGCTCTGCGCGCTGTGTCCACGCGCACAGCTCGACCTCCCCAGTCTCTCCAGTCGCGCTGCCGGGGATTCTTCCCCGCGCAACAGCAGCAGCCTCGGCAGTTCCTGCCGCAGCCAGGCAGATGATGGCAAACAGAAACACACTAGCAAAACTTTTATGACTTTAACAAAACTGTCTCCGGAGTAAACCCCTCCACGTACACTACTCGCGGGCCAGAGCAGACGCCAGAGTGTGATGGTTCGTCTGTCGCCCGCAACTCCCTGCCGCCCTCACCAACTTCCAGACACACACACACACACACACACACACACACACACACACACACACACACTAGATTGGGTTACAACAACCCACCAGCAGAAAACAACTTCTTCGCAAGGAGGAGGGGAGCACAGCCAAGTCATCCGGAATAAAAAATTATCCGTGTAAATATATAAGACAGATCCTCCCGTTTTCATAAACAACTAGAGTCCCAGGGTTCACCCTCAGGCCCCCTGGCACAACAGGAGGAAAATAAAGCCAGACTCCCGGAGCCCCACTCCAGTACCTCCGAGCTTCGCCTCTGATCAGAGAGCGCGGGTTCGCGTCTGCGCTGGGGCCAATGGTGCCGGGGCCTCCGGCCCGCGTGGCCCCAGCCCGGGGTCCCCGCCGCCGCCCGGGCTCAGCAGCAGCCGCCGCCGCCACCGCCACTGTAGCAGCTGCTGCTGCCGCTGCCGCCGCCGCCGCCGCTCCCTAGCCCTCCTCCTCTTCCCATGGCTGCGCCCTGCTTGGCAGCTCGCGGGCTGTCAGGCTTGGGGAGGAGAGAGGGGGCGGGGTGAAACGGGAAGGGAGGATGGGAGGGCAGGGGTGGGAAAAGGCGGCCACCGTTCACCAGGGGTCACGCCGCGCCTGGCCCGCAGTCCCCCAGATCCAGGTTGCAGAAGCGAAGGCGAAGCGGACGTTCAAGGAGGCCAGTTCGAGAACTGCTGCGGAGAGGCCGAGTGCCGCCCGGGCCAAGCATTCCGAGTTGCTGGGATGAAGTCTTCCCGGCGAGGAGCTGGAGTTGGTGCGTGTCACTCTCAACTGAGCTGCGCGGCTCCTCCTAGAGGAAAATATTGGTAGTTGCAATACACTTCCTTCCTCTCCGCCTGCCCGTTCCAAATGAAAGCAGGACCTACAAGAGCGTTAAGTGCAGTCCACAGACTCAAAGAAACACTTACAAAAAGGTTAGCTATCTCCAGGAATGAGAGGAAGATCAGCGAGATACCTTGGAAAGCGTGTTTAGCCATCCAAATATTGCCTTTCCATCAACAATCAAGTTCCAAACTCCTGCTCACTGGGGCACAGTGAAAAGATAGTTAAAACTACGAAGGACTTTATTGTGGAGGTTAGAAGACGGAGACAGAGAGAATGAGTAATTTACCAAGGACACTCAGCATGTTAGCAGAGAGGTATCTGCTAGAGGACAGGGATGCAGGGAGAGCAGACACAGGCCCCAGCCTGAAGTTCCTGAGCCAGGAAAAGGGTTTTAACTCTGCCTCACGCTGGACATAGCTCATCTGTCAAATGCGAGCCCTGCCTACTTCATTCACAAGAAGTTGTAAAAGTGTTGCAGAAAGTTAAAGTTGTGCATAAGCATGTCATTTTTGTACAGCATCAAACCCCAAGTCACTATATGCTTTTCTGAGTAGAGAGTACAAAAATCTAGCTCCAGGTTGTCTCAGATCTGAAGGAGTAGCTAGTCATGCAATCTTTCCACTATTTACTGACGGTCAATTGTAATGTCACTTACTTATAAGCTTCTAACAGCTTTGGCTTACTAAAGACTTTTTTTTTTTAACAGAGCTCCCAGACACAAACCCAAGTTTATACCCAGAAAGAAATGTTTAAACAACTTAAAGGAACCAAGTTTCTTTTCTTTAGAATAAAATATCTATAGGGCTTTGAAGTAGTACACGGGAGCCAAGACTTGAGAAGGAACAGAGGACCAAAGACTCTGGGATAGCAGATATCACATAAGATACCCCTATTTTCAAAGGAATCAGATAAGTGAAAAACTGTTCCTTAGAATGCTTTCAGAAGCTCAGCTGTGGCTCAAATACCCCAGCTGTTCCAGACAGACACCTAGAATGAACGAAAAAGGAAAGATTCTGGAAGGGGCGTGTTTTATCATGGGGTGGGATGGTTATTGATCCTGAACTGCTCTTGTTCTATGGCATCTAAAAATAAGGAGGCATTTAGTTCCCCTAAGACTCTTCCCCAAACCATTGATTTCTGGGGCTTCATACTTTGCTGGAGCAATAGTGGTGCTTGGCTGTGTCTGGAGCTTTTAAAAGGGGAGGTACCCATATAGAGAAACTTGGGAAAGTAAAAGATTAGGGCACAGTCAAGAAAAACTCCTGCTGGGTGGTCCATACCTGCCAAGCTGGCTGACAGGGTAGTCCTGGCAGGAGTAGAGACCAGACAGGCCTCAAATGCTGACTCCACGCCTGTCTGAAATGACCTTCCAAGTTGGACCTTCTTCAGAGCCTGGCACTACCAACCTCTCTGTTTATATCCTCTCTGTGCCTTCTCATCCTTTGCCCTTCTTCCCTGAGCTAGAGAATCTTGATCTAGTTTAGGAGGTGCCAGACGGAGTCATAAAAGATATTCTAAATTCTATTGTTTATGCTCTGAGATGAGCTCAGGGCCATACTTAAAAAAATAAGAATTGACTTCTTTTTTTTTTTAAATCTGGGTTCAGCAATATCCTCCATTCTGTGTGCCATGAAACTAGACTACTCTGGCTGCTGCTCTGTCTTTGATTTTTAAAAAGTCATCATGCACAGAAAACATAGGAAAAGACACCTCAGTTAATACTATAGAACTAGATATAAACCTGCAACTGACATGAAGGGCAGTCTTTATTTTTAAGCCTCGTAAGTAAAGGTCCTTCAATCTCATATATGACCAGGTATTGGTCCATAGTAGTATGTGCCTCTTTATATATTCCAAATTGTGAGGGAAAATGTAGCAGGTATTGAGTTGATTAATTTGTTATAAGTTAAGGCATGCCAGAGCACATTTACCTTCTGAAGAATGAAACTGCATTTGCTCATGGTTTCCACTCTGCTTGGAAGATCCTACTTTGTCCACCCAGAGAAATCCTTCTTAATCTTAAAGTTCCAATCAATTGTTTACTTTCTCTCTGAAGGTCTTCCTGACTATTCCCCAGGGTGGAATTAATTAATTCTCCCTGTATCAGCACCTTTATAGGCCTTTATATCTTCTTTTATTAAATATTGCAGTTTTGTTGACATGTCTGCTTTTCTCATTAATTAAGAGATTTCTGAGGGAGAAACTATATATTCTTAATATCTGTACCTGCAATGTCTAGGTTAGTGCCCAGTATTTACAGAGTTTATAAAGCGTCCAATAAATAATCAAATTGAATGAAAAGTTGTATCTCTTGGATTTATATCTCTAACCCAGATCTCTCCACAGAGCTCCAGGCTAACAACTGGGTATCTCCATTTGGATGTCTAACAGACCTCTGAAACTTGACATGTCCACATCTGAACTCTGGTTCTTTCTCCTTAAACATACTCCAATCACAGTGGGTGACATTTCCATCTCAGTAGATGGCAACTACTTCCTGCCAGTTACCCAGGCCACAAACCTTTGAAATCATCCTTACTTCTTCTCTGCCAATCACATTCCACATTCAAAACTCTGTCTATTTTCTTGGAGAGGTCCAGAGACACCTGGTCTGAACCACCAGAATTTCTCAGATTACTGCAGTAGTCTCTCAACTCAACTGGTCTGCTTGCTTTGACAAACCCCACCCCTAATCCCCAACCAACACCAACAACAACCCAAAGTATAAATTCAGTTGCCATAGTCATTCCTTTTAAAATTAATATCATGTCATTCCTCAGCTCAAAACCCTCCAATGGTTCCCCATTCAAATCAGAATAAAATTCAAAATGGCCCATGAGACCCTACGTGAGCTATGTACCTTTGCCCCACACCTCATCTCCCATGAATTTCCCCATCACTGGGTCATCCATTCTGCTCCCAGCACACCGGCCTCCCTGCTGTTTCTTAAGCAGGCCAGGCAGACTCCTAACTTGAAGGCTTTTTGCTGGCTTTTCTCTCTGATTTAAACACACTTCCACAAATATTCATTTGCTTCCTCCTACAGTTCCTTGAAGTCTTTACTCAGATATTGGCTAACTTATCTTGTCCAACCTATTTTACCTTATTATGGCCTTACCTTATTATGGCCCACCCTTCCCCAGTCTTTTATACATCCCCAGTAGGGCTTAGCAAAAAATATAAACTGCCTTGAAGACAATAGAAACAATTAGAAAATAATTCTGATTATATATATTCAAGTGCAGATATCTAGGTCAGATCGCCATCTCCCCAAACCATAAAACACCACAGTATAAACTTCCTAAATCTACAGTTATCTGAGGTTAGAGCATGGCTTTAGTCACTCTGTTGTACTATAAAATGCCAAAGCTTCTTCTCAAAACAAAACAAAAGAGGCCAAAACACTTAAAGTAGCATTTTATAGCTGTTTTGTTTTATAGCATTTGTAGTTGAAGAACATAGGATTGTTAGTCAGGAGCCTTGGGATCCTGTGTGGGTCCTCTGTGATTTTGGGTAAATTAGTTACTAATCTCACAATGACTCCATTTCTTGGCCTATAGAAGGAAGGGGTTGCTCTCTGAGATCATTCAGCTGTAAAATAAAGTATTAGATTGATATTTGTAAATCAAATTATGATATCAAACATTTGTGATAAATTCTAAATTTATTTGAATAATATTTGACCAAATGTCCGGGTACCATGCCCTAGCAAAGTTGACACATTGAGATGGTTAATTTTATGTGTCAATTTTGCTAGACCATGGTACCCAGATATTTGGTCAAATATTATTTTAGATTTTTTTGGCAAAGGCATTTTTATGGTAAGATTAACATTTAAATCAATAGACTTTGAGTAAATCATATTGCTCTACATAATGTAGGTGGGCCTCAATCGATCAGTTGAAGGCATTAAGAGAAAAAAACTGACCTATCCCAAAGAAGAGAAAATTCTGTCAGCAGGCAGCCTTTGGATTCAAACTGCATATCAACTATTCCCTAAATCTGTAACCAATTTACCCTGTAGATTTTTGACTTTTCAGTTTTCACAATTATGTGAGCAAATTTCTCAAAATAAGTCTCTGTATATATATCTCATGAATATGACATATATATATATATATATATCTCATGAATATGACATATATATATATATATATCTCCCTGATTAATACAATATTTACTGGTAAAATTAATAAGATTCTAATAAAATATTATCCCTTTAATGAATTTTTTTTAAACTAACACTGAATTCCCATTCACCATGTTCTTTCATTCATACAAATGTTGGTGAGCCTACACTATGACAGACTTCGTTCTAAAAACTTAGCATGCATCAGGGAACAAAATTTATACCACATATCTACAAAGATGCTGCCCTCATGGGGCTTGCATTCTAGTTAGGAGAGACAATGAACAATAAACATAATAAGTAAATCACTGAAGTGCTGATTAAAGAAAACCATAGCAGGGTAAGAGGCTCAAGAATGTCAGGTAGCAGGTACAAGAGTGCTGAGAATTCCTTCCTTGCCCAGGACTCAGCATATCATGGAATTGAGCATGTGATGCTTGTGAGCACACTGTGAGAGCTCTTTGACTAGGGTACTCTCTTTATCTTAGTCCCCTAGTTCCATCCCACAACTGCCTTGGGTGAGGATGGCAAGGGAATCATGAAGAGAAAAAAATGACTTAGGGAAGTATTTATTGCTTTCCCCCTATATTGGAAGGTAACAGGGAAAATGTTATTTCATGATCTGGGTATTCTTAGCCAAAATTTATGAGGAGGTCCCAGAGCCAGGTGAAAGCTTAAAATTGCCATTTATTGGAAAACAACCTAAGATGGCCAAATAGGAACAGCTCTCATCAGCAGCTCCCAGCGTGACTGATGCAGAAGACGGGTGATTTCTGCATTTCCAACTGAGGTACCTGGTTCATCTCATTGGGACTGGTTGGACAGTGGGTGCAGCCCAGAGAGAATAAGCTGAAGCAGGGTGGGGCGTCGCTTCACCCGGGAAGAGCAAGGGGTTGGGGAATTTCCCTTTCTTAGCCAAGGGAAGCAGTGACAGTCTGTACCTGGAGGAATGGTACACTTCTGCCCAAATACTTCACTTTTCCCTCAGTTTTCACAACCAGCAGACGAGGAAGTTCCTTCCTGTGCCTGGCTCAGCAGGTCCCACACCCACAGAGCCTTGCTCACTGCTAGTGCAGCAGTCCAACATCAAACTACGAGGTGGTAGCCTGGCTGGAGGAGAGACGTCAGCCATTGCTGAGGCTTGAGTAGGTAAAGAAAGTGGCTGGGAAGCTTGAACTGGGTGGAGCCCACCGCAGCTCAACGAGGCCTGCTTGCCTCTGTAGACTCCAACTCTGGGGGCAGGGCATAGCTGAACAAAAGGCAGCAGAAACTTCTGCAGACTTAAATGGCCCTGTCTGACAGCTCTGAAGAGAGCAGTGGTTCTCCCAGCATGGTGTTTGAACTCTGAGAAAGGACAGACTGCCTCCTCAAGTGGGTCCCTGACCCCCGTGTAGCCTAACTGGGAGACACCTCCCAGTAGGGGCTGACAGACACCTCATACAGGCAGGTGCCCCTCTGGGATGAAGCTTCCAGAGGAAGGATCAGGCAGCAATATTTGCTGTTCTGCAGCCTCTGCTGGTGATACCCAGGCAAAGAGTTTCTGGAGTAGACCTCCAGCAAATTCCAACAGACCTGCAGCTGAGGGACCTGACTGGTAGAAGAAAAACTAACAAAAAGAAAGGAATAGCATCAACATCAACAAAAAGCACATCCACACCAAAACCCCATCTGTAGTCACCAACATCAAAGACCAAAGGTAGATAAAACCACAAAGATGGGGAGAAACCAGAGCAGAGAAGCTGAAAATTCTAAAAACCCGAGCGCCTCTTCTCCTCCAAAGGATTGCAGCTCCTTGCCAGCAACAGAACAAAGCTGGATGGAGAATGACTTTGATGAGTTGACAGAAGTAGGCTTCAGAAGGTCAGTAATAACAAACTTCTCCGAGCTAAAGGACGATGTTTGAACCCATCATGAGGAAACTAAAAACCTTGAAAACAGATGAGACGAATGGCTAACTAGAATAAACAGTGTAAAGAAGACCTTAAATGACCTCATGGAGCTGAAAAACATCGCATGAGAACTATATGATGCATGCATAAGTTTCAGTAGCCAATTTGATCAAGTGGAAGAAAAGGTTTCAGTGATTGAAGATCAAATTAATGAAATGAAGTGAGAAGAGAAGTTTAGAGAAAAAAGAGTAAAAAGAAATGAACAAAGCCTCCAAGAAATATGGGACTATGTGAAAAGACCAAACCTACGTCTTATTGGTGTACCTGAAACTGATGGGGAGAATGGAGCCAAATTGGAAAACACTCTTCAGGATATTATCCAGGAGAACTTCCCCAACCTAGCAAGGCAGGCCAACATTCAAATTCAGGAAATACAGAGAACACCACAAAGATAATCCTCAAGAAGAGCAACCCCAAGACACATAATCATCAGATTCACCAAGGTTGAAATGAAGGAAAAAATGTTAAGGGCAGCCAAAGAGAAAAGTAGGGTCACCCACAAAGGGAAGCCCATCAGACTAACAGTGGATCTCTTGGCAGAAAGAGATCTCTACAGATCCCTCTCTACAAGAGATCTTTACAGATCCCTCTCTACAAGAGATCTTTACAGATCCCTCTCTACAAGAGATCTTTACAGATCCCTCTCTACAAGCCAGAAGAGAGGGGGGCCAACATTCAACATTCTTAAGGAAAAGAATTTTCAAACCAGAATCTCATATCCAGCCAAACTAAGCTTCATAAATGAAGGAGAAATAAAATCCTTTACAGACAAGCAAAGGCTGAGAGATTTACCCACCACCAGGCCTGTCTTACAAGAGCTCCTGAAGGAAGCACTAAACATGGAAAGGAAAAACTGATACCAGCCACTGCAAAAACATGCCAAATTGTAAAGACCATCAACGTGAAGAATAAACTGCATCAAGTAACGGGCAAAATAACCAGCTAACATCATAATGATGGGATCAAGTTCACACATAACAATATTAACCTTAAATGTAAATGGGCTAGATGCCCTAATTAAAAGACATAGACTGGCAAATTGGATAAAGAGTCAAGACCCAACAGTGTGCTGCATTCAGGAGACCCATCTCACATGCAGAGGCTCACATAGACTCAAAATAAAGGGATGGAGGAAGATCTACCAAGCAAATGGAAAACAAAAAAAGGCAGGGGTTGCAATCCTAGTTTCTGATAAAACAGACATTAAACCAACAAAGATCAAAAGAGACAAAGAAGGCCATTACATAATGGTAAAGGGATCAATTCAACAAGAAGAGCTAACTATCCTAAATATATATGCACCCAATACAGGAGCACCCAGATTCATAAAGCAAGTCCCTAGAGACCTACGAAGAGACTTAGACTCCCACACAATAATAATGGCAGACTTTAACATCCCACGGTCAATATTAGACAGATCAACAAGATAGAAGGTTAACAAGAATGTCCAGGAATTGAACTCAGCTCTGTACCAAGCAGACCTAATAGGCATCTACAGAATTCTCCACCCCAAATCAACAGAATATACATTCTTCTCAGCACCACATCACACTTATTCCAAAATTAACTACATAGTTGGAAGTAAAGCACTTGTCAGCGAATGTAAAAGAACAAAAATAACAACAAACTGTTTCTCAGACCACAGAGCAATCAAATTAGAACTCAGGATTAAGAAACTCAGTCAAAACTGCACAACTACCTGGGAACGGAACAACCTGCCCCTGAATGACTACTGGGTAAATAATAAAATGAAGGCAGAAATAAAGATGTTCTTTGAAATCAATGAGAACAAAGACACAATGTACCAGAATCTCTAGGACACATTTAAAGCAGTGTGTAGAGGGAAATTTAAAGCACTGAATGCCCACAAGAGAAAGCAGGAAAGATCTAAAATCAATACCCTAACATCACAATTAAAAGAACTAGAGAAGCAAGAGCAAACAAATTCAAAAGCTAGCAGAAAGCAAGAAATAACTAAGATCACAGCAGAACTGAAGGAGACAGAGACACAAAAAACTCTTCAAAAAATCAATGACTCCAGGAGCTGGTTCTTTTGAAAAGATAACAAAATTGATAGACTGCTAGCAAGAATAATAAAGAAGAAAAGAGAGAAGAATCAAATAGACACAATAAAAAATGATAAAGGGGATATCACCACTGATCCCACAGAAATACAGACTAACATCAGAGAATACTATAAACTCCTCTATGCAAATACACTAGAAAATCTAGAAGAAATGCATAAATTCCTGTGCACATACACACTCCCAAGACTAAACCAGGAAGAAGCTGAATCCCTGAATAAACCAATAACAGGCTCTGAAATGGAGGCAATAATTAAGAGCCCAACAACCAAAAAAAGTCCAGGACCAGATAGATTCACAGCCGATTTCTACCAGAGGTACAAAGAGGAGCTGATACCATTCCTTCTGAAATTATTCCAATCAATAGAAAAAGAAGGAATCCTCCCTAACTCATTTTATGAGGCCAGCATCATCCTGATACCAAATCCTGGCAGAGACACAACAAAAAAAGACAATTTTAGACCATTCTCCCTGATGAACATCGATGCAACAATCCTCAATAAAATACTGGCAAACTGAATCCAGCAGCACATCAAAAAGCTTATTCACCAAGATCAAGTTGGCTTCATCCCTGGGATGCAAGGCTGGTTCAATATATGCAAATCAATAAACATAATCTAGCATATAAACAGAACCAACTACAAAAACCACATGATTATCTCAATAGATGCAGAAAAGGCCTTTGACAAAATTGAACAGCCCTTCATGCTAAAAACTCTCAATAAACTAGGTATTGATGGAAGGTATCTCAAAATAATAAGAGCTATTTGTGACAAGACCACAGCCAACATCATAAAGAATGGGCAAAAACTGGAAGCATTCCCTTTGAAAACTGGCACAAGACAAGGATGCCCTCTCTCACCACTCCTATTCAACATAGCGTTGGAAGTTCTGGCCAGGGCAATCAGGCAAGAGAAAGAAATAAAGGGTATTCAGTTAGGAAATGAGGAAGTCAAATTGTCCCCATTTGCAGATGACATGATTGTATATTTAGAAAACCCCATCATCTCAGCCCAAAATCTCCTTAAGCTGATAAGCAACTTCAGCAAAGCCTCAGGATATAAAATCAATGTGCAAAAATCACAAGCATTCCTACACAACAATAACAGACAAACAGAGAGCCAAATCATGAGTGAACTCCCATTCACAATTACTACAAAGAGAATAAAACACCTAGGAATCCAACTTACAAGGGATGTGAAGGACCTCTTCAAGGAGAACTACAAACCGCTGCTCAATGAAATAAAAGAGGACACAAACAAATGGAAGAACATTCCATGCCCATGGATAGGAAGAATCAATATCATGAAAATGGCCATACTGCCCAAGGTAATTTATAGATTTAATGCCATCCCCATCGAGCTACCAATGACTTTCTTCATAGAACTGGAAAAAACTACTTTAAAGTTCATATGGAACCAAAAAAGAGCCCTCATTGCCAAGACAATCCTAAGCAAAAAGAACAAAGCTGGAGCCATCACATTACCTGACTTCAAACTATACTACAAGGCTACAGTAACCAAAACAGCATGGTATTGGTACCAAAACAGGTGTATAGACCAATGGAACAGAGCAGAGCCCTCAGAAATAACACCACACTTCTACAACCATCTGATCTTTGACAAACCTGTGAAAAACAAGCAATGGGGAAAGGATTCCCTATTTAGTAAATGGTGCTGGGAAAACTGGCTAGCCATATATAGAAAGCTGAAACTGGATCCCTTTCTTACACCTTATACAAAAATTAAATCAAGATGGATTAAAGAGTTAAATGTTAGACCTAAAACCATAAAAACCCTACAAGAAAACCTAGGCAATACCATTCAGGACATAGGCATGGGCAAGGACTTCATGACTAAAACACCAAAAGCAATGTCAACAAAAGCCAAAATTAGCAAATGGGATCTAATTAAGCTAAACAGTTTTTGCACAGCAAAAGAAACTACCATCAGAGTTAGCTAGGCAACCTACATGAATGGGAGAAATATTTTGCAATCTACCCATCTGACAAAGGGCTAATATCCAGAATCTACAAAGAACTTAAACAAATTTACAAGAAAAAATGAAACAACCCCATCAAAAAGTGGGCAAAGTATAAGAACAGACACTTTTCAAAAGAAGACATTTATGCAGCCAACAGACACATGAAAAAATGCTCATCACCACTGGTTATCAGAGAAACACAAATCAAAACCACAGTGAGGTACCATCTCACGCCAGTTAGAATGGTGATCATTAAAAAGTCACGAAACAACAGATGCTGGAGAGGATGTAGAGAAATAGGAACACTGTTATACTGTTGGTGGGAGTGTAAACTAGTTCAACTGTTGTGGAAGACAGTGTGGTGATTCCTCAAGGATCTAGAACTAGAAATACCATTTGACCCAGCCATCCCATTACTGGGTATATACCCAAAGGATTATAAATCATGCTGCTATAAAGACACATGCACACGTATGTTTACTGCGGCACTGTTCACAGTAGCAAAGACTTGGAACCAGTCCAAATGTCCATCAGTGATAGACTGGATTAAGAAAATGTGGCACATCTACAACATGGAATACTATGCAGCCATAAAAATGGATGAATTCATGTCCTTTGAAGGAACATGGATGAAGCTGGAAACCATTCTGAGCAAACTATAGCAATGACAGAAAACCAAACACCACATATTCTCACTCATAGGTGGGAATTGAACAATGAGAACACTTGGACACAGGGTGGGGAACATCACACACTGGTGCCTGTCATGGGGTAGGGGCATGGGGGAGGGATAGCATTAGGAGAAATACCTAATGTAAATGATGAGTTAATGGGTGCAGCAAACCAACATGGTACATGTATACCTATGTAACAAACCTGCACGTTGTGCACATGTACCCTAGAACTTAAAGTATAATTAAAAAAGCAAAAACAAACGAACAAAAATTACCATTTATTTTATGAATTTCAAAAAATAGGTATTTCAATTCAGAGTTTATAAAAACTCAAAGGAATAAATAAAACTGATCTCCTTTATGCTCTTTAGTGGATTCACCCACAGGAAAGTTACAGGCCAGGGATATGCCAGATTATGTACAGCCACCTGGTAGAGAGGAACAAAATCAAACAGGTCTCAAAAGAGACTCATGAATAAACATTCCCCTTTAAATAATTTAAGTGTGGAGATTTTTAAAAATTGACATTATTTTCTTTACCTTCTCACCAAATGCAAAAGCCTGTTTAAAAAACCCATCTGATAGACAATCATCTATCAAAGATGATGAAACAATTAGAAACATTGAGATGATTTCTGCTTTCTGAATAATTGTACTGATGAGTAACCCACTAATTCCCTCACTGGGCAGCATGACTGCATTATTTGTTAAAAATATGTTACTAAGAATTTGCTATTCTATTATTTGTACCTGATTCTATCTCTCATAGGGAAAAAATTAGCAATTTAAATTTGTTTGTTTCATGAGACACACTTACATGTCATACTGCCAGTTACCTCTTCTCCAGACCAAACACACACAGGTGTTTTCACTACTTCTCATTGACATGAGAAGTCAATGAGACTTGCTGACCCTACACCATCCTGGGCTACCTCCTTGGTGTGTGCTCCAGTTTATCAAACTCCTTCATAAATTGCTGTTCCCGGTATCAAATTCAATTCCATTGTGGTCACCACAAGATAGAGGAAGACCATAAGCTTTCAGCTAGGTGCCATAGAGTAATGAAATGACAGAAGCCCTGGAGTCTGTTAGATGTGGTGGGATCCCAGTTCCAAACAACCTATGCTACTTATTCAGCCTACACTCCCAGGAAGTAAATTCAGGCACCTCAGTGTGATAAAGGGATGTCTATCCCTTCTTTCATTTTCCATTTCAATCCTTTCCTACTGCCTATCTTCACATACTGTAGGATTCTTTTCTTTACCTCTATCTTCTTAATTTTTAAAAGAAGTGAAAATATAAAAGCAAAAAAAAGGATATAAATGAGAAAGGAATCTGACCAGGTATGAGAAAGTTTCTCATAACCGCTTTCCTTCATAAAAGGCACACAGATCATTTCCAATTACTAAATGAACTCTCAATGTAACTTGCTAATCAGACTTGACTGAGGGCATCATGGATGCCCAAGAGAAATAACACTGAACCCTTTTGAGCTTGAAAAAAACCCAGCTCTGCCTACTCAATGTCTACCCAGTGAAGCCAGAAAAGGTCAAGTGAGGGTATGAACTACTGGAGAATTTCTGGCTGGAAAAACTCCTTAGGTAGGGTAAGGGCTATATTGAGGAACAAGATGACTAGCAAGGTAATAGCACTTTTCTCCCAGCCACTGGCCCTCTGGAGCACTTTCTGAACCAGGTGTAAGGCTGAGATGTCTAGCCACATAAAAAACAGTGATACCTCTATAAAAGAACTTAAAAGCTAAGTAAAATAGGTTTCAGCTGTTGTAGACAAAAATAAATCAGATTGTCCAAATTTTATTTGCTTCCTAAAATGTGTTTACCATATTTTTTAACACTGTGCAATATTCCAAGCACAAATCACATAAATTATGTAAGGATTTTTTCACAGTAGTCCTGTGAAAAAGGTGTGATTGTCCTTTCTTTTTTAGTAAGAAAGTGGCTTGGAGAAGAAAATCAACTAGACCAAGTCACACAATGAGATTGATATAGTCCAGTGAAACAAGAGCATTCTGTGGACAACTCCATACCTTTTCATGTAGCCATGCTACCATCTTGCTCAATTTGTGTTTTCAAGCCACCACCCTACAAGCATCTGTCTTTGGCAAAATCTTTAAAATTATCTTTCAATATCTAGGAACCAAACTAATGGTAGTGGTAGCAGGGAAGGACATAAGGAAAGTCTATTGCATTTTAGTTCCATCACATGTAGGCCCACTTCTAACATTTGTGGGAGCCACAGCCAGAGGACAAATGAAGCCCGCATAGTATAAGTCCATAAGGCTAAATATTAATATTTTAAAGTATTGTCAGTCTAATGAATTGTTGGCTACAATGTGTTCTATCCTCTTACCTTCAGAAATATACCTTCATAATGACCTGAAAGGACAGGTTTGAATTTAGATTTCTCAGACCTCTCAGAATTTTGCACCAGAAGTTAGTCATGCAGGGATATCTGGTCCTCAGTTTGATTCTTAGTCCCCAGTCGTTGCCACTTTCCCCACTCTTGGCTCCCACTATGCTCAGCAACGGTCTCCTATATATGTGTGTATAGAAGCATACATGTCCAAGCTCTAGCCAACCTCTCCCTCCCCCACCTTGGAACTCCAGGACACTTCAGCTAGGAACTCCAAAGTCTGAGATATCACAAAGAATGGTCTGAAGAGGAACCACAGCTCATGGCCAGGCATATCTCATTCATCCAAAGTTTCCTTGTCTGGTGAATGGGGACATTGCTGGAGGAAAGACAGCTCGGGAACTCTCTAGCATGGGCCAGTGAGCAGTATTTACAGTATGATCTCCTGGAGACCTCTGTACATTTCTTTAGTGGGAACAGGGCTGGAAGGGGGCAGATATTCGTCTAAGAGCAGCTTGGAAAAGAGGTTCAGGGTTGGTTTTCAATTGAGGAGCCCAGTATAGAATTCAGTGTATTAAGAACTTATCAAATCCTTGTTTAAAAAGTTGAATTTCATTTTTCGGGCTATCTGATGCTCATTATTGAAAATAAAGCTAAAAGAAAAGTAATACAATGTGAAATATGTAGGAAACATATATGCAGAAGACAGCAACAACTTGATAGCAAAATACTACTATCTATGGATATTTGGGTAGATTTCAATTTTTGGTTACTACAAATAGTTTTCCTATGGACATTCTGTTGTATGTCTTTTAGAGACTGTCCACATTTTTCTTGAGTATATATATATATCCAAACGATGTTCAAAAGTGGTTGTATGAATTTGTGCTTCTGCCAGCAGTGTATGAAAGATTTCATTTCTTACATTCTTACCAACACTTGGTATTTTTCATCTTTTTTTGTTTTAGCCATTCTGGTGCCTGTGGAGCATACTACATCATGGTTTAAACTGGCATTCCCCTGATTTCTTAGGAACTTGAATGCCTTTTCATGTTTACTGATTTTTTGGATCTTTTCTTTCAAAAATGTCTGTTTAGTTCTTTCTTATTTTATCTAACTTTATATATTTTGCACACATATAGCTACACACATTATTTATGAATATTTATTTTTTAATTTGGAAAAAATTACATGAAACATTTTTTCTAGGAAAATGTAGGTAGTGAAAATTTTGGAAAGTGTAAGGGGGTTGGGTATATGAGAGAACAAGGACTTCTACCTTGCTTTTGCACTCTAGTTTTCTTTTAAATCAGGGAACATAAATTCTGAATCTGCATAATGGAAACCTCATCTATATAAGAAGTTGAATCTTAATAGAATATTAAAATTCTGTGCTTTACGAAGTGCTTGAATGGTAAGTTTCTCTAGTAGATTAAATATATGATTCACTTTACAATGACTTGATTCACAAGCAACATTAAATAAACATTTATTATATAGTATGAGATGAGGTATGAACCAATTTATTAGTAATTTCAACATGATAGAAAGCCTGGATAAAACAAACTGGTTGATGCATAACAATCACTTTATTTATGCAGACTTAGATAATCTTCCAAACCAATATGTCAGAGTTCTTAATCTGTGTATATCCTTATCATCTGTGTTGTTATTTATTTACCTTATTCACTCATATATTTAATGTTTCTCTACCTCTTTCTTCTAAAAGAGGATTTGAGGTGGCTTCTAGAAATACATATAAGCCAAAAAGATAAATAAATAAAACAGGTGAGGAAATGAGAATGTAAGAAAAATAGGATATAAAACTGAGATAACCAGCAGGGATAGTTAGCTCTTGTAATGTGTATCATAACATCCTGTTCTTTTGCTAGAAGTGGGCTCTTAGCTTGGCTCTGAGTTTCTTTGTGGCTATAACAAATAAAATATCATAATCCTTTACAACATGTATGTTAATATAAAGTGAAAGCCAAGCAGTTATTTTTAGAAGTGCATATCCTTCTGAAACTAATCCATAGAAATTGTTTCTCAAGATCATCTTAATAGGGGCCAGAGGTAGTGGGCTGGATAATGTAGTGGCAATGGTGTTATATAAGATAAGACCCAGAGGCCCTCTCTCCCTCTAAAATTTTCATGGAGATTCCTGAATGGAAAAAATGCTACTAGAAAGTAGGGGCAATCTCATACTCATCTTTAACTTCTTCTTATTTCAAAGACATTGGTGAAATTTAATTTTAAGAAACATAAATTGCTTACTTCATGATTACCACAGAAAGTTTTGGTTCAAAAGTTATTTTTTACAATTTTCAGTTTAGTAATATCTTGAATTTGAGAATTTTGTATTTAAATATTTAATTGCTTTTATAGTTCATGAAAATCTCAATGAGTCTGTGAAACTATGAGTTTCAGGGATTGAGCGAAATGCATCCAGATAAACAAAAACTAAAATGAGCAAGATATCTGAGATTTATTTACAATCTCCAGTTTTCCTGGGATTACTTGATGTAAAAGATTGACCTAAGTACTGCATTATCTTGGGGTTTATTACATTTACTAGAAATATATCAATTGATTCTTTTATGCTTATGATTCACAAGAGTTAATAAACCATTTTAACCATACTTTCATGCCTTATGCATGATGAATGTTGATTCCGAACTGAAAGCTATCAAAACATAACTTAGAGCCTGATTTTTACCCTTTAGATCACTCTCTGAAAATAAATTTACAGAAATAAATAGCATTAGTACAATTAAATAATTGAATGTGGCTATAATAAGACTGGTAGAATCAGCAGCTCAATATTTTGTGGCGAGAATCAGGGTCTTCAAAATTTTCCTGGTAAAATTCCCCACTCTCACCTCATGCTGCTCTACCCTAAATGTATCCTTCTGAGCATCTTAAAAGCAATTATAAAATTCATTCTTTTGGCTGAGGCTTGTTTTGCAGAATGGTCTTGTCAAAATCTATATATCTATATAATTACAAAATGCGGCGCTGATCACCTCAAAACAACATTAACATGTTTTACCCAATGATAAGGAATTTAGTGTTTTATTCTTCCTACCTGGATTTATCATGGGTAATGTATACTTTGCACTAGAAGAAAGTAATTATATGCAGATATAGGTTTGTCATATATGTTTGTCTACATAGTCTAGAATTTTACTTTATATTAAATATAATATATCACCATGGTAAAAAAATCAAACACCAAAGAATATAGAATGAACAATTATTTGCAACAGGTAAAACAAGAAAAATTTAGTTAACATATAAGAGATCTTAAAAACTGATTTAGAAACAGCTCAATAGGAAAATAAATATTTCAAAAATAGTTAAGAACAGAAAATTGATAGAAAAACAAAAATAAATTATTATAAACATATGAAAAGATATTCAAATTAATTCACTGTTAAAGAAATGTAAATCACAGCAAGGAACTTTTTTTAACCTATCAAGTTGGGGAAAAATGTGTCAATAGTGCACATGATCAGTCAGGGTGTGGAGACAAAGACATTTTTATTCAATGTCAATTGAGAATATAGATAGGTAAAACTTATTTTCAGAACAGTTTGGCATATTTATAAACTTAAATGCATGTATCCTTTTATACAGAAATTCCACTTTTAGAAGTTTATGTTTATTATGAAGGAAGCAAATTTTAAAATGCTCCCACATTTGTTGTCTTTTGACTTTTTAAAATGGTACATTGTTTTTATGAATATTTAATTTTTATACGGCACATTTGTCTATTTGTTCCTCATAGCTGTTTATATATTTAACTCTGCTGTGAGATAGGACAGAGCACAACTACCCTTCATTTGAGGAACTAAGGCTCAGAGAGTTCACCCATTAAGAATGAGAGCAGGAATTTGATCTTAGTTCTAACTGACTTCAAAGCCTGTGCTATTTTCACTTCAGCAAACCCAATCTTGAAATGTTGAAAAGAATGTAACATTGAAAGTAACTTTGCGATCACCACCACTAACTGTTTGAATTCCTACCAGTTTGGGGACCACCCAATAGCAAACTACTCTTAGCAGCTGATGGCATCGTCTACTTAGTGGAGTCATCTTTTCTACCTCTTAGTTTTTGGTTTATAAAATATGCATCAAAATATTGCTGAACCTTAGAATGCTTAAGCAGGTGAAACCACATTTCCATCTTTAAAAATATATCCTGAAGGTATTAATGATTTCAGTAATTTACAATTGGGAAATGCAACACATCAAAAAGATTGATAACACCCAGTTATGACAAGTGCATGGGGAAAGATAAACGTGCATATGATTATGGAAATGTATAGTTAGTAACATTTTAAAAAGGCAATTTGGCAATATATATCAAAATTTAAATTCTATCTACCCTTTGATCCATCAATTTCACTGCTGGGATTATCTTACAGTAACATTTACCCAAGTGCAAAGACATAGGGAAAAAGATATTTCTTCCGATTTTAACGGTAATAGAGGAAAATTAGTGACAATTAAAATGCTCCTTAATATAGATCACTTAAATTAAAAGTTCATACAACAGAATGTTGTACTACTTTTAAAAGAATGAGATTGACAGGTATTCACTAATACAGTTGGCTGTCAGTGATATGTTGTTAAAGAAAAATAGTTGCAGAAAAATAACTAAAATATGAATGAACTTTTATAAAAATGTATGGCAAAAGATCCAGTTACCCCAACAGAGTGGAAATGGGAGAAGAGGGAAGTGGAAAAAGATGAATATTCACTCTCTCTCTTTTTTTTTTACACACTTTGTTGTAATGTTTGACTTTTTTCCCAGTGAGCATGTAAAACTTTATAAATTCACTCTTTATATTAGTTTTATTAAATTTTTTAGTGATAAGGACAACTTTGTAATATTTTAAAAAGCAATGATTTGTATAAAGATGAAAGTAATACTTATGCTTTAGTTTAAGAAACAGGTCATTGAGAGTATTGCAAAAAGAAAAAACTAAAAGAGGCAACTGGCTGCCTGCTTTAGACATTTTCTCCACCTCTTCTCTGCATAAGGAAATGTGACCAAGCTGTGTAGTCCAAGAACTGTGATAAACCCTTGAAGCAATCTGAGACTGAAAGATAACTTTCATTAACACACAAAGCAAAGGATTAAGTCTTTTTTTCAATAGGAATTGTTTACATTAAAATTTGGCATTGTTATTAATCCAACTTTCTTGGTATGTCCTAATATGGTTAAAGCAAAAATGAGTCCGAGAGAATGGTAGTTGTGTTAAAAATCCTCACAAGGCTTCTCTCAGGTTCACATAGACCCAGTTGATTCACATACTTTGGGGAAAGGAAGGATACAAAGTGGAATAAAGCTGGTCACTATTCCAACTCCCATTATAGATTAATTTCTTTCATTTCTCATAAGGGCTGGCACCTGATCTCTGTGCTTGCTTGGCAGAGAATTATCTCAGCGTAAGTCAGGGAGGAATCTTGTAACAGAATGCATTCTTTCCTGTGGAGGAGTTGTCAAAATTCCTGGCACATTCTAGGTTAAGGTTAGATTATACCATCATGGTAAAAAGTTTAGCTCAAGAGACAGTCTGTACTTTGTTGATTCATCTAGATACAGGATTTACTGAGGAAATACTAGAATTATTGCTCCCTAGTGAATTTCAAAGAAGACATAATAACGTTTCTTCTTGAATGCTCTACACTTCTCTGTGTGCAGAACAACAGAAGCACTTCAGTAAGTAACAGGAGAACTTCACAGGCTCTTATATGGGAAGTCATCATTCCCATCATATGACACAATCATATTTCCTCCTCAGAGTACTCTTTACTTTTATGCATACATTCTCATAGTTGTAGACTACAGGAAGCCTTCTATGGGTTTTCTGGAATTTTTGACTATAATAGATTACTGTTGAATGACCTACTCATCCTCTACTTATTATTAGAAGAAAAATAGTCATGAACTTCACAAGATCTTTTATAGGAAGTCACCATTCCCACATAATAATAATTGTCAAGAAAGAACAAAGGATAATCTTTAAGTTTTACAAAATAAAGGAGTCACAAAGTTATTGAAATAGTGTATGAAAAGTTATATGAATAGACTATGAAGATAGTTATGGAAAAGTTTATGAGATAACTTTATGCAGTTGAACTGATCATTTCTGTAGTAGTATTAGTAATATGGTCAATTATTCAATGGAAAATCCATTTCAGCCTATAACTGCATGAAACGCATGTGAAGGAAACCTGGACCACAAATGGCTAAGAAAGAAACCTGAGCTGTACCACAACTGAAGCAATTATAATCTTTTAAGCCATGCCAGACCAAAGGCTTTACCAATTTATTTCATAGGAACTGGAAATTAACATCAGAGCCCTAACTATTGCCTATAATGTATTGCATATAATACTATATATGGAAAGCTGCATATAACTGTTTTAATTGTTCTTAACTCTCTTGTCTTTCTAAGTAGCCCGATTAGAGAATCCTTGTGGGTAGTGTTTTAGGAAGGCATCAGTGGTAGCTATGAAGATGCACTGCTCCCATATCCCTTTGAGAGAACTTTCTGCAAGTACTGGGGTTGGCTGACAGTCTCCAGTGGACAACAATTCAAAAATATGTTGGATTCATAATGTTTTTGCCAAGGCCACAGTTTCTTGCAGGCTGCTCCCAGCCAACAACTGGCTACTAGAGCTGAGCCATTTCTGCCTGACACTGGACTCCTCTACAGGTGAATCTTTGCTCTAGCGCTCCCTCTTGACCTCATTGAGATACTCGCAGAGCTTCATTATAGTCTGAGGCTCCTTGTACACAATCACCCTTTCTTCCTTCTTCCTTAGTCAGATGCTAAACCTGCAGCTTGGTTTGAAGGCTCCCCTGCTTCTCTCTCCTATATCCTTCACAGGTGTTTTCTCCCATAAATCCTTCAAACATTTAATTCATTTTGGCATCTGTTTCTCAAAGGACTTGAAATGATACAATAAATTAAATGGATCCCAATGTGCAATAGCAGTAATAGTTCTCTAAAACTTTTAAGCCCCTTTTTGAAGAATTTTTTTTTTTTTTTTTTGAGATGGAGTCTTACTTTCTTGCCTGGGCTGGAGTACAGTTGTGCGATCTCAGCTCACTACAACCTCCACCTCCTGGGTTCATGCAATTCTCTTGCCTCAGCCTCCCGCCCGAGTAGTTGGGATTACAGGCATGTGCCACCATGCATGGCTAATTTTGGTATTTTTAATAGAGATGGAGTTTCACCATGTTGGTGAGGCTGGTCTTGAACTCCTGACCTCAAGTGATGCATCTACCTTGGTCCCCCAAAGTGCTGGGATTACTGGCATAAGCCACTGCTCCCAGCCTGAAGAACTTTTAAATACTGCTTAAAAACTTGCTCCAGTAAGAGCCATTGCTGTCTGTATATGTTGTGGGTTATTTGTTTACAAGGAGGCTTTGAGGAAGGAGCCCCTTTTCTGAAGAATAAAACTATGTGCTGTTTAGAATGCTGTGAGAGAATCTTCAGTGCTTTGGCTTTCTCCCTGATCCAAGTACAATTTGCCTATCAGCCAAAAAGAGTTGTTTTGGTGCCAGTTGGTCATGACTCTTGGTTGGCATCTCGCTGGGTGTACTTTGCAAAAATCTTTGATGTTCAGGTTCAGAATTCTTACATGCAGAGAATGAACATCTGGATCAACTAAATTCAAACAAATAAGAGTACAATATAGTGTTTTTCTTATATTTTGTCTGTACTTAAAATGATAATCTATGCATTGAAGATGTTAAGATCTGATTTTAATATTACCAGATTCAATTAATGAAAAAGGATAAATCAAGAGGGCCAGTTTACTTCAAGTTTTTTCAGTCAGGTGTATATGAATATATATCATGTTCATTTGCATTGCAAATAGGTGCATAAGATCACCCACTGTTTCATCTGCATAGACCTCCTTCATACCGGTTTGATTTTGCATAGACACGTAGAGTACCTAAGTGCCTCATATTCAATATTAAACCCTCTGTAACTAATGAAAGTCATGAATATAAAGAGTCTGAAGAATTTTTTCATGAAACTCCACTCAAATTTAATTGTTAAGCTATTTATAGAAGACTATTTTATTCTCTATTACAATACCATTGGGAATTTTAGCATAGTAGATTTATACATTTCCTGTGTTATTATATATTTTATATGTGCTATGACCTATTACATTGATTACCTCCACTAATTCTCATTACAATTGTATGTGTTATGCTATTTATTATCTTTGATTTAAGATATAGGAGCTGGGTTTCAGAAAAGCTGAATAACACTCAAAGTTACATAGCTATTAGTTTAGCAGAGATTTTAATGTGGACTAGACTGACCCCAAGTCTGTCTTTACATATAGTCGGTATAACTTTCCCAAATATACTATACAACGGAAGACAGAGACCATGCTATACAATAATGTAACACTGGTGATGACCTTTAACTTCCCCAAGAGAATTTATTTACTCATAAAACAAGTTTAATCGGCCTAGAGCCCTGACCCTCTCTAAGGTTACTTCCTGCCCCAACATTCCTTTGCTCTATAGCTAATCTGGATAAGCTCCTACCAAAACATAATTTGAAAAAATAGTAATTATATGCAATGTAGGATACAAGCCTCCATGTATGCTTTTGAGTGTGCCAAGTCTTCCGAAACTCTAAGTTTCTATTTCTCTCTCTACATTAAAATAGAGCATATATGGCAAGAAAAGAAAAATGTAAGCTTCATGAGGGGATGAGTGTCCTGGGCTCCTTTCGAAAGTGTATTTAAGTTTAATGCCACGAATAAATCTTAAAAAAGATATTATCATCTAAAAGTAATAAATCACTAGAAATTATACATGTATTATATATATTTTATGCATATAGATGCAACGGAATTTATACAAAGGTTTGAAAAAGCCAAATATCCTACAAGGTTTTAATTAGTGTTCCCTATTAAAAATTCTAATTCAAGCAATAGTTTTGGGGGTGATAGTTCTCTGATATGTGCATTTCTTCACTTGCACTCTTTCTAAAGTTTCTAGTCTGAAAACTCTATCAAGTTATATCGGAGATAAAGTTCATTTGGATCTTTCAGTAGTCACTTCAAACTGTTCAAAAATCAGTGAATGATCCAGATGGAAAGTCTCCTATGTATAGTATGATATAAATTGTTTTTCCTCTTTAAATCATTGGCATCTCAAATTTATCTTCCTCTTGAAGATATATAATTACCATATAAAATGTAGTCAATATCATGTTTATATTAGCAAATTGATGCAACATGGGCCAAGTATTATTGTATAAGCCAGGAGGCACTGGGGCACAATCATATCATTCCTTCCTCAGAGTTCTCTTTAGTTTTATGCATGCATTCGCATAGTTGTAGACTACAAGAAGCCTTATATGGGTTTTCTGGAATTTTTGGCTGTAATAGGTTACTGCTGAATAATCTACTCATCCTCTACTTATTATTAAAAGAAGAATAGTCAAAGCACTAAGAGTCCTAAAAAATGCTGAGCCCACTATTTTTTAGCTTATAAAATTGCTCTTCTTCTCATGTATTCCCTCCACATCTGGTATTCCTATGTTATCCACTGCGAACTCAAGCCAAATTTTTGCCCGATGTATCTGCCATTACATTTTTCATATTTATTTTAAAACCAAATCTAGCATCTTATTGAAAACATATTGAATGATCAAAATGAAATAAATCCAAAAAGCTCAGTCTGTCTTTCTTTCCTATTTTGTTCCACAGTGACAGCTGGAATAGAGGCTCTTTCATGTTTTTCAGGAACAGAAAAAAAATTACTCCTTCATTTTATGGATACATCAAGACAGACCTGAAAATATGATTTCCTTTTGTCTTCTGCATGAGGGGAGATGACCCAGATTTTAACTTGATAAATGTGCCTGTAAGGGAACACTGAGCTATCTCAGTTGATTTAGATGGTCTCCTTTTAATACAGTCACCAAAATGAAGCAAAGAGATCTAGATTTTTCATCCTAGTTGAAACAAAGAATTAACAAAAGGAAATAGAAGAAACAAGCTAACAAGTAGCTTTTCTTCTATCTTGCCAGAGACACACTTATCCACCCTTTCCCTGGAGGTGCTGCACAGCTGATATGGCTCTTGTTCAACAGTAACTAATAGCAAAATATCAAGAGTCTAAAAGGAAATTGGCTTATAGTTCTCAATAGTCAACGTGAAATATTGTAATGAAAGACAAACATAGCAAACATGTTGTAACTCAACATCTTAAATGTTAAGTTACGGAAGAAAACTGTCAGGTTTGGGCTATGTGGGAGTGATGAGTTCAGGCATGCTCATATTTTTTCTGGGTGAATAATGCTTAGGTTTTTTAGCTGTTTAATTTTCTGACAAATGCTACTATACCCCTAGTGTGAGCCCACTGAGAATGGCTTACCAATGATTTTCAATAGCATATAATTTCAGATGATTATTTCATGCCTCTCATCTCCCCTCAAATGTCCAACACCTTCTTGTCATCCTCACTTTCAGCTGGTGACCTTGCTTCTTAGTTCTCTAAGAAGATTGAAGAAATCAGAGGAGAACTTTCATGGACCCACTCTCCACCACCACCACCACATCTACCCCTCCTTCCAGCATCTTTCCACTTGCAATCTGTCTTCAAACTTGTTGTGATAGATCAACCTTTCTATTCTTTCTAAAGTCCTACACCCTTCTTGTGCACAAGATCCCAAGTTGTCTCAATCAGGACACTGCTGTTTCCCTTTACTCCTCCTATCAGTTTTTGCTCTCTTCTGCATCATTCCTGTAAGCACGCTGACTTAACATGAAGAAAAGCTGTGCTTGATCTCATTTCCCCTGCCAGCTAAGTCACCCATTTTTTTCTCTGCCTTTGGCAGCAAAACTCCTTGCAAGTGTTCTTTATAGTCACTATTTCCAATTCCTCTTCTTCAACTGCTCTTAATTTTATTCCACAAAGGCATTTCCTCCAGCACTCCATTAAAACTGGCTTTGTCTACATGGTCAATGACCTACCTGTTACTAAATCCAATCTTCAGTTCTTTCACTTGACCTATCAGCAGCATTTGAAATAATTGATTGCTCTCAACTCCTTGATACTGCTTCTTCTTTAGGCAAGGAGAGACATCTAGATGGTTCTGGAGGCTTATTTCTTCTCTTTTGGTAGTTTAGCAAGGCTGAATTAACTAAATGAAAGAACTAGCAGATACCAGCTGCTTCTAGGAGAGTCACTTCCTTAAGGAGGAAGTTTCCATGGTTACCTAGGAATCTAAGTGTTCCTACCTATTCTTACACATGCTAGAGTGCTATGGGAGTGGTGTTCTTCTCCTGGAGTCCTGCCTGTGGAGATGAGAGCTTAGGGGATCATGTGTGCTCTGCTATGTCTCCATTTGTGAGATTTTTCCCAATAAAACCTATTCTGTGTGTAACATGGTGCTCACAAGTAGTATGTGCATGAGACTCCTTTATTCTCAATTGTCTCCTAGAACTTCTGCACTCAAATGTTTTTTTTTCTCCTACCATGATGGCACTCCCTTAATGATTTTGTCCAGATCTCATAGGTTCCATCTGTAGGCTAGACCTCTCTATTGACTATGAGAGGGCATAAATGAAGCTACTGGGATGCTGAAGATGTTCTAAATCCAGATCTAGATGATGGCTAAAAGGCATGTAAGAACAAATTGAATTATACACATTTGCTCACATATCTCTATGTATGTTATCCTTCAATAAAACCTTACCCAAAAAGTGGTGCTAGAGGTTGTTTTATCTTCAAAATGGAAATGATAATGTATACTTCATACGAATGCTGTGATTATTAAAAGAGGCAATACCTGCAGGTATCTTGGGGTCAAAGGAACACTGATTCTAGAAAGGAGGTGATCAAGTGGTAGATCATTAAATATGTATCTGATTAAAATTTAAAAATATATGTGTGCATGCATGACTGGAACCACTCAGTAAAAAAGATGCTGAACAGCGTATCAGTTTTTATGGGTTTACATACTTCTCCTTTAATCCCAGACTTAGTTTTTAAAACTACACATTTACTGTTTTTGCATATTACCTCGGTGCTCTAAAATTATCCTAGTCTATGTGCAGAGATTGGTAAAGACTCCTTAAACAAAAATTAATAGTTATATTAATTAGTTTTGTGCTTTCACTGTTACATTACTACACCATACTCGTGTGTGTGTGTATGTGTGTGTGTGTGACAGAGAGAGAGAGGGAAAGAGAGAGAGAGGAAGAGAGCGAGAGAGAGCACATACAGACAGATCCTCATAGGCTTACATATACACAGATAACCAATAAACTACCTCTGAACAAAAGATTTCAGGCTAAGGCTAGAAAGGCATAAAATAGAAGGGATAGGGTTTCCTAATACCAAGCTGATACTGTATCAGCTTTGGATTGCCTACTCCAGACATTTTCATGTGCAAGAAAAATAATACTCTATTTTGTTTAAGCTATTGCTATTATTAGTTATCATACATATATTATAAATTGTATGCCAATACACAGTCATCCTTTGTTATTTACAAAGCATTGGTTCCAAGACCTCTTGCAAATACCAAAATCCATGTGTTACAGAATGCTTCGGGTGTCGCTTTGCCAGTCAGAAACCTCTGTGGCCAGTGGCGCCTTTGCCCTAGTTTTGCTCAGGCCTGCAGGGCCTACTCGTCCTGGCAGGCTGCATTCAGCTCGTGCTACTGGCCTGGACCCCGCACCTGCCAAGGGCAAGCCAGGCACAGAGTGGTGAAGGGTGTGTTAGAAAGTATGGGGTCTGGACACTGCTCACAGCCAGGAATGTCAGCACGGGTGCCAGCTTTTTGTGAGGCTGTGGCTGGACGAAGCATACCACAAGCAGCTTCCACAGCTGGCACTGGGAAAAATGGTAGCACCTGGAGGGTTGGAGATTCCAGGAACCACAAAGCCCCAAAGAGGGTGTCACAGCCCTGGCACCAGGAGGTCCTAGGTCTGGGATCCCTGAAGGGCCACAGCTCTTCTCTCCTTCTTTCTTCTTGTCTTTTTTTCTTCTCTCTTTCTTGTTGCCCCCAATGTGGTGAGCCAGGGGCATGTGTTAGCACTGTTTGTGTTACAGCTCTTTTGGCCCCACTATGGCAGTTCCCAAGTTCTTGTCCTGTGTCCAGGGAGAATGAGGTACATGGACAAGTGGAGGGTGAGCAAGGCAGAGGACTTTTAAGGAGCAACAGAACAGCTCAGAGGAGACCAACATTGGGTAGTTCCTCTCTGCAGGCAGGGTGTCCCAACTAGTATTCAGTTCTCAGCAAAAAAGAGACCCTGGAGTGAGTAGCTCCTCTCTGCAGGCAGGTCTTCTCATTAAGTGTTCAGCTGTCAGCAGAGAGGAGACCCTGAAGTGGGTAGCTCCTCTCTGTAGCTGGTCATCCCGTCATCTTTTCAGCTCTCAGCAGAGAGGAGACCCTAGGGTGGATAGCTGCTCTCCACAGTTGGTCATCCTGTCATCTCCCCAAGTCTGGCTGAGTCTGGGGTTTATATGAGCTTAAGAGGGGAGGAAGTGTGTGGCAATTGGTCCATGGGCAGCCATGGGCGCACCCAGAGAAAGCACCACAAGCTCTCATTCTGGTCCATTGGACCAGCAGCCTGGCCCCCAGGCTTCAGACCTCCCCTGGCTTGTAGGTGGGGCTCACTAGGACTGTGCCCTTCAGCCCAGGAGCCTGTCTGCCTCTTGCTGCCATTTATGGTGTCCAGGCTGTTTGTACTGGGGGGTGCCTGCAGGCCAGCACCGAGTTGCCCTCAGCCCCCCTCAGCCTCCCTCCTGTGCATATCAATGCAAAGTTGAGAGGGGGCCAACGCAGCAGGGGGCTGGCATGTCAGTGCTGCCCCAAGCATGTGCGCACCCAGTCAGGCTGTGACAGTGCCTGGGCTCAGGCCAAACCTTGCTCTGAGACCAGAGCAGGTGCCAGGAGTGGTGAGAGACCAGGCAGCAGGAGCAGATACCTCCGAGCCTGTGGGGCCTGGGGGGCCTTTCTGTGCCCCCAAGAGTGCAGAGATGTCCGAGTTTGTAGCCATGGCTTTGATAGCTGAAGCTGCACCTGGGAGGGTGGGGCTCCTGCCTACTCTGGGCCAAGCCTCCCCACCTGCAGCCAGGGTCATGGCAGCAGCTGCTCTAGGGGGGCTGCTGCTGCCATCACATACATGCTCAAGTCCCTTATGTAAAATGGCAGAGTATCTATATATAACCTATGCACACCCTCCCCATATACTTCAAATCATCTCTAGTCTAGATTACTTATAATACCCAATACAATGTAAATGCTATGTAAATAGCTGTTATTCTGTATTGTTTTTTATTTGTATTTTTTATTGTTTTACTATTATTTCAGTTTCTTTCTGAATATTTTTAATGTGCAACTGACTGGATCCATTGATGCAGAACTGTGGATATGGAGGGCTGACTGTACATGTATTGAACCTAATACCAACTGCCACCGTTTCATTTTGTATTGGTAATTTTTACCATGTGAAGATATCTGGGGGGAGGAATATTAACAAAAATGAAGGCCTGCTATTTGAATGCAGTCTATATAGAGAAAGCAAAAGAAATGAGGAAATTTAGGAAAAGATATGGTATCTGCATCATATATGTCAAAGGGTCAAGGGAGACAATTTAAATGAAATTGGCACATAGGTGAATTTTGTCCTTTGCACCTTGTCAATTGGCTTCGTCAACGTGTCTCTCCTTCTGTAATCCCTATTATCATTCCTGTCCCTATTCTTCTTCCCAACCCCGTCTTCTTATGTTCTATTCTTGTTCTATGTTGACTTCTATTAATTCCCTCTTAAGAATTAATAGCCGATTAACAGGAATGTTAAAAGTGAACTGTTAATATTGTTTATCTGCTAGGTTTTAAAGAAAGAGGTGGATCTAAAGGGGATCTTTAAACTGTATCTTTAAACTGTGTCATAGTAGAAATAACTTATTATTATTTTCCTCTCTTCTCTTTGATATACTTGATATACATTTTATGTCTTAAGACACTATTTAGATCTATGGCTTATGTCTCATTAGTGGCTGTACCATCAGTTTAAGAAGGTTATGGACACATTAAAAATAGAAAACTAAACAGGAATATAATATTTCTAATAGCTTCAAACTGGAAACAACACAAATATCCATCAACATATAATTGAGCAAATAAATTGTGGTGTATCCATACAATGCAATATTACTCAACAATAAAAAAGAATGAGCTATTGATACAGGAAACCACATGGAAAGATTTCAAAATAATTACTCTCAGTGATAGAAACCAGACAAAAAAGCACATACTTTATGATTCTGTATTTTTAAAAATCTAGAAATTAAAACTAATCCATAGTGATAGAAAGAAGATCAGTGTTTCTCTGTGGATGGGGGAGGAAGGAGAGGGGATGGAAAGAGATTGCAAAGAGACATGAGGGTACTTTTGAGTACGTTAGATATTTTCATCATCTTGATTGTGTTGATGGCTGCATGGGTGTTTACATATGTCAAAACTTATCAAACTGTGGAAATTAAATGTATGCAGCTTATTTGTCAATAATAACATCAGAGTGTATTACATGATACATTTAAACATTTTTCATGAATATTTTCAGTACAGCTGTGTGTGTGCATCTGTGTGTTTGTAGAAATTGCATTTACATATCCATTCTCTCTTTAAAACAACATATTTTCCAATGTATTATTTTTTGCTTTTGTTCTTCTTGCTTTCTGTAGACATGTCTTTGTTTTGTTTTGTTTTGTTAGTTTGTTTGTTTTATGTTTTTGCACTCTCCTTATGCTTCTCCTCCTCCTTCTCCTAAATTCTGGAGTTGAATGCGTAATTCATTTATTTTTATTCTCTTAGTTTTAAGAATAAAATAAGTTTAGGTTACAAATGTACTCATAAGTAAAGGTTTGGGATAGTCTCATATATTATTTTAATATAGTGTTTGCAATGTAATTGGTTTGTTTGGTTTTCTTTTTTGACATTTACATGGTTTGGTTTTGTTTCCCTGCCCACATCTCATTTTGAATTGTAATCCCCAGGTGTCTAGGGAGGCACCTGCTGGGAGGTGATTGGATCATGGGGGCAGTTTTCCCATGCTGTTCTCATGATAGTGAGAAGAGTTCTCATGAGAACTGATGGTTTAAAAGTGTTTGGCAGTTACTCCTTCATTCACTCCTCCCTCCCACCTCCTTGTGCAAAGTGCCTGTTTCCCCTTTGCTTTCTTCCATGATAGTAATTTTCCTGAGGCCTCTCCAGCCATGTGGAACTGTGAATCAATTAAACTTCTTTCCTTAATAAATTACCCAGTCTCTGGTGTTTCTTTATAGCAGTGTAAAAATGAACCAATACAGAAAATTAGTACTGAGGTAATGAGGCATTTCTGTAAGATACTGGAGAATGTGGAAGTGAATTTGGAACTGGGTAACTGGAAGAGGCTGGAACAGTTTGGAGAGCCTAGAATAATACAGAAAGATGTGGGAAAGTTTGGAACTTCCTAGAGACTTGTTGAATGGTTTTGAGCAAAATGCTGATAGTGATATGGACAATGAAATCCACACTGAGGTAGTCTCAGATGGAGATAAAGAACTTGTTGGGAACTAGAGTAAAGGTGACTTTTGCTATGCTTTAGCAAAGAGACTGGTGGCATTATGCCCCTGCCCTAGATATCTGTGGAACTTTGAACTTGAGAGAAATGATCTAGGGTATACAGTGGAAGAAATTTCTAAGCAGCAAAGCATTAAAGAGGTGACCTGGATTATTCTGAAAGCATTCAGTTTTATGTGTGCACAAAGAAATGGTTTGAAATTGGAACTTATATTTAAAAGGGAAGCAGAAGATAAAGGGTTGGAAATTTTGTAGCCTGACCATGTGGTAGCCAAAAAAAAAAAAAAAAAAAAAAAATTTCTGGCAATGAATCCAAGTCTTCTGCAGAAATTTGCACAAGTAATGAGGAGCCTAATGTTAATAGCCAAGACAATGAGGAAAACATCTCCAGAGCATGTCAGAAATCTTCAAGGCAGCCACACCCATCACAGGCCCAGAGGCCTGGGAGGGAAAAATGGTTTCAAGGGCCGGGCCTAGGGACCTGCTGCTCTTTGCAGCCTCAGGACTTGATGCCCTGCGTCCCAGCTGCTCCAGCTCCATCCCTGGCTAAAAAGCACCAGGGTACAGCTCAGGTCATTGTTTCAGAGGGTGAAAGCCTCAAGCTTTGGCAGCTTCCATGTGGTGTTGAGCCTGCAGGTGCATGAAAGTTAGCAACTGAGGTTTGGGAGCCTCTGCCTAGATTTCAGAGGATGTATGGAAACACCTGGATTTCCAGGCAGAAGTCTGCTGCAGGGGTGGAGCCCTCATGGAGAATCTCTGCTAGGGCAGTGCAGAAGGGAAATGTTGGGTCAGAGCCCCCACACAGAGTCCCCACTAGGTCACTGCCTAGTGGAGCTGTGAGAAGAGCCTCTGGGCCCCAGAATGGTAGATCCACCAACAGCTTGTACCATGTGCCTGGGCAAGCTGTAGACACTCAACATCAGCCTGTGAAGGAGCTTCTCAAGACTGTGGGAGCCCACCCCTTTCATTAGTGTGCCCAAATGTGAAACACAAAGTCAAAGGAGATTATTTTGGAGATTTAAGATTTAATGACTTCTCAGTGTGGCGATTCCTCAGGGATCTAGAACTAGAAATACAATTTGACCCAGTCATCCCATTACTGGGTATATACCCAAAGGATTATAAATCATGCTGCTATAAAGACACATGCACACGTATGTTTATTGCGGCACTATTCACAATAGCAAAGACTTGGAACCAACCCAAATGTCCAACAATGATAGACTGGATTAAGAAAATGTGGCACATATACACCATGGAATATATGCAGCCATAAAAAATGATGAGTTCATGTCCTTTGTAGGGACATGGATGAAACTGGAAACCATCATTCTCAGCAAACTATCACAAGGACAAAAAACCAAACACCGCATGTTCTCACTCATGGGTGGGAATTGAACAATGAGAACACATGATCACAGGAAGGGGAACATCACACAGTGGGGCCTGTCATGGGGTGGGGGGAGTGGGGAGGGATAGCATTAGGAGATATACCTAATGTTAAATGACGAGTTAATGGGTGCAGCACACGAACATGGCACATGTATACATATCTAACAGACCTACACATTGTGCACATGTACCCTAAAACTTAAAGTATAATTAAAAAAAAAGATTTAATGACTTCCTATTGTATTTCAGACTTGCATGGGCCCCGTAGCCCCTTTGTTTTGACTAATTTCTCCCATTTGGAATGGGAACATTTAACTAATGCCCATACCCCCATTGTATCTTGGATGTAACCAACTTATTTTTGATTTTACAAGCTCATAGGTGGAAGGGGCTTGTGCTTGTCTCAGATGAAACCTTGGACTTGGAATTTTGAGTTAATGCTGGAATGAGTTAAGACTTTAAGGGACTACTGGAATACCATGATGTGTTTAGTAATGTAAGGACATGAGATTCACGAGCAGCCAGGAGCAGAATGATGTACTTTGGCCCTGTGTCCCCACTCAAATCTTATCTTGAATTGTAATCTAATTGTAATTTTCAGGTGTTCAGGGAGGGACCTGGTGGGAGGTAACTGGATCATGGGGGCAGTTTTCTTCATGCTGTTCTCATGATAGTGAGGGAGTTCTCATGAGAGCTGATGGTTTTAAAGGTGTTTACCACTTCTGCCTTTGTTCACTCTTCTCTCCTGCCACCTTGTAAAAAAGATGCCTGCTTCCCCTTTGCCTTCTGCCATGATTGTAAGTTTCCTGAGTCCTCCCCAGCCATGTGGAACTGTGAGTCTATTAAACCTCTTTCCTTTATAAATTACCCAGTCTCAGGTATTTCTTTATAGCAGCATGAAAACAGACTAATACAGACCCAAACACAGATCAAGAGAATATTTTAAAACTTTCTCTTACTGAACTTTAATTTTAATTTTAGTGAGTTGTGATAAATATATTAGTCTTTGTTTTATAATAGAGAATGTCAACCCAGTTATACTTATTATATCTTTCTGTGTTAATACTTCTTAGAGGTTATTTTTATGTACTCTGATATTTGATTATGTTTTCTTTTTTCTTTCTATTTATAGCTTTTTGGCATTATCATTTTTATTTTAAAATTGATCTTATTTTCCTTACCTATAAATGCCAAAAATAAAATTCTTTCTACTGACAACCCTGTAAAATAATTTTGCTCTTTTCTTATTCTATTACTCAATCTTATTAACATCATCTATGATTGAAATTGAGAATCTATTGTATAAGATTCTTATGATTCAAGGGTTTATTTTTAATATTTGCATTAAATTTTCTAAACATTTATAAATAATTAAAATATGAGTCTCTGGTTTGTTAGTTTTATTGCTTATTTCCAGTTCATTTATTTTGCTAATTACTGAGTTGTTTATTTAGTCTCTTTTCTTGGAGAGCTTTGGTAAATCTTTGATTCGTGTTTTAAGGAATATTATCTATAAAGTATATTTTCAAACCTTTGCAATTCTGTTATTTGACTGGTAGACTCAAGCCTTTCTTCAATTCAGGAAAGATTTTATTTTCCCATTGTTGATTTGATCACACCCTTTCTACAGAATGCTCTATACTGTGGGGGTCTGTTCTGCAGACCCCAGCTTGCATGACGGATGGATAACGTACTCAAACACCAATATTCAGTCAAAGAGCAGCTAGGGGTCCAAGCCACTCACAGACACCAAGGAAGGTGCTGTAAAGAGTCAGAAGCAATGGCCCTGACTATCTGGCCCTGCGGGCATTTATTTAACATGGTTGACTTTGAGTCAACACACCTGTGGGTAATTAATCTGGTCACCCCCGCCCCGGGAGAGCCATCTTGCCCATGAGTGATCAAAGGTCAATTTTAGGACCACATGAGTAAGCAAGCTCTTTAGATAAACTCCTCTACATTCTTATGTATCTATGCCCTGAGCTTTTAAGAGAACTCAGCTGCCTTCAGCCAAGGCTTTTACTAAAGCTATGCAAACCTCTTGGCCTTCCAAGAAGGTTTGTGTTTATTTCCTCTAAAATCTTTCCCACCACCATGACTGAACCCCCATACTATGCTTTTCTTCTTGACTTCCCATTAAACTCAGCTCATTCTATCTTCAATCTATGTCCTGGGTAGTCTCAATTTACCTCTCAGATTCCTTCTCAGCCCTCCTCTGTCCTGTTATGTTTCTTAGTATGCTGATCTCTATGGTCTACATCACCTAGCTTAGCTTCTTTTGCTCTTTGGGTCTGATTGACAAAAGGAAACAGAAATAGATAAGAGGAGATGGGGATTGAGGTTGAGGTGTTTATTCACCCTGCTTTCTTCCTAACAGAACTTGGTTGGAATAGAGGGTGGCATTCCTCTACCAAATATCACAGCTCCTTTTGGGTGGCACCTTTTCCATGGCTAGTGGGAGAAAATAAATAAACAATGTAATATAAACAACATATAAATTAAATAATTGCAACTTTAATTTTTTTTTTTTTTTGAGACAGAGTCTCAGTCTTTCACTCAGGCTGGAGTGCAGTGGTGCAATCTCAGCTCACTGTAAGCTCCGCCTCCTGGGTTTACACCATTCTCCTGCCTTAGCCTCCCGAGTAGCTGGGACTACAGGTGACTGCCACCATGCCCAGCTAATTCTTCTGTATTTTTAGTAGAGTCAGGGTTTCACTGTGTTAGCCAAGATAGTCTCTGACTCCTGACCTTGTGATCTGCCCACCTCAGCTGCCCAAAGTGCAGGGACTACAGGCATGAGCCACCACGCCCGCCCAACTTTAGTATTTTCTATGAGTCAATAAATGGTGTACTGTGATAGAGAATACCTTCAGTAAGCTACTTAGAAAGCACAAACAAAGGAAAACTTCCCTCTGGAGGTGACTTTTACACTATACAATGAATAGGAACCAGCCAGATGAAGAACAAATATTCTAAGTAAAGAGAACTGTAAAGCAAAGACTTTTGGATAGTCTCGGACTGAAAAAAAAAAATCCTGCATGACTGACACATAGTAATAAAGGATGGTCACGGCATGAGATAAGTATAAAGATAAGAATTTAAAGTGCAATGGAAAGCTATTTCCAGGGTTGTTAGCAAGAAGAGATGGATGTTTTTATAGGGTTGTTCTGAATGCTCTAAAAAGGGTGAAAGGATTGTAGAAAGGCCAAAGAGAAAATGCAGTCCAGTTAGTGGGCTATTGCAACTATCTGTGTGAGAGATCTGGTTTGGATTCGGGTAGCACAGTATATTTTTTCAGATAGATGTGCTGACTTATTGGATGTGAGGGTGAAGGGGAAAAAGACTTCAAAGCTTCTTGCTGGAGCAAATGGAACAATTTACAATGATAGAAAAGATAGGGGTAAAACAGGTATGCCTTATGGAGGTGTTGAGAAGATGGAATATTAGACAAGTTCTAGAAATATAATTTGAGCACTGTTAACACATAAATGATGTTTAAAGCAAGAAAAGATCTGAAGGAAGAATGCCGATAGAAAAGGGAAAATGATTCAAGTTCAATTGCTGAAGAACTTCAGCACTGAGAGGTCTCCTACAAGAGCTGACAGTGGAGGAGCTGGAGAAGAATGGTCAATATTATAAGAAAAATAACCAAAAGAATATAATGTAAAAAACCTGAGAATGGAAAGAGTCATAAAGAAGGCAGTGAACAACTGTTATCAAGGATAGCTGCGAGGTCAAGCAAGAAGAAAAAAGTAGCCTTTGAGTTTCACAATAAGGAGATAATCATTATTTTCAATAAAAATACTGACAGTGGAGAAGTTGGGACAGAAGCCAGATGACATAGGCAGAAGCATGAAAATTTGGTGAGAAACTGGAGAAAATGAGCTTAAGTAACTCAAGACATTTTGCTATAAAAATCAGAAACATGGTGTGAAAGCTGTGGTAAAATGAAGCCCCTTATTTAATTATTTTTAAAAATAAAAGAAAGTGTAGAATGTCTTTAGGCTTATGAGAATATTCCAGAAGGAAAAAAAGTTATTGATGCAGGAGAGAAAAGGGAAATTTGTGGAAGTAAAGTTCTTGATTTGACTAGATGGAATAGAAGGCAGAGCATGGGTGGAAGGATTGAGAGACTGATCTTTGATGTGGAGAGGAACATGTCCTTCACTATAAAAAGAGAGAAGAAAGTGTAAGTGAGAACTCAGACAGGTTTGTGTGTTTGAAGTGAAGGTATGAGGGAGTTTCCAAACTGATGTTCATGATATTCTCAATAAAGATAATGTGAGATTATTCACTAAGGAAAATATGTAAAATGTTTTTAAAATAAAAAAAATTTTATTCTTAAACAATAACAATTACTCACAAATGGGATATGGCTGTTTTTTGGCCACTGCACAGCCTCTTAAACTTTGGAATCAGATTACCTACTGGCATCCTCATTTCCTGTTCTACATTGATTTTAGCATGAGTCTTGCTGTTGTAGAATGTTCTAAGTGAAGGCGTGAAATAGCTCAATTAGTGGGAAACAACATTAATTTGGAATATGTAGTCGGATTGTTAGAGGCTATTGAGTGTCCAAGTGGAGTTCTTCAATCATCAATTTGAAGTGTAACTACTTAGACAATTTTATTTTTCCTGATTGCTTGGGTGCTGATACAGAAAAAAAAATAAGTAGCTAGGTTGATCCAAGGCTTGAAGTCTGGAATGTATAGCATCCATCCAATCTGCTTTTCATTGCCTCCTTTACAATTTTAAATTCGGGAATCAGATTTCCGTGAAAACTTTCTTAGTCTCATAGCATGATTATTTTGATTTCCTGTTCTTAGTCCATGAGCACAATGCTTTACTGAACCTTTATGCCACATAATAAAGAATTTGATATACTTTTCTTTTTTGCAGTAATTCTATGACAAATGGTGGTCATCTGCTAATTCCTCAAGAAAATTAAAACAAACCTCTGTTGAATGCATATGTTCTTTTGTATGTTCAGAGGTTGCTTTTTAATAACTCTTTTCTAATGCTTATAAAGGGAGATCTATGAGTGTCAGAACTGGGAGTTTAAATATGTTCTTTCAGAGATCATGTAAATCTCTGTTCATTTTTTATGATCTGGAGAAACAGAGAAGAAAAAATAGAGATTATTGTAGCTAATTGCTACTTTGGAAATGTAAAAGTGCACAGAGAGTGGGGAGAGAAAGAACTAGATGAAGTTGTTATAGGAACCTTCACTTATGTAAGGAATTATTTCTGTCATGATTTTTATGGTGTCCAGGGGTTAATCAAAGCAGAATCTCCATTCTTTGCCTGAAAAGATTCCTTTATTAGGAGCCCAGTGCAGTGGTGTTGACACTCCTCATCAGTTGTGACAGACCATAGAGAGGGTAAATCAGGCTGTAAGAACTGTGTGCTTTGTACTTTCTGTGGTTCTGGAACTCATTATGCTTCCTGATACTATGGAGGGGTCCTTCTGGGCTGATTCTCACTTCTCCTCCACTCCTCACTCATTGATTTAGGGAGTGGTAGCAGGTTGCTGCCAGGTGTTCTGTTATTCCCTTCCCAAACAAGGTTTAGGGGGGGCTCTTTTTCAGTCTGTTCACGTCTTCACAATATTCAGAGAAATTCTGCAAATATTCTCACTTGGGAATATTACTGCTCTACAATTTCTGGGGTTAAGGGGACTTTTTCTCTATTGTTATTTGAGATGGTTATTTGATGGGAATCTGAGCATGAGGGAACATAGTGAACACCTTTTGTTCAGGAGGCCCTGCATCCAGTCACCTTTTTATTCTAACTATAAACCACCTTTTCTGTGGGGAGCGAATCTTTGTTCTTGTACTTCAGAAACAAAAAGGAAGTTACTGCAAAACTTTTGCTGTAGCTTCTGGGAAGAAGTCCTTGCCCTCTCCCACAGAATCTGCTCCTGGGAGAAAATGGTGTTAGAGGTGCTATATCAATGCTGCTTGCAATCATGAAGAGAGAGGCTACGAGTAGACTTGACATAGTCCACGGCAAAATCTCAAACTAAAGGCCTGGTGCTTTTGAGTTTTGGAACGCTGAAAGTTCTATTCTATAGACTGTCCTGGTATGTGAGGCAATTAAGGCCTCTTTTGACTCAAGACAGTTTGACTTGAGTTCCCTTTACTTGTAACTGAGTTCCTAATTGATTAACAAAGAGACTAAAAGCTGAACTCATCATAATTTTACATGGAAACCTTCATGTTTATTTAGTTTTTACAAACTGCTTTAATATTTCGAACATATTCCATTTTACATAATTTAGCATTTCACACTGAAATCAATTCTAAAACAACTGATTTAAAGTCAAATAAATGTAACTTTGAATTTTATCTTTATAAATCAAATTATATATCAAATTTTATCTTTATAATCAAATTCAAGTAACAGCTAAATACTGTTAGCGCTATTAATATCTTAGCTAAATATCCTTTTAACAGGTCAGTGGGAAGTTGTTTTGCCAATAAATATATTCTAAAGCTTATTTACTCATTTATTTTCCTGTAGCCCCACAATTTACTATAAATGTAAGAAGTTCCAAAATGAGGCAAATGTATCTGAAATATTCTCACTCATTCTTTTCTGCAGAGTGCCCATGTAGTGCACTTGTTTCAAACTTGTTTCTACTACTCTTTAAAGAGTAGTACTCACTGAAAATCTGAAAATGGCCATGAATTATAAACATAACCTTGGACACATCAAAGAACGAAATTATATTTCTACCTCCCAACATATATAAAAAATGAGTTTCACATGGACAGAAAGAACTAAGCATGAAAAGCAAGTTTTTAATCTGCTAGTAGAAGAAAATATAGCTGCAAATCTTTATGTTGTGGTGGAGAAAGGTTTTTAAAACAGGATCCCAAGAGCACAAATCAAAATAGTAAGATTTGAGTATAGCAAGAATTACTCCTTCTGCATAATGAATAGTTCCATAAACAGAATGAAAAGACAATCATTAAACTTAAAGAAAAAATATTTTCAATATGTACAACAGATAGAAGACCAGTCTCTAGAGTATATTAAAACAGATTTTAAAGATCAAAAAGGAAAAGACTACCCAAATAAAAATAGGAGAAAGACAAGAACAAGCAATTCACAGAAGAAAAAACTCAAATAACCAATAGACACATAAAAAGATATTCAACTTCATTAGACATCAGATAAATACAAATGAAAGCAAAAATTAGATTTCACTATTTACCCATTAAAGTCAGCTAAGTGTTTTGAAATGTATTATATCAAGAGTTGGCAAAACACGGAAGTTTTCATTACATGCTACTGGGAGCTTAAATTATTACAACTATTTTGAAGAACGTCATTAAGGGTTTAGTAAAATGAAAAAGGCATATAACTTGTGTTCCAGTAACCTGCACCTACTTACATAAATCTTATATGTGTATAAAAGAAAACATATATAAGGATATCAATTGCAGAATTGCTTATAGTAATACAAATATAAGACAATATGTCTATCATGGCCATAAAAGGTTCCAGTTGCTGCCCTCTGAATTAACCATCACCTTCATGCTAAAGTCTGACTTCCCACAGGCTTCTTTCAGCCAGTGATTGAGCACAGAGAAGATACTAAGGCAGGCCTATTCCTGGGAAATGTGTGACTTTTCTGCAGGTGACTTTGGCTCAAGGATTTTCTATGAGACTTGCTGAAACTTTTGTGGAAATTCATTGCAGTCTGGCTTTTTTTTCTTCCCTCTCTTCTTCATAGGGGCCAGACATGCATCCTAGTCTGATGGTTCTCCCAGCCTCCTAAGGCTTTCTCTATATTTTCCCTCAAAGATAGGTTTCCCCAATAAATCTATTTTATATCTGGTCACATCTTGACATTTGCTTCTTAGAAATCCTCAGCTAACACAAGTGGTGCCAGAAGTGGTTTGACCACACAGGTGGTATGCTGAGAATCTGGGACTAGTTTTCTCACTGCCTGGTAAGCAAAGAGGATGCTGTCCTAAGTGAAATGTGGGATGTAGATAGACCTGGCACTTGGTAGTGGTACAACACTACAAATTTCACTGGTGATGACCTGAAAAAACCTCATTAGTAGAGAGGAATGCCTTTGCAAGTGTAGTAATTCAGGAATTTAAAAGACATTGGTGGTGATGGGGATAGCAGAGCTAATTGCTTACTACTAAATTGCCTTGCACAAAGCTAATGAGAAACTGAGATCCATTAATATGTAGTCACCGGTTAATTTTGAGGGCCAGAGTGCCTCATTGGTAAATAACAAAAAGCCCCATATCTTATGAGATTTCTGATACAGTTGAGCCGTAAATGGTAGTTAGAGTTGCTTAACTACAAAGGTGTTTGGGTGTTCAACCAAGGCAGAACTCTTACACTAACAGACCCTGTTTGGGCAAACCTGAGACTGTGAAATACTTGATGGGGACATTTGGATGGATAACCCTGAGGATGCTGGCTCTGCAGACTCCTCTGAACCCTCACAGATTAAAAAGATGACTACACTTCCCTGGTAAGAGGGAAAGTAAGAGGCGGGTAAGAATTGCCCCCCACTTCCTTTCTTGGCTGCTAAGTCAATAACTGGCAAGGTCTGCCTGGGGAAGTGCTGGATCTGAAAAGGGAGAAAAAAGATTACCATAGAAGGAGCTACAGGAATTTGCTATGTTGTATTGGCAAAATCCATTGGAATACCACTGGGATGTTGAGGGTACATGATCAAGGGGGCCAGAATGTAAAACTAGATAAGCAAGAATTTATTGACTTAGGGTTAGTTTCTCAAGACACAGGATTTATCACCCTGGCAAAGCCTCAAGCGATAGATCACAGTCATTGCTAGCGTGGCTCTTATAGGTCTGCAAGAAATAATAACCAATGCTGAACAAAATAGAACTGCCCAAAATGCCCTGTCAGACAACATATAAAGGAATGAAGAGGTTCCAGAAAGTGGGCATACCAGAATGGATATATTATATTATATGAGGCCAGAAAAGCCAACAGAATTTGATATTTCACAAGGGTCTAGAGGACATACCATTCACCAAAACCATCAAGAATGCACTGGTGAGGACACCAGTCAAGACTACCAGAAGAAGGTGCGGGGGGTAATGGCTCTCTTTTGCAGGCCAGGCCTGGTGGTAGTGGAGATGGTCACAGAGCTGGGCTTAATATCATTGGAATGGTGGGATCTGTAACAATAAAAGCGAGTTGGCAGCACTTAACTGATAGGAGCCATGATAATGAAATTATCATGAGAGGCAAAGTTATAGAGGCAGCTAAGAAAGGTTGACTGACAGGGAGTTGCAGAGCTGGTAGATAGAGTGTGTTAATTCCAGAGGCATACGGAATGTCCCTCCAGAGAGGGACAACCAACAAATGTGCTGCTTAACATGTACAACAACAATAGAAAGAAGGAATTCTGGAATTATGGTTTAAGTTCAACTCCCAGTGAGCATATTATGATTATCCCTCCATTACCTGAATGTATAGTTATGGTTATTATACTTCACATTGGAGTTACACTTTTCTTCCTCCAAACCCCAACACACAGTTTGGTCCTTTGCCTATGCAGTAAGAGTCACCATAGTGGAGAAAGTCAAGCAGAAAATGCTGAAACTGCCCCCCACTGTGGTTAAAAGAGTAAATCAAAAACATGACACTTGGGTGAGATAGCAGAGCTAGGTGTCTCCAGTTAAGAACCTTAGAGATGCAGAGATAGTGTTCCCTATCTTATTTTCATTAACTTTGCCAGTCTGGCCTCGCAGAAACTGGTTGGATCCTGGGGAATAACTAAAGACTACAGCAACTAAACTGTGTAATAGCCCTGGTACAGTGCAGCGCTTGGGTAGCAAGAAGGGTATTGTTGCTAGAACAGGTTAATAAGACATCAGGTATGTAATATGCAGTCATTCATGTAAAAAACACATTCTTTTCTGTCTGTATCAGAAGAAAGGATCAGAAACTGTTTACATTTATGTGAAGCAGATGGTAATATTCATTTGCAGTATTGCCTTAGGGCCCTGTTAAGTCTGATTTTTCTCATCATATGACCTAAGTAATCTGGATGGCCTGGATATGCCACAGAACCTCACACAGATCTGTCCTATCAATGATATATGCTAATTGGGCAAGATGAGCAAGAGGCGACTAATATGCTGGAAGCCTTGGGAAGATACACATGTTGTGAAGGGTGGCATATAAACCTTTTGAAGATTCAGGTACCTGCTATTCAGTGAAGATCTTAAGAGACCATGGTCAACAGCATGCTCTGATACTCCATAAGAAATAGAAGTCAAATTGCCGTAACATGCCTTCACCACCATAAAGAAGAAAGCACAGGGCTTGGTGGTCTCTATTGGTTCTGGGCTCACTGTGAGCTGGACTTCCACTACCAGGGTTTCCCAGCTGGGGAACTGGTACATGGTGTAGGTATTAACCTAGCTAGGAGAGGTGGGGAAGGACAGTTTTGCTTTAGGGAAGAGAGAGATGTGGGGCTGCAATGCATACAATATCCAACCTCAGACAGGAATAGTCCCAAGATGGAAAAGACTGTTTCTGTGTAAATGAGGCCAAATAATCCTATCTGTTTATGGAAAAGAGTTGCAGAGGTAGGAACCTAAAAAAGCATTCTTCTAGCATGACACTTCTTAGTTAGAATGTGTGACAATTTTTGAGTAGTGTTATTTCACTAAAGCCATTTTAGACATTGATGCAAATATTGCTTATTTACCTTATATTCTTTCTAACCTTCACTGACATTTTATAATGACATTGCAAGCCGTTGTTTACTCATCAAAGAGTAGATGTTTGCTCATGAAGATAAGTTTATGAAAACATCCTACATTAAGTAACAAATATTTTCAGTAAATCAGAGAAAATGTTGAACCACAAAAGATGATGGCTATGTTGAAATCCAAGTATAATTAAAGGGCAGTAGTTTGAAAGCCCTATATATCATTTTTGCATGTAATGCATTTCTATGATATGAAGATCAAACCTATTTACTTTTAAAGTTGTGAAAGGGCCTTTTAAAAACCACAGGAAAGTGCTGGGTTTGGTGGCTCACGCCTGTAATCCCAGCATGTTGGGAGGCCGAGGCTGGCAGATCACTATATCAGGAGTTCAAGACTAGCCTGGCCAATATGGTGGAACCCTCTCTCTACTAAAAATACTGTAGTCCCAGCTACTCAGGAGGCTGACGCAGGAGAATCACTTGAACCCAGGAGGTGGAGGTTGCAGTGAGCCAAGATCATGCCACCGCACTCCAGGCTGGGCGACAGAGTGAGACTCCATTTCAAAATAAATAAATAAATATTAAAAAAATTAAAAAATAAAAACAATAGGAGAAAGGAAACTAGGGAAAGGGATTAGAGGAAGCCTTTCACTGTACATTCTTGAGTGCATTTTGAATTTTGAGCTGTATATATATTATCTATTTCAAAATCAATAAAAATTTTAAAACACAGAAATGAAAAATCATCTTATTCACAAAAGTCCCCTAAATTATAACATGCATAGGAAGAAAATTTAGCAGGAAAGGAGCAGAACTTTTATGAAGAAAGTTACAAAATACACCTTTAAAACATAAAATCAGACCTGAATAAATGAAACTTGTGTTCTTGGATGGAAGATTTAATATCATAAAATATTAATCCTTTCCAAATTAATATGATATTCTAAGACAATTCCAATCAGAATTCCAATGGGTTAAGACAAAAGTATTTTTTAAAATATAATAAAATATTAATCCTTTCCAAATTAATATAATATTCTAAGACAATTCCAATCAGAATTCCAACTGGTTAAGACAAAAGTGTTTTAAAGTACATATGAAAGGAAGCATAATTGCTTAAGAGTAGCCAAGACAATTTAGAATAAGGAGTACTGGTGAAGGAAACTAGTGTTATCAGATATTAAAAATTTACTAGAACAGAAGTAGAAAGGTATGCCATTAGAATTTATTTACATTTATTTAACAAACCATATATAATTCTTATTATGTTAATAATTCTAAATGCTTTGCAAACATTAACTCATTTAATTCTTTTTTTTTTTTGAGATGGAGTCTTGCTCTGTCGCCCAGGCTGGAGTGCAGTGGCGCTATCTCTGCTCACTGCAAGCTCCACCTCCTGGGTTCGCGCCATTCTCCTGCCTCAGCCTCCTGAGTAGCTGGGACTACAGGCACCTGCCACCACACCCAGCTAATTTTTTGTATTTTTTAGTAGAGATGGGGTTTCACTGTGTTAGCCAGGATGGTCTCAATCTCCTGACCTCGTGATCCTCCCGCCTGGGCCTCCCAAAGTGCTGGGATTACAGGCGTGAGCCACTGCGCCTGGCCTCCTTTAATTCTTAACTCTTAGAGAGAGATACTATTATTATTCGCATTTCACATGTGAAGAAACTACGAAGCTTGCCCAAGGTCACATAGCCAATACATAGTGAAGTCTAGGTTCAAACATGGCCTTGATAAATATATTATGCAGTCTCTTAAAAGCAAATAAATCAGTGAGACAGATTAAATATTCTAATACACTCTGGTGTTGACACAACTGGTTCTTCAACAACACTCTAACTTGATTAGAATTCTGTATATATGGCCAGAGGTGGGGATCACCTGAATATTTATCAATAATAGAACTGGGGAGCAAATTATAATGCGTTAATGTTATGAAACTTGGCCAGGTACAGTAGCTTATGCCTGTAATCCCAGCACTTTGGGAGACCGAGGTGGGTGGATCACTTGAGGCCAGGAGTTCAAGACCAGCCTGGCAAACATGATGAAACCCCATCTCTACTAAAAATACAAAACATTAGCCAGGCCTGGTGATGCAGCCGGTAATCGCAGATACTCAGGAGGCAGAGGTGGGAGAATCTCTTAAATCCGAGAGGAGGAGGTTGCAGTGAGCCAAGATTGCCTCATTGCACTCCAGCCTGGGCGACAAAATGAGACTCTGTCTCAAACAAAGAAACAATGAAACACAATGCTACTATTAAAAAGGACTCATAACTACATCCACATTTATTGACCTTGCAGAATTGCTGCATTTTTTTAAGTAAAGAAAAACAAAAACAACTTGAGGGATAATACGTATTACATATATATGCATTTTAATGAGGATGAAGTAATGCATGCAAGGACAAACACCATGGTGTTATCACTGGTTACTTCAAGAAATAGCGAATGAGAGAATGCTGGTGGCAGTGGAACTTATTAATAATTTCCATTTTTTTGGTTCTTGTAACAATTTTCACTTTTGAAATGAATCTAAAATAAATTTCAGACTTTATAAAAACTGGATATTTTACATGCTTTACTACATAAAAATGTTTGAAATTTCCAAACTTTTAATGTCTGCTTTTAGTATACAAATTTATCATTCATCCACTTATGTACTTTAAACAAAATATTAAAGTGTCTTGTACTTATTTGAGAAAATTTTCTTGTAAAATCAAGATTTTGTGCATGAAGTTAAATATAAAATACATTCTCTTTAAAAATAAACTTAATTCTGAAAAAAAAGCTCAGTTCCATCCTTCCCAAATATGCCAATAGTATCTAAGTTTGTGCTGTGCGTGTGTAGTGAAAAGATTTAGTTATGACACTGGAGAAATTGTAAAGTAAAGGATTTAGTAAGAGGGGTACTAAATACAAAAAGAGAGAGATTGTTTTCTTTCTCCTGGATAATTTGTTTCTACTTCCAGAACCAGTATCCACTCTTCTCTGCCATACTTTCAGACCAGGTAGCTGACCTGTATGGACTGCATCAACGAAGTTATCTTGTACTCAGGCGTCCAGTTGGGTTCACCCAATGGGAGATGTTGGTGATAAACTAGAGGCCATGAAGATAGAATGGCCTGGGTATTTATTCCCCTGGCTTTCTCTATTGGACTGACAATGGCTGTGTCCCTCCATTTTTCCTGGAGGGTGACCCTTGTCCCATGCTTCAGCTTTTCTTGGGTTTTAGGCTCTGCATTTTCCCTCTACTCATTTATTTCCTCCTGTATAATCTTCAGGAAAACCATCTCTTAGGATTTTTCCTTAACCCTTCCCCCATTTTTATAGTCTTCTCAGTCACTCCTTTAAATATGACATCCAATTCCTGTTGAGACTCTTCCTAATATCCCACCCCTTACATGTGAGAGTAATCTACACTTCAGTTGTCAACTGACTATTTTTTCCAATACATTTACTTTCCTCTGGTAAGACAATCCCTTTCTGAAACTTCAAACACTAATTTCTTAGCTAAATCATATTTTATCTGTTCTAAATAACATAATGCCAAAACTCTGTGAAGATACATCTAGATAGCTAAAGAGAAAGAGAGGAAGAAGACCTAATGGTGTGATCATTGCCAACATATTTGATGGTGTTCAACAATTGGAATTCCAGAGGTGGTTAAATGCTTGACCTTTGCATGCCATTCACGGGGAGGAAATGGGAAGGAGTTTCATTGTATAAGACCTTGGCACTGACAGTGTTTGTCCTAACCAGTTCTAACAAACAAATTCTTTAACTGGAGATTGTTGAAGGACACCTTTGCTCAGCAATTTCCACTGTCTAAAAGTTATAACCACAGCAGTGAAACTCATTCCATGGCTGTTGATCATGGGAAAGGAACAGAGATGTTATAGTGGAGCTGACAGAGAATAGCAATTGGGAAGTCAGCTTAAATCAGCTTTGGAAATGAATCTTAGCCATTTGTATGAAGCAATTATTTCAATATGAATCTTTTCACTTTGAGGCATGTTTTACCTCACCAGTATTCTAAAAGTATCTGATAGCAAACAGGAACTACTTCATAGACTCTCTAGGGAAGATATGCCTGGCTCAGAATAGCAAATAAGGTAGTTTTACTAAAAGTTTTAATGGTAATGAAGAATTGCCTCTTGGAAATAGAGATCCTATGGGTTTCTACTTAGGGAAATTTTTCTGGACTTAGAAAATAGATAAGAAAACTTATTTAACTAATGTGTTAGTAAAGTCTCTTTAGTCTTTTTTGTGTGACCCTAGGATAACTAAGATCAGTTGAAAAATGAATTGCAGAAAAAGATTTCTTGGAGGTGAGAAGAAGGTGGGGAAGATTGTTTTGCAGGATTCTAATCTCTTTATCATTTGCTTTCATGAATGAAAGAGGGCTTGCATCGATACTAAGTCAGAGAACCTGTAGGAGGAAATAAGAGTCAGGGTCTTCCCCATCTGGGCAGGAAGTTATAGGTTGGGGAAATACCTTGAGGTCAAGCTACTGGTAGTAAGGATAATGCGTCCCAGCAATCTGTACCAAAATGTCCAGGCACTAACTAAATTTGAATGCTACCTCCACTTTTTTCCATAGGGAATTATTCAGTTTCTCCTACAAAAATAGGATTTTTGTTGATGCAGTTGCTGTTGTTTTTAAGACCACCTGGCCTATGAAGACACTATAAGCCTTTCAAATTGGAACTGCTCCCAGAAAAACTCACCTTTTGTTAATTTCCACTACATTTCCCCTGTTCTTTGTATTTTCTAGAGAAAGAAGAGGCATTCAAAAATATACAAGCAGATGTACACATGGATTCTCATGAAAACCAGATTGTACTGAAGAGACAATGAAGATATACTGTTATAATTCGTGATTTAACTGCCTCTTTTTTTAGAGCTGTTCTGAATCCTTTTAGATTTTGATCACTTATTTATCTTTCTATGTCTCTATTCTTTATCTCTATCTTTGTCTTTGTCTCTATCCCTGTCTCTGTCTCTGTATATATCCATGCTTTATCCTTCATATCAATTGTCTTTCATTGAATCTAGCCTAAAGATAGAACAGTTTTGTACTCATTTTCTTTGGAAACATCTTTACCCTGGAAGTGTGTCTCAAAGTATGGTCTGTGGACTATGCATAGCAGAAACACCTGAGAGGCTTAATGTAAAAATGAATACTTCTGGGATCCACTTGATATAAACCAAATCTAAATCTCTGGGAATTGGGATACATATTTGCAAGCACACCAGGTAATTGCCACACATGAGGACATGACCTAGACATAATATTCAACATGAATAAATTATTTCAGAAAATTAGTGATTTCTTTCCATATGAGAAGAAAGTCCAGCAGTCATTTCCTTAATCAACAACTTTTTAGTAAATAACTACTATATAAAAGTGAGCAAAGCAGACTTTTAGACTAATGGGAGAGTAGATGATTGATCAATTATTGATCTAAAGAAATGTAAAATAAAACAATGTTATGATACGAAGTGTTTATAGAGTAATATAATATAGTGTATTAGTTCATTTTCATGATACTGATAAAGACATACCCTAGACTGGGCAATTTACGAAAGAAAGAGGTTTAATTGGACTTCAGTTAATTAAACTGAAGTTTAATTAAATTCAGTGGCTGGGGAAGCCTCACAATCATGGTGGAAGGCAAGGAAGAGCAAGTCACATCTTACATGGTTGGCAGCAGTCAAAGAGAGAGAACTTGTGTGGGGGAATTCCTCTTTTTAAAACCATCAGGCCTCGTGAGATTTATTCACTATCACAAGAACAGCACAGGAAACACTTGCCCCCATGATTCAATTACCTCCCACCAGGTCCCTCCCACAACATGTGGGAATTCAAGATGAGATTTGGGTGGGAACACAAGCAAACCATATCACATAGAAACATTTAAGGCAGCTTAGAGTTCAGGGGAGACTTCCTTGAAGGAAATTACATTTAGGCTGAAAGAGGAGTCACCATGAACTAGGAGAAATACGGAGGGATCCCTTTTCTAGGCAGAAGGAATATCATGTGCTAAGCCCTGCAGCAAGTCCAGTGCATGGCATCACCTGAGACAGTGGTGTGGGGATATTTGGCACAGAGTGGGAAGGAGCCTGCCCATGTGGGGCTTGTGGAACATTTTTAGACTTTTTCCCAGATTGCAAAAATGGGCTTGTGGATCATGACTCTGTTTGCTAGGAAGATGCAGCATGATATATTAGACAGAGTACTGGAGAAAGAGATTAAGAGATTTCCCACCCTCTTCTGCCGCTAACTAGCTGTGTGACACAGTATAAATTACTTGGCGTTCATGACCTTTAACTTCCTTATCTGTAAAGCATGGATAATACACCTTACTGTAGTTATGAGAACACAGTCAAGGGATGTGAATGTGCTTTGGAAAACATAATTCACTATAGGCATATGAAGGATGACTGAAATTTTACTGTATGCTTTTAAAGTAGTTTCTCTGCTTTAACCTTTATTGTTACCCAGAACAGGGAAGTTACTCATTTACGTAGCCCTGTCATGCACTCAGTTCTTGATCTTGGTTTCTGCTGGCTTTCATCCACTATATTTTTTAACCGCTCCTTTATAGCTCTGCCCATTATGGTTACCCTAGTTTCATCAGGTTTGGATGACCCATGTTCCAGTTTGCAGTTCTGAAAAAACACTCATCCTCTCCTTTCCCTTTAGCCTTTTTGTGGCTGTAAGATTCTTCAGCCTGATATGTTTTGCTCCAATCGTAATTCAAACAACTGAATATGTATTTAAAACACCCAAACAATGCCCGTTATTCAAGTTTCCCTTTCTTAGCTGTGTGGTCTTAGAAAATTTTTGCCTGCCTCATCTTCAGTCTCTGATTTGGTTCCACTTTAAGGTGAAACATTAGCGCCCTTTGGTTCACATGCCATTTGATTTCTGTGTCTTCAGAAACACTGCCAATGATTGAGCGATATATCTGAATTTCTCATCTTTCTTTATCCTGGCTATCTACACTATCCTAAGCAGCACAGACTTATCTTCCTTTTCATGCATATTTCAATTTAAAAATATGCAGTGATTTAGCTTCAACTTACTGTTAACTTCTCAGCAGGTATTTCAGAGTAGTTAAACCTTCTTATCAAGGTTATTCTGGTTACTATCATCGGGTGGCAGACCATGAAGGAAGTAAAGGTGAGTCTCTAAGGTCCTTGGAGAGCAAGGCTTTCTCATATTTCTTTCAAACTCTTCAAAGTACAGGGCTGAGCCTAGAGCTAGTTATGGGCCTGCTGCCAGATCAGTAAGTGAGTGAGGGGACAGCTCAGAATTATGCTTTCAAGGTTTCTACAGGGTAAGATGTAGCAGTGGCTGTCTTTATCTCACAGCAGCCTTACAGTTCAACAGCTTCTTCTAGCTCATTTAACCCTACTTCAGGTTTAATGGGGAACTAAACCTGCTAACTTTTCTTCTCTGCCCTAAGGCAGATTCTCTTAGCTTATGGTGAACCTGTGCCTTCTCTAAGGGGATTTGTTCTTCATTTTATTCTGGAAGAGCCTCAACCCTAAGAGGCTTGACAATAATCCCCAAATGCTTTGTGTATGTTGCCTCATAAGGATTGAAAGAAATGTAAGCAAATTTAGGGCAGCCCTTCCATCTAAAATGTAATGTGGAATGTATATGTATTAAAATTTATCATGGTCCCCAGCTTATATGATTATGAAAATTACTTTTAGTTAACATATCCGATATATAAATGAAGTGAATGTGGGCCAGGAAAAAAATGTAAAAGTCAGACAGTGTCTCTTAGATGTCCTCTCTTCTCTTCTCTCTGAGCTTGACCTGAGCAGGAATTGATGTTAAAGAGAATATAAAGATATATTCTGAAGCAGAATATATCTGCTATAAAAGGTCATTTATGGCCTCTTGGGCTTTGTCTGCACAGAAGTGCCTGAGTTAGTTCTGGCAGAGTCAAGGCAGTTGTTTAAGGAGTCAAAAGAGTTGAAGTGACTCAAAAAGAGTTGCAGTGACTGGATGCCTGTGCCATAGTGCTGTCATTTCAATTTTCCATTATTGGCTGAATAAGTTAAAAAATTAAAGATTAATCAATGAGACACAAGTAAGACCTAATAATCAAATTTGTGAAGTTATTAGTCCTAAGTGGTTGGATGGGAAATATAGAATATATAAGAACTCTGCCCTGGGGTCTTGTGTCCAAAAAGGTAGGAATTTGACTTTCTTTTAAGCAATATAATACAGAATGTTCCCCTCCTTGTGTCCATGTGTTCTCATTGTTCAACTCCCAACTTATGAATGAGAACATGCAGTGTTTGGTTTTCCATTCCTGTGTTAGTTTGCTGAGAATGATGGTTTCTAGTTTCATCCATGTCCCTCCAAAGGACATGAACTCATCCTTTTTTATGGCTGCATAGTATTCTATGGTGTATATGTGTCACATTTTCTTTATCCAGTTTATCATTGATGGGCATTTGAGTTGGTTGCAAGTCTTTGCTGTTGTGAATAGTGCTGCAATAAACATACGTGTGCATGTGTCTTTAGAGTAGAATGATTTATAATCCTTTGGGTATATACCCAGTAATGGGATTGCTGGGTCAAATGGTATTTCTGGTTCTAGATCCTTGAGAAAACGCCACACTGTCTTCCACAATGGTTGAACTAATTTACACTCCCACCAACAGTGTAAAAGCATTCCTATTTCTCCACATCCTTGCCACATTTGTTGTTTACAGACTTTTTAATGATTGTTATTCTAACTGGCGTGAGATGGTATCTCATTGTGGTTTTGATTTGCATTTCTCTAATGACCAGTGATGAGCTTTTTTCTTGTTTGTTGACCCCATAAATGTTTTCTTTTGAGAAGTGTCTGTTCATATCCTTTGCCGACTTTTTGATGGGGCTGTGTTTTTCTTGTAAATTTGTTTAAGTTCTTTGTATACTCTGGACCTTAGATGGATAGATTGCAAAAATTTTCTCCCATTCTGTAGGTTGCCTGTTCACTCTGATGATAGTTTCTTTTGGTGAGCAGAAGCTCTTTAGTTTAATTAGATCCCATTTGTCAATTTTGGCTTTTGTTGCCACTGCTTTTGGTGCTTTAGACATGAAGTCCTTGCCCATGCCTATGTCTTGAATGGTATTGCCTAGGTTTTCTTGCAGGGTTTTTATGGTTTTATGTTTAAGTCTTTAATCCATCTTGAGTGAATTTTTGTGTAAGGTGTAAGGAAGGGGTCCAGTTTCAGTTTTCTGCATATGGCTAGCCAGTTTTCCCAGCACCATTTATTAAATAGGGAATCCTTTCCCCATTGCTTGTTTTTGTCAGGTTTGTCAAAGATCAGATGGTTGTAGATGTTTGGCATTATTTCTGAGGCCTCTGTTCTGTTTCATTGGTCTATATATCTGTTTTGGCACCAGTACTATGCTGTTTTGGTTACTGTAGCCTTGTGGTATAGTTTGAAGTCAGGTAGCATGATGCCTCCAGCTTTGTACTTTTTGCTTAGGATTGTCTTGCCAATGTGGGCTCTTTTTTGGTTCCATATGAAATTTAAAGTAGTTTTCTTTAGTTCAGTGAAGAAAATCAGTGGTAGCTTTCTGAGAATAGCATTGAGTCTATAAATTACTTTGGGAAGTATGGCCATTTTCATATGATTGTTCCTATCTATGAGCATGGAATGTTTTTCCATTTGTTTGTGTCCTCTCTTATTTCCTCGAGAAGTGGTTTGTAGTTCTCCTTGAAGACATCCTTCACATTCAACTGCTTGAAGTGGGGTTCATTGATTTCTGCTTGATGACAGTATTTTACTAATGACCACAGTCCACCAGAATGAGGAACCAAAATAAGGTGGTAGTACTGGATAAAAAGCTAGTGGGAAAGGACAACTTACCTTTGGTCAAAAGCTGGTGGTTTTAGTCAAAAGGCTTCATTTTGACCTCATCAAATGAGCTGGTTTGCACGTGTACATTTATTCCCATGTCACATATCTATGCCAAGTTCAGAATCAAACTATGTGGTATAGCTTACTAGTATTCTATAAGAGATGCCACTTTCTTGGAACTGATATCAAATTCTAAACCAGAGATTTCCACACCTTTCAACAAGTGTGTGTGTGTTTAGTTTTTCTTCTCTCAACAGCCAGGATATTTAAACCTTACTCTTTAATCAAAATATACAGGCAGGCTATTTCTAGAACCAATCTCATCTATGTGTATTATGGGACCTCAACTTTTACTCTGCTACCTTTAAATCACTTTTCTTATTTCTTTTAGACTTTCATCCAGCAAGTGAATATCAAGCACTGTCATCCCTCTCTGCCTACTAGTCAACTTTTTCAGCCTCCGTCAAGCAACCATCATTATATAAAAATAGAACTTGTTTGCAGATACATTTGAGTGTTTTATTACACATTTCTGCACCACTTAAAATAATGTAAGATGAAAAAATTAATATACTAATATTAGCAATAATGCAATTAAGATCAAGATGGAGAGAACATGAAATAGACCAAAGAATGTGGCTCTTCATTCTGGTTTAGATGCATGTTGCAAGCAAACTGGTTGATTATGCATTTAACTCTGAAGGACTATAAAACAGATTTTTTAAAATTTATGAAAATTTAGTCAAATATTATTGAAGATTATATAGCCAAACGATGGAGTGTTATAGTAAAGAAAATGAAGAAACTTTTAAAAGTTTTAGATTGAGATTTCATATCAATAAAATAGTCCATTGATATCCTAGAATCTTTCATTAGATTTTACATTATCTGATAGAGGTACAGCTTTCTTCAAACTCTTAACCATGAGAATTAGAGGGCAAGCCTTTCTCCTGTCAACTTAAAAAAATAATTTAAAACACTACCAAAGTTATCATCATAATCTCCTTTCCATCTCTTGCAAATTATCATCTGTGGATCCATTTTCCTTTATTAAAATATTTTCTCTGTGTATTATATATGACTTCAGTTAAACTAAGAACTAGAATTTGAGGTAAAAAACAAATTTATAAAATTAACATTAATGGCATTTATGTTTAATCTTGGTTGTTGAGATTCATAGATATATTGTATGACATTCAGGGGTTAAAATGCTGACAAATCCTTTCTGTACTGTACATAAAGAATTTTATAATTATTTTTTGTTCTCTGAGAGCAATCCTCCTCCACTGTCCTTTAGATAGTCTACTTGCAGTCACACTTTGAGGGAAGCTGTATGTGTAAAAGAAGCAAACCTCATCTAGAAGAAATATATGTTCCACAACTCCAAAAAGCTGACAACTTTATACTGTGTTTGAAATTGCCATGATTAGAGTCACACTTTTGGGTTAAATCTTTTATTACCATGTACACAATGGAAATGAAGCCCATAAAACAAAAAATGTTAGCATTTTTAATGGGCATTTTTCTAAAATGTATTGCAGATGTCCCTCTATTTTTAGAGTACACAGAGCATGATGACAAATGTTATCAATTATTTGATATCATTACCAGCATATATTCTTGTGCCATTTTGTACACTACTATTGGCTTTATGGATTTACATATATAGATGTATATGTATATTTAATAGCCACCATTTAACTTTAAATAATTTCATATCCCTTTAGTATATTTTTATTTCTTCTCCTTTTCTTTCTAGTAATATTTTGCTTTTTACAACTTTTAACCAAGCTTATAAAGTAAGATTTAGTAGCTTTATATAAGGAACTGAGAATCTCTGTTAAGAATAACAATTAAGAGTTTGGACACGTAGTTTTGGAGCTTGGTTTGACAACTTAGATGCTTCTTGGTCTTGGTTGTCTTCTGTAAGATCAAAATCATCCAATGAATGACAGCTCTAGAGGTGTGATGTTATCATAATGGGCTTTGGTTTATTAATGGCTTTATGAGTATTCCTAAAGGATTGGTAAGGTTTACTTTTCCTTTTATTATGAAATATTTCAAAAAAGCCAGAAATGCTCCTCCCAAATATTATTTTTAATGTGTATATATCCAAAACAGATTATGTAAAATATTAATATCTCCCATACTGTATTTACTTAAGGGTTTTTATTAAAAAAAAGTTATAGAAACTAAAGTTTTTTTTTAATTCCTCACAGATTTCCTTCTCTTTCTTCTTTTCTAGATATAGCCACTTGCCTAAAGTTGGCAGGCATTCACAGTTCATTTATATAATATAGCTGTATGTTTTTAAATTTTATGTGAATGTCACATTATATGTAATATTTTGTAATTTGTTTTCATTTAGAATTATTTTTTCAAGGTTGATCTATACAATACATGCTATGGTCTTAATGTTGGTGCTCCCCTAAAATTCGTATGATGCGACCTAATCTCCAGTGTGATAGTATTAAAAGGTGGCGCCTTCAAGACACCATTAGGTCATGAAGGTTCTGCCCTCATGTGTGAGATTAGAGCCATTATGAAACAGGCTTGAGGGGTTTTGTTTTTTTCCTTCTTCCACATGATGATGCAGTGGGAAGGAGCAATGTTTGAAACAAAGAGCAATCCTCCACTAGACACTGAATTTACTGACATGTGAAAATTAGATTTTTTGCCTCCCCAACTGTATATAATAAATTTCTATTGTTTATAAGTTACCCAGTCTAAGGTATTTTGTTACAGCAGCTCATTCAGGCTGTGTAACTTATAAAAAATACATAAACATGCAGTTATAGTTCTTAATTTTAAATGCTATGTAATATTTCATTACATGACTCTAATATAATTAATATGAATTTTTTTTTTGCTTTTATAAACAATGCTTCTATAAATATTCCTAAACCTGTCTCATTATGTATATTATGTCTTATTATACATGTGGGAGATTTTCTCTAGGGTGTATAGTAGGTAGTGGTATAGATAGGCTATAGAAATCTCTAGATATGGCAAAGTACTCTCAAGGTGATGCCAATTTTTATTCCCTTTAGCAATGCCTGAGCAATCCCATTTTCTCAATTCCTTGTCAACTGTTGATTTTGCCAGACTTAAATATTTTTTGCTACCCTGATGATGTGTTACTGATTGCCATTGTTTTAATATGTGCCAGGGAAGTAGAGCATTTTTTTTCTGATGTTTAGTGGCTATTCAGCTTTCTGGTTTTGTAAATTGTATATTCATATTCTTCAATATTTTCCTATTAGGTTGTTTGACTTCCTTTTATTCATTTGCAGATTTATTTATATATATTTGAATACTAATTATTGGACAATTATTTGTGTTACAATTATCTTTTCTGTGCCAATTATTTGTTTTTAAAATTTATTTGTGGCACCGTTCGCTTCACACAAAATGTTCTTTTTAGTTCTTAAATTTAGAAGAATTCAATATATTAGTCTTCTCCTGCTTGATCGGCACTTTTTGTTTCTTAATAAGATATTTTTTCTACCCCAAGGTCATAGAGATTTGTTTTTCCATCTGGCATTTATATATGCGTGCACTGTGACATAGATACTTAACTTTATTTTTCCGCGTAAACAATCAATTTTAGATCTCCTTGGGAATCATCAACATCATTTGGATATTGATATTTACTCATAATTAATTTTCATTGGTATTAAATATTCACTTTTGGGGGTTATGGTGTAGTAATATTTCATATCCCTGTTTAGAAGGTAAGTTCCTTCTAAAAAGAAACTTTGGATAAATTGATTTTTTATTTTTCACAATACCATTATTGATATTATAATTATTACTATTATTAATAATAGTGCCATGCTCTATGCTCAGTTGGAATGCAATAAAGTCATCATTTGTTCAGAATAAGAATCAAGCGTTGATTTTGTGTAAGAGCAATGACTAATCAGTGAAGCAAATTAACGGAACTCCAGCTGATAGTGATGATTAGTTACTATGTGCCAGGCATTATACTTACTTAATATTTTACTTGAATTAGATAATTTAACCCTCACAAATATTCTTTGAGATAAGTTCTATTATTATCCTATTTTCCAGAGGACACAGAAGAGGCGTAATACTAGTCTCAGCAGTTAGTTTTGACCATGACCAAAACCACACCAATGAAAAATATATGGCCAAATGTTTTAACATCCTATTTGTTCCAGTGTCTTCATTGTTACTTAGAGAAGTGCTTTTTGCAAAATTAATGGGAAATGGTCTGCCTAAATTATTTGGTTTTTATAGTAATTGTGTCTATAATCACCCGAGAATTACTAAATTGTTCCAAATAGTTCAATGTTTTACCTGACCTTAAGAATAATTTCTGGTGTGTTAAAGACAAGACACATTGTTAGACATTTTGTTTTTTTTAATCAAAATAGCAAGCCCTAATTAATCCAATCATTGGCAGTAAGGGCCAAGTGGTGGATAAGATTTTAAAGGTGGCTCTATCATAAGAGGAGAAAAGATGCAGGTTGAGTAAACTGCAACAGATATTTCATCACTGAGTAAAATATTCTAAAAATATTCAGGGCAGGGAGGAAAGAAAAACCAGTTTTGGGTTGAAACCAAAGAAACCTAAAGCCACATGATATGTTAATTTAGAGTAGTTCCACCTCTTCGCTTTGAGAATTCCCTAGTCATGTTAGTTTAGCTGCTTTTGTCCAGCTATTAACTGACAGCAGTCTGTTGCTCATTAGTGAAGAAATATTGAGTCCTCTGCATGGTATAAAAGAGTTACAAGCTAAATAAGATTTTAAAAAATATGCTGTATAGTACAATCACAGACTTAGTTCTTTCAATGATGTGTAACAGTCCAAATCAACACAATAGCATTCTATAAAGCACATCCTTAAATTGCCTACTTAACTTTTAGAGAAGAAAGGGTCAGAAAAACATTTTCTGTGGTAACTATTAAAATGCCTTTGTAAATGGGTTTCATGTCATTTCAACAAATATTTCTTCAGGGCTTGCCTTAACTCTTATACTGTATAACCAAGATTACCAAGATAAAAGACTTATCCTAATTCTTGAGGAATACATGGTCTTGATTAGTGTGATAGTACTAGCTGTCACTTAGCTATTTCCTGAGAGTAGACTGGAGGACACATGAAGTTTTGATAGTATATTTGTTGCAAAAATGACCCAATTCTTCTGTTCTTCTCTGTGATCATGTATTTGCAGTGTAACTTTGAAAGTGCCTCTCATTAAGAGACGGAGCCTGGCCTTGTTACTTGCTAATAATGTAACAGAAATGACAGCATGCAAGCTCCAAGTTTACGCCTTAAGAGGCTTTGTTTCTGCTCTTGTGAAACCCTCCCACACCTATGAAAACAGCTCAGGGTAGTCTAGACCAGCCAACCCTAGCTGATTAGCTAGTTGATTACAGAAGTATGAGTGAGCCTAGTTGAGATCAGCTTATGTCATTCTAGTTCAATAATTTTGCCCAGCCCACCCATGGCTCATGAGAAGTAACAACTGATTATTATTTTAAGTCTTAAAATATAAGCCACTAGGTTTTAGAATAGTTTGTTATGCAGCAGTAGCTAATTATTTCTATCAATTGATAGAAACATGAAAAATATTTGTGGGCATGGGTATGGCTCTAGAAAGGCAAATCCTCTCAAAGCACCTCAGGAAGTTTTAGGCAGCCAGGAACCTATAAGAATGTTCATGGGCAGGTGCTTGGTGGGAAAGTACTGACATAAGGACAGCTGAGAGATTATCAAGTCAAACTTGACCAACTTCACAAGCTCTCCAAAGATCAGGTTTTTCAGTAGGGATTGCCAAGTATCTATACGTCCTCATTTAGGTGTGCGACAGTCATGTTTAATGTCAAAATCTAATGTCAAAAGACCATAGAATGTGAGAACTGATAGAAACTTGAAATAATTCATATTTTCATCTTGCAAATAAATAAGAAATTGGGGCCCAGTAATGATCAATAAACTGTCTTAAACCATGCAGAGAACTCTTATCTCAGACTGTTGGCCTTGAATCTTGTCAAAGGGTCCTCAGACTTACCTGTTCCTCTTTTTTGCTATCTCCCCTATAGTTCAGGGCTTCATCACCTGGTACTTGATTTACTGCAATGGCCTATTTCTTGATATTTCTTCTTCTTGCAGTGTTTTGTAATGGGAGTATCAATTGGCATTTTAGGTAGGAAAGTTCTTCATTGTGGGAAACTGTCTTCTGCATTGCTGGACATTTTTTTCCACCTTGACACCAAGGTAATAAATGATTTTCTTATTGCTCCTACCTCGGCATATGGCCCCCCCACCTTCACACTGATTATGAAAATAAAAAATATCCCACATCTCAAAAAGGTATTTATACATTTATAAATATCTTTTTGTAGCAGAATTATTCACCATAGCCAAAAGTTGGAGACATCCTAAGCACCAATTGATGGATGAATAGATACATAATATGTGGTGTATACATACAATGGAATATTATTCAGCTTTGAGAAGGAAGTAAAGTCTGATGGATGCTACAACATAGGTGAACCTTGAGGACATTATGCTGAGGGAAATAAAGTCACAAAAAGACAAATACTGTATGATTCCACTTACATGAAGTATGTGGGGTAATCAAATTCATAGAAACAGAAGTCAGAATGGTGGTTCCTAAGGAATGAGGGAGGAGAGGATGGGGAATTATTGTGTAATGGGCGCAGAATTTCAGTTTTACAAGTTGAAAAGGCTTTTGGCGATGGATGGCTGTGATAGTTGCACAGCAATGTGAATGTACTTAAATGCCACTGACTTGTATACTTAAAAATGGTTAAGATGGTTGTCTTAGTTCAGGCAGTGATAACAAATTATCATATAATGGGCAGCTTAAACAATAAACATTTACTCTCACACTTCCAGAGTCTGGGAAGTCCAAGATCAAAAATCCAGCAGATCCAGTGTCTGGTGAGGGCCTTCCTCCTGATTTACAGATGGCTGTCTTCTCTTGGTATACTCACATAAAGGAGAGCAGAGACAGAAAAAGCAAGCTCTCTTGTGTCTCTTCTTATAAGGGAACTGACTAATCCTACCATGACGGTTTCAGTGTGAGGCTGTGATTCTCTATTTTAACCTGACATCTGTTGATTTCCAAGATAACCTGCCTACCCAGAAGGGGCAAGGTTTGCTTTAGAATAACTCATATTTTCAGTAGTAGGATCCACTTCTATTTATGTAAATAGAAGACAATTTGTAATTTGTACTTAACTTTATTATTATTATTTTTTTTTAGAGATCAGGGTCTCACTTTTTCATCCAGGCTGACATGCAGTGGCACAATCGTAGATCACTGCAGCCTTGAACTCCTGGGCTCAAGAGATCCTCCTGCCCCAGCCTCCCAAGTAGCTGGGACTACAAGCTTGCACCACCATGCCTGCTAATTTTTAAAATTTTTTTTTTTTTTTTTTGGTAGAGATGGGGTCTTGCTATGTTGTTGAGGCTGGCCTTGTACTCCTGGGCTCAAACAATCCTCCCACTCAGCCTCCCAAAGTGTTGGAATTCTAGGCATGAGCCACTGCATCCAGTCCTTAACATTTTTTCTGTTGATTTTGGGATAGAGCTGATGATTATATTTCTATATAACACTTCCTTTAGCCACAGAGGAGAGATGAAACTAGAGGGAAAAGATTTCATTTACCTGTTCCTCACTGTGCATTTCCAAGGCAACATTTCAGGGTAGTAAAACTTCCTCTTTGACCACAAATATTTCTAGTACATTTTTCAATGCAAAATTATGAGTGACATTCAAATTTATTTTCATTAGAACATTTAGGTGCCCTTTTAAGTAGTCCTGATTTGTCCTAAGGTTATGGCATTCCATGTTCAAATAGGAAAGGGGGGCTGCAAATGTGATGGAGAGGTAGGCAGGCACACTTGGCACATTTGTGTTTTCTAATGTGCTTTGTGTGGTCTGAAGCAAACCACACAGTGGCAAAAGTGAGTGTAGAAAACCCCATGTCTCCTGGTCTTCTAACAAGTTGACCTGTGTGCCAGAGTGGACAAGGATGGAAAATTCTTCAAAGAAAAACAAATGTTGGCCGGGTGCGGTGGCTCCCGCCTGTAATCCCAGCATTTTGGGAGGCCGAGACTGGCGGATTGCCTGAGCTCAGGAGTTCGCGACCAGCTTGGGCAAACAGGGTGAAACCCTGTCTCTGCGAAAATACAAAAAAAATTAGCCGGGCGAGGCCGCGTGCGCCTGTAGTCCCAGCTACTAGAGTCGCTGAGGCAGGAGAATGGCGTGAACCCGGGAGGCGGAGGTTGCAGTGAGCCGAGATCGCGCCACTGCAAAAAAAAAAAAAAAAAAAAAAAAAAAAAGACAAGAAAGAATAAAAGGAATATTATGGGAAACACCTTTATAAATCCAAATTTGTAATGGATTAAGGCTATAAGGAATCCTATTCACGTAGTTCTCGTGCTGCTAATGTTGTTTTAAAATTCAGAATTAATGTTACTTCTCTTCTAGATATCTGATGCCCTAAAAAATTGCCCCACATCACAGGAAAAACACCTATGACGGTTTCATATGTGTCATGCTCTAACCCTTTACTTAGTGTTTTCGGGTTCCATGTGAGAATTACAATATAGCTTAAAAATGTGTGAGCTTCAAATTCATCTGTGTTATTACCAAACTGTAAACGATTTTATGACTGTTATACAAGTTCGATATGGACAGAGACTGCAAATACAGGTTTGTGTTCGCTGTCTTTCAGGTAATTAGATTCAAAACGACTCCCTCCTGTAAAATCAGAATGACCCCCTAACCCCAGGTGAGGAAGTGATGATTATTATTTCAAAGTAGGGTAGGGGGTCCTTGAACTGTACTCTGTGGAAACCCCTGGTAAAGGGAGAGAGGTGGTGCATGGCTGGAGGTCAGGCCAGAACTTATCTAACTATATTAAGCCCATGTATAAGCTTTTATTCGAATTAAAAGTGCAATTGCAAAAAATTCAAAAGCTGGTTTTGAACACGTTATAGTTTTTAAAGTTAATTTTTCATGTCACATCTCTCTTCTATCACCTTTCTATATCCTCTGTCTTTAGTGTCTTGATCTTCATTTCAATCAATCATCAGTCAATCAATTAATTAACAAAGCCTCTATGGCCTCCTTTTAGAAAGGTTAACTTGTGGTAGGAATAGATAGTTGGAAGGCTCTCTTCACTACTCCATAATCTCTTTTTCTCTACCTTCCCCACTTTGATTTCTGCTTTGTTTTCTACTCTGTTACTCTAACACTCAGTTTTCGTTCTACAATTCTCTCTCTCCTCCTCCTACTTTCCACCTTTCCATCCTGACCTCTGTCTCCCTCCTACTTTCCTCCCTCTTTTTCCCCATCCTCTTCATATCTCAAGTGCGACCACTAAAGATAGTGAGGGAGAGAAGAGGAGTCAGAGACAGAAAATAATGTATGTCTGTGTTATAGCTGCCACTATTCTCTCCTCTTTTTCTGTGTCCTCATTTGTCCAACTTTCGCTGTATCCTAGTTCCCTCTATTAAAAATATAGGCTGTAGGCATGAAGTTCTTCAGAGAAAAGCAAATCACAGCCCTAGCTGAGACAACCTGTGATGCTGGCAGGTGTGCCTTCCGATGCCCTCATGCTTCTCTGGGATTATTTCCCCCTCTCCTTTATAACATTTGTCTCCTGCTCCAAGAATGCCCTACCTCGTTGCAGCACATCACTAGAAAAAGTGAATTCTCAGTGAACATGAAACAGGGATTGGCAAGTTTTTTTCAGAAAGATCCGGATAGTAAATATGTTAAGCTTTGAAGACCATACACAGTCTCCCTTGCAACTACTGAAGTCTGCAGTTGTGGGATAAAACCAGCCATAAGCAACACATAAATGAGTGGGCATTACCATATTCCAACAAAACTATATTCCTGTACACTGAAATTTGAATTTCAAATACTTTTCATGTGTCACAAAACATTATCTTCTTTTGTTTTTTTCCAACCACGTAAAAGTATAAAAACCATTGTTAACCGGTAAGCTGAAAAAAACAACAAAGAAACAGGCGATGAGTCAGATTTAGCTTGAGGGCTGTAGTTTGCAGACCCACTACTATAAATAATAAACTCTCACAGGTTAGAGATTTTATATGAATGGCATGGAGTTTAATCTACTTCTATTTCAGCATGAGTTGTGCACACAGGCAAGTCTCTTTAAATATGCTATGTCCCAAGGCTCCCTTATAATATTTGATTATCCCAAATCTTAATTGAAGAGAGATATTCCATCTTAAAAGAATTTAAAATTACTCAGGAAGTTAGCTTTGCAGAGCATTGTGATCCATACAAGTCACCTTTTACATTTCCATTTGTGAGGCACTGACCACAGGTGGTCTCTTTCTGTGGCACATTTTCCATCTGTAATTATCTCCATCTAAAAGAAGCTTGAAATGGGCTGCTACATAAATGATGTTGCTCTCCTCCAAGCATGATGCCTGAACAAGGGGAGGCAGGAGAATTAGGAAAGATCTTGTGAGGAGAGGAAAGGATTCTTACCCCCTGAGGGAGGTTTTTTATAACCAGAACCAGTAACAAGAGTGACCCAAATTTAAATAGGGCTGACAAGTTAAAATTGTACTCCAATGGCCTCTAGGATTATTTATACAATTCCCTCACTCTTCCTCCTTCAGAAAAAAACTGTATTCCTAAAAGGATAGCATTTCCACAGCACGCCCTCCCTAGCACCACTGACAGCTCTCGGCTTTTCACCTGCAAGTGCCTTTGATCACTTTGAAAATACAAAGGGCTTTGACAAAGAACTGAAAGAAGGAGTTGGCTTCCTGTGAATTTTTCACCAACTTTGTTTCTTTCAGAGCTGGAGTCCACCATTTATATCCAAGCAACAAAACGACTGCAGCATTTGAACAGCAGAAAATTGAGAGTAGGAAAATTGAATTCTGAAGCTGAAGGACAAAGTACAGAATCAAAGGCCTTTTCTTGTAAATGAGTTATGTTCAATCTTGCTTTCTCATTTATCTTCTCTTTGTTGTTGTCAGACTATTTTCCCAACTAGATATCCATACTGGGAAGTTTTGCTTTAAGGCAATTTGATATCTAGAGATAAAAACAACATACAACTTGCAGAAGTGGTGGGTTTTCTTAGAAATTAAAAGAATTATTTGTTGCAATGGCTTTTAAAAATCCTGTGGCAAGGATCTTATATTAGTACAAACAGTCCCCAACATATAAATGGATTGTGGGCCAAAAGTTTATTTGTGAGTCAGCTGTGTGTAACTTGGAAAGCATTTACTCATAGGAACAGTGTTATAAGTAATGTCCGGACACCAGCAGTTTGTCACAATGGCTTGTGTAATCCAGTATCATACATTTGAAACAGTAAAATAACACTGTTAGAGTTTCTCTGACGACTGCTGGCTTTAATTTCACTTCAGAGAATAGAGTCTTGAGAGTGTTGTTAATTGAAGGCAGAACATGGACAGAGGGAAGAGTAAAGGAGAGATGCTCAAGGCATAAGGAACCAGAAAGAGAAGTCTGCATGTGTCATAGAAAGCTCCCTCTAGTCCACAGTTATGTCTAAAACCATCTTTTGTTGTCTCCAATTATTTGTTGTCTCCAACTAGAGCAAATAAAAATTATTCCACGAGGTATTTGAGGTGCTCTAAGCCATTCATGAAGCATAAAAAATTTTTTCCAACTTTAATTTTTCTATTGCTGATCCTGAGGGATACACAGTACGTAGTGGGAGAGACTTTGGGGCCTCCAAGAAAAAGGCCTCTGTGTAGCAAATCTGCTCTGTCACAATCTGGCCCAGTATTTATTTAAAGGGTAACATGTTTGTAAGGAGGACCCAAGCCACAGTATACCTGTGTATTATTGGAACAGACTTTTTTTATGTTTAACTTTTTATTTTGAAAAATTTTTTAAAATTATACTTTAAGTTCTAGGGTACCTGTGCACAACGTGCAGGTTTGTTACATAGGTATACATGTGCCGTGTTGGTTTGCTGCACCCTTCAACTTGTCATTTACAGTAGGTATTTTTCCTAATGCTATCCCTCCCCCAGACCCCCCCACCACGACAGGCCCCTGTGTGTGATGTTCCCTGCCCTGTGTCCATGTGTTCTCATTGTTCAACTCCCACTTATAAGTGAGAAGATGTGGTGTTTCGTTTTCTGTCCTTGTGATAGTTTGCTGAGAATGACGGTTTCCAGCTTCATCCATGTCCCTGCAAAGGACATGAACTCCTCTTTATGGCTGCATAGAATTCCATGGTGTATATGTGCCACATTTCCTTAATCCAGTCCATCATTAATGGACATTTGCGTTGGTTCCAAGTCTTTGCTATTGTGAATAGTGCTGCAATGAACATATGTGTGCATGTGTCTTTATAGTAACATGATTTATAATCCTTTGGGTATATACCCAGTAATGGGATCGCTGGGTCTTGTGGTATTTCTAGTTCTAGATCCTTGAGGAATCACCACACTATCTTCCACAATGGTTGAACTAATTTACACTCCCACCAACAGTGTAAAAGCATTCCTATTTCTCCACATCTTCTCCAGCATCTGTTGTTTCCTGACTTTTTAATGATCACCATTCTAGCCGGTGTGAGATGGTATCTGATTGTGGCTTTGATTTGCATTTCTCTGATGACCAGGGTTGATGAGCATTTTTTCATATGTCTGTTGGGGGCATAAATGTCTTCTTTTCAGAAGTGTCTGTTCGTATCCTTTGCCCACTTTTTGATGGGGTTGTTCATTTTTTTCTTGTAAATTTGTTTAAGTTTTTTGTAGATTCTGGATATTAGCCCTTTGTCAGATGGGTAGATTGCAAAATTTTTCTCCCATTCTGTAGGTTGCCTGTTCACTCTGATGATAGTTTGTTTTGCTGTGCAGAAGCTCTTTACTTTAATTAGACAAATTACCATTTGTCTATTTTGCTTTTGTTGCCATTGCTTTTGGTGTTTTAGTCTTGAAGTCTTTGCCCATGCCGGTGTCCTGAATGGTATTGCCTAGATTTTCTTCTAGGGTTTTTATGGTTTTAGGTATTACATTTAACTCTTTAATCCATCTTGAGTTACTTTTTGGATAGTGTGTAAGGAAGGGATCCAGTTTCAGCTTTCTACATATGGCTAGCCAGTTTTCCCAGTGCCATTTATTAAACAGGGAATCCTTTCCCCATTGCATGTTTTTGTCAGGTTTGTCAAAGATCAGATGGTTGTAGATGTGTGGTATTATTTCTGGGGACTCTGTTCTGTTCCATTGGTCTAGATATCTGTTTTGGTACCAGTACCATGCTGTTTTGGTTACTATAGCCTTGTAGTATAGCTTGAAGTCAGGTAGCATGATGCTTCCAGCTTTGTTCTTTTGGCTTAGGACTGTCTTGGCAATGCAGGCTCTTTTTAGATTCCATATGAACTTTAAAGTAGTCTTTTCCAATTCTATGAAGAAAGTCATTGGTAGCTTGATGGGGATGTCATTGAATCTATAAATTACTTTGGGCAGTATGGTCATTTTCATGATATGGATTCTTCCTATCCATGAGCATGGAATGATCTTCCACTTGTTCATGTCCTCCTTTATTTTGTTGAGCAGCGGTTTCCAGTTCTCCTTGAAGAGGTCCTTCACATCCCTTATAAGTTGGATTCCTAGGCATTTTATTCTCTTTGTAGTAATTGTGAATGGGAGTTCACTCATGATTTGGCTCTCTGTTTGTCTGTTATTTGTGTATAGGAATTCTTGTGATTTTTACACTTTGATTTTGTATCCTGAGACTTTGCCTAATTTGCTTATCAGCTTAAGGAGATTTTGGGCTGCGACGATGGGGTTTTCTAAATATATAATCATGTCATCTGCAAACAGAGACAATTTTACTTCCTCTTTTCCTATTTGAATACCCTTTATTTCTTTCTCTTGCCTGATTACCCTGGCCAGAACTTCCAACATTATGTTGAATAGGAGTGGTGAGAGATGGCATCCTTGTCTTGTGCCAGTTTTCTTTTTTTTTCTTTTTTTTTTTTTTTTTTTGAGACGGAGTCTCGCTCTGTCGCCCAGGCTGGAGTGCAGTGGCGGGATCTCGGCTCACTGCAAGCTCCGCCTCCTGGGTTCACGCCATTCTCCCGCCTCAGCCTCCCAAGTAGCTGGGACTACAGGCGCCCGCCACTACGCCCGGCTAATTTTTTGTATTTTTAGTAGAGACGGGGTTTCACCATTTTAGCCGGGATGGTCTCGATCTCCTGACCTCGTGATCCGCCCGCCTCGGCCTCCCAAAGTGCTGGGATTACAGGCGTGAGCCACCGCGCCCGGCCTTGTGCCAGTTTTCAAAGGGAATGCTTCCAGTGCTTGCCCATTCAGTGTGATATTGGCTGTGGGTTTGTCATAAAGAGCTCTTATTATTTTGAGATACATTCCATCAATACCTAGTTTATTGAGAGTTTTTAGCATGAAGGGTTGTTGAATTTTGTTGAAGGCCTTTTCTGCATCTATTGAGATAATCATGTGGTTTTTGTCGTTGGCTTTGTTTATGTGATGGATTACATTTATTGATTTGCATACGTTGAGCCAGCCTTGCATCCCAGGGATGAAGCCGACTTGATTATGGTGGATAAGCTTTTTGATGTGCTGCTAGATTCAGTTTGCCAGTATTTAATTGAGGATTTTCACATCGATGTTCATCAGGGATATTGGCCTAAAATTCTTTTTTTTGTTGTTGTTGTGTCTCTGCCAGGATTTGGTATCAGGATGATCCTGGCTTCATAAAATAAGTTAGGGAGGTTACCTCTTTTTCTGTTGATTGGAATAGTTTCAGAAGGAATGGTAGCAGCTCCTCTTTGTACCTCTGGTAGAATTTGGCTATGAGTCTGTCTGCTCCTGGACTTCCTTTGGTTGTTGGGCTATTAACTATTGCCTCAATTTCAGAGCCTGTTATTGGTCTATTCAGAGATTCAACTTCTTCCTGGTTTAGTCTTGGGAGGGTGTATGTGCCCAGGAATTTTTCCACTTCTTCTAGATTTTCTAGTTTATTTGCATAGAGGTGTTTATTGTATTCTCTGATGGTAGTTTGTATTTCTGTGGGATCAGTGGTCATATCCCCTTTATCATTTTTTATTGCATCTATTTGATTCTTCTCTTGTTTCTGCTTTATTATACTTGCTAGCAGTCTATCTATTTTGTTGATCTTTTCAAACGACTAGCTCTTGGATTCATTGATTTTTCAAAGGGTTTTTTGTGTCTCTATCTCCTTCAGTTCTGCTCTGATCTTAGTTATTTCTTGCCTTCTGTAGCTTTTGATTTCGTTTGCTCTTGTTTCTCAAGTTCTTTTAATTGTGACGTTAGGGTGTCAATTTTAGATCTCTCCTGCTTCCTCTTCTGGGCATTTAGTGCTGTAAATTTCCCTCTACACACTGCCTTAATTGTGTCCCAGAGATTCTGGTACATTGTGTCTTTGTTCTCATTGGTTTCAAACAACATCTTTATTTCTGCCTTCACTTCATTATTTACCCAATAGTCACTCAGGAGTAGGTTGTTTTGTTTCCATGCAGTTGTGCGGTTTTGAGTGAGTTTCTTAATCCTGAGTTCTAATTTGATTTGCACTGTGGTCTGAGAGACAGTTTGTTGTGATTTCTGTTCTTTTGCATTTCCTGAGGAGTGTTTTACTTCCAATTATGTGGTCAGTTTTAGAATAAGTGTGATGTGGTGCTGAGAAGAATATATATTCTGTTGATTTGGGGTGGAGAGTTCTGTAGATGTCTATTAGGTCCGCTTGGTGCAGAGCTGAGTTCAACTCCTGGATATCTTTGTTAACCTTCTGTCTTGTTGATCTGTCTAATATTGACCATGGGGTGTTAAAGTCTCCCATTATTATTGTGTGGGAGTCTAAGTCTCTTTGTAGGTCTGTAAGGACTTGCTTTATGAAGCTGGGTGTTCCTGTATTGGGTGCATATATATTTAGGATAGTTAGCTCTTCTTGTTGAATTGATCCCCTTACCATTATGTAATGGCCATCTTTGTCTCTTTTGTTCTTTGTTGGTTTAATGTCTGTTTTATCAGAGACTAGATTATAACCCCTGCTTTTTTTGTTTTCCATTTGCTTGGTAGTTCTTCCTCCATCCCTTTATTTTGAGCCTATGTGTGTTTTTGCACACGAGATGGGTGTCCTGAATACAGCACATCAATGGGTCCTGACTCTTTATCCAATTTGCCAGTCTGTATCTTTTAATTGGGGCATTTAGCCCATTTACATTTAAGGTTAATATTGTTATGTGTGAATTTGATCCTGTCATTATGATGTTAGCTGGTTATTTTGCCCATTAATTGATGCAATTTCTTCATAGTGTTGATGGTCTTTACAATTTGTCATGTTTTTGCAGTGGCTGGTACTGGTTGTTTCTTTCTATGTTTAGTGCTTCCTTCAGGAGCTCTTTTAAGGCAGGCCTGGTGGTGACAAAAATCTCTCACCATTTGCTTTTTTGTAAAGGATTTTATTTCTCCTTCATTTATGAAGCTTAGTTTGGCTGGATATGAGATTCTGGGTTGAAAATTCTTTTCTTTAAGAGTGCTGAATATTGGCCCCCACTCTCTTCTGGCTTGTAGGGTTTCTGCTGAGAGATTTGCTGTTAGTCTGATGGGCTTCCCTTTGTGGGTAACCCCATCTTTCTCTCTGGCTGCCCTTAACATTTTTTCCTTCATTTCAACCTTGGTGAATCTGATGATTATGTGTCTTGGGGTTGCTCTTCTCAAGGAGTATCTTTGTGGCGTTCTCCATATTTCCTGAATTTGAATGTTGGCCTGCCTTGCTAGGTTGAGGAAGTTCTCCTGGATAATATCCTGAAGAGTGTTTTCTAGCTTCGATCCATTCTCCCCATCACTTTCAGAAACCCCAACCAAACATAGATTTGGTCTTTTCACATAGTCCCATATTTCTTGGAGGCTTTGTTCATTTCTTTTCACTCTTTTTTCTCTAATCTTGTCTTCTCACTTTGTTTCATTAGTCTGATCTTCAGTCATTGATATCCTTTCTTCCACTTGATCGAATCAGCTATTGAAGCTTGTGCATGTGTCATGAAGTTCTCGTGCCATGGTTTTCAGCTCCATCAGGTCATTTAAGCTCTTCTCTACACTCTTTATTCCAGTTAGCCATTAGTCTAACATTTTTTCAAGGTTTTTAACTTCCTTGCAATGGGTTAGAACATGCTCCTTTAGCTCAGAGAAGTTTGTTATTGCCAACCATCTGAAGCCTACTTCTGTCAACTCGTCAAACTCATTCTCCATCCAGTTTTGTTCCTTTGCTGGTGAGGAGCTGTGATCCTTTGGAGGAGAAGAGGCATTCTGGTTTTTGGAATTTTCAGCTTTTCTGGTCTGATTTCTCCCCATCTTTGTGGTTTTATCTACCTTTGGTCTTTGATGTTGGTGACCTACAGATGGGATTTTGGTGTGGATGTGCTTTTTGTTGATGTTGATGCTATTCCTTTCTGTTTGTTAGTTTTTCTTCTAACAGTCAGGGCCTTCAGCTTCAGGTCTGTTGAAGTTTGCTGGAGGTCCACCCCACACCCTGTTTGCCTGGGTATCACCAGCGGAGGCTGCAGAACAGCAAATATTGCTGCCTGATCCTTCCTCTGGAAGCTTCATCCCAGAGGGGCACCTGCCTGTATGAGGTGTCTGTCGGCCCCTACTGGGAGGTATCTCCCAGTCAGGCTACACGGGGTCAAGGACCCACTTGAGGAGGCAGTTTATCTGTTCTTAGAGCTTGAACACCATGCTAGGAGAACCACTGCTACCTTCAGAGCTGTTAGACAGGGATGTTTAGGTCTGCTGAAGCTGTCTGCTGCCTGTTGTTCTGATATGTCCTGCTCACAGAGGTGGAATCTAGAGAAGCAGTAGGCCTTGCTGAGCTATGGTAGGCTCCATCCAGTTTGAGCTTCCTGGCCTCTTTGTTTACACTGTGAACACAAAACCGCCTCATCAAGCCTCAGCAATGCTGGACACCCCTCCCTCCACCAAGCTGCAGCGTCACAGGTCGATCTCAGACTGCTGCGCTAGCAGTGAGCAAGGGTCTGTGGGCTTGGAACCCACCAAGCGAGGCATGGGAGGGAATTTCCTGGACTGCCTGTTGTGAAGACTGAGGGAAAATCACAGTATTTGGGCAGGAGTGTACCATTCCTCCAGGTACAGACTGTCACGGCTTCCCTTGGCTTCCCTTGTGTTTCCTGGGTGAAGCGATGCACTGCCCTGCTTCAGCTCGCCCTCTGTGGCCTGCACACACTGTACAACACATCCCAGTGAGATGAACCAGGTACCTCAGTTGGAAATGCAGAAATCATCCATCTTCTGCGTTCATCTTGTTGGGAGCTGCAGACTGGAGCTGTTCCTAGTCAGCCACCTTGGAAGCCTCCCTCCTGAAATAATTTTCGACTTAAAGAAAAGTTGCAGAATAACGCAGAAAGTGCCCATGTACCTTTTATTCAGCTTTCTGCCATGTTAATATTTTAAACAGCCATAGTAAAATTAGCCAAACCAGACAATTAACATTGGTACAATACCATAATGAAACTATACAGACCTTTCTCAGATTTACCTAGTTTCCCCTGATGTTCATTTTCTGTTTCAAGATCCAATTCAGGATCCCATGTTACCTTTAATTGTCCCGTCTCTGGTCTTTTCCAACCTGTGACAGTTCCTTAGTCTTTCCTTGTCTTTCATAACTTTGACATTTTTGGGGAGAACTGGTAAGTATTTTTATAGACTGTTCCTCTTTGAAGTTGTGCATTTTGTGCAAAAATAGTATAGAAATGATGTTGTATCTTTTCCAATGCATCGTGTCAATATGTTTTACTTACTTATTTATGTCAGCATGGATTCATGGATTTTTTTCCCCCTGTTCTATAGGTTATAGTCCAATATTATCATCATTTGATGGAGCAGGTTATATTTTTTTAACCTCGTGCATTCTGAGCTCCTAAAAGGCAAAAATTATATAAGAAAAAGGTAGATCCTCTCACCTATATCAAGATACCAAATTTGAGTGCAAGGCCTGAATGAATGTTTCAGAAATGCTAGAGCAGCTGAAATACATTGGCAAACTTTTGGTAATACGTAATTCTGGAGAAGCTTGGCTCAAGCAAGCAATTCAAAGATACCCTCAATGGCTAGAGATAAAATTTTGAAAACTAGGAAAAAGAAAGTACATTTAGTTAGGAAGATGATGATTCTAATATAGTATCCAGAGGCTTTGAATGCTTAGAAATTGTTCAAAAGTGAGAAGGTACAACTTCTTTGCTTCAACTGAATCCTTCTTCCTGTTATTTCCTGTTTACTAGGGAAAAGAGAAAGAACACAAAAATCTGCAAGTGTTCTGTTAGAAAAGAAACCTCCTTCTGTGTACTATTTCAGAACCAGTGTTCTGAGAAAAGCCAAAAGCAAACAGTTGTTAAATTTCTTAAACATTGATTCTTTCCCCTGGGTGAGTTGTTCTTTAGTGCTGAAAATCATTTCCCCTTTCCCTGAACTCCCATAGCTCCTTTGTACTTTTTGTACGCCATTAACACATTGAGTCCTGTGCTGTAACTCTCTATGTCTAAACTTCCTAATCTTTCCTGTTTAAAGATAAGCTGCTTTGATGATATTAATGAATTGCTTTTTAAGGCTTAATAACAGTATTGTGAATTTATTTTTCAGGAGTCATCGATTTTGGAAATATATACTAAGATATTTGTGGATTTCATAATGTGATGTTTTGGATTTATTTCAAAATCATCTTGAATGGCACTGAGGTGAATGAGTAGCTTATGTGTAGGGTATAGGAGAATATTCTTATAACCCTGAATCAAAAAGAACTTTTTAAAAACTGTGTTTATTTAAATTGTACCACACGATGATTTGATATACATAGTGAAATAATTACTATGGCCAAGGAAATTAAGATATCCCTCATCTCACATAGTTACCTTGTGTCTCTGTGTGTGTATAAGTGAAAAGTACCTAAAATCTACTCTCAGGAAATATCCAGAGTCCTCATCCTGTACATTAGGTCTCTAGAGTTATTCACCCTATGTAACTGTAACTCTGTGCCCTTTGACCTACATCTCCTCATTCTACTCCCATCACCCCACCCCTGAAAATCACTGCTGTACTCTCTGTTTCTAAGGCTTAAGTTTTTTTTTCTTTAAGTTTCCTCATATAAGTGAAATTATGTCATACATTTTTCTGTGTCCGGCTTATTTCACTTAGCATAATGTTCTCCAGGTCTATGTTGTCACAAATGACATTATTTTTTTTCTATGGCTGAAAAATATTCAGTCATATGTGTGTCTGTGTGTATATCTCACAATTTTTTGTCATTCATCCATCAATAGATACTTAAATTGTTTCCATATCTTGCCTATTGTTAATAATGCTGCAATGAAATGGGGGTGCAGATATCTTTACAAGATGGTAAACTCCCTTTGGGTATATACCCAGAAGACAGATTCCTGGGTAATATGGTAGTTCTACTTTTAATTTCTTCAGGAACCTTCATATTGTTTTCCACAGTGACTGCACCAATCTACATACCCACCAACATTGTAGAACAGTTATCTTTTTCCTCACCCTTGCCAACTCTCTTAATCTCTTGTCTTTTTGGTAACAGCCATTCTAACACATATGAGGTGATATCTCATTGTGGTTTCTATATGCATTTCCCTAATGATTAGTGATGGTTTTATGTCTTCTTTGGAAAAAATCTCTATTCAGGTCTTTGCCAATTTTTTAATAAGTTTATTTGATTTTAAACTATTGAATTGTATGAATTGTTTATATATTTACATATTATCCCCTTATCTGAATCCCCTTATCTGACATATGGTTTGCAAATATTTTCTTTCAATACAAAAGAAATCAAGAAAGCAATCCTATGTATCATGGCAACAAAAAGAATAAAAACTTAGAAACAAATTTAACCAAAGAGGTAAAAAACGTGTACACTGAAAACTATAAAATATTCATAAAAGTAATTTAAGAAGACACAAATAAATGGAAAGATATCCTGTGTTTTTTGACTGGAAGAATTAATATTGTTAAAATGTTTGTACTATGCAAAGTAATATACAGATTCGATGTAAAACTTATCAAAATTCCAATGACATTTTTCACAGAAATAGAAAAAATAATTCTAAAATTTGTATGGAACCACAAAAAACTTCAAGTAGCCAAAACAAACTTAAGAAACAAAAAGCAACAAAGTTGAAAGCATCATACTTTCTGATCTCAAATTATATTACAAACCAATAGTAATTAAAGCAGTATGGTACTGGCATAAAAACAGATGCACAATCCAATGGAACACTAGAGAGATGAGAAATAAACTCAAGTATATGCAGTCAACTAATTTTTGACTTTTCTACAAGGCTGATAAGAAGACACTATAGAAAAAGAACAGGCTCTTTAATAAATGCTGTTGGGAAAATTGGAAATCCACACACAGAAGAATGAAACTGGTCTCTTACATCATAGACAAAAATCAACTCAAAATGGGTTACAGACTTAAACATAGACTTGAAACTGTAAAACCCCTGAAAGGAAACATAGGAAAAAACCTCTGTGATATTGGCCTTTGGAAGATTTTTTGAGTATTTTTACCAAAAGCACAGCAAGCAAAAGCAAAAATAAGTAAGTGGAACTACGTCAAACTGAAGAGCTTCTGCACAGCAAAGGAAACAATCAACAAAATGAAAAGGTGGTTAATGAATTGGGACAAAAAAACTTCTTAATCAATATTTAAAGCAAAAGATTGATAACCTTGATTAAAGTCAAGGTTTCCTGTTAAAAAGGTTTGGAAAATAGTCAAAGGCATAGATTGATATTGAAATGAGAAAATATGAATATATTTGCAATATCAAAATGAATATGGGATTAATATCTGGAAGATGAATATACAATCTTCAGATCAACAATAACAAATATGAAAGCCACTCCAAAGAAAAAAATGAATAAAGGAATTTGTAAAAGAGAAACTTGACAAACTAACAGGCATATTAGGGAAGGCTCAATTTTGTTAGTAGTCTAATAAATGCAAGTGAAAACAATAGAGATATAACTTTGTTAGAGTAGTAAAATTTTGAAAGCCCTTTACAGTCAAGTGTTGGTAGCGCCATGGGAACTATTCTAGCCCTCATACCTGGCTGGTGAAATGTGGGCTGGAGTGGTCATGTCAAAGAGTAGGCAGGCAGAAGTTAGTCATATTAAGTGTATGAATATCTCATGACTCAGAATCTCTGCTACTGCACATATATTCCAAAGAAAACCTGCTACCAGCCCATAAGAATGTGATTACAGCATTATTTTTTAAGGTGAGTATATTAATCTGTTTCCATGCTGCTGATAAAGACATACCTGAGACTGGGTAATTTATAAAGAAAAAGAGATTTAATGGACTCACAGTTCCACTTGGCTGGGGAGGCCTCACAATCATGTTGGAAGGGAAAAGGCACATCTTACATGGTGGCAGGTAAAGAGGGACTGAGAACCAATTGAAAGGGGTTTCGCCTTATAAAACCATCAGATCTCATGAGACTTATTTACTACCATGAGAACAATATGGGGGAACCATCCCCATGATTCAATTATCTCCCACCAGGTCTCTCTTGCAACATATGGGAATTATGGGAGCTACAATTTAAGATGATATTTAGATGGTGACACAGGCAAACCATATCATTCTGCCCCTGACCTCTCCCAAATATCATGTCTTCACATTTCAATACTAATCATGCCTTTCCAACAGTCCCTCAAAGTCTTAACTCATTTCAGCATTAACTCAAAAGTCCACAGTCCAAAGTCTCATCTGAGACAAGGCAAGTCCCTTCTGCCTATGAGCTGTAAAATCAAAATTAAGTTAGTTACTTCCTAGATACAATGGGGATACAGAAATTGGAGAAATACACTCATTCCAAATGGGAGAAATAGGCCAAAACAAAGGGGCTAAAGGCCCCATGCAATTTTGAAATCCAACAGTGCAGTCAAATTGTGAAGCTCCAAAATTATCTCCTTTGACTCCGTGTCTCACATCCAGGTCACACCAATGCAAGTGGTGGGTTCCCAGGGCCTTGAGCAGCTCCACCCTTGTGCTTTGGCAGGGTACAGCTTCCCTCCTGGCTGCCTTCATGGGCTGGCATTGAGTGTCTGCAGCTTTTCCAGGTGCACATTGCAAGCTGCACTGTGGGTCTACCATTGGTGGATCTACCATTCTGGGGTCTGGAGGATGGTGGCTCTTTTCTCCCAGCTCCACAAGGCATTGCCCCAGTGGGGACTCTGCATGGGGGCTTCAACCCCACATTTCCCTTCCACACTGCCCTAGCAGAGGTTCTTTATGAAACATAGCTTTGCCTGGACATCCAGATGTTTCCATCCTCTGAAATCTAGACAGAGTTTCCTCTGTGTACCCACACATTCAACACCATGTGGAAAATGCCAAGGCTTGGGACTTGCACCCTTTGAAGCCTTGGCTTGAGCTGTACCTTGGCCCCTTTTAGCCATGGCTAGAGTTGCTGGGACACAGGGCACCAAGTCCCTAGGTTGCACAAAGTAGGGGGTTTCTAGGCCCGGCCTATAAAACTATTTTTTCCTCCTAGGCCTCTGGGCCTGTGATGGGAGGGGCTGCCACAAAGGTCTCTGACATGCCCTGGAGACATTTTCCCCACTGTCTTGGCATTAACATTTGGTTCCTTATTACTTATGCAAATTTCTGCAGCTGACTTGAATTTCTTCTCAGAAAATCGGTTTTACTTTTCTATTGCATCATCAGGCTACAAATTTTCTAATCTTTTATGCTCTGTTTCCCTTTTGAAGATCAATGCTTTTTAACAGCACCCAAGTCACCTCTTGAATGCTTTGCTGTTTAGAAATTTCTTTCACCAGATACCCTAAATCATCTTTCTCAAGTTCAAAGTTTCACAAATCTCTAGGGCAGGGGCAAAATTATGTGTCTTTTTGCTAAAAAAAAGCAAGAGTCACCTTTACTCCTGTTCCCAACAGGTTCCTCATCTCCATCCAAGACTACCTCAGCCTGGATTTTATTGTCCATATCATTATCAGTATTTTGGCCAAAGCCATTCAACAAGTCTCTAGGAAGTTCCAACCTTTCACACATCTTCCTGTCTTCTGAGCCCTCCAAGTTTCTAGGAAGTTTTAAACTCTCACATTTTTCTGTCTTCTCCTGAGCCCTCCAAACTGTTCCATACTCTGCTTGTTACCCAGTTCCAAAGTTGCTTCACATTTTTGGGTATCTTTACAGCAGCACCCACTCTACTGGTACCAATTTACTGTATTAGTCCATTTTCAAACTGCTGATAAAGACATACCTCAGGCTGGGTAATTTATAAAGAAAAAGAGGTTTAATGGACTCATGGGTCCACGTGGCTGGGGAGGCCTCACAATCATGGCAGAAGTCAAAAAGCATGGCAGCAGGCAAAGAAGGAATGAGAATCAAGTGAAAGAGATTTTCCCTTATAAAACCATCAGATCTTGGGAGACTTATTTACTACCCTGAGAAGATTATGGAGGAAACCACCACTATGATTCAATTATCTCCCACCAGTCCCTCCCACAACACTTGGGAATTATGGGAGGTACAATTCAAGATGAGATTTGGGTGGGGACACAGCCAATCCATATCAGTGGGGATTTGTACTCCCAAATGATCTTATAGGCATGACCAAATATTCACAGGACAGGTATTCTCTTTATGCAAAGAGGCTCCAAGAACAGGAAAGAAGAAACGCTCTTTTACTCATTTTATAAAACTAGAATAGCAGTAGTATATTGGTGTTTTTTACACATCAAACTTTGCCTCATCTTAAAAGCACTTGGGGCGATTTTATGTATTTTCCGCACTTTATTTACTTATTTTTACTTTTCAATTACTTTCTTTACTTTATAAAAAGACTTTTTTTAGAGGTGTTTTGGGTTCACAGCAAAATAGAAAGATACAGATTTTCCTTGTATTCCCTGCCCCCACACATGCATAGACTTCCTGTTATCAACATTCTCCACCAGATTGATACATTTTTTACAATCTAGATTGACACATCATAGTCACCCAAAGTCCATAGTTTACGTTAGAGATGAGTCTCTGAGTTGTACATTCTACAGACTGGACAAAAATGTAATGACATGTATCCATTTTTTGAGTATTATACAGAGTATTTTCACGGCCTCAAAAATTCTATGGGCTCTGTCTATTTATCCCATTGCCCACTCCACTGAGCTTTTAATTGTCTTCATTGTTTTGTCTTTGGAAATTTTCGTATAGTTGGAACCCTATGTAATATATCCTTTTCAGATTGGAATGTTTCACTTAGTAATATATATTTAAGCATCCTCCACATCTTTTCATGGGTTCACAGCTCATTTCCTTTTAGGGATGAATAATATTCTATTATCTGGATGTATCTTAGTTCATTTATCCATTCAGCTACTGAAGGACATCATGGTTGTTTCTAAGTTTTGGAAATTATAAATAAAGCTGCTTTAAATATCTATGTGCAGGTTTTTATGTAGATATAATTTTAAACCCCTTTCAAATCATGCGAAGGGGCATTCTTACTGGGTCATATCCTATTTAGTTGAGTGAGAAATTGCCAAATTATCTTCCAAATTGGCTGTGCAAATTTGCATTTCCACCAGCAACAGAGGAGTTTCTATTGGTACACATTCTTGTCAGAATTTGGTGTTGTCAGTGTGCTGGATTTTGGCTATTCTGATATATACGTAGTGGTATCTCATTGTTATTTTAATTTGCATTTCTCTGATGACATATGATGTGGGACATCTTTTAATAGGCTTATTTACCATTTCTATATATTTTTTGGTGATGTATCTCTTATGGTTTTTGGCCCATTTTGAATTGGGTTGCTTTTGTTTTCTTGAGATTTAAGAGTTCTTCATACATTTTGGATCACAGTTCTCTAACAGATGTGTCTATTGCAAATATTTTCCCCAAGTCTATGGCTTGTCTTCTCATTCTCTCAACAGTGTCTTTTACAGAGAATTTTTTAAATTTTAATGAAGTCCAGCTTATCAAATATTTCTTTCATGGACTATACCTTTGGTGTTGTATCTAAAAACTCATTGCAATATCCAAGGTCTTCTAGTTTTTCTCCTTTGTTATTTCCTAGAAGTTTTATATTTTTGCATTTTACATTTAGGTGTATAATTTATCTTGAGTAAATTTTTGTGAAAGGTATAAGATCTGTGTCTAGATTTATTTATTTTGTTTGCATGTGGACATCCAGTTATTTCAGTCATTTGTTGAAGAGACTATCTTTGCCTCATTGTATTTGCCGTTTGCTCCTTTGCTCCTTTGTTAAAAATAAGTTCTTATTTATATAATGCCTATTTCTGGGATTTCTTTTGCTTTCCGTTGATGTATTTATGATTTCACCAGTATTATCTCATATCTTTATAAGTCATGAATTCAAATTATATCACTCTTTCAACTTTGTTCTCCTTTAATATTATTATTATAATTATTTTATTTTATTGATATAAGTATTTGTACATATTTATGGGGTACATGTGACATTTTATTACATGCATAGATTGTGTAATGATTAAGTCAGGGTATCTGAGGGACCTACCAAATCAAGCACTCATTATTTCTATGTGTTGGGTATATTTCAAGTCCTCTGTTCTAGCTACTTTGAAATGTATAATACATTGTTACCATCAAACATTAGAACAGATTCTTTTCATCTAACTGTATATTTGTATCCATTAACCAACCTCTCTTTACCACCACCTCCCCATACACCCTTCCTAGCTTTTGGTAACTATCATCCTATTCTCTACAACTATGAGATCAACTTTTTTAGCTCCCACATAAGAGTGAGAACATGAGATATTTGTCTTTCTATGCTTGGCTTATTTCACTTAACATAATGACCTCTAGTTCTATCCATATTGCTGCAAATGGCTTGGTAACAATCTTTTCCATGGCTAAATAGTATTTCATTGTGTATATGTACCATATATTCTTTATTCATTTATCCATTTTCTGGAACTGAGGTTGATTCAATATCTTTGTAAATGTGGAGAGTGTTTCAATAAACACTGGGGTGAAGGTATCCTTTTGATAGTGAAGGTATCCTTTTGATATACTAATTTCTTTTCCCTTGGATAAATACCCAGCAGTGGGATTGTTGGATTATATGATATTTCTGTTTTGGGGTTTTTTTTGAGAAATATTCATACTGTTTTCCATAGCATCTGTACTGATTAATACTTTCATTTATATACTTTATATATATAATATATTTATACTTTATTAATAAAAGAATAAAAGAGAGTGAACAAAGTCCACCAACATCAGTGTACAATGATTTCATTTTCTTCACATTCTCATTAGTACTTGTTATCTCTTGTCTTTTTTATCATAGGCATTATAATTGGGGTAAGATGATATTTCATGATGGTTTTGATTTGCATTTCCCTAAGGATTAATGATGTTGAACATTTTTTTTCATATACCTGTGGGTCATTTGACTAGAAATGTCTGTACATTTACTTTGCCCAATTTTTAATAGGATTATCTATTTTTTTAATGTTGAGTTGTTTAAGTTCTTTTTATATACTGAATACTACTACATTGTCAGATGAATAGTTTTCAAGTATTTTCTCCCATTGGACAGGTTATCTCTTCACTCTGTTGATCATTTCCTTTGCTAAGCAGAAGCATCTTAGTTTAATATAGTCTTATTTGTCTATTTTTGTTTTGTTGCCTGTGCTTTTGAGATCTGGCTGTAAAATCTTTGCCTAGACCAATGTCCTGAAGTTTTCCTCCTATGCTTTTTTTTTCTAGTGGTTTAATAGTTTGAGGTCTTATTTTTAAGTCTTTAATCTATCTTGGGTTGCTTTTTGTATATGATGAGACATATGAATATAGTTTCTTTCTTCTGCATATGGATATCCAGTTTTTCCAGTACCACTTACTGAAGAGATTATCCTTTCTCCAATGTATGTTCTAGGTATCTTTGTTGAAAACCAGTTGGCTATAAATATGTAGATTTACTTCTGAGTTCCTTATTCCATTCCACTGGCCTATATGTCTGTTTTGAAACAAATATCATGCAATTTTGGTTAATATAGCTTTGTCATATATTTTGAAGTAATGTAATTTGATGCCTTCAGCTTTTTTTTTTTTTTTTTCAGGATTGCTTTGGCTACTGGGGCTCTCTTTTCATTTCATAGGAATGATATAATTTTTTTCTATTTCTGAGAAAAAATGACATTGGCACTTTCATAGGGATTGCATTGGATCTGTGGATTGCTTTGGGCAGTATGGTCATTTTCATGATAGTAATACTTCTGATCCATGAACATGAGATGTCTGTCCGTTTGTTTGGTTCCGTTTTGTAGTTTTTCTTGTAGAGATCTTTTATCTCCTTCATTCAGTTTATTCCTAAATATTTTATTATCTTTTTTGTAGCAATTGTAAATGTGATTGCATTCTTAATTTATTTTTCAGCTAGTTCATAATTGGTGTATAGAAATGCTCCTGATTTTTGTATGTTGCTTTTACTGCAAATATACTGAATTCATTGATAAGATCTAATAATTTATTGTGAAGTCTTTAGAATTTTCTAGATATAAGATCATATTATCTGCAAAAAGAGAAAATAGAGTTTCCTCTTTTCCAATTTGAATGTCTATTTCTTTTTCTTGCCTGGTTGCTCTGTAAAGGGCTTCCAGCACTATGTTGAACAGGAGTTTTGAAAGTGGGCATTCTTGTCTTGTTTCATTGTTAGAGGAAAGGCTCTCAGCTTTTCCCCATTCAGTATGATGTTAGCTGTGGGTTTGTAATAATACATGGCCTTTGTTATGTTGATGTATGTTTCTTCAATGCCTAGTTTTTGAGAGTTTTTATAATAAAGGGATGTTGAATTTTATCAAATGATTTTTCTGATCTATTGAGATGATCATATAGTTTTTGTATTTCATTATTTTGATGTAATATAACACATTTATTTATCTGCATACGTTGAACAATCATCGAATTTCTAGGATAAATCCAACTTGATCATGGTGTATTTTAGTTTATTAATGTGCTGTTGAATTTGGTTTGCTAGCATTATGTTAAGGATTCTTGTGTCTGTGTTCATCAGGGTATTGGCCTGTAGGTTTTGTTGGTGGTGTTGCGTCTTTATCTGATTTTGGTATCAGGATAATGCTGGCCTTGTAGAATGAGTTAGAGAGAATTCCCTTCTGTTCAATTTTTTAAAAGAGTTTGAGGAGAATTGAGGTTATATGCTCTTTGAAAGTTTGGGAGAATTCCGTAGTGAAGCCATTGGGTCCCGGACTTTTTTTGGGGTTGGGCAGATGAGATTTTCCTATTACTAATTCAATATCATTACTCATAATTGGTCTTTTTAGATTTTCTATTGCCTCCTGATTTTCTCTACATAGGTTTTATGTGTGCAGAAATTTATTCTCTAGGCTTTCCAGTTTGTTATTTTATAGTTGTTTATAATAGTTCTCTGATAATCTTCGGTATTTATATTATAATGTCTCCTCTTCCATTTCTAAGTTTTTTTTGTTTGTATCTTCTCTCATTTTTTCTTGGTTATTTTAGCTAGTGGTTCATCAATTTTGTTTATCTTTTCAAACATCCAACTTTTTGTTTCAATGATTACTTGTATTGTTTTTCAGTCTCTGTTTTGTTTAGTTTTACTCTGATCTTTATAATTCCTTGCTGGCTATCTTTGGGTTTGGTTTGTTCTTGCTCTTCTAGTTCCTTGAGATGCATAGCTAGATTTCTTATTTAAAATCTTTCTACTTTTTCTACTGTATTCATTTATCACTACAAACTTCCCTTGTTTTTGACTTAAAGTCAGTTTGTCAAAGTATAGCTACTTCTGCTCACTTTTGGTTTCTGTTTGAAATATCATTTTCTATAATTTTACTTTCAATCTATAAGTGTCTTTACTACTAAGGTGAATTTCTTGTGAGCGGCTTATAATTAGAGCCTTTTTCTTTTCTTTTTATTTTAAAAATCTATTCAGTGTTTCTTTATATTTCTTTTAAGTGAACAGTCTAATCTGCTTACATTCAAGTTTATTGTTGATATGTGAGGCTTTCTTTATATCATATTGTTAGCTGTTTTTTGATTGTTTTCAATATTCTTTATTTCTTGTTTTTCTCTTACTATTTACCATTGTAGTTGGGGTCTTTTCTGTATTGGTAACAGTTGAATCTTTTTTCTCTCCTATTTATGTGCTCTCTTCCCATGGGTTTTATACTTACATGCATTTTCATGATTGTAGATATTGTCCCTTAACTTCCAGGTGTAGGATTCACTTAAGCATTTCTTGTAGAACTGCTTATTGGTGATTAATTCCCTTAGCTATTGCTTATCTGGGGAAAACTTTATTTCTCTTTTATTTATGAAGAATATTTTCCAGCTACGTATCTGATATGATTTGGCTTCATGACCCCACCCAAATATCATCTCAAATTGTAATTCTCACATGTCAGGAGAGGTACCTGGCGGGAGGTGATTGGATCATGGAGGTGGTTTCCTCCATGCTGTTCTGATGATAGTGAGTTTCCATGAGATCTGATGGTTTCAAAGTGTTTGGCATTTCCTCCCTTGTGCTCTATCTCTCCTGCTGCAATGAGTTGAGTCAAAGAAGCCTCTTTCCTTTATAAATTACTCAGTCTCAAGTCATTCTTTATAGCAGTGTGAAAACAGACTAATACAAAAAATTGATACTGGGAGATTGGAGCACTGCTATAAAGATACCTAAAAATGTGGAAGCGACTTTGGAACTGAGTAACAGGCAGAGGTTGGAAAAGTTTGGAGGGCTCAGAAGAAGACAGGAAGATGTGGGAAAGTCTGGAACTTCCTAGAGACTTGTTGAATGGTTTTGACCAAAATGCTGATAGTGATATGGACAATGAAGTCCACGCTGAGTTGGTCTCAGATAAAGATGGGGAACTTATAAGGAAGTGGAGCAAAGGGGACTCTTCTTATGCTTTAGCAAAGAGACTGGTGGTATTATGCCCCTGCCCTGGAGATCTGTGAAACTTTGAACTTGAGAGAGATGATTTAGGGTATCTAGCAGAATTAATTTCTAAGCAGCAAAGCATGCAAGAGGTAACCTGCCTTTTTCTGAGAGTGTACGGTTATATGAGTTCACAAAAAAATGACCTGACATGGGAACTTATGTTTTAAAGGGAAGCAGGACATAAAAGTTTGGAAAATTTGCAGCCTAACCATGTGCTACAAAAGAAAAACCCATTTCCTGGGAAGAAATTAAAGCCTGCTACAGCCTGCTACAGAGATTTGCTTAAGTAATAAGGAGCCAAATGTTAATAGCCAAGACAATGAGGAAAATGTGTCTAGGGAATGTCAGAGATCTTCCTAGCAGCCCCTCACATCACAGGCTTGGAGGCCTAGGAGGAAAAAATTGTTCCATGGGCAGGGCTGGCCCAGAACCCCACTGCTCTGTGCAGTCTTAGGACTTGGTGCCCTGCATCCCAGCTGCTCCAGCTCCAGCTGTGGCTGTAAGGGGCCAAGGTGAAGCTTAGGCTGTAGCTTCAGAGGGTGCAAGCCCAAGCCTTGACAACTTCCACATGGTGTCAGGCCTGCAGGTGCAAAGAAGACAATAGTTGAGCTTTGAGAGCTCCACCTAGATTTTAGAAGATGTATGAAAACATCTGGATGTACAGGCAGACATCTGCTGCAGGGGCAGAGCCCTCATGGAGAACCTCTACTAGAGCAATGCAAAGGGGAAATGTGGGATTGGAGCCCCTACACAGAGACCTACTGGGGCACTGCCTAGTGGAGCTGAGAGAAAAGCATCACCATCCTTCAGACCCCAGAATGGTTAATCCACTGATAGCTTGCACAATGCACCTGGAGAAGCCCCAGACACTCAGTACCAGCTCGTGAAAGCAGCCAGAAACACTGTACCCTGTAGAACCACAGAGATGGAGCTGCCCAAGGCCGTGGGAACCCACCTCTTGCATCAGCATGCTCTGGATGTGAGACATGGAGTCAAAGAAGATTATTTTAGAGCTTTAAGACTAAATAAGTGCCTGCCAGGTTTTAGGCTTGCATGGGGCTTGTGGCCCCTTTGTTTTGTCCAATTTCTCCTATTTAGAAACATTTACCCAATGCCTGTACTTCCACTGTATCTTGGAAGTAACTAACTTGTTTTAGATTTTACAGGCTCATAGGCAGAAAGGACTTTGCCTTGTCTCAGATGAGACTTTGGATTTAGACTTTTGAGTTAATGCTAGAATGAGTTAAGACTTTTGGGGGCTGTTGAGAAGGCATGATTGGTTTGAAATGTAAAAAAGACATGAGATTTGGGAGAGGCCATGGGTGAAATGATATGGCTTGGCTCTGTGTCCCCACCCAAATCTTATCTCGAATTGTAATCCCCATGTATCAGAGAAGGGACCTAGGAGGAGGTGATTGGATCACAGGGGTGGTTTCCCCCATGCTGTTCTAGTGACAGTGAATTAGTTCTCATGAAATCTGATGGTTTAAACGTGTTTGGCAGTTCCTCCCTTGCACTCTCTCTCTCCTGCCACTATGAGAAGATATACCTTGCTTCCCCTTCACCTTCCACCATGATTATAAGTTTCTTGAGGTCTTCCCAGCTATGCTGAACTGTGCATCAATTAAACCTCTTTTGTTTTAAATTACCCAGTCTCAGGTTGTTCTTTATAGCAGTGTGAAAATGGACAAATACAGTATCTTTAGCTGGCAAGTTTTTCTTCCAGTACTTTGAATATATTATTTCAGTCTCTTCTGGCCTGTAAGGTTTCTGCTGAGAAATCCACTCTAAAAGTCTGATGGAGGTTTCTGTATAAGTGACCAGACACTTTTATTTTGCAGTTTTTAGAATTCTATATTTGTCTTTGACTTTTGATAGCTTGACTATAATGTACCATGGAGAAGATATAATTTCATTGTATCTGTTTGAGAATCTCTGATATTCTTGTATCTGAATGCCTAAATCTTTTGCTAGATTTGAGCATTTTTTAAATATTATTTTGTTAAATAGGCTTTATAAGTCTTTTATTTTTCTCTTTACTTTCTGGGACACTGAAAATTTAAACGTATGGTTGTGTTATGGTGTCCCATATGTCATATAGGCTTTGCTCTTTCCCATTTAGTCTTTTATTTAATTTTGTCTGAGTTGTTTCAATATACCTGTCTTCACATCCTGAAATTATATCTTTTGCTTGATCTAGATCATTGTTGAAACTTTCCTATGTATTCTCTATTTCATTTAATGAAATTTTTAGTTCCAGGATTTGTTTGGTTCTTTTTATGATGTATATCCTCCCTAAATTGTTTTTCTGATTTATTGGTATTGTTTTTCTGTTTTCTGTTGTGTTTTATTGAATTTCTTTAATATCATTACTTTGAATTATTTATTTGGGATTTTATTTTTTTATTGGAATGTATTACTGGAGAATATTTTTTGGTAAGTGTCATTTTTCTTTGTTTTTTTTTTTTTTTTTTTTCATATCTCTGATGTCCTTATGTTGATATCTGCATATGTGGTGTAACAGTTGTTTTGAATTTGCTTTTGTGGGAGAGGTCTTTTTGCTGAAAAGGTATCTATCATGTTGGTTGGGTAGGGTACTTTCGCTGTGGTTTTGGGTGCATTCAGTAGTACAGGCATTATTTCGTATGCTTTATTTGGCTGTAAAGAGCACTGGTGGTGTCTGTGGTTTCCTCAGTGTCTTAGTGTGCTGTTTTTAGTAGAAGCCGTATTGAACTTTTGCTGGAGATGGAGATGACAGGTGGGCCTGTCCTTGGGCCCCAGTATGGTAGTGGTGAGCCATGCATGGCTGTGTTAGGGACCCATAGCAGTGTATACATGCACAGGTGTTAATGGGTCCAGGGGGACTTATATTTGAGCTTCTGGGCAATTTGCTCAGGTGGCTGGTAGTGGCAGAGAGATAGGCTGAGGAAGTTGGTGGGTTTCTGGGTCCCTGGGCAGTGGATCCGGAATGGGTAATGACTATAGTAGTGATAGAATTAACTTTTGGGTCCCAGTGGTCTGTGCTGGTGTTGCCAGTGGCTGCAACATACTTGGGTGGGACAGTCATCCGGCTCACAGGTGGTACATTTTAATGGGTACCTCCTGTGGTGGTAACACCTGGTTTGGTGGTTCCTACAGGCCCCAGGAAGAGTGCTCAGGTGCCAGCAGTAAAGGGCTTGGCTGGATAGTTCCCAGGCCCCCATATAGCTTGTTGGGTAGGGGAAAGAGCTGGGCCAGGTGAACCTGTCCTCAAGCCTCCGGTTGGTGCTGGCGGGTGCTGGCTGTGGAAGCAGGAGCAGGACATTCTCCAGGCCCAAGGTAGAATGCTTGGGTGGGAGTAGCAGTGGCTGCACAGCAGCCTTGCTACTGGGGAGGGTGGGGTATCTTTCAATGGCAGCAGTTATATGCAGGTGACTGAAGAACATTCACTTTGCTTGTGCTTCAGCCCCAGTTGTGGCAGCTTGCTGTTGTGGCTGCTGTGGGTGGAGAACTCTGTCCTTAGTGTGCTTGAAATGATGTAGTGACTTTGCTGCTGGGGGCAGCAGGGTCTTTGCTAATGGTTCACACTTTAGCCCTAGAGGTGGCAGGCAGCTGTAGCAGTGGCTGTGGGAATGTTTATTGGGCTCCAGGGATGTGGAGCTGCAGAGGCTGTTGTGGGCCCCTAGGCAGGAAGTAGTCTGGTGGAGGGTGGGCTCTCAATCTGGCACCTTGCTGTAGCTGTATAGTGCTCAAGAAGTATATGGGACCCAGTGTGAGCTCCTTCTTTGAATAAATGTTTTTGTGCAATCTCCAGGCAGCTCTCTGTATCAGTATTGGGCCCCATGAGAGGCTAGAGGATTTCCTGTGGCTTGGATGATTGCTGAGGGTCACTCACTTATCACTTCCCTGCATTAGGGAGCTCATCCAGGCTCTCAGCTTGTACTCACTGAGCAGGCTGTCTAGCTTTCCACTCCTTACTTACTTAGGAGTTTCCTGTCACTTCTCTGTAGAATTCCAGTGTTCTCTCTTAGATGATATATTTGAAGTGTGATTATCTACTTACTATTTTGTTTCTTTTCATTGTGGAAATGGGCAGTACAAGATGCCACTAGTCAGCTGTCTTCATGAAGCCTCTCCTCTCTCCATTGGCTATTCTGGGTCTTCTGCCTTTTCATATAAACTTTAGAATTGGTTTGTCAGTACCCACAAAACAACCTGCTGAGATGTTAATTGGGATTGTATTAAATCTATAAACTAAGTTGGGAAGAACTTCTATCTTGACAACATTGAATCTTCCTATCCATAATAAACATGGAATACCTGTTTATATTTTTGCTTGATTTCTTTCATCATAATTTTGTAGTTTCCTTCATATAGATATTGTATGTGTTTTGTTTGATTTTTAGCTAAGTATTTTTTATTTTGCCATGCTAATGTACATGGTAGTGTGTTTTTTATTTTAAATTTCAATTGTTCAATGCTGTTATATAGAGAAGTTATTGACATTTGCATATTAATCTAGTATTCTAAAACCTTGCTATAATGGTTGATTAGTTAAGTTTTTTTGTTGTTTTCTTTAGATTTTTTACTTAGAAAATCATGTTATCTGTGCACAAAGTTGTATTTCTTCCTCCTCAATCTGCATACCTTTCAGTTTCTTTTCTTGTTTTATTGCTTTAGCTAGAATTTCTGGGATAATGTTGAAAAGGAGTAATTAGGGGGAACATCATTGTCTGTACCTAATCTTAGTGGGAAAGCTTCAAATTTCTCACCATTAAGCATGGTGTTGGCTGTAGGTGTTTTGTAGATACTTTTTATCGGGTTGACAAAGTTCTCCCTCTATTTTTAGTTTACTAACAGTTTTTATCATAAATAGGTGTTCGATTTTGTCAAATCCTTCTTCTGCATCCATTAAAATGAGCACACAATTTTTCTTCTTTAGCTATTGATATGTTTTACATTAATTGATGTTTGAATGTTGAACCAGCCTTGTATACCTGGGATAAATTCCACTGAGTTGTGGTGTATAATTTTTATGCATTCCTTGATTCAATTTGCTGATATTTTATTGAGGATTTTTGCACGTATGTTCATGAGAGATATTGGTCTATAGTTTCCTCTTCTTGTAATGTCTATCTGGTTTTGGTAACTCATACAATGATTTACCACTTGCTTCTGTCTTTTGAAGGAGATTATAAAGAATTGGTATAATTTCTTCCTTAAATATTTGGTAGCATTCACCAGTGAATGCATCTGGGCCTATGGCTTTCTATTTTGGGAGGCTATTAATTATTGATTTAATTTCTTCTGTAGACGTAGGCCTATTCAGATTATCTATTTCTTGTGTAAATTTTAAAAGTCTGTATCTTTCAAAGTTAGTTCATTTCATCTAGGTTATCAAATTTGGGGGACTAAAGTTGTTCATAGTATTCCTTTATCATTTTAATGTCCATGGGATCTTCAGTGATATCAGCTCTTTTATTTCTGATATTAGTAATTTGTAACCTTTTTTTTTTATTTCTTGGTTAGCCCTGCCTAGAGACTTATAGCTTTTATTGATATTTTCCGCTTTTAGTTTTATTTTCTTCACTGATTTCCTGTTTTCAATTTGATTGATTTCTGCTCTAATTCCTATTATTTGTTTTCTTGTGGTTACTTTGGATTTCATTTGCTCTTCTTTCCTAGTTTCTTAAGGTGGAAACTTTAGATAATTGATTTTAAATCTTATTTTTTCTAAATTTTCTAACATAGGCGTTTAATGCTATAAATTTCTCTGTAAGCACTGCCTTCCATTCATTTTGATATGTTGTGCTTTCATTTATGTTTAATTCAAAATTTTTAAAATTTCACTTGAGATTTTTTTTGGATCAAATGTTATGTAGAAGTGTTTTGTTTAATCTCCATGCATTTTGGGATTTCCAGTTTTCCTGCTGTTACTAATTTCTAGTTAAATTCCATTGTTATCTGAGAGTAGACATTGTTAGATTTTTATTATGCTAAATTTGTTAAAGTGCATTTTATGGCCCAGAATGTGGTCTATCTTGGTAAATGTGAGCTTGAGAAGAATGTGTATTCTGATGTTGTTAGGTGAAATAATGTATACATGTATTAGTCTGTTCTCACACTGCTGCAAGGACATACCCAAGACTGGGTAATTCACAAAGGAAAGAGGTTTAATTGACTCACAGTTCAGCATGGCTGGGGAGGTCTCAGAAAACTTACAATCATGGCAGAAAGAGAAGGAAACACATCCTTCTTCACAGATCAGCAAAAGAGAAGAATGAGAGCTGAGCAAAGGGGGAAGCCCCTTATAAAACCATCAGATCTCATGAATACTTATTCACTATCATGAGAATAGCCTGGGGAAACCAACCCCATGATTCAATCACCTCCCACTGGGTTCCTCTCATGACACGTGGGTATTATGGGAACTACAATTCAAGATAAGACTTGGGTGGGGACACAGCCAAACCATATCATTCCACACCTGGCCCCTCCGAAATCTCATGTCCTCACATTTCAAAACACAATCATGCCCTTCCAACAGTCCCTATATTCTCTTATTTTTGTCTTCTACTCTTTTTCTGATTGTCATTTAGCACTTTATATGTTTATTTTTTCTGTCCTTTCTCAATGTGTTAGTTATATCTTGTTTTTTACTTCCTTGCTTGTTGGCCTATGGTTTGCAATATACATTTATAACTAATCCAAGTCCCCTTTCAAATAACATTATACCACTTTATAAATAGTATAACTTATAACAATAAAATAATTTTAATTTCTACCTCTCATCCTTGGTATCATTACTTTCATTCATTTCAGTTACATTTATGCATACATAAGTGTGTGTGTATATATATGTGTACATAAGTGTATATATGCCATATGCATATGCATAAGCATATGTAATTGAATACATTGGTGCCAGTATTTTGTATAAGCTATTATGTTAGATTGATTTAGGATAAGAAATAGAAGTTTTTTATTTGACCTCCACTTCTTCCTTCTTTAATTCTCTTTTAAAATGATCAACCTGTGTTTCTGACATATTTTGTTTCTTCTCTCTAAAGAACTTCTGTTAAATTTCTTGCAAGGCAGTTCTACTGGCAACAATTTCTTCAATTGTCATTTGTCTAATAATGTATTTTTTTCCTTAACATTTGAAGGATAACTTTTCGCGGTATAGAATTCTCGGTTGGTGTTTTTTTTTTCTCTTAACACTTTAAATATTTTACTTCACTCTCCTTGCTTGCATGGTTTCTGAGGAGAAGTTGAATATGATTCTTATCTTTTCTCCTTGATAAATAAGGTGTTTTCTTTCTTCTGGCTTCTTTTAGAATCTTTTCTTTATCCTTGATTTAATGTAGTTTGAAAATTATATGAGATTGTTTCTTCAGTCATGCCTAGTCTACTAATGAGCCTATTGAAGGAATTTTTAATTTCTTTTATAGTACTACTATTTCTAGTTTTTCTTCCTTAAAATTTTAATCTTTCTGCTTAAAGTGTCCATCTCTTCTGTTTACTTTAACTATTGGAGATTTTAACATATTAATCACAATTAATTTTAAATTCTCATTCTGGTATGTTTTTTGTGGGTGTTTTGTTAGTTTGTTTGTTTTTGTTAACCTGCTTGGTGTTCTCTGGGGTTCCTGGATTTGTGCGTTAGTATCTGACATTAATTTGGAAGCAATTGTTATTATTGTTTCATCTTCTGTTTCTCTCTCTTTTCCTTTGATCTTTTCATTGCTTGTGTTTCATGTCTTTTGTAGTTATCCCACAGTCTGTAGGTCTTCTGTTTTTTGTTTTGCTTTGTTTTCCTTTACTGTTTGCTCTCTGCTTTTCGGTTTTAGAGGTTTCTATTAAAATATCCTCAAGATTAGAGATTGTTTCCTCAGCTGTGCTCTGTCTACTAATTAGTCCATCAAAGGCACTTTTTCATTTCTGTTATAGTACTTTATAGTATTCCTTTAGTTTTTTCTTAACACTTAATCTTTCTGCCTACATTGCTCTTCTCTTCTTCTGTTTAAACATTAGTCCTTCAGCATATTAATCACAATTATTTTAAATTCTCATTCCGATAATTACAGCATCCCTGCCATGTCTGGTTCTGCTGCTTGCTCTTTTCAAATTGTGATTTTTGGTAAAAGAAATTGCTGTAAAGAAGTCTTTAGTAATGGGGTGGTGAGGTGTGGGAGAGGGGAAGCATTCACTAGTCCTGTGATTAGGTCTCAAATTTTAGAGAGACTATTCCTCTAGACTGTAGACTTCATAAGTGTTTCTCAGTTTTTTCTCTCTCCTTGGAGTAGGCTGTATTTGGGTATTGCCCTTCTCTTATGTGGAAGACTAGAGCTGAGTGAAGTTGGGTATTTCTCTTCCTGGACTCTTACAATGCCTTGATAGGTTATTCTCTGGTTAAGGAGTTTTTACTAGGAGCAGACCATGTTAAACAGAGTGCTTTTGTGTATTTGAAAATGATTCTTTTTCTTCTCTCACTGCCTGAAGTAAGAGGGGATTTTTCTCTAATATTTAGCATGAGAACCTGATTGAACTCTTGGAGTTAAATACTGGTTTTACCATCTTTGCAACAGATTTATAGTCCTTTATATCTTGTTAACGTATTGGTAGTTCTTTGTTAGTTATGTTGCTGGAAATATTTTTCTTCCCCTGGTTGCTGACTTATCTTTTCACTTTTTTAATAATGTCATTTGATAAACAGTAGTTTTGATTTTAATTAACAATATTTTCCTATGGTTGGTACTTTGGTATTGTGTTTATGAAATACACCTGTACCACAAAGTCATGAAGATATTCTCTTACATTCATTTTTAAACATACAGTTTTGTCTTATACATTTAGACCTTTAATTCATTTGTCACTGATTTTGTGTTTGATATGAGAAAAGCTTTGAATTAAAATTTTTTTTTTACTTATGAGTAACTAAGCATCTTGAGACCGTTTATTTAAAGATGTGCCTTTTAGTAAAAAGACCAGAGGTTTCCAGTGGTTGTGAGCGGAAAAGAGGGAAGGATGATAGGTAGAGCACAGGGCAATGAAATTGTTCAGAATAATATGGTAATGATGAACACGTATCATTATATATTTGTCAAAACTTACAGGATGTATAACACAAAAGATTGAATCCTGATATAAACTATAGACTTCAGTTAATAATAATCTATCAATATTAGCTCAGCATTGTAAGAAATGTTATAATTGCAAGATATAAATAATGGAGGAAACCAGGGATTGGATGAAATAGCATGTAGGAACTCTGTATTTTCTGTTCAGTTTTTGTGTAAACCTAAAACTGCTAAGAAAAAAACTCTATTAAATTACAAAAAATTCTGTCTTCCCCCATTCTCTGAAGTGCCACTTTTAGTATAAATAATACGCGCAAGGCACAGTTTCTGGATATCTATTCTGTTCTGTTAATCTTTTTGTCTGTATTTTGTTAATAAACATTGTCTTGAATATCACAGTTTTGTAATACATCTTGCTGTACGGTAATTCAAATTTTTTCACCTTTGTCCTTATTTTGAAGTGCCGTTTGCATTCTCATACATATTTTTGGAAACAACTTTTGAAATGACACACATACACAAACACACACACACACACACACAAAGTGGTTGGTATTTGGATTAAGATTGCATTGAATTTATAAATCAATTTGAAGGAAATTTATCCCTTTATAATATTGACTCTTCCTTTCCATAAACAAATTATATCTCTCCATTTATTTAATACTATTTTAATATTTTTAATAAGAAACCTTTTATAATTTACTCTGTAAAAGTCTCGTATATCTTTTGTCAGGTTTATTCTAAGCACTTTATATTTGTTCATATGTTTACAAATGGTAATTTAAAGGTTTCATTTTCTGTTTGATTGTGTTGTGTGAAATAGTTTATTTTGTATATTGATTTTTCATTCTGGGACTTTGATCAACTCTATTACTACCGTCTTTGGATTTTCTGTGCACATCATCATATTATCTGTTAATAATGGCAGTTTTGGTTTCTTTCCTTCCAATTTGTTTTCTTTTTAAATTTTTTATTGCATAGTGCTCATTAGGCCTTCCAATGCAATGTTGGTTAGAAGTGGTGACAACATAAATTCTTTTCTCATTCCTCATCTCAAAGAGAAAGATTCAAAATTTTTAATACTAATTATAATGCTTCTTGTAGGATTCTAAATATTTTTTGCGGCTACCATTTACCAGATTAAGGAAGTTCATGTCTACTTTTAATTACTGAGAATTCTTTTTTTCCTCACATTGTTGAATTTTACCAAAATGTTTTGCTGCATTTCCCTCCCTAGGTAGAAAGAAGAGTAGCTGAAAACTGTAGTCATTTTTAAGTATAGTCATTTGCCAAGTTAAAAATAGGAATATAAAACTTCAGTAGAAAGAGACTAGACTGGGGAACTGCCAGGAGTCTCTGCTGCAATGTCCCCTATGTAGTGTCATTTTACTGTTTAGAGATTTTTTAAAAAATTATTGGTACTCCCTGGGTGTAGAACTACCCTAATCTGCCAAACAACAGAATATATTTCCTGCATACTAGGAGTACCATTCCTAAAATCCTAAGGACAAGGCTCCCTGAAGACTTTATTCTGGGATCCAGAGTCTTATGTCAGAGAAGAAACTTGACAGAGCTGCAGAATTCCTTTAATCCTGGGTATATGGTGTCTTGTGGACAATAAGCTGCTATTCCACTGTTGAGTCCCCTTTCCATTTTCTGGGATTTTCACCTGTCTTGTCCTCTGTTGTGTTTTTAACTGAATTTGTGTTTCATTTCTGGAGCTCATTTTCATAGTTCCTGGGTTATTCAGAGAAAAGGCATAATCTCAATAAATGGCTAATGGAATCAAATTTTAATAAAGGTGGTTACAGTTTAAATTTTAATAAAGATGATTGCAGTGACTCTCTTAAAAGCTAAGTGCTCATCCTCATTTGGCCCTTTTCCCTTCAAAGTTAATAAAGCAGAATCATTAGGCTTTGAAAAGAATATTGACTTTGGTATCAGGAAATGGTACAGACTGTGGCAAGGACAGAGAAGAGCAATCTGGCCTCAAAGGGCTCAAATCCAATCTTTTACAACACAAGGCTCCTTATCGCAGGCCTTGGGTCAACTGAGCTTACCCGGACTAACCTAGGTATATTAGTAGCATGATGATTTATATTTATAGAAAAAGACAGTAGGCTGGGTACGGTGGCTCATGCTTGTAATTCCAGCACTTTGGGAAGCCAAGGCAGGCGGATCACGAGGTCAGGAGATCGAGACCATCCTGGCTAACGCGGTGAAACCCTGTCTCTACTAAAAAAATACAAAAAATTAGCCAGGCGTGGTGGCGGGCGCCTGTAGTCCCAGCTACTCGGGAGGCTGAGGCAGGAGAATGGCGTGAACCCGGGAGGTGGAGCTTGCAGTGAGCCGAGATTGCGCCACTGCACTCCAGCCTGGGCAACGAGCCAGACTCCGTCTAAAAAAAAAAAAAAAAGAAAGAAAAGAAAAAGAGTAAAACAGAAATTCTCAAATATTTCATGGGCTTTAAAAGTATGAATTTATCCTGAGACCCAGGGTCAGAACAACTTTAAATAGAGCTTTGTTCTCTGTTTTACTTATGATACTATGCTTTAGCTTTAATAATTTAAATGATTTTAAATGATTAGAAAAAAGAATATATTGTTATATATTTGCGAACTCAAGAGACTTTGATATTTTATCTTTAAAAAGACTACTTCCTGGCCGGGTGAGTTGGCTCACACCTGTAATCCCAGAACTTTGGGAGGCGGAGGTGGGTGGAACACCTGAGATCAGGGGTTCGAGACCAGCCTGGCCAACATCGCGAAACCCTGTCTCTACTAAAAATACAAAAATTAGCAGGGCATGGTGGCTTGTGCCTGTAGTCCCAGCTTACTCAGGAGGCTGAGGCAGGAGAGTTGCTTGAACCTGGAAGGTGGAGGTTGCAGTGAGCCGAGATAGTGCCAGTGCACTCCCGTATGAGTGACAGAGTGAGACTCCATCTCAAAAACAAACAAACAAAAAAACTACTTACCTACTCAAATTATCCTGTCTCTTCATATTGGCACCTGTGATAATTTTTCCTACAGCTGTTTGTGCACTCACTGGCAGATTCATTAATGTGTCTTTTTCCCTCAGTGATTTGGTTTTTACAAAAACTATGAGACAGGTATTACATCAGTGTGCTGGTTTTCTGTTCATCCCTGAGGACAAGAAAAATTATATTAATCATTATTCTCTTTGACTTGGGGATTACCCAGCCAGGAAGCACCTTCTTTTTAAAAATTTCAGTACTTTACTGGGTAGATTCAGAGAGGTAAGGTTGGGAAATATCCTTTTTAAACAGAGAGGGATAGTGTAAAGTTTAGGATTATAATGTAATTTTGACAAAGAGACACATATTCCTGTAGTGAGCAAGTCACTACACATGCATATGTGCACACAGCAGAGATGGGGAGATATTTTAGGGCAGACATATTAACTGTAGAGATCTTTATTTCCCAGTGTATTTAGCAGTGATCTTTGGATGTTGATGCTTTAGAATAGACTTGTTCGCATAGTATATATTGACCAAAACATTCTTAGAATTCAGATATAGTTTCCTTCAATATCTCCCTATTAGCATTTTGTGTTGTACGTGTCTTTTTTCCTAAAAGTACAATTTAAAAATCATATTAATTATGTATTCTAGTTATCTGGCTCAGAGAACTTGTATAATATATAATTTTTTACCATTTAGGTTCTTAACCATTAAAATAAAAAGCAAAGAAATAAATAAAAAATTAAATCAATTTCTTTTCTGAACTATTATGCAATTTAAAGCCTTTTCAATTTAAAATTTTTTCAGTGTTTTGGTCTAAATTAAAAATTGCAGTTGGCCAAATTATAGAAATTTGCAAGGATAATTCAACATACAAAAATCAGTAAATGTGATACACCATATTAATAAAATGAATAACAAAATCCACAGATGCAGAAAAGACATTTGACAAAGAAAAGAAAAAAATGAAAGCGCCTAAGGCCGAGGCGTGATGGCTCTTGCCTGTAATCCCAGTACCTTGGGAGGCCGGGGCAAGTGGATCACCTGAGGTCAGGAGTTTGAGACCAGCCTGGCTAACATGGTGAAACCCATCTCTACTAAAAATACAAAAATTAGCCGAGTTTGGTGGTGGGTGGCTGTAATCCCAGCTACGCAGAAGGCTGAGACAGGAGAATCGCTTGAACCGGGGAGGCAAAGGTTGCAGTGAGCCGAGATCAAGCCACTGCACTCTAGCCTAGGTGACAGAGCCAGACTCCATCTCAAAAAATACAAATTAAAAAAAAGGGCATAAAAGTAAGTGAAAAAGCCGGGCGCGGTGGTTCACGCCTATAATCCCAGCACTTTGCGAGGCCAAGGCGGGTGGATCACGAGGTCAGGAGATCGAGACCATCCTGGCTAACATGGTGAAACCCCGTCTCTACTAAAAATACAAAAAATTAGCCGGGCATGGTAGTGGGCACCTGTGGTCCCCGCTACTCGGGAGGCTGAGGCAGGAGAATGGCGTGAACCTGGGAGGCTGAGCTTGCAGTGAGCCAAGATCGTGCCACTGCACTCCAGCGTGGCAGACAGAGCGAGAGTCCATCTAAAAAAAATAGAAAAACAAAAAAGTGAAAAAAAGTACAAATAATATTCTCATAATATTCCTTTATGAGAATAAAGGAAATGCCTTCTGGAAGGAAACGAAGATAAAAGGAAAAGAATGGGAGGGGAGAGGAAGAGAAGAGAGAGAAGGAGAGAAGTTTGGAGGGGCGGGGGGAAAGAGGATTCAGAAATAACCAATGATTTTCTGAGACCAAAGGGGAGAAAACAGCCACTAAAAGAGAAAAAAAAAATTACAGAAAGAAACCAGGCAGTCCTCTTTCGTTTTCCTATCCAGCTCTATCCTCATTCTTGGAGGCATTTTCTAGTGGAGTACAGGTTGCGTTCTTTGGGCCACTTACTTGGCTTTTCTCCAAAGCATCTTACTGGAGGCTTTTACCCTTCTTTTCAATGAACTCTAGAAATTTTGGCTTTGTAAGTCTTTGGTAAGAAAAGTATTTCTGAACTAACTCTAAAAGAGATCAAATTAGTTAAAATAAATACAGTATTTTAAAACATAGCTTTATTAAAATAATCTGCTTCTTATTTAAATAGTTTTTCTCTGAATTCCTTCTATAAAGGGAGATGTAATAAATCATTCACCATGATCAATGGGATTAATCCCAGGGATGCAAGGATAAGTCAACATACATAAATCAATAAATGCGATACACCATATTAATAAAATGAAGGACAAAATCCACAGATGCAAAAAAAGACATTTGAGAAAATTCAATATTTGTTTACAATTATTTTACTAGAACCTCTCAACAAAATAAGTATAGAAGGAATATAGAGTTGTCCCTTGGTATCCATGGAGGATTGGTTCCAGAGACCCTGAGGTTACCAAAATCCATGGATGCTCAAGTCCCTTATATAAAATGGTGCTGTATTTGCATTTACCTATGCACATTCTCTTTTATTCTTTAAATTATTTCTAGATTACCTATAATATCTAATACAATTTAAATGCTATGTAAATAGTTTTATTCCCTAAACTCTATACTGAAAAATAGTTTATTCCCTAAACTCTATACTGTAGAGTTTAGGGAACAATAACAAGAAAAAATATGTATATGTTCATTATAAATACAACCATCTTTTAAAAAACATATTTCAATCTGTGTTTGGTTAAATCCACAAATTTTGATCCCATTCATATGGAAGGATGACTTGTTCAACACAATAGAGACCATATGTGACAAACCTACCGATAACATCATACTTACTAGTGAAAAGTTAAAACCTTTTCCTCTGAAATCATGAACAAACAGGAATCTTCACTTTCAACTTCTATTCAAAGTAGTTCTGGAAGTTCTACCCAGAGCAATTAGGCAAGGAAAAGAATAAAAGGCATCTACAAAAAAAAAAAAAAAGGTAAATTTGTTTCTATTAGCTCACAACATGATCATATATATATATATATAACCCTAAAGACTTCACAAAATACTGTTAGAAGTGACAAATTCAGTAATCAATCTGAATTTTGCAGGTTACAATATCAACATACAAAAATCAGCAGCACTTTGATATGGTTTGGCTTGTTTGATATGATATGGTTTGGCTTGTTTTCCCCACCCAAATCTCATCTTTAGTTGTACTCCAATAATTCCCACATGTTGTGGGAGGCACCAGTAGGAGATAATTAAATCATGGGGGCAGTTTCCCCCATACTGTTCTCCTGGTAGAAAGTCTCACAAGATCTGATGGTTTGATAAGAGGAAACTGTTTTGCTTGGCTCTCATTCTCTCTCTTGCCACGGCCCTGTGAGATGTGCCTTTCACTTTCCACCATGATTGTGTGGCCTCCCCAGCCACATGGAACTGTAAGTCCAATAAAACTCTTTCTTTTGTAAATTTTCCAGTCTCAGGTATGTCTTTATTAGTAGCATGGAAGTGGACTAATACAGTAAGTTGGAACCAGAAGAGTGGTGTATTGCTGAAAAGATACCAGAAAATGTGGAAGCAACTTTGAAACTGGGTAACAGGCCAAAGTTGGTACAGTCTAGCAGGCTCAGAAGAAGACATGAAAATATGGGAAAGTTTGGAATTTCCTAGAGACTTGTTGAATGGCTTTGACCAAAAGCCTGATAGCGATATGGACAATAAGGTCTAGGCTGAGGTGATTTCAGATGGAGATGAGGAATTTGTTGGGCACTGGAGCAAAGGTGACTCTTGCTATGTTTTAGCAAAAAGACTGGTAGCATTTTGCCCCGCCCTAGAGATTTGTGGAACTTTGAACTTGAGCGAGATGATTTAGGGTATCTAGTGAAAGAAATTTCTAAGCAGCAAAGCATTCAGGAGGTGACTTGGATGTTGTTAAAGGCTGCTGAAAAACTTCTTTTGTGTTTTTCCTGGTGCTCAGCTGATTACAGTAGTCTGTAAATGGTCTGTGTCCAAGTAACACATTACTACAGCTTTAACAATCCATTGGAATGGTTTTAAAGTGTAATTCTGTTTTGGCTTAGAAATATTGAAATCTTCCACACTAGGCCACTCATTTTTATATCTGAGTAAAGAAGTATTGAAAATAAATGGTCAGCTCTCAAGATTAAGTTTTCCTGAATAAAAGTTTTAGAACCTCCTAAATGTTCCCAAGAAAACATTTCTTCAAGATGTTGATTATATTTTGTACGAGAAGGGTGACCTGTAATTTGCAGTTCATTCACCTCTCAACTGTTCATTTCAAACAACTTGGTGCTGGGGCTTCCCATGGTCCCATCAAACCCCAATATCCTTTCAGAATTATGCATGTGGTGCATCTCTCTAGTCTTCTTGTGTCAACATGACACTTTTATTTATGACGTTTCCTGTTCATCTTTCACATGAAAATCCATTGTGCTGTGTCTCTGTTGTATAATTTTATAATCCTGGAAATAGAAAGGACACAATTATCCATCAAAATTAGGCGTTCCTATTATAATAGTAGTTCTCACTTCTTTGGCTTCAGTATCCTCTTTATACACTTAAAAATTATTGAAATCCCCAAAGAGCTTTTGTTTATGTGGGTTACAACTATGAAGATTTACCATATTAGAATTTTAATTCTAGACCCATCACATGTCAATATAAATAATATTTTTAATAGGAAATAACTATGTTTTTCAAAAATTTGTTAGAGGAGTGGTACTGTTTTACATATTTACAAAACGTTTTAATGTCTTTTTAATGAAAGACAGCTGGATTCTTACATCTGCTTCTGAATTCAGTCTGGTGTATTACCGCATTCAAATAGCCCCTGTAAAATCCCATTGTACACTCCTGAGAAAACGAGAGTGAAAAAGCCAGATTAACATTTTAGTATTTGTATTAGTTTTCTGTTGCTGCTGCAACAAATTACCACAAAGTGGCTTAAAAACAACACAAATTTATTATCTTACAGTTCTAGAGGTCAGAAATATGAAACTGGTCTCACTGAGCTAAAATAAAGGTTTTGGTAGGGCTGTTTTCTTCTGTTGACTTGGGGAGAATCAGTTTTCCTGTTTTTTTTTGCAGCTTCAAAAGGGCTTCAATATTCCTTGGTTTATGATCCCTTTGTGCATCTTCAAAGCCAGCAACGTTGGGCCCAATCCTTCTTATACCACCATCTCTCGCCTTCCCTCTTCCCTCTTTCACTTTTAAGGACCTTCATGATTACATTGGCCCACCTGTACAATCCATCTTAAAGTCAGATGATTAACAAGCTGAATTCCCCTTGCCATGTAATGTATTATAATATATTCACTTATTATTGAAACTGGAATCATTAGAGTGAGGGGCATCATTCTGCCTACTACAATATTATTATTATATTTGATTTTACCTCCTGGATGCCCTGAAAACGTCTCAGGGACCTTTGGGTCTCGAAACCCCATTTTGAGAACCACTGCTCTGTGATATCCTAAATAAGTCGCATGTGCTTAATAAGGTAGTTCCCAAGGCAGCCTTTTAAAAAACAGTAGATATGATTTTAAAAAAAGTTCTTTTTGAATCCTGTCTTCATATATCTCCCATCCAGTGATGTTTTTCCATTCTTTCCAGCTACAAAGAAGTCGAATCCTTCTATAATGTTGACAACTCTTCAAATATTTAAAGAACACTGTCATACCCCCACATGGCTTTCTTCTTCTCCATGTTAAACATGGACAAATATTTTTGAGAAAAGTTATGATGATGGTGACATCAACAATGTTGCAATTTATCCAAACTCTACCTATCTTTCATGGCCTGCCCTGAATGTCAAATTTTTCACAAATCTCCTCAGATGTCTCTAATGGAAAATTATCTTTTCTTCCTCTGATCTCCCATTGCACATGATCAGAAATCATTTATGCTCAGGGCTCTTCAGTGTGATAAGATCATAGATTTCTTGAAGGCAAGAAATCACTCATTTTTTCTTATATTGTACACAGTTTAGTATTTATTAGAGAGGAACCCCACTAAATGTGTTCAAATGAAAGGATAAAGGAATTGGAGCAGACTTCCATCTGGAGCTCATGTTTACACTTAGTCTCAGGAACACAGGGGCATGTGTGGGGGTTCCATGCAGGAAGCCTGAGCTCAGAGGCTTCTACCTGCAGAAAACTCGTCCCCAAGGAAGGGAAGCTACAGATACACCCTGATGTGAGGAGTTTGCCATGAATTTGAGAGAGAAACAATTGAGCTTAAGGTGGTACCTGCCACTCAGATAGTCCTGAGTCCTAAGAAGAAAGGAGAGATAATAAAAATAAAAAACACTGCTTTATGGAAGTTCCTGTGGGAATAGTTAACACAGTTCAGACCATCCTGGGGCCCATGTTCTAGTGAGTACCACATAATTCTCCAATGTCTGGAGAGAACAATGAATGCACAGCTTCTTTAAGGAACAAACTGCTGTTTCACTGCATTGGGACCCGCTCAAGCCTCTGCTCAGGCAGAGTCAAGCTCTCAATGCTAGGCAACAGTGGCTTTAGCAGAGACAGATTCTTAACATTCTTTTCTTCAAGAATCAACATAAATGTTGTTTTTTTATAATGTGAATGAGGAGGAGAGGAGAAACAGAGCTCAAGTGGAAGCATTATGCTTCTCCTTGGAACTAAGGTGGGGAGGCAGGAGTGGAAGCTGCCACTCCACTTTTATTAGGAGCATTAAGCAAAGCACTTCCATGTAAGGAAGAGGGTGGCTGATACTGACTAGTATCATATAACAATTGAGGAATTAGTGCTTATCTTAGAAGACATAATCTTACCAGAAGAAACAGTGCTTTGAATGGGAGACAATGGAGGCCCCAAAATTGTGGATAGCATAGAACCAGGAGAAGTGAAGTTTTCTTTGGGCTCATTTGTTCTCACCAGAATGGTGAGGCCCATGGAAACACATGCTTACAGTTGGGCATGCTGGCTTGACTTCTTCCTAGCTCTGTTTCCCAGAGAGAGCCCTGACACTCTATTTCCCATTCATTTCTGTTGTCATACTAGTTCCTGAAACGTCAGAATCCTTCCCCAGTTGATGAAAACTATCATGTTTAAATAGAGCTAAGACTGAGCTTCTTCTGAAAACACTTGAGTCAACTCTTATTGAAATAGATTTTTTCCTTGAAATCAAACCTGTTTACTATTAGCAACTTACAAACAATTCAGTTATATTAGCGTCAAGCTAATTAAAAACATATATAGTATAAGAAAGAATGTACCCCTGAACTTAAAATAAAATTAAAAAAGAAAAAACAAATAAATATTGCAATAAATTCCCTGTTTGTTGATTAATGAAATTAAGATGAACATAATTATCTTAGTACTCTGAAGGTTTAACTGCATATGTGACACTGATTAACAATAGCCTCCCAAACATTATGGGATCAAATTCTCATCTAACAATTGTATAAAACTCATTTTTGTCAAAGGAGGAAAAACCATAAACACACAAATATAGTTCTACACCAAATGAGAACATTTGTTTAGCCTCCCTACCTTCCACATTCAGGTATCTGTATCTGCATCTATCCTTAATTACTTATCTCTAACACTTAATGGAGTATCTACCATTGCAAGTATTGAGGTGTGTCCTGTCTGCACTGACCTTTGTTGTGGTGTAGCTTCTCTTCTTAGCTGAACATTGGGTGATGAGCTCTGATATCAACTAAGATGTGATTAGTGCCACTGGATTTTCAGACATTGTGTACTGGCATTGTTGACTAATATCAGTGGTTTCTGCTATTGTGTATGTTCACAGGGTCATTTGGTGTCATACTTACATTGACACCAAAATCCTATGGGTCCCTAACTCATTCCTAGCCAGCTTTGTGGATGCTCTACTATACCAAACTAGGCCTCTCTAGCTTAACCTCTTTCTTTGTCATTGGTACTCTACCACCCAGGTGCTGTTTTGGACTTGAGGCTTTACTCCTAGGCTTGTAGTCTCCCAGGCTAGAGGCAAGGCCCAAGTCCTTTATATTGTAAGATTTATACTAAGCCCATCTGAGTTTCTGTGTGGGTCATGTAAATGTGCCTCTCAGATCTGACTGTGAGGTATATAGTGACTGATAACTGTAGCTGCCATGTTCAGAAATGCATTCTTGTGTTTGAGTGAGGCCACACTTCCCAGGAGCTCCTTCCAGTCAATGAGTGACCATGGCAGAAATATTAAGGTCTGAATGTTGCAGGAAGTCAGGGACCCCGAACGGAGGGACCAGCTGAAGCCACAGCAGAAGAACATAAATTGTGACAATTTCATGGACATTTATCACTTCCCCAATCAACACTCTTATAATTTCCTATGCTTGTCTTTATTTTAATCTCTTAATCCCATCATCTTCATAAGCTGAGGATGTATGTTGCCTCAGGACCCTGTGATGATTGCATTAACTGCACAAATTGTTCCTAAAGCATGTGTGTTTGAACAATATGAAATTTGGGCACCTTGAAAAAAGATCAGGATAACAGCGATGTTCAGGGAACAAGGGAGATAACCATTAGGTCTGACTGCCTGGGAGCCAGGCAGGACAGAGTCATATTTCTCTTATTGCCAAAAACAGGTAAGAGAAATATCACTGAATTCTTTCCCCAGTAAGGAATATTAATAATTAACAGCCTTGGGAAAAGAATGCATTCCCGGGGGAGGCCTCTAAAATGGCCGCTTTGGGAGTGTCTGCCTTATGCAGTTGTAGATAGGGATGAAACACGCCCTGGTCTCCTGCAGCGCCCCGAGGCTTGCTAGGATTAGGAAATTCCAGCCTGGTGAATTCTAGTCAGACCAGTTCTCTGCTCTTGAACAGTGTTTCCTGTAAAGATGTTTATCAATGACAATGCTTGCACAGTGGGACATGAAACTTCATCAGCAATTCTATTTTTGCCTTGGCCTTGTCCTGCCAATTTGCCTTGTGATATTTTATTGCCTTTGAAGCATGTGATCTCTGTGACATACACCCGATTAGTACACCCCTCCCCTTGGAAAATCACTAATAAAAACTTGCTGGTTTTGCGGCTCGGGGGCATCATGGAACCTGCCAACATGTGATGTCTCCCCTGGACACCCAGCTTTAAAATTTCCCTCTTTTGTACTCTTTCCTTTTATTTCTCAGACTGGCCAACACTTAGGGAAAATAGAAAAGAATCTATGTTGAAATATTGGGGGCTGATTCCCTGATATCTGAATATCATCTGGGAGACACGGTGCTCATCTGATGGGTGATTTTGACTCAAGGACTCCCTGTACACGCTTTACCAAAATCTTAGAACATACTACTGTCTATGTTCTCCATTTCTCCCTCTTTTTCTCCCTAATTTCCTCCTTCCCTCCCTCTCTCCCTCTCCCCCTCCCTTCCTCCCTCCTTCCGTCCCTCTCTTCCTTCCTTCCTTCCTTCCTGCCTGCCTGCCTGCCTGCCTTTCCTCTCCCCAACAGGACTCAGGGCTTCATCATGGTCTGACAACTCTCCTGGCCTCCTCCTTATATTCCCTCACCACTGATTTTTTTCCCAATAAACATCTTTCACATCTAATTCCATTTTGACATCTGTTTCCTACAAAATCTGTACTAAAACTATTTGGAAAAACTAAAAGTTTAATCCTTCTGCCTTATTTCTTGGGGATACTCTCACTAGGATCCAAATCATAGCCACACCTCTTCCAATTTCCCTCTTCCTACTTTCTAATTGAACTTTTGTTTTGGGTGAAGATTGGAAAACATTATCATTCTGTAAACACTTCCATTTTATTGTTTATTTTTGAAATTCTAAAATCTAGCTTTTAGCTTTCTTCTTGCTTTGAAAAGTCAAGCTTCTGAATTTCAGAAAACAAAATTCCCAAACCAAACAAATCAAACAAAAATCTCTTTTCTTCTCATAAAGCTTCTCTTACTTTTGTTTCCATACCATGTGTTCAACAGTAGTCCATTCAGAAATTCAGTCTATCCCTTGGTTTTCAGATGTGCTCACCCTCCTTTTGTGGGTAGTACAATGAAGAAAGCTATTAGTGATAATTAAATGGTGGGAGAAGTATCAAATAATTATGGGAGAAAAACTTAAAAGAAATAGAAAACATGTCATTTAGAATCAACATCACTAAAGTATCACTTAATACCATTTAACATCAAAAAATTTTATTTTCCTATGGGCACCCCTCCTTTCTCACAATTTCAGACCCATGGGGAGGGGGTTGAGAGTTCTGTGCTATGTCTAATTCAATTATAGGAAAAGATTAAATCTCTTTTTCCCCACTTCACATCTGCTTCTTCCAGCTTTTTGAAGCTTCTTGGGTGCCATGGACTATCACAAACCCTGCATGAGAATTGGAACAAGGCAGCTTGAGACTCTGACTTCAATTCTAGGAGAGAAAAGGTGTGTATATGCAGAGAGGAGCCACATTTTGATTTAGAGGAGTGGACATACTAATATTTAGCTTGAACATCTACTGCAGAATGTTTTAGCTTTCCAAAGAATAATCAGCAGAAGTAAGAAACTGTGTGTATGGAAGTGGGGGGAAGTACAAGTCTTCTATCTTGGACTGTGAAGTTTAAGAAGAATTGAAGTTTCCTTTAAGAGGAAAGGCTGATTTCAATGATGTTAACTAAAAAGAGAGAAGGACTTTGAGGGGGAAACTTTCTATGATGACCATTAAGAGTTTCAAGCAGTAGTATGCCCTTCTTTTCAGTTTTTGTTTGTTAAAGAGAAAATGAAACTTTGACAGCAGTTTTATCATAAAGAGAATGGGCAACTGAACAGGAACTAGTGGGTGTCTGGAAGTCTCTGGAAGCCTGAGGGAAACTAGGCAATACAGCCCTGGTCCTGGGTCAGACCAGGCATGGCTTGGGATCTGAGCAGTGACTTGCTCACCCCCGTCAGTGAAGGCCAGTGGAGTCACAGTCACATACGTGGAGGCTCTTGAGGATCTCTGAGGGATGGGGAGCTGACAGGTGTGAGAATCACTGAGGAACGAGCAGCAGTGGCTCATAGTGGAGGGAGGTGAACATTTTGTCCAGTATCTAGAACTTGCTGCTACAATCTTGGTGAGTTCAGCATTACATTCTAAAGAAACAGATTCTGGAAAGAAACATAGTTCCACCTGCTTAGAAGGGAAGAAATTAGATGATAAGCATCCTTTGTGGTGGCTTATAGACAAACTAGAAGAAAAATTTATAGAGTAAATCTTGTTATTAAAACACATATTTCCACATTCGTTTTCCTTTTACATTTCTCCCACCACATAATGGTGGTAAAGGTGTTCTATTGTTGTGACCATTAGAATGGAAATGACACACAAAAATAATATCCAAATCCTTATTTTTGGATTCTTTATAAAGCCATCTGTAACCTATAGCAGAAGCTACAGTTTTGAAATCGCTGACTTATGTTGCTAAAGCTAAGCATTTAAGAGAAAACCATTTATCTGTGTATAGTTATCTTTATATTTCTGAACTTATTTGAACTTTCAAAACTTCTATAGCCCTATGCGGAGATGTAGAACTACAAATTCTGGAAGAATTCTTTGTTTTAAGAGAAAATTTCCCCACCGTGGCAAAAGGAGGTACTGGATTGGAAGGTGGAACTTATGAGGAGAATAAGAGTTCTAAGTGCCAGTGTTGGTCTCTGCTCCTATCCTCTCTGGAGATTAAAACGTGTGTGTGTGTGTGTGTGTGTGTGTGTGTGTGTGTTTTGCAGGGGCCAGCAGGTGCATATGTGATAAAGATCTCTGAATATGTTTGAATCTCTGAAAGCTGATGGGCCTTGTGTCCTATTTTACATCTGAAACTATAGGAGACAGGGTTATAAGGTTAATAATGTCTCTCTCCAGGTCCCTTTTAAAAGATGAAGAAACTCTAAAAAGAGTATCAGGTAAATCACTAATGTCTTTGAGTAGGATTTTTGTTTGTTATGGGGTTCTGTTCTTTGCATTGTAGGACTGTGGGATGCATAGTAGCATCCCTGGTCTCTGTATTCACTAGATGCCAATAGCACCCCTCCTCCAAGTTGTGACAACCAAAAGTGTCTACAGACACAGTCAAATGTCCCCTTAAGGGCAAGATCACCCCAGGTAAGAACCACTGCCCTTACAGTAAAGTAGAGTTGGTTAGATCTGTGAACCTAGAAAATCTGAGACAGGTCTCATTTACTTGAGAAAGTTTATTTTGCCAAAGTTGAGGATGTGCCCATGACACAGCCTCAGGAAGTCCTGATGACATGTGCCCAAGGTGGTCAGGGCACAGCTTTGTTTTACACATTTTAGGGAGACATGAGACATCAATCAATATATGTAAGAAGTACATTGGTTCAGTCTGGAAAGGCAGGACATCTTGAAGCAAGGGCAGAAAGGGGAGGGAGCTTCCAGGTCACAGATGGGTGAGAGAGGAATCCATGCAGTCTTTTGAGTTTCTGATTAGCCTTTCCAAAGGAGGCAGTCTGATATGCATCTATCTCAGTGAGCAAAGGGATAACTTTGAATAGAATGGGAGGCAGATTTGCTCTAAGCAGTTACCAGCTTGAGTTTTCCTTAGTGATTTAGGGGGCCCAAGATATTTTCCTTTCATAGATCATTCCCTTCCATGCTGTGGGGACCAGGGTATCAGAAGAAGAGAAAGACACTGAGAATGGAGAAAGGCACTGAAGGGAATGGGGGAGAAGAGAAGCTTCCTCTGCCATCATTTTGTCCTAGGCTGAGTCTTCGTTTAGTCTTCAGATTTTTATCAGGATTTTTTTTTCTAGAAGATGCCAAATCCAAGGAATGAATTCACCACCCTAGGAGCCTATCTAAATATATGGAAAGGAAAATTTTCTCAAACAACAGAAAATTTGAAAAGGCAACATGTGTGTCTAGTGGTGTGGGTTTATCAGGTTTTAAAGAGGGCAGTAGGCAAGGTAGATTCACTGAATGTGCTCATTAGTGGGCTGCTGAAAAATGGTGTAATAGTCCCAAAGCACAGTCTGAAGTGAGAACAGCAAGTAGCTGGAGCCCCAGACGTACAGAAGTGTCCTAGGCAGAAAACAATACATTGAAATGCATCTGGCAAAATATTACCTAATACATTTGAAAAAAATACCCACCACAGATATTCTAATGGGAAAAGTACACCTGGTGAGTAATATTGCCAAACAAGCCCACGAGTGTGCAAACAAAATGAATTCTGCAATCTGATGCCCAAATAAGAAAAGCCAAATCAATTTTGAGTTGTGAGAATCCTGGAAAAAGCAATAGCTTCATTTGCTAATATAAAAATAAACAACATTCATTTAATAGTAACTATTAATAGAACCTAATACTTCTAATCAATCTACATAAAAATAACATTGGTTCTTCATTGAAATAATATGTGGTCTATTGTTTATTGTAGCGTATACCAATCAGTCCTGAAAATAAATTACTAAAGGATGTTTTAATTCTCAAGGTGTTTTATATGTTGGTTAATTGGGAACAAACCATATTGAAATGAGAAGCAGAGGGATCTACCTACCAGAGAGCTGAAGCCAGATATTTTTTCTGCTATAAGCTGCTTGTGGTTGTTTGTGCCTGAAGATGTGCTAGTGTGCTTTACGTATCAAGGTTATTTCTTTCTTTTTTAGCCTTAAGCAACAGAAATTTATTTTCCTACAGTTTTGAAGGCTGGAAGTCCCAGATCAAGGTGCCAGCCAATTTGATTCCTGGTAAGAGCCCTCTTCCTGGCTTGCAGACAGAGCCTTCTTGCTCTGTCCTCACATGGCAGGAAGGGAGAAAGAGATCTTATTCCCCTCATCTTCTTATTAGGCCATAGTCTTATCACATTAAGGCACCACTCTTATGACCTCCTTGAACCCTAATTACCTCGCAGGTATTTCTGATGAGAGCACAGGAAAGGTGATCCAAAAGATTGTTAGGGAGCTCAAAAGATCATCCCAGACTGTAGCTGGTAGAAGGTTCTAAAATGGAGCTGCTTTGGCAGAATGGCAATAATGCTTTGCCATCAGTTAATTTGCTGCTGTTGGTATTTACAGAACTTTGTGTCAAAGCAAAAGTTAAATGGGATCCAATTAAACTAAAGAGCTTCTGGACAGCAAAAGAAACTATCAACAGAGTAAAGAGACAACCTACAGAATGGGAGAAAATTTTTGCAAGCTGTGCATCCAGTGAAGGTCTAATATCCAGCATCTATAAGGAACTTAAATTTACAAGGAGAAAAACCATTAAAAAGTGGGGAAAGGACATAAACAGATGCTTCTCAAAAGAAGATATACATGTGGCCAAATAAACATATATAAAAAGCTCAACATCACTGATCATTAGAAAATTGCAAATCAAATCCACAATGAGATACCACTTCTCACCAGTCAGAATGGCTATTATTAAAAATAAAAAGTCAAAAAACAACAGATGCTGGTGAGGTTGTGGAGAAAAAGTAATGCTTATACACTGTTGGTGAGAGTGTAAATTAGTTCGGCAATTGTGGAAGACAGTGTAGTGATTCCTCAAAGACCTAAAGACAGAAATACCATTCCACCCAGCAATCTCATTACTGGGTATATACCCAAAGGAATATAAATCGTTCTATTATAAAGATACATGCATATGTATATTCATTGCACAACTGTTCACAATAGCAAAGACATGGAATCAACCTAAATGTCCATCAATGATGGAGTGGATAAAGAAAATGTAGTACATATATACCATGGAATACTATGTAGTAATAAAAAAGAATGAAATCGTGGCCTTTGCAGGAACATGGATGGAGCTGGAGGCCATTATTCTTAGCAAACTCACACAGAAACAGAAAAATCAAATACTGCATATTCTCACTTATAAGTGGGAGCTAAATGATGAGAACACATGGACACATAGAGTGGAAAAACACATACTGGGGCCTTTTGGAGGGTAGAGGGTAGGAGGGAGGAGAGGATTAGGAAAAATAACCAATGGATACTAGGTTTAATACCTGAGTGATGAAAAAATCTGTACAACAAACCACCATGACAAAACTTTATCTATGTAACAAACATGCACTTTTACCCCTGAACTTAAAATAAAAATTATAACTAAATTTGTTTCAAAGCTGATTTTTTCAACTTACTTGTCTTACTTTTTAACTTGTTCTCAAAAGATTATAATGTTTGGCATACCAAGCTTCCATTCTGGTGTATCCTCAGAGGTATAATGAGCCAGAGGTCCTGAAAATACTAAAATACTAATATTCTATCATCTAAAGATTCCTCCATATTCAGAGATGGCCATGGTATTGTGACTATAAAATGAAATCAAGACTACATTGTTACATGAAGATAAAAATGTGAGTACTCCCGATTCTTCTTAGCAAAAGGAGTTTATCCAGGTGGTTTTCTGTACCAGGCCTACTGCCTCATCTATGTATTTCTAATGTTAATGAATCCTGTGAGCTGCCAGATTCCAACCTCAAACATCTGAGTTCTGAGAGAACTGAAATGTGCAGGTAAGGATTATGTGATTTAAACAACAGGTTAACTTTTTCACTAGGGACAGCATTTTCCTTCTCTCTGGAGGGTCAAGAATGGGAGGGCATCAGCATTTGTCAGATTTTTTTTGTTGCTTCTGTTTTTCATCTCTTATCACCTTAAAATACATGGAAGCCACAGTAAGAATACCCAGTGATGAGACTTCTGAATTCTTTGTCAGTATCTCAGTCCCTCAGCTAGATTTGCAGCTAGCTAACTCCTCTTCAATCATATTAAAATTGAAGTAGGTAGTACAGTGTGACGTGAATGTAGAGTAGTTTAATAGAAATAATTAAAATGTAAAATTCTCTTTGATTTAGGGACAATTGGGGTAATTTCTCCATCTAAATGCCTATTTAAATTGCCTTTTATACCTGAAGTTTTCTTATTGATCTATGGTCATCCTAATATTTCAATCCAACAGAAGTGTTCTTTAACTCTCTAACTTAGTGCTACATCTTAGGCAGGGTTCCTGAATCTATGACTACTACAATTATGCTATATTAATAAAACCATAGCAATTTGAAAAGAAGCTTCTTAGAGTAGAACAGTACAATTTCATAACTAGAAGTTATTTATTCTAACTTCTTCATTTTGCATAGAAGAAAAAAGACTAAGAAGAGTGGAAAAATTTGTCTATCATACAACGGACTGGCCCTGAAATCTATATTTCTTTATTCTGGGTCAAAAGTTGTTCTCCCTATGTCATGGTTCTTCCATATAAGACTGTTCTCATCATGTATCGCTGACAGAGTTTATCACTATTGATAGTTAAGAAGCCTCTGCAGAAGCAGCACAGCTTAGTGGGTAAGAGTTTGCATCCTGGACTAAGATGGTTTAGAAACGTGGCTCTACTGGCTGTAATTTTTAGACAAGTTATTTAACCTGTCCTAGCCTCAGTTTCCTCATCTGTAAAATCGAAGTTATAATCTCACTAAATTTACAGGTCACTATAAGGGTCAAATGAGGCTCTGGCACATATATAAACTCAATGTGTTTCAGAATAATCCCCTAATCCTAATTTTGATTACCTCTTTATTTTCGGCCAATAGAATTCAGTAAATAGATGGTAGGAAGACCAAAATTAATTCTGACTAGCAGACTGGTCCTGATGTTTTGATTTGTCAAATCTGACTAGGACATAGAAATTGGAAATCTGAATCTTCTCCCAGAGTTTCAGGTAGCATTTATCACAACCATTTCAAGCAGCAAAACATCTATCTCAACTTGTGACAATTCAGGGGTAGAGATTCGAGATTCAAGACCCCTTTAGTGAAAACCATTTTTAGATTATAAAATCCATCTTCTCAGTTTGCCTCAAAAATAAAACATCAAGAAGAGAAGAAAGTCCAGTTCAAATTTACTGAATGCTTGTAGGAATATATAAAAGATTTCCAAAGTGTGTGTCTTAGGTTGGGTTCCCCCAGAAGCAGATGCAGAGACAAAGAGTTGAGAGCAAATAGTTTATTTGAGGGGTGATCTCAAAGGGAATCAGTAGGTGAGCAGAAAACAAGACAGGGAGGGAAAGGAAGTACATTATTAAACATGTTATTGCTGGGAGCACTGGAGCTCAATCTCTCTGAGGAACTAGGTCACACCTCAATTCATCACTTCTGACAGATGAAGAAGCTATTATCCTTCAGCTTCAGCCATGCCTAGTGGAGAGCTGTGGCCTCCGTTCCATGAATCACATTCTTGGGCCAGGTGCTTTCCAGTGGTTAGTATTTTTATCCTAAGGCATGCTAGAGTGGGCATCACTGATATTCCCTTCAAACTCATTGATGAAGTTCATATCGGCAGCATTCTACTGCAATATCCTGCCACATGGCTTTCTCTCAGCCCATGTATGGTACAGACTGGAATTTTCAAGGAGCAGGGAATTTAACTGGATCCCATTTAACTTTTGTTTTGAAACAAAGTTCTATAAATACCAACAGCAGCAAATTAACTGATGGCAAAGCAATATTGCCATTCTGCCAAAGCAGCTCCTTTTTAGAACCTTCTACCAGCTACAGTCTGGGATGATCTTTTGAGTTCCCTAACAATCCTTTGGATCACCTTCCCTGTGCTCTCATCAGAAATACCTAGGAGGTAATTAAGGTTCAAGGAGGTCATAAGAGTGGTGCCTTAATGTGATAAGATATATTTATCTAATGAAATGTTCTTTAAGAAATAGATTATTTTACATCAGAAAATGCCGGGGTGTCAGGCACGGTAGCTCATGCCTGTAGTCCCAGCATTTTGGGAGGCCAAGGTGGGAGGATTCCTTGAGTCCAGGAGTTCTAGACCAGCCTCTGCAACATGGCAAGACCCAGTCTCTGCAAACAATTATAAAATTAGCCGGGCGTAGTGGCACACACCTATAGTCCCAGCTACTTGGGAGGCTGAGGTGGGAGGATCCCTTGTGCCTTGGAGGCAGAGGTTTCAGTGAGCCAAGATCACACCACTGCACTCCAACCTGAGCAGCAGAGTGAGACTCTGTCTCAAAAAAAAAAAAAAAAAAAAAAGAAAAAGAAAAAGAAGGAGAAGAGAAAGTAAAGAAAATAAAATGCAGGGGAAGGTGGACCATAGGCCCCTTTTAGCACATAAAGATGCATGTAGCCACGATCACATCATTCTAATCTCATCTCCATTTCTCATTTTATATACTTTTTGGAAATATGGCCTATTATAACCATTTAAAACACAGTGGACCATTATCTTTGTGGTGTCTGTTTTTCAGTCAGCACACAGTGACAAGATGTTTATCAAGTTGGTAGAAACCCCAACAGTCCAAGACTTGGCTCTCTTTTAAGCATTGTATTCTGCAAAATTTCAACTGAGGACTAATTATAAGTGGGCACAGAGGGTAATATAAATAATATTGAGAGAATAACAATATAAGGGAAGTTAGAATGAATCTAACTCAAAGTTCAGAATAAGTTCAAGCTGTTAGTCTGGCATATGCTTCCACTTGGGACCAGAGTGAAGGGTGGGAAATTTCAAAATTACCCAACATGTTTTCTTATTGTACTTGGAAAGATGTCTAGTGTTTTTTTTTCTTTTCTTTTCTTTTCCATTTATGAAATGAGCCCAATTGCTGTGTTTCTGGGATGGCTTCACACAGTTAAGAATTAAAGCACTATCTTGGGCCTTTCTCCTTCTCTACCCACATTTACTAACCTAGTAATTAGAAAAAGACACTAATAGCAGGTATTGAATTTACATGCATGTCATGACTTGCAATAGTATCTTTGACTTTCTCATTGAAGGTTTTAAAATAAAGGAGGCTTGTAAAAGATGTCCTTTCAATAAGTTTGATAAGACAGTACCAATAACCTACTGTGATGTTGTGAAATATATATTTGGGCTTTGTTCCCTGACAGGTAGCTCCTGAAAGCATTAGATAAGTGTGTCTTCTGTGTGCTAATGAGAAGATTGGTGGCAGGCATACCCTCTTGGTAGCTTTAGATTGGGGGCTGGTTTCTGGAAAGATCAAGGCATAATTAGAGAATTGGGATTTTTAGCCACACCCCACAACCTCCAGAAAGGGCAGAGGGGCTAAAGGTTAAGTTGATCACCAATGGCCAATGAATTATTTAATCATGCCTACAGAATGAAGCTTCCACAAAAACCCAAAAGGGCTGGGTTTGAGAGGATTCTGGATAGCTGAACATGAGATCCCTGGAGGGTGGTATGCCTGAAGAAGTCATGGAAGCTCTGCACCCCTTCCCCTGTAGCTCACCCTATGCATCTTTTCTGTCTGACTGTTCGTCTGTATCCTTTGTAATAGCCTTTATATGAGCTGGTAGACACAGGTAAGTGTTTCTCTGAGTTCTGTGTGCTGCTCTAGCCAATTAGTGGAACCTGAGGAGAGGGTTGTGAGAACTAATTTGTAGCCTGTTGGCCAGAAGGTCCACAGGCTTGCAGTAGTAACTGGCATCTAAATTGGGGGAGTCTTGGAGACTGTGCCCTCAACCTGTAGGATCTGACATTATCTCCAGATAGATAGTGTCAGAATTGAATTAAATTTCAGGACACTCATCTGGTGTCAGCTGCAGAATTGGTTACTAGTGGGGAGAAATTTCCATGCACATTTTGGTGACCAAATGTCACAGAAGTAATCCATGTGGTGAGAGTATAATAGGAGAAATTGAGTTTTTGTTTTTTTCCTACACACTATTCTGCAGAGGCAGTTTTGGATAAGAATTGTACAGTAAACCAGTGGCTAATGTACAATCAAAATGATCATTGTAAGGAACCAAAGCTGCAGAGGTAAATTAATTTCTCTTTGGGTATATATTTGTTACAATAGGAATGGTAAACCCAAACTATTTAAAAGTATGTCTATGAAAGCAGAACACTCTCTTCCATTGGACATTAAAGAGGAGAATTAGGCATAAAGCTGGATCTAGTCAATACTATACTTTGATTGTTTACATATCAACCATTAGCAAAGCCAAAGAGGGACATTAGACGTGTCTGGTTGCTTTTGAAGATTGCAGCAGTGAATGGATTACTAGAGGATGTGTTACTAAATATCTGATTAATACTAAGTAACCAACTGCAAAATGGTTAAATCCCTTATTTTTATTTTTTTAAATAGAGGCTTTATAAAGCAACTTTTGGAAAAACTATGGCCCACGGGCCACATTCAGCCACCATCTGTTTTCATAAGTAAATTCTCCTGGGGACTTTTGCCATGTTCCTTTACATATTATTTATGGCTGTTTTGTGTTACAGTGGCAGAGCTGAGTAGTAATAACTGAGACTAATCACCCCCTAAACCTAAAATATTTACAGATTTATCTAGTCTTTTACAGAAAAATGTTGCTCACCTCTGCTATAGAGATGTGATTCAATGTTTTGTTTGCTTGTTTGTTTGTTTGGGGCACAAAATAAGCCTGATGGTAGTCTAGAGACTAAGAATACAGGTTTCATTGCCATGTGCACATGTTAGTATAACCATATAATGCTGACTCTTGTCTTCCCTCTTACAAATAAATGCTGTTAGCCACAAAAGAGATTGATATACTCAAATCTAGAAAATAAATTATTAGGAAATTATGGAGATTATATTTTTGAGGTTCTAATTTTATAGATGAGGAAAATGAGACCTAGAAAGATTAAAGAGATTTGCCCAAGAGTACTTAGCTCATGGCAGAGGCAAGGCACTATTTTTTTTTTTAAAGAAAAACCCAGAGAAGGCCCTTCCTCTGAGAACCAGTCCCTTCTGATGAAAGGCAGAGAACATTAATTTTGCTCTGTCAAGAATAGTCTTCCATTTTATGTTGAATAAATTCAGTTACTATAATACAATGGTTCTCAAACTTTAGTGTGCATGAGAATTACCTAACCTTAGAGGGCTAGTTAAAATGAAAAGTTCTGGGATTAATCTCTCCTTAAATTTCTGATGCAGTCGGTCTAGATGGGTCTCAAGAATTTGCATTTCTAATAAGTTTTGCAGGTGAAACTGGTACTGCTGGTTTAGAGATTACACTAAGACCCATTGCTTGAATACAACTGGGACTGATTAGTTTCTGTCTTTCTTTCTCATGTATAGGCAATTCACACTAAAGCTGAAATAATCAGTACCTGATCATGGTTTATTAAAACAGTGATCAAGAAATAATTGGAAAAATTCTTCTTCAAGGTGATTCTTTTACAGTATTTCACTGTATCCATTAAAACAAATAGGAAGAGTAAGAACAAATGAGATTGATTAAATCTTGGTTATTAAACTATTGGAAGGAAGCAAGGACAGATATAAAGAACAGATAATACAGAAAGCTTTCATTCTGGGGGTTTGTGGCAACCAACAGTAGAAGGTAGGAGTGTTTGTGAGTGTAGGAGAGCAGGCAGGAGATATTACAAAGTGTCAAGATGTCAATATGTTCTCAGTAATTTTAGGTTCCAGATTCACTAGGTAAGCATGAGAATTTATGTTGTGCAAGATCATCTAGTACTATATTCTCCCTCTTATACACATCTGAGTTAATTTAAAGCATATGTATGTGGATTCACATTAAATAATTATTCCACAAAAATGTACATTAAATAGCTCAATTGGTTTTATGCTCATAAATCCACAAAATCCTCTTATGGTTACAGCCTTCTTTTACAACCAGAAAAATGAGGAACAGAAATTATAGTAAGCACTCAATATCTCACAACAAACCAGTAATAAGACAAAGAAAAATGTTAAGTTCCCTTTATTCTTACTGAATAAGGCAGACATTAAGGGAAGTTAATAAGGAATAGCATTTTATTTTTCTTGGCTAGTTAGTAATTTACCTTGTTTTGCATTTCTTGAGGGAAAAAAGTGTGGGGGGATAATATCTAATCTCCAAAGAATAAATTGAACCAGGCAGCAGTGAGCAAATATAATTCACACCCCACCCTCTCATCAATCATCAGTAAGCATGATTGAAATGGCTTCTTGTAAGAAAAAGTTCTCAAAATTCAAGCCTGGGAAAATTTAAACCTGATGTTTCTCACTTCCTTCCAACTTCTCCTTTGTCTGTTGCAACACTTAACTTTTCCTCTGCATCTCTGCCTGGGGGTTATTGGACTGCTGGCACTGTGGTCTCCCAGGCTATTACTCCTGGGACTATGAGGTCCAAACTGGGCATGTTTGAAATAGAGCTCAACCTCTTCTCCCACCTCCTGCCCCCAATTGCTCCCTCTCTGGACTTTTTTATTTCTGTCAAAGTTATCATCGTTCTCCAGTCCCACAAGCTCAAAACCTCAGAGTAAACTCTGCCAATCTTTTCTTCGCTCTTAAACCTAGCTTGCTCCCAATTCTCTCAATTCCTCTTTTTCAATGTCTTTTACAGCTGTCCCCTTCTCTGTCGCTGTTTCTTTCTATCTTCCACTCACCCTGCCCACATTCACCCCTCCTCAGTGCATAGTGGATAAGACCATGGTAGCCCACCTAGACTTCTGCTGCCATTTCCAGTGCTGCCTAGCTGGGTAGCTTTCATCTCCAAGTCCTGAACCTCAATTTCATCATTTTATTTTTTTAATGGGAATCATAATACTTGCCCATAAGTTGTTACGAGGATAAAATAATATACACAAAACGCTTAGCACAGTGTTAGACACATGGTGAGTGTCCTCAAATACAATGAATATAGAAATTATCATTTAAGAGAAGGATATACAATCTAGCTTCAATTTTCATTTGCTCCCACATGTATTTACTTTTGCATATCATTTTGTATTCAAAATTGTATTTTATTTTCTCAAAGTTTCCTCCATTATATAATCTTTAGGTTTCACAAATTCTGAGTCCACGCTGCTTTTGAAAATGTAAGGGGGCCACATTAATAATTATGCATGGGCAATAATGATAAACTAGGACTGTGTCATGCAGATCAGGACTTATTGCCACTGTTGAGGGAGGCAATCTGCTGTGAGTCCTGAGAGTTGCTGCACATTTTTACTGAGTATGCCAGGAGTACAAGGCTCTGACCACTGTTTATCTGACTATTCTTCAGAGTTTTGTTAGATATCAGGCTTCTGGTCACCAGAACTGTGAGACAATAAACTTATTTTGTGTAAGCCACTCCATTTTCTATACTTTGTTACACAGCCCTAGCAAACTAATACATCTACAAAGATTCTCTGAGACAAATGGAGTAGGAGGTGATTGTAAAACTGGCTAGGGTCTGAAGGTTACTTCCAACAGAGCTGAGCCAGGCAAGGTAGCTGAGGGCCAGGCAAGGTGAGAGCAGTGAGATGCTGCCAGGGCGAAGTCAGGGGACCCAGATTGGGTGCTCATGCAACACCTCCACTTACCTCCCTGCTCATACTGGCAAGGAGAGGAATAGGAGGTTCAATCAGGAAATGAAGCCTGAGTTAGCTTCTGGGAAACCTGAAAGTGCAGGTAGCCATTTCCCCATTGCCGAAGTTCTATCTTACTCTAAGTGGGTAGAGTCCTCCAGGGTCACTAAAGGGCAAAAAGCTTAATGCTCCCACCCCAACCAGCATGGGATGGTCTTCGGTTTGCAGACTTTTCCACCCTGACAATGTCTCAGTGTATTGGATTCTCACAGTCAACCAGCAACCTTTCTGCTGTATCTAAGCCACAGACCAGAACAAATCATGACCCCATTTTTAAAGGCAGGGAGAGTAAGTTTACTCACATGCCAATAGCTACAGAACATTTGCCAGCTATTTTCTACTTCTGAGTCTTTTCTCCTTTAATTGTGAATTTACAACTATTTAATAGCTGGCTGAAAGTCTTGTGTCAAGTTTAGGTGGGATTTTTATTTTAATCAAAAAATAAATTTATTTCAAATTTACCATTTGAAAAGCGTCAAGGTCTTCTCTCATGAGAGCTTATTTTGGTATCTTCCTGGTAATGAGGAGGAAAGCCCAGCTTGGTTCGTAAAACAGATCATCTCCTAGGTAACCTGAAGCAAGATGGTGAATTCTATCTCAGTACGCTTTATCAGACTGAGCTACACTCAACTGGAGGAAAGCACCTAGCAACATGTCTCCTATAATGGCACAGAATTTTTGTTTTTGTTTTTGTTTTTCTGTGTTTCTTTTTGAATATTTTTTGTAAAAAATAAAACAATGCTCTCATTTCCTTTTAAATGTCCAATTAGACCTAGACAAACATGAGCACAGCCTTAAAAATCCACTGAATGAAAACTTGATTGGAATCTCTGTTGTAGGGTTGCCAGATAAAAACTAGATACCCAGTTCAATTTGAATTTTAATTAAGTAACGAATAATTTTTTTACTACAAGTATCTCCCAAGTATTGCACAGGGCATATGCATAGTAAAAACATTTGCTGCTATTTACCTGAAGTTCACATTTAACTGGATGTACTGTATTTTTGTTTGCTCAATCTGGCAACCCTTTTCTGCCAAAGATGGGATTTTTTTCTTTCTGTCCCTGTTTTTCTATTCCTCTAATCAAATGAGAAGATGTTGCTTGGTTTATTTTTTTTTCTTTTTCTTAGCAAAGAAGTACTTTGAGTATGTCCTAGAACAATATTTTTCAAGATGCTCTCCCTGGTCACTAAATTAAATCACCTGGATACTGATTAAAATGCTAATTTATGGGTCTTAGCTAAGTCGTGCTTAATAATAAGATTCTCAAGCACCCCATAAAAGTCTTACACACTGTAAATATGAGATAAAAATGACATCTAGGGCAACAGTCCCCAACCTTTTTGGCACCAGGGACCAGTTTTATAGACAATTTTTCCACAGACTTGTTGGGTGGGGGTATGATTTGGGGATGATTCAAGCACATCACATGTATTGTGCAATTTATTTCTATTATTATTACATTGCAATATATAATACAATAATTATACAACTTACCATAAAATAGACTCAGTGGGATTGCTGAGCTTGTTTTCCTGCAACTAGACAGTTCCATCTGGGGGTGCTGGGAGAGAGTGACAGATCATCAGGCATTAGATTCTCATAAGGAGTGCACAACCTAGATCCCTCCCATATACAGTTCAAAATAGGGTTCATGCTCCTGTGAGAATCTAATGCCACCATTGATCTGACAGAAGGCAGAGCTCTGGTGGTAATGTGAGTAACAAGCAGCAGCTGTAAATACAGACGAAGCTTTGCTCACTTACCCTCTGCTCACCTCCTGCTGTGCAGCTCTGTACCTAACAGGAGACAGACGGGTACCAATCCATGGCCTTGGGGTTGGGGACTCCTGACCTAGGGTATCTGTGCCTCAGTTAAAGCCTGATGTGAGTGTCCTTTCTCACTGCATCATATTACCTTGAGTAATGGTGGCCTCAACAAGTGGAGACACTGAGGAAATGTTAAGATCTGATAGAATTGAGAGACTATTAAATTTTTGTCATGTTATTTATTATTTAAAATAAAAGTATTGATTTCTAAAGCCTTTCTAAAAATTATCAAAATATACACCTGTATTTAATTAAATTTGTAAAAAACATCCGAGGTATAGTTTTTATCTATCCAAATAATTTGCCAACATGTTTGTTTGTTTGTGTGCTCAACTCTAGGCCGAAGCCTACAGAAGAACTGTCATTTGCAATAGTTTTATATTTCTAGGTTTTCAATATACATCGCAGGTGCAAATGCTGCTTGGAATTATAAACAGTCCAGAAGGATTTAGCTAATCCAGCTGTTCTATGGTTTAACAAAAATTTATTTTATCAATATTAAATGATGTATAGTTTTTAAAACTCACTCCAGGTAACAAATTATTTTTTAAGCAAAGTATTGATCTCTCTAAGTGTGCTGCCTCATTTGGAAGATAATGATAATAGTAGCACTACTTCACAGGTATTGGGGGAATTAACTAAATGATATGTGTAAAGACTGACACATACACATAGCAAAGTGCTCAAAAAGATCAGCGGCTATTGTTATTATAAAAAACACCATTTCATTTCTAAAATGTTAAACTTCTAAAATACAGATAAACAGAGAAGGCTTTTCCAGGACAGTTCTTTCCTAATTTTGAGTTCTGGGGCTATTGTGGGCCCCACTTTAAAACCAAAGTACAATGATATGGGTGTGATCAAAAGTCATGCCATAAATTCTTCCTTCCTTTCCCTGACATCTGTTAGGAATTTAAACTCTTTACCAAATGTATTTTCATGGTGACTCCACTGTGTTGACATGTTACAGGTGGGGCCCCTTTGACATAGTAAACACAAGACAGGCAAGAGGTGAGCAATTTTACAAAAATCTATGTTCAACATCCTCTTTGAGTTGAAGGCCGGTGTGGCTGAAGTGTAATGAATAAGAGAGAAGAGCAGAACTTGAGGCTGGCTAAGAAGTGGCATACTGGTTTGAAGTGCTTAGGTTTTTTTTGTTTTTGTTTTTGTTTTTTTTCTTAATATGATGGAGAATCATATGAGGGATTTAGGTAGAAGGCAGACATTATTGGATGTGCTTTTTTGGAAAGATTATTCTGGCTGCCGTACTTGCCTCAGGCAAGAAACAACCTCCCCTTCTATTTCAATTTTGTCTTTACTGTTCATAGTTGTCTGTTTTGTTGTTGCTGTTGTTTGGTGTGTATGTATGCCTTCCTTGATTAAATGTGCACTTAATGAAGATGGGGAATTACCTTATGTATCTTTATAACCCCTATAAGAAGGTACAAAGATGCCTTGTTGTGAGGTGCCTTGTAAATAATAGGTAGCCAACAAGCATTTTGTGAATGAATGCCTGGATAGACAGATGATTGAAATGACAGGACAAAGCCAAATGTGCCTTTGATATAACCCGTGCAAGTACATGGGGCTGCCGTAATGAATTAGTACATAGATGGGACCAAAGAAAGCAATCAGCCCAAATTTTCAAAACAGAATGAATGGCAGAAACTCAAGTACGAACACTTTTCCTCCGAGAATGGCAGTTTACACAGAATGTAAATAGATCCCTCTGCACTGCATTAGGCCAGAGCAATATTGTCACAGGGCATTTTGATTTATCCAAAAGAAAAGCATTTATCAACTTAGTCATTGCTATGTTTGGGAGTCATCACAAGGATATGAGCCAAATTGTGACGGTGATATTTCTCATATGCATGTCATATAAAAAGGAGATTCTTTTGCCTGCACACTATGCATGTTGTACTGTTAACTATGGCCAAGTGTTGTTATTAGCTAATTCTGTATTGCTTTTCCGCATTTAGGCCAGAATTATGGGAGCAAGAGAGAGAAGAATAATGACACTTTGTATTCTCATATAACCACAACTTTTAAGTGTCCCAAAATATTTCACAGATGTTATTCAAATTTGTGTGGAATGTGTAGCACTGAGAAGTTAAGGCCCAAGGAATCCTGATACTAAGCTAAATTTTTGTTAATCAGGCCAAGTGTGCAAAGGATGTTTTCTACCCTTCTGCTTATACATGTAATGCATTGGACAAAAATTTGTCACCCAAAGTTCCAGTGGGGTATGGAAGGCTAGTCAAGCCAGTAGTAAAATGGGGAGAAATAAATGGGGGTGGGGCAAAGACTTGACTACATTTTCCAGTAAGCTGTGTATCTGTCAGGAGGGTTAGCTGTCTCAGGTTGAGCTTTTGGAAGGACATGGAACAAAATATATTTATCCAGCAAATGGGGAAAGAATTGGGGTGGGAAGATGTCAGGATGGTAGGAAACCAAGAGAGGCCTGAGTGCAGAAAAGATGGATTGAATGGGATGTTTATTGAATGCCTGCTTATGGCGTTTAACACAAAACTGCTTTCCCATTTTTTTCCCAAATATTCAGTAAAATATGCATTGCTGAGTGATGCCTTCAAAAGGAATTGGTTCCTAGAGATAACTGTGAAGCTGAATGCAGCTTCAAGTAGAGGTGTGTGAAGAACAGATGCTCTCCTGAAGCTGGCATATGTTTATATTTACACACCCAATGTGTGCCATGTTTTTTCTGATCTATGAAAATTCTTGCCAAAACTTCTTGTAATCATTCAGAAGAAAAAAGAGCAGCTCCTCATGCCACCCCCCAGAGCTTTACCTAAAGAAAAAACATATACGTTATAAGGCATGTAGAATCCAAAATGGTGATCAATTCTTAGTTGGTATTTTCTTAAAATAATTCTTTTTTATTGAGAACTTATTTAGAGGTCCCTGTTTATTAAATCAGTCTGGACAGCATCCACTTTTGCAAATTGTTTTTGGAAATGTTACTATGCTAAAAAATACCAATTTGCCTTACACTCTTTGGTGGGTGACTGCCTTTTCCCATCTCATCCTTTCATAACCAACATCACTGACAACTGCTTGCATAGGTTACGCTAAAGGGACATATACTTGGAAGAGTAAGAGAAAAATAAGGAGATGGAAGAGTAAAGGAGTATAGGAAACTGTTTTGTGTCAGTTCCCATGGGGATTGGGGTGCTTTATTTTATCCACTCCCCCTGAAGCTTTCTGGTGTCTGTCATCCACCCTCACCCAATGAGTCTGCTTTTCTTGTTTATTTTTAAAATAAAATTTAAATTAAATATTGAATGGACACCACATACCATAAATCTAAAGTTCCTTAAAATTTCCACAAAAACGTGCTCATGTATCCACCAAGACCAAGAAATAAAGTATTAGCAGCACTCCAGAAGTCCACTATGACTTTTCACAGTCTTTATAAATTTCCTTCCTTGAAGGGAGTTAACCTCACTTCCAATTTCATATATTACTTTAAAAAATACTTGATATATGAATAGACTCATACAGTATATTAGACTGCTTGGGTTGCCATAACAGAATACCACAGACTGGGTGGCTTACACAACAGAAATTTATTTTCACACAGTTCTGGAGGCTGGAGATCCAAGTGCTGGAAGGGCTGGTTTCTGGTGAGTGCTCTCTTCCTACCTTGCAGATGGCTATTGTTATGGTCTGAATGTCTGTGTCCTGAAAACTCATATGTTAAAATAGAATTTCCAGCGTAATGGTATTTTGAGATGTACCTATGGAGGATGATTAGGTTCTGAAGGTGGAGCTCTCATAAATGAAATTAGTGTCCTGATGAGAAGAAAAGGCCAGAGTGCTGGCTCACTCTCTGCTATGTGGGGATACAAGGAAAAGTTGGCAGTACGCAGCCCAGAGGAGGACCCTCACTAGAACCTGACCATGCTGGCATTCTGATCTCAGGCTTTTGGCCCCCAGAATTGTAAGAAATAAATGTTTGCTGTTTAAACCTTCGGATGTGTGGTATTCTGTTATAGCAGCTTGAATGAAGACAGCCAACTTCTCAATATGTCCTCACATGACCTTTACTCTGTGCATGTGCACTCCTGTTATCTTTTCCTTTTCTTACAGGGACACTAGTCCCATTAGATTAGGAGATTATAATCTCATGTAACCTTAATTGCCTCCTATCTCCAAATATAGTCACATTGGAGAGTATGGCTCCAACAAAAGAATTCTGGGGAGACAAAATTCAGTTTATAACATATAGTATGTACTGTTTTGTTTCTGAATTTAGCCATTCTATTGTCAATGAACATTTTAGTTTTTTTCAGCTTTGCATTATTTTAAATGAAACCACTGTGAACATTCGTGTGCATGTCATTTAGTAAACATATGCACGCATTTCTGTTTTGTATATCCTCAGTAGTAGAATACTTGGGTCATGGGGTATGTTTTAGTAGATATTGCCAAATAATGTTCTAAAATGTTTGAATCAATTTATATTTCCATTAACATTGTATGAGTATTTTAGTTGCTCCATATCCTTACCAACACAGTTATAGTTGAGCTTTTAACTTTTAGCCATTTTGTTGGATGTCTAGTGGTATTACATTGTGGTTTCAATTTACACTGATGACTAATAATTTTGGTCACCTTTTCGCATCTGTTGTCCTTTTGGTATACTACTTTGTGAAGTATCTAATGAATATTTTGCCTGTTTTCTTTTGCATTATGTATTTATTATATAGATTTGTAAAGGCTCATGTATATATTTTGTTTTTCTTTCTCCAAATCTGTAGTGTAAAAGAACAATTGCTAGGTTTTTAGTTAGTATTGGCATAAAAATATTTTACTCACATATGTACAAGTGATATCTGTCATTAGACTGTTATCAGTAAACACAAGCATGGTCTTATTTTATTTATTTATTTATTTATTTATTTTGTATTATACTTTAAGTTCTAGGGTACGTGTGCACAATGTGCAGGTTTGTTACATATGTATACATGTGCCATGTTGGTGTGCTGCACCCATTAAGTCGTCTTTTACATTATGTATATCTCCTAATGCTATCCCTCCCCACTCCCCCCACCCCACGACAGGCCCCGGTGTGTGATGTTCCCCACCCTGTGTCCAAGTGTTCTCATTGTTCAATTCCCACCTATGAGTGAGAACATGCGGTGTTTGGTTTTCTGTCCTTGTGACAGTTTGCTGAGAATGATGGTTTCCAGCTTCATCCATGTCTATACAAAAGACATGAACTCATCCTTTTTTATGGCTGCATAGTATTCCATGGTGTATATATGCCACATTTTCTTAATCTAGTCTATCATTTATGGACATTTGGGTTGGTTCCAAGTCTTTGCTATTGTGATAGTGCTGCAATGAATATACATGTGCATAACACAAGCATGGTTTTATAAAAATAGAGAAAATGAGAAATCTGCAGAAAGTCCAAGAATAGTAAGTTTTATTTTTGCCCTCTTTTTTTTGAAGTGGGGGTAGCTGGCAAACTAGTGTTAGAGCATAGAGTCTCTTGAGGTAGACACTGAGATGGGCTTTGAGGCACAAAGTGTTTGTCAGGGGTCAATGTCTGGGAAGAGTAAGGAAATGAAGCCAAATTGAGTAGAAAGAGAAGTCTAGCAGCAATTCCATCCAAATGAAGCCTCTGCCAAACTCTCAGGGGCAGTCTGGGACCAACAAATTTTCTTTTACATTTTGGGGAGCAAATTAATAAACTTACACCTAGGAAAGTAGTCAGTCCAGGCCCTTTGCCCTTGACCAGGTTGGGTAGGGGCATCAAAGAAACAATTTGTTATTGTGTCATAGTTGGCAGTGTCTTTTTATCACCAGCCCCATCTCAGTTAGGTCAGGTCTGCAGCTTTTCATTAAAGTGGCTTGGTGACTTCTCTTTACCCTTCTTTTCTAATGTATTATAGTAATAACATAATTTTTTAAAAACTACTTAATTTTAGTTCTTCAAATCTTCCATAAGGTCGGAGAATGTTTTTATGACCATATAATCACCAAAGTTTTCTTAAACAGATTATAGAAAGCATTAACTATAAAAGGAAAAGATTGGTAAATTGAATTGCATAAAAGTAAGAACTCATACTCAGACATCATTAAAAGAGTGAAAAGATTATGGGAGAAGATATTTTCTATATACATTTTATTGAATAGGGTTCAACATCTTTTCTGTCCTTTATTTGCATTTAAATATCCAATTGACCCAGTGATATTTCTTTTGATTTTAAGTGATTTTACTATGATAGGCCTAGGTAGATTTTGTTTATATTTATCTTGTTTATTTGCAGCATTTCTTGAATCTGTGGCTTGATGTCTTTCATTAATTTCAGAAAATGTTTGGCCATCGTCACCTAATATTGCTTCTACTCATCCTCTCTCTTCTTTTACTAGAACTAAAATTGTGTGTTTTAGACCTCTCTGTGTCCTATATGTCTCTTAATAGCTTTCTATATTTGTATCATTTTTTCTTTCTGTACTTAAGTCTGAATATAACAAACTGGGATTATATCTTAGTTTGAAAAATATTCTCTTCTGCCATGCCTGATCTTCTGTTATAAACTGTCTATTGGGTTATTATATTTTTTTAGTTCTGGTATTTCTATTTGAGTCTTTTAAAAAAATAGGTTCTAGTTCTCTACTGAAATTATTCATTGGTAGTCATTTTCTCATGATCTCTTTTTTCTCTAGGTTTTAGATAATTTGTCCTTGTGTTGTTGTGTGCCTGGCAATTGAGTGTATGCTTAACATTGTGTATGAAAATTGAAGAGATAATTAGAGGTTCTGGATCACATTATTTTTCTCCTCAGAAATTTTCTTTTTTTTGAGACAGAGTCTCGCTCTGTGGCCCAGGCTGGAGTGCAGTGGCACCGTCCCGGCTCACTGCAAGCTCCGCCTCATGGGTTCACGCCATTCTCCTGCCTCAGCTTCCTACAGGTGCCTGCCTCCACGTCCAGCTAATTTTTTTTGTATTTTTAGTAGAGACAGGGTTTCACCGTATTAGCCAGGATGGTCTTGATCTCCTGACCTTGTGATATGCCCACCTCGGCTTCCCAAAGTGCTGGGATTACAGGCGTGAGCCACCGGGCCCAGCCAGAAAAATTAAAAAAAAAATTTTTTTTGCTTCTTGAAGAAAGTCAGATGAGGGCAGGTCACTTCATCTGTTTTTAATTGAGTCAACAGGGAGGTGGTCAATTTCCTTTATTACTTGGGTTTTGTTATTTAGGAGTCCCAACTGAAAACCTGAAATAATTTATTAGGGTTTCTCCTCCTTAGCAGACCTCAATTTTTTTTTTCCTTCTCTATCCCTCGAGACTGCCAAACCCTCACCAGATTCCCAGGCTGTTAGCTCCATGTATGAATTGTCAAATGCATTAGTCCCCGCTTATCTGTGGTTTTGCTCTTTGCAGTTTCAGTTACCCATGGTCAACCATGGTCTGAAAATATTACATACAACAGGATATTTTGGGAGAGAGAGAGGGAGAGAGAGAGAGAAAGAGAGACATTCATGTAACTTTTATTACAGTATATGGTTATAATTGTTCTATTTTATTATTAGTTACTGTGATGCCAAACCAGGCTCATTCTGCCAGCACACAGCAAGCCAATCCCCGTAATGACAGATTTTGCAAAGGAAAGAGGTTTATTGGTGAGGCTGCCAAGCAAGGAGATTGGAGAACAACTCTCAAATCCACTTCTCTGAAAATAGGCCTTAAGGATACTTATGGGACAAAAAAATGGGGCCGTCTAAAGCATGGAGAAGGTTATTGCAGGTAGGAAAGGTAAGAAAATCAGGGTTGTGCAAATGTAATCAAGCCATGTGGTTCTTCACATGTAGCTTGATTACACTTGCAGAACCCTGATGCTTGTTCAAAAAACGGTGGCATTAGCATAATATGAGAGTGGGCTTCTGGGCCTTCTGATGTCAAAAGGTCACTCCTCAGTCACCTTAACAGGCCATTTGGCAGGTCAGTGGTTCCAACTAGTTTGAACTGAATAAGAGCAGCCCTCAAAGTCCTGAAAAATAGCTTTAAGCAACTGTTACCATACATGTATGTCAGAGATGTTATCTACAAGGAAGCTAGTGGGAGTTTAGTTATATATTGTTTGGCGATATGACTTTTAGCTGTAAGTTTTAAGATCAACTAGAAGTAAGCAATTAAAAACAGGCAAGCTGGGTTAAGTTGGACAGGCTTAATCAGGCTAGCACTTGGTTTCAATTGTTAATCTCTCACTGTGCCTAATTTATAAATTAAATTTGTCATAGGTAAGTATGTATAGGAAAAAACGTAGTATGCTTAGAGTTCAGTACTACCTGTGGTTTCAGGCATCCACTGAGAACGTATCTCCATTGAATAGTGGGGAAATACTCTACCTAGAAAAGAAGAGCAGAGCTAGGTGTTGCACTTTTTTCTCTGAACATCTTTCTGGAATCATGGCCTTCCAAGTCTTTATGCCTTCAAGCAAATTTCCTTAAAAATATTTTATTTAGCTTTATAGTTGTTTTCATTGGGAGACTTGATATAAAATGAGATAACTCACTAATAGTCAGAAGCGGAAGCCTTTTTCCTGTCCTTTTAGTTAGTACTCTTCAGCTCCATATAAGACTTTCCTTTTTCTCCCTCCTCCCAGTTATCTCTTTTATCATATCCGCAGGAGATATACACCTAGTTCAAAGGAACCACCTTTGCCTTCTACTTTGCCTTGAAATACTTAGGAATCTGCATATGTATTTCAACTCGGATAATGCTGTCCCTCAAGCCTCACCCCTGCCTGGGCCTGAGAAAAGGATCCTTACAACTAGTGATCACTTTTTATAGGTGAAAGCATTTTGGCAGAGTCCTATGACTGATGTAGTAAAACAATTATTGAAGGCAACTGATCCTGTCCAGGCACTAATAGCTCCTAGAAACATATAAACAAAAAATAATGTAAAATACTAGTTTTATGCTTTTCTTCAAGAGTTTAGAAATTCATCTCCACTCATGTGACCTATACTAAGGCTATTTAATGACTTCCAATTTTTCTTCCTCAGCTCCATTATGAATTATAATAGGCTTTCTCCAATAGTCTTCTATGAAGAGTCATTGGGGAATTATAAGATATGGGAACACATGAAAGATGGAACCATTTTTTTTTAGCTCAGAGTTAGAAAAATAAGCTTGTTATGAAAATACATGAACTGACGTTCATAGGGTAAATCAACTTTTCCTCTTGCCATTTACTATAAGGCCAGAGAATGATAAATCACTTCCTGCTGAAGAAGGTGAGTGTCTGATGATACACTGGAGTATGGTTAAGCATTAGAAAAATTAAGAAAGTGTCCAGGACAAGGTCATTGCAATAACTGGTGATAAAAATACACTCAAACTTCAGTAGGCATTTATTTAAATGATTCAGGAGTATCTCATGGAAAACACGGGGTAGCTAGATACTAGAAATGAAAAAGACACAGCCACTGGTAGATATGTCACCTGAAGCAGAGGGCAGTAGAGAAATAGTGTGGTTTCTCCCCTCCTCCAACCCTGCAATCTCCTGCCACAGCCTCTGAGTGGCCAAACTTAAGTGGAAGGTAAGACAGCCTGGGGAACAGAGTATACAATAGTCCATATTGGAACAAGGAGAGTGCAGAGAACAGATTTGAGGACAAAGGTGCAATGACATTTATTTCCATTAAAAGAAAAAACTATGAATTTATTGTAAGATAAATATGTGGCGATAGTTTGGAAAATGCTATTTGAAAATACTATTTAAGTGACAAAGTCTAAAGAAATTTTTAAAGGTCACAAGACAGTGCTATACCTATATAAAAATAGATGAACTAGGAGTAGGTACTTACAGTAATGGTCTTTTTCCATAATCATATGTGTGTTGACAAATGTTTGTATTAATAAGGCTTACAATATGGATTTCTATAAACTTTTTATATAATTGTCCTACTTAACTAGGTATTTCATAACCTTTCAAAGAACGTTTTCCATTGCTTAGCACATCATGTTCAACTCAGTTTTTGTGAATGAATTTGACTGTCTTATTTCTCTTAAGACAGCAAGTCTTCCTAGTTTGTATTTACTGTGGGGAGAAAGTGTCCTGTGGCAGAAACATATTAAATGAGAATAAAATTTAGTTGGTTTCAGCTACTGCTTAATGGCTCTCAGCTACTTTTTTAAATGTAAAGTGTTCTCACACATCAAAGAAATTCTAATCAGACAAAGGTTCCTTTTTTGTAGGATGCAGTGGAAAATAATTCCAGAAATTGTTATTCCAGTTTTTATTCTACTCAGAGCATAATTGGATAATCAAAAGTCCATCACGTCTCCCTTTAGTCTTAGGATACCAAGATATTGTAATATTGTATCCTTATATTTTATCAAGATATATTATCACAAATAAAATTGATCCCATGTTCTGCTTTAAAAACAGTGTCAGCACATCAATAATCAAACAACCCAACTCTTACAGCAGTATAGAAAGGAAAAGAAAAATCTTTGAAATTAAAGCTAGGAGAGGTTCCTCATGAGATCTGTAAAGTTCCACCCCACTTGAACATTCTCTATGATTTTATAATGTGTTTTTCTGTGGCCAATGATAATAAAGAGCACAACTTGCAGTGAAACTGAGCCACCTCTTCCTTTTTTTATCTGAGGCTGTCATTTGATTCCTGAAAAAAACTGCATTAAATAACTTTTCAAGCCAGGCGCAGTGGCTCATGCCTGTAATCCCAACACTTTGGGAGGCCAAGGCGGGTGGATCATGAGGTCAGGAGTTCGAGACCAGCTTGGCCAACATAGTGAAACCCCATCTTTACTAAAAGTACAAAAAATTAGCCAGGCGTGGTGGCGGCCACCTGTAATCCCAGCTACTCAGGAGGCTGAGGCAGAAGAATTGCTTGAACCTGGGAGGCGGAGGTTGCAGTGAGCTGAGATCGCACCATTGCACTCCAGCCTGGGTGACAGAGTGAGACTCCGTCTCAAAAACAAACAAACAAACAAACAAACAACTTTTTGAGCCAAGATAGTGTCTACTGCTTAGGATAGCCTTCTGGGACACCACTATTGACAAGGAGGTTTAAAATTAAAGGGGAGGCATTTGGTTTAGCTTTATTAAATCTATAGTAGTGGTGAGATATCTGGGATAAATCGAAGTGACCTCTATAACAGCACAATTCAATGCTGTTGGATATGTGCTGTCCAATATGGTAGACATCAGTCACAGGTTGCTATTGAGGGCTTGAAATATAACTAGAGTGAGGGATTTAATTTTATAAACTTATAATTTATTTAAATTTAAATAGCACCATGAGAACAATGGCTGCCTGTATTAGTTTCCCATTATTGCTATAACAAATCATTATGGATGCAGTGACTCAAAACAACACATATATATTATCTTACAGTTCTGAGGTCAGAAGTCCAAAATGAGTCCTATGATGCTATAATCAAGGTGTTGGCAGAGCTGTGCTCTTTTCAGAGACTTCAGGGATAATCTGTTCAGCTTCTGGAGGCTGCCCGCATTCCTTGGCTCATGGCCACATCACTGCAATGTCTGATTTCATTGTCCCAATTATTTTTCTCTGATTCTAATTCTCCTGCCTCTTTTTTTTTCCTTTGTAAGGATGCTTATGATTACAGTAGGCCCACTTGAATAATCCAGAATAATTTCCCCCTCATCCTAAGGTCCTTAATCACATCTGCAAAGTCCCTTTTGCCATGTAACAAAATGTAGTCACAGATTCTGAGGATGAAGATGCAGACATCCTTGTAGGGGAGGATGTCTACTATACTCCTGTATTGGACAGTATGGCTCTAGAGAGAAGTCAGGACTGGGCAGAAAAATATCTGGAAGACTCGAAGGTACAGAGAGATATGTCAGAGATTCCTGGCTACAGAGATATAAATTATGATGTTAGCACTGTGAGAGGGTTATGAGAACCAATAGGAATCATGATGGAGGAGGGGTTTGTGATCTGAGAATTAGGCCCAGAGATGCACTTAAAAACAAAGTCAATATTTGCCTACTATCAAATTATCTGAAAATTCTGCGATGTTAGGCCAGACCAGATTCCTTACCAAAATTTCTGTACTCGATGATTTCCATCTAGTCAACTTTGTCAGTTGGAGCAGGCTATCATGGATTATTCATTAGCAGAAAGATGAGTGACTCTAAAGGAGTGGATTAGAATTTTACAAAGATGCTTCTTAGCCTTCCAAAGAAATCCTGAATGCTTCAAAATAAGTGCTTATTGCAATGTTGTTTCTGTTGCTTCAAACGTTTAAATGTTTCTGTATTGGACTTGCTTTTCAATCAGGCTTGCAAGAAATAATATCATTTTTATTATTTCATTCTAAAGTGTCATTTCTAACTAACTTATTATCATGTATTGTGATAAATCACCTTATTAATCATACTTGGCTTGTAATCATTTTTGTTATTTTCCTAAAAATAAATTCATCCTCATAGAATGAATATTTTCTGACACTCAAGATAGTCTTATAAAAATGTGCCATATCCTTGTCAAGGGACTCAAAAGAGGAGTTTCAAAATTATTTTGATCAATGAGAATATAATTTAAGATGCCACTTGAATATCCTTGAGTATCTTGAATATTCTAAAGTCATTATTGAGAGAGAAATAATATGAGCTGAACCATAATTTTTGGTGCATGTATTACAAATAATCAGTGCTATTATGATCAGATCTTGTATTCATTTCAATGGGACAATTTGATATAATAACCATGTACTGAGTACTCTATGTGCTGAAGATATAAAAATGCACAAAGAACAATTGCTGTCTGCCCTCTTATTATCTCATAGTCCAGTAATGGACACAAACAACAAAGTTTTCACTCTGAAAACTTATAGGACCTGAAGTGTTTCTTCCAGTTATAAATCTCTACTAAATACCACACCACTGTTATTTTTCATGTCTTTAGCACTTTACAGTTTACAGTAGCTTCATCTGCTTCCTAAGGTGTTACCAAATTGTATGTGAAGAATCTGAGACCTAGGAAAAGGAGGGGACTGCTGACCATCCCTTGGGCAGTAAAGGAGGAGAATTACTACCTGTACTCAATCTACTCATAACAAATCTTGGACCTTTATTCTGCAGTATTGCCACCCAAGTTAGAAAGGGATAAATGGCAGAGGTTAGGATTATGGGAGAGATTAGGATTATTATCGGAGTCCAGCGGAAGGAGGGCAGACTTGACTGGGAGAAATCAGAGAGGGTGTCATAGCTGAGCATAGAACAGTGATTAAAAGCTGGGGCTGATAATAGGTAGAAAAATAGCTTGAACAAAGCCTCTAGAATGGTCCTCCCTGCCTCTAGTCTCATTATCTCTCTCTCTCTTTTTTTTTTTTTTAGATAATTGTAACATCACCAGGAATAGAGATGGAAGCTGGACAGATTTGCAAGGGTATAGCTGGGGGAAACCATGTTAACAGTCTTCAGAATGTCCAGAAATATGTTAGACTTGGTTAAATCAGGGAGACAATTGTGAGAAACACCGGTAGTAGTAACACTGAAAGGGGCAGGGAGCTGATGAGATGAGAAGGGGGTGGTAAGTTTAATTTAATTTTGAGAAATTAATCCTAGTTGATTTTGAGTGGGTATCAGCAACCTTGTTCTGTAAAGGTTCAGATAATAAATATTTTAGGCTTTGTGGGCCATGTAGCCTCTGTCACATCTATTCACCTCTGCCACGGTTGTTTTAAAACAGCCATAGATAATATGTAAATGAATTAGTGGGATTATATCGCAATAAAACTCTACTTACAAAATTGGCAGTGGGCTGAACATGGCCTGTGGGCTGTAGTTTGCTGACCTGACTCAGAGGATGGTGGTTTCTTTATCAGAAAAAGAGCTCCAGCCTGCTTGCAGATGAGGCGAAGAGGTAGCAGAGGTGAAGCTGAACTGAATTTGGATGTGCTGAGTTTGAGACTCCGGCAGGCTTCCCATGAGAAAATGTCCAGCAGGCAGATTGGAATATGCAGTTGGAGCTGGAAGAAAAAACAGGATAGAAATATAAATTTTGGAGTAGTCATCATAGTGCTGACATGTTAGTTTTACTCTAAATTAATTTCTATAGGAATGTAATCTAAATAGAAAATTTAAAAGATATAAAATATGAAGTTATGCTTGTTACGGTTTCTGAAATTCAGACACAGCTAACTTTCATGTGTGGGTCATGTAAAGGAGGCCTGAAGTTTGAAACTAGCAAAGAATCAAGGGGTTCCCCATTTTCACTGATCAGTATAGGACACTAAAATATCAAGAGTCTCCTGTGGCACCTTGAAAACAAACCAAATAAAGGACCAAATCTACTCTTTATCCTGTATCTTCCATCTTTGTTTGTGATAATCTAAGCTAGAATCATGGGAATTATCTTAGGACCCTCCTTCTATGAATGAATCTGGTTTATTCCATTTTTAAAAATGTCTCTGTCAGGCCTCTGAGCCCAAGCTAAGCCATCGCATCCCCTGTGACCTGCACGTATATGCCCAGATGGCCTGAAGTAACTGAAGAATCACAAAAGAAGTGAAAATGGCCTGTTCCTGCCTTAACTGATGATATTCCACCACAAAAGAAGTGAAAATGGCCAGTCCTTGCCTTAAGTGATGACATTACCTTGTGAAATTCCTTTTCCTGACTCAAAAACTCCCCCACTGAGCATCTTGTGATCCCCACTCCTGCCCACCAGAGAACAACCCCCCTTTGACTATAATTTTCCTTTACCTACCCAAATCTTATAAAATAGCCCCACCCCTATCTCCGTTCACTGACTCTCTTTTTGGACTCAGCCAGCCTGCACCCAGGTGATTAAAAAGCTTTATTGCTCACACAAAGCCTGTTTCATGGTCTCTTCACACGGACGCGAGTGAAACTCTCAAATGCCAACCATTCTTCCACATTGCTGCTGCCCTACTTTAGGCTTTCATCGTTTTTTTGCCTGGATTGCTAAAATAATCATTTTAACTTTTCTATCAATCTTTGACTTTATTTTATACTAATACTCATATTATTATATACAAACAATCTCTGTACTAATCCTTCCTCTTATTCCTTCTTTGTGCTACCATTAATTTCAGAGATGCACTTGGATAATTGTGCTTTTCTTCTTTGCAAGTCTCTACTGGTCCAAAGGATCCGGTTCTATGAGGGAAAAGGCTTCAGTGAGAAAACACAGCTAGTGTACTCCCTGGACACTTTGGCCCCCTTGTACCAAAACCACCAGCTGATGAGAAGAAACACTATCCTAATTGTGATAATTGACTGTAATCATCAAGAGACAGGGCTGTTGTTAATCAATGGGGGCAGGGAAAAATATATATTTGGCATGCATATGATTAACTAGGATTAACTAGTTAATTGCTTCTCTTCTAACCAGGATTAACTAGTTAATTGCTTCTCTTGTTTCTTTTCTAATTTTGATAGTAAATAGACAAGGGCAAAAACAATGTTTTGAAAAGATCATGGGGCTGTAAAACTTAGGGATGAGAGTCAGGGTCACCTCCTCAGGTAAATCTTTCAGACTAGCAGAGGTGCTAGATGAGGGTGAGAGTAATCTAAAGTGGGTAGTTGAGCAAGAAAATGATGAGTATTATTTATAGCCCTGAGACCAGTTGTAATTATGGAGGCTGTAGTTCATTCTACTAACCTTCCTTGTATAAGTTTTCCCAGGAAGAGAGATTGACCTCAATCCTAGAGGAGCAATTCCCAGATGGGATGAAGCAAGTGGATCTGAACAATGCAATGGGTGAACTCTGAAACAAGAAAGTCTGAAACAGGTCTCAGTTAATTTAGAAATTTTATCTTGCCAAGGTAGAGGACGCACCCGTGACACAGCCTTAGGAAGTCCTGACAACATGTTTCCTAACGGTGGTCGGGGCATAGCTTGGTTTTATACATTTTAGGGAGATGAGCCATTAATCAGTATGTAAGAAGTTTACTAGTTCCATCCAGAAAGGCAGAGACAGCTCAAAGCAAGGCCCCCCCACCGAGGGCTTCCAGGTCACAGGTAGGTAAGAGACAGATGGTTGCATTCTTTTGAGTTTTTGATAAGTCTTTGCAAAGAAGGCAATCAGAAAATGCATCTATCTCTGTGAGCAAAGGGCTGACTTGAATAGAATAGGAGGCAGATTTGCCCTGAGCGGTTCCCAGCTTGAAAGGACCCAAGATATTTTTCTTTCACAACTCTAATGGATTGTATTAGTCCATTTTCACACTGCTATAAATAAATGCCCATGACTGCATAATTTATAAAGGAAAGAGATTTAATTGACTCACAGTTCCACATGGCTGGGGAGGCCTCAGGAAACTTAGAATCATGGTAGAAGACTAAGGAAGCAGGCACCTTCTTCACAAGGTAGCAGGAAGGAGTGAGTGCAAGCAGGGGAAATGACAGATGCTTATAAAACCATCAGATCTTGTGAGAACTCACTCACTATCATGAGAACAGCACTGGGCAAACTGCCCCCATGATCCAATCACCTCCCTCACTTGGCATGTGGAGATTACACATCTCTCCCTTGACATGTTGGGATTACAATTCGAGATGAGATTTGGGTAGGGACACAGAGCCCAACAATATCATGGATGCAGGGATGCATGGCCCAGATCCCCTCTTTAGTACCAAGGCACCCATACCCCCACCTGTCAGTAGTGTTGCCTGCTGATTGCTTGCAGCTGAGGCCTTCCCGGGGCAGAAAGGCCTAGCCTTTTCCTTCAAGTTGGGACATATGTGAAGAACCAAACCAGCCTCTGGACTCCATGTGGGAATGGCTGAGGCCTCTGTTGCAAAGACATCACAGTTTGACTTCTCCCCTAGCCTAGTCCTGCTTCCTTCTCTGTCTTCTCTAAGACACTCTACAACAAGCCACCAGCTTACAATTCTCTATTCCAGTGTCTATTTTCATGGGTTCTCAAACTAGAATATTCAATATTACAACATTTTTCAAGTTGATAACTAGGGACGTAACGTTTCAAATCCTAAAACCAAATAAGCACATTTTTATGAATTTAATTTTTTATCAAAATTCTACTCTTAATTCTTTTGAACTTCAGAACATATATTGCTTTTGCTGTCTCTTGCTCTCTCTCTGCTCACAGGCCCAGCTAGTTCAGGTACTGACTCTTGGCCTCTCTGGCACATCATTTAAAATCCTTGGTTTCATTTTAAACAAGCCAGGAAATGGGGCCCCAAAGACAGACTGGAGACCTTTGAAAATCTTTAAAGAGTTAAAGCCATGATAACTCAATTTCTGCTACTTCAGATCTATTTAATGCTCTGTTTCAAGCTGTCACTTTTTAATCTTACTGATTTTCATTGTTTATTAAAAGATGAATGATGATCCTATGTCACTGATTCAATCAGCTGGACCAAATATGTGAGATGAAAGCAATGTATGTTGAAAAAGCTGCCAACCAAATAAAATTTCCCAGGGTACAAAACAAGTGGATTAAGAAAGTCAGCGTTTTGTCTTATGGTCATTTTACTGCAATAGTCAGTGATAAATGTGTTCTGAAACAGTGGCCATGTTATGCATTTCATCAACACATCCTAATATATAGGAAGCTTACTTGTAAGGTAAGATTGACTCTGGGTATTTGTATGCATGACAACACAACAGCACAAACGCTGTCTATAAACTAGCATGAAAACCTCATTCAAGCCTCTGGCATGTACATCTACATTTTTTAAGGATACTGATTTGTGTTAGATGCTTCCAGCCTATTAATTTTTCCTCCTTCCCAAACCTTGAAAGTTTCTGTGTATCTTTGGTAAGATTATTTTGTTAAAATAAAAGATTAAGAATTTTGCAGCTGTCTTGCATTATAATTCTGACTGCCTTGCTTGCTTTGCCTTCTGGATTATAAACTGTCTGTGCTAAGAAACAGAGGCTTACTCTTCATACATTCTGCAGTGCAGGAATTCGTAGGCAGTGTGTTACTAACAAATAATGCTGAATTTAATTAGGGCTGGGAAAGCATTCAGAACTCTATTAGCTGAAACTTCTCATCTTTCAGATGAAGAAACTGAAGCCCTGAGTGATAGGAAATGAATTATTTATAGACGGAGTAACCACAAAATGTGCACAAATTAAAATGAAAAAAAAAAAAAAAAGACTTAAGTACAACTTATTTCCAGTCTGTTTTGTGCAATTACCTAAATCCAATTACACAGTAAATTGCCCATAATTAATTAAGAAACCTTGCTTGTTAACAATCAACTTCTCTTACAGGATGGCTTCTTGTGTTATGAATTTGTCTGACAAACTTCTATTTCCAAAATAATTTTTCTTTTTTTAGTACAAAGTAAAATACATTAGGTTCATTTGCATTTAGGGATATACTTAATAATTCCTTCTTGTTTTAGAGTAAGTATCTGCAGACTGATTACCCATTAAACCTTAAGATTCTACATGTCCATGAAATGCATTCCTAAGCTTACTTACTATTTACTTGCCTTTTTGGTTACTATTTACTTGCCTTTTTGGTTACAGCTAGATTTTCCCCTCCATTAGGTGTTTGCTTTGTTAAACATCAAATACAATGCTAGAACAGATTAAATGAATTGTGAGCTTAGAGACAGAGCTGGCTTCATGGTTGTGCAAGCTCTGCATTTGCATTAGGGCTCTGTGCTTAGAAGGACTATTTGCTTTCTTAAATGCTCTGCTGTCACTGTCTTAAATTTTTAAATAAGGTTTTTTGAACAAAATCCCTGTATTTTTATTTTGTACTGGTCCACAAGTTAAGTAGCCAGTACTTAATTTGAAAGGTAACTTTCTAATTAGAGGTAACTTGAAAGAATGGTACATTCTTATCTTTTCTACACAATTCTAATAATAATTAAACTTATTATTTTTGTCTTTTGTGACTCTTCAGTGAAATGAAAATTGAAATGTTAAGCTTGAGACTTGGTCTCTAAAGCTTTTAAAAATACTATTTCTGCATTAAATTCATTCAATGATTTTTCTTTCTGTCTCAGTAGAAATAAAAATTAATTGGTCCATTGATGGAGTATTTTGGATGTATTTTGTACAATCCTAGGTTTGAAGTTGTACAAGATAGACAAATTCTGCAATGGCTAGTAAACTTCATGTGTCTAGAATCCACAATTACCATATTTACAACTATTTCCCTAAGACTTGGCATATAGCAGGAAGAATTTATTTTCTTTTTCTTTTCCCTTTTTTTTTTTTCTGAGGTGGAGTTTCACTCTTGTTGCCCAGGCTGGAGTGCAACGGTGCAACCTCTGCTCACTGCAACCTCCGCCTCCCGGGTTCAAGCGATTTTCCTGCCTCAGCCTCCTGAGTAGCTGGGATTACAGGCACCCGCCACCACACCTGGCTAATTTTTTGTATTTTTAGTAGAGATAGGGTTTCACCATATTGGCCAGGCTGGTCTCGAACTCCTGACCTCAGGTGATCTGCCCGCCTTGGCCTCCCAAAATGCTGGGATTACAGGCATGAGCCACTGCACCCGGCCAGGAAAAATTACTTTTAGAAAATCTCTGGCTTCTACAGCTTTAATTTTGAGCATTCTCTTCCTTCTATTATTAAATGTAGAAAAGCAAAGTGAATTGATGGTTACCTGGGGCCTAGGTAAATGAGATTTTACTGAATACTGTGCCCATTGTTGGGATATTTATCAAAAATATCAGATTTGCTAATTTTGTATAAAATGTTTTAGGTAGAGGGTATGGAAATAGAAAAATGAGATTTCTAAAACACGGGCCATAGGGAAATAGAAAGAAATGTATAATACCTGGAGAAAACTAAGCCCCTGACACTACCTTATAATTTGAAATTCAAATGGAATTAGCTCAATCAATCATACATGCTTTGTGAGACTCAACTCCTTTCCTATTCTCTCCAGGGATTCCTTGAGACAAGGGCTGCATTTCTTGGAGTCATATACAGTGGACTCCAAATGCAGTGGACTCTAAGTCCAGTGGACTCCAAAAGGAATGTGCAGTTCCTGCTTCTGTTAAATAAACCAAGTCTGAGAATTTTCTTGCTTTGTAATCAAATGCTCTCTCTCTTTAATATCCTGGCTTACCCTATGGGGACTTATGCAAATGCTGACAGATTTTAATGAAGATTTGAGACATATGAGGGGGTGTGCTTTTCACAAATACAAACATCTTTGAATGAATGTTATTGTGTTTCCATTTTTAAATGTCCTTCTGCCATCCTACAAGTGGGAATTCTACATTGAGTCACATTTCTTCTTGGGTTCTGGGCACTTCCATGTTACTTTGTTCTCTCCCTCTATGTTCCATGCTGAGTTCCCCCCACTCTTTTCTCTTCATATTTATCCCAGTCTCTGCATTTGTCTATTTGCAGATCATGACTCAGTTTCTGTGGTGTCTCAGGTAAGTTTTGTAAACAGAGTTATCTCTAGCATGATGTGAAAAATGAGGGAAAAAAGCTATGAAATACATACTTACAATTAGTGTATTTACTTTAAATAAAAATGGCATGATACACACGGTTTTTTGGCTTGCCTCCTCCAAACATTTCTTCAACATTCTTCCCTTATTCTTCACCTTTTTGGTTACATTTATTTTAATCATGTAGAAAAAAAATTGCTGTGACCAAGAAAATTTTTATAAAAACTTTTACTCTCACCTTACAGAATAACAAAAGATGTTTTCAAACTACACAGATAGGTGTTAATAACAAGCTCCTGACAGCCAATTAGTAAAGGTTTTGAGAGTTAAAGAATTCAAGTTCTTTCAGTAATTTCCCAAGGATGACCATGGTATTACTTTATTTTGATGCAGAGAGGTCTTCTGAAAACAAATTCATCTATTCACTTTTTTATTAAAACTATATTGAGTGCCTACTATTTTCCAGCCACTATTTTAGTTAAATGAAGTATGTCAGTGAACAAAACAAAGACTTCTGCACTTAAGAAGCTCATGATATGAGACAGACAATACAAACATAAATAAGTAAATTATACAATGTATTTAAGTATGCTATGAGAAAGAAAGAAAAGTAAATAGGGTAAGGGCTGCTTTGTATTTAAGATATTAATCCAGATATTTTGTGATTAAAAAGTAACAGTTTATTCCTCAAAGAACTAATGATGTAACTGGAAAAATAAAATGTAAGTGCCTAAAAATAAAAATAAACAAGTACCACACATCACATATAGGCTAAGTATCAATAAATGGTATGCATAGTATATGCTAGAAGAGCCATAACAGAAAGATGCTGCACTTTGTGTTGACCTATATTTCAATACAAATACTTTTCCCCCTACAAATACATTGTTCTCAGATTTCCAAATACGAATGCTTGATCTCTGTTCCAGGTGTTTAAGATGAATAGAAAACTACCTCAAAACAGTGCTTAAACATTTATTTTGTTCATGAACCTGCAATTAGGGCTGGGCTTTGTGGAGATAGTTATAGTTGGTGTAAACTGAGGCAGCCTGAAAACTAGAAGCTGGAAACATCTGAAGGTTTTCTCACACATGTGTCTGGCAGTTGATGATTATTGACTGAGAATTTAATTGGGGCTGTTGACTACAACACTTATATATGGACTTCTTTTCATGTGGTGTAGGCTTCCCTGAGACATGGTGGCTGGATTTCAAGGACGAGTGTTGAGACAGAGAGAGCTAGAGAAAAGCCATATTGCTTTTTGTGATCCCACCTTGGGAGTTATGCAGTTTCACCTCTGTCTCATCCTATATGTCCAGGCAGCCACAAAGGCCAGCTCAGTTTCTGGAAGGGGGAGAGACTAATCACCACCTCTTGCCCCAGGAAGTGGGGCAAGGGCCTAGACAGCATATGGGGCAAGAAATAGCATTGTGTTCATTTTAAGAAAATACATCTGTCACAATCTTTGAGTTTCAATATTCTCATTTTAATAACTGTAGTAAATTCTAATAATAATTATCACTACCTCAATGGGTGAGAATTATATGACATATAATATGAAAAATGTGAAAGTTAGTAGTCATCAAATTAAAACTAAAACGTACTAAATAAACGTGTCGATAATCTTTGCATACTCAAAATGTTTTCAGGACTTATCAGTCTGGATACAAATGATGTTATAGAAGCACCTGTATCCAAATATTTCTGGCATTGACCCCTAATATATGTCTGCAACTTCCTGAAGAATTCCTAATCGTCCCCATTCCAAGGTACTTCTGGAATCCCCCAGAGATGCTGTGTTTATTTCTACAGTATTTATAATACGCCATGTGATGCTGTGGCTACTCCATCCTTCTCAACTAGATAGGGACAGTAGCTTTCTGCTAGGAGCTGCTTATAGTCAGCAGGGTGCTGTGTGCCGCATTTCATGAGAGGGATCCTTAATAGCCTTCTAGATACTTGTTCTGGTTCCTACAGAAAATTGTTTTCAGAGTTTCATTCTTCTTATAAATAATAAAGATGGTGTGTCTCTTCACTATCATCAGTTGTCCCCTACCCCAAGATACCTTATAAATGTTTATTTTTTTTCCTTATTTTGTTCAAATACAAGATTTCTTTAGATTTGATATTTGCCAATAAACAATATAAAATACTGTCAAACATTATATAGTACTTTTTATTACGTGAATGAACATGTGCATGCACACACACACACACACACACACACACATCTCATAACCACCCTATGAGGCAGGTACAACAATTATCTGCATGAAATTGAATTTGTAAGGTCACATGGTTAGTAAATGACAGAGTTAGGATTTGGATGCTGGCATTCTAGACCAACAGCCCCTGCTCTTTTCCTTTTCACTGGTCACCATGTGGATTTCTGTTGATTATGCTTGCTGTCCACCTGGGAACTTGTCTGACACCATCCTCTTATCTCCATTTGGAGGGATAATTGATGTGCTTTGCTATTAAATCAACTGATCACCTGGATTATGTACCACTGTATTCTCAGAATGTTATGCTGCACTTACCTAACTGGGTTTCCTTTTACTAACGTAGCTAGATCTCATTTTCCAGCATCTCTTATGGGTCAAAGTATGTGTTCTATGCTGGAAGGACTATCTAAATGATAGAAACTATGCTGAATTAAGAATGGTCAAATTACCTAATATGTCACCAGGAAACCCATTAAATCAGCTACATTTATTATAACATGCCACAGTAAGGGTGAAAAGTACCTTGACAGAGTCTTAGCAGCATATCAGAAGGGGAAAGTCAGATGGCATCTGGGTTCAAATGGATTACAGTAGATCTTTCAAGTCAAGGAACTAATTAGGATGGGGAAAAATTAATAATAAAATAGTTTAGAATAAATAATAAAATAGTTTAGAATAAATAAATGAGGCAAATCTTTATAACTAAGGTGAACAGATTAGTGTGTCCTGTTACTGATCTGTGGGAATGTCCTAAAGTAAACAATAAAGGGATTTATTGGCTTACAGTCTTATCTTTCCCAGAAAAAAGGATTTTCTGAAACAACTCAGTCATGTTGATAAAAGTGGTCCACAGTCTTCTGTTGGGGCAGAAGTTCTCAATTCTCAGAATCTCATTTCAAATTCCCTAGAGTCTGGTCATACCTGTCACTGGATTCTTCAGACTTGTTCAGATTTGGCTGAATCCTGCAGTGAGCTAAACTAAATTCTCAGTCATCACCGCTGTTAAACATGAATCACTAATTTAAGATGTTTTACCCAAATCACTATTTCTTGATCATTCCCTTTGACCATTAATTGTTGAGAAAAATGTTTCTAATTTCAAGGAAGAAAATTAAGAAAGATCTGTATAACTAGGTCTTAAGATCTGTCTGACGAAAAATTAAACCCAATTCCTGGTTCTGTCCTGGGAAACCGGAAGTCCTGTCTGCCCTAGGCTGCATACGTGAACCCCCAAGGTGATTCCGTCTTTTGTAATTCAAGAAACCAGATATTGGAGCTTCTTTGGGAAGGATACATAGAAAAAAAAATTGAGAGCTGGCTACACGGCAAGAAATTAGTGGCATATAAATTATGTGTTCTTTGAAAGTTGTCACCATTTGTAATTTTGTAAACTTGAAAGTCAACCTGTACTGTTACTTCCTTAAAATAGATTTAAGAAAGGAAAAATTAGCAATATTTGAACAAATATAATCTTCTCTGAGGAACTACTTCATATCCACCTCTGCCCAGTGACATTTTCTGCTCTGTTGATGTTTGTGCAGAAGAGCAAGCCACAATAAATTAATACACTTCCAAGAGATTCTTGTGAAATACTAAAGTATCCTTTCAAGCCAGACAGGACTAATTACACATTATTCATGTTGATAAGAGCATTTAAGTAGAAACTGTTCTGAGGATCCAGATGGATACTTCATAAATTATACCTCATGAAATGAGAAAGTTGAATTCAGTTCTAATGGTTTTCATGTGGCCAAGTGAGACATTTTCAAATTCAGGAACAACCCATAAATGCAGTAATGTTCATGCTTGAATGATGATTAGCAACTGCAAGAAGGGAAAGACAGGACCATATAAGTCTTGGGCTGAGGAACCTTTCAAATGAGCAAGTTCTCTGCCTTCTGCCAGAAATAGTGACCGCTATGTCCAGAGAAGAGCAAGACTGTGTGCAATAAGCATGGCACAGAAAAATTGTCCACAATCTGAGACATACAGGAGAAATTATACCTTATAACATGATTCCATCTTTGTATTCAGAACTATTTAGTTAGAACATCCATGGTGTGACCCAGAAAGAGATCACTTAAAACACTCTCCTGGGTATGATAATAATCCACTGGTTTCCTGCTGGATTTGGGATTCAATGTCCCAGAGCAGTATTTCTCAAAGTTTGATTCAAGAATCACTTGTGTCAACACTACCTGGAGACAAGATAAAAAAAGATTTCTGGGGTCCATGTCAGGCTTATAGGTTCAAAATCTGTGGGATGAGACCTATAAAAATCAGTTTCTAACTAGCTCTGTCCCTGATGTTTGAGAATAACCTGGAAAACTAAGTTCTGTTCCCAGTAAAGCAACAAAGAATCAAAGTTAAAGCAAAAACGTTTATAGGACTGGCTACCCTATCAGGCATGTTAAAGATTCAGGCCCGGCAGAGCATGAAGACAATAGAATGTCAGGTTTATACTATGAGAGACAGACTTGCTCCACAGTGTGTCATGCAAGAGTAAGGGGCACACGGTGAGCATGAGTGAGAGGTATTCACAAGAAGACATATATCTCTCTGGGAGTTCAAAGGGCTGCAATCTAAGAAGGAGGAACTTAAGAACTGCAAGGTTCACTCTTAGAGTCAGAGTTCAGTCACAGGATAATGAGATGCATTTTGGAAGATAACTTCCTTCTCATTGTCTTAATCAGTGATCTTTGGATTGGAAAGAAGGAACCATTCAGGCTAGCTCAAAAAAAGGAAAGTTTACTATAAGGACAGTCAGAGTAAAAAGTAGATGAACTACAAAAATGCCAGTGTATGATATTGGAGATAAAAAGGGTTTTTTTTGTTTGTTTGTTTTTCGTTTTTTTTTTTCAATTTTTTTTTTTTAGTAACACAAAGTAGTGCTCCACCTGTCTTGTATAGTCTAGCTTTCCTGCTTTTAAATAGCTATTTCTTTCTTTGGTTTCCATTCAGTTTTCCAAACTGGGAATCTGACTAGCTAAGTCAGTCATTTGTTTGCGTGTTTGAGTGCTTGTGTTTTTCCAAGTTGGCCATCCTGTGGGTCAGATTGCCATCTCTGGTCTAATAAATTGTGTTGGGAGTGGGTGAGAACCCGAATGGGAAGGAGGACAGCAACATGATTCAAAATATGGCTGCTTAGGAAGGAAGGTACTGGGAGAGACAGATTTCTTTACACTACGGAGGATGGACAAGGGACAGGCAGAGTAAACATGTTTGCACCTTTCTATTTTTAATGTAACTGCTTACATCAGCATTAGTTTTCACCTGGGAACTTGATATTACTTGACCTCTCATGCTGTAGCACATAGGAGAAACAGGAAGTCAGGCTAGGAATTAAGGAGCTAGAGCCCTGATATCTGGACAGGACACTGTCCAGTGACTGAGATTCAGTGAGGCAGTCAGATTCCATTATTTTTAGCCTAGATGTCAATAAATTGGTATAGCTCAGGATTAAATCTGCACAAGTAACCCTTGATAGCTTTTATTTAGTTCTGTAGAATTCAGGGTAAGTGTGTGCGATTTCAAACTGTTTCAGTACCTTTCTGCCAATTGCAACACTCTGATGGCTTTAAGACCTCAAATCTTGCTTACTTTAAAATGACTTCTTTATAGATACATTTCAATAGAGTTATACAGTTTTTCCTTCATAAGTTTTGTAGCTGGTTAGAAAAAGCCTATGAGATACCAACAATTCTCATGTCTCAATATGACAAATACTTATTCTCCTCCTATTCCACACCACATCCTTTTGAGAAGGACCAGCTTTATTTAGACTTGTGAAAATGTGAAAATGTCCCAGACATAATATTCTCTCTTTGTGACAAAGAATTGTCCATTTCTTCCACCATGAGAAATTCTAATTCTACATCATCTGCATGCCTTTGAAAAAATCAGCTGCTATCTTTCTGGGGCCAAATTAGAAGAATCATAATTATTAACTTATCTCAAATATGTTTAAGGGGGCCTGAGATAGACCCCAGGAATTTTCTCCTTTCTCTCAAAAAGGAGAAAACCTGTCCAAAGTGATGCAGGTGACACAACTAGAAGTAAAAGCATTGTGTTATTAAGCCCAGAGATCAGACTGTAGTCTCAACTTTTACATTAACTCTGTCTTCTTAGACAAAGTCACCTAAAACTCCTGAAAAATTGAGGAGTAGAACTGGTTCCATAAACTATAGAGTATTAGAAATTATTATGCAATTATATATGCCTATATATACCTGAATACATAAATGTGCATGTAAAAAATACATGTGTTTATATATTTGTACAGGTATGTATAATCATACATATCTATATTTATATCTATAATGTTATATATATATATATATTTATAATGCCATCAGAAAGCTCTGAGGTTTTCTATACCGATTTCTCACAAGCTTAGGCTCCCTTTTGGAAGAAGCAGGATTAACTGTCAAGGATGTTGAATCTCAGTCAACAATGTTCATTAATCCATCCATCCGTCCATCCATCCATCCATCCATCCATTCATTCAGTGTCCTCCAAACTCCAAGGTAGTAGATGCTGACATGGAGAGATTTGATATCTGAGGGGAGGGGAAATAAGCAATCATACCAATTCTATATTTGTTGTTCTTTGTTCCTTATTTTAAGACCTGGTTTTCATGTTATGGAAGAGATATTAGGCAGTGCACCTCTTAGGCAGCAGCATGTATCCTTATGTATCCCTGGAAATAGAGGGGCACTCAATTTGAAAGTATTTGAAAGCATGAATCCATGAACCTGTACATGTATGCGCTTCAGAGACAAAAATGCTAGTAGCTTCTCTAGGAATACATGATCCATGCCCTCTGAAGAGCTTCTGTCCAAGACTTATTGTAAAAGATGAAACCAAAGACTTGAAGAAAGGAATGTTTCCTTATTTCCCTTTTGTTCAAACTTAACCATGTTTGAGCAAAGGAGAACAACAGAGAGAAGAGAAAGAAGAGAAGAAGGAAGAGAAGGAAGAACTGGGAAAAATATTCTGGCATGCTGAGTGCATGCAGGTTAAAAGAAGAAAAAAGTTAAAGATTGCAAATGGGCATCAGAGTGGCAATTTCCAAGGACAATATTCTCCTAAGACTTCTACTCCCTCACTTTAGAGCTAAGTCTCTTATTTTATTTTATTTATTTAAAGATAGGGTTTTACTCTGTCACCCAGGCTGGAGTGTAGTGGCACAACATAGTTTACTGTAATCTTGACCTCCTGGGCTCAAGTAATCCTCCCGCCTCAGCCTCCTCAGTAGCTGTGACTACAGGCACATCTCAAGACATTCTTCTCTTTTAAGTATATGAAAATGCCCTGATGGCATGGATACTCATCCAGTTGAAATATAAATTTTGTAAAGACAATTTAGAAATAAAAGTAATTCTATCTAATTTTCTTTTTCCCATGACTAGTCAAACTTTTTCCTAGGTTTAAATTATAGTAAGGGATTGACCAGTATTTTTAGTTGATTTTGTATTTGTGGGAACCCTGTAACCTCATCCTCAAGGGATGATGGGACTTCATAGGGAAACTGGCAAGGAAAGAAGCATATGTTAGAATGAGCTGGCACAAGGGAACTGGAGAGAAATTTGAGCCAGGCTACTTGTGGTTGTCTTTGTAAAGGCATTTAACATTTAGGTCATTTTTATTGCAGCTAGTATCCAGTTACAGTCACGTGGCCATGGGGATCTTAAGGACTGAGCACTGCCATTCTGTTTCATGATTGTTGCCTATGTATTGCAGAATGGATGTGCTTAATGCCTGGATCTCTCAGTACACAATTCTTTTGGCATCATCATAGGCTCAGATCCTTCTTTAAATGCCATCTAGTCATCTTGATTTAAGCACAGAGTGGAAGCCTCAAATTATGAGACCAAGTTAAATGAAATACATGTTGGGTTTTAAAAGCTGCACCAAATTACCCATGAATATTTCCCTAGATGTCTCTTTTTAGTCGGACAAAATTATCTCTTTTAGACTTATGGACAATGGTAGACATTACAGAGTAAAATGAGCACTTAACGCAAAATTTAGTCATTTCATGAGTCCTAAGGAGTCTAAGATGTTTCTAGTTATCAAAACAGATTGTGAAACATTATCTATGCTGTGACATCATTGAGGTAAAATTAGATCTTGAAATGTAATTACATTCATTATTACTGTAGACCTAGCAAACTGAGTCTTTTCAGAGGTGAAAAATACAAGAAAAAGAAATATTTTCCAAATCTAAAAGTAACAAAATTTACTATTTAGAGAACATTTAGAAAACAAATGAGCCTTTATATTCAGTTACTCTTCAGAAAAAATGACTTGAAATCCCTCTTTAATTCCTCAGCATACAAAAATATTACATTTGTGAGCAGCCTGAGAGTGATAGCAATTAGAAGTTAATCTTAGCATTTGAATAAGACCTAATCAAATTAAGTTACTGGAACCTACTACTACCTAATCAAAACCTACTGCTGGAATCCAGGACTCCCCTTTTCAAGTACTTCTTTTCAAAGGTTAATTTCAACTGAAAGTTGGATTTTTAGTGTTCCTTAACAGAAATATTTCTATCAAAGAAGGGAATTTGAGCCTTTGGCCTAATTACCCTTGAACTTTTTTAATTTACTGACACCTCTAAGGGCAACTTAGTCTTTCTGACCCAAGGGCCACATGTTTTCTTCATTCGTTTGCTCATCTTGCCACATTTCCCCATGAATTTTATAGAGTAGGGCCTGAACTTGCACTCCTACTACATCGTAAATGTGACTACCTTGAAACATTCATCTGAAGTTGTCTCTTTCTAGATAAAGTTCCATGGTAACTGGAAGCAGCTCTTTCTACCCTGGAACATGCTGAACCTGACATCAAATATTTGTATAAATCTAATACACTACAGTGATTCCCAAACTTTTCTGAGCCTCCTCTCTGAGAGTCTGATGGTGGCAAAAATAAGAGCGCACAACTGTACAATAATTTGCCCAAAGTTTAGCAAATTAAAAAGACTCTTGAAGTCTCTCAGACTCCGAGTGAAGAATTACCAAACTAGAGCCTATTTCCAAAACAGACCACTACAATTTCTAGACATCTAGGTGTGCATATTAGCAACAGCAGTTAAGTCCCAAAAATGGAGTTGCAAAAGAGTTTTGCTATAAGTGAGAAATCTAAGGAATTGTTGAAGTCTGTCTAGTTTATTGTGTTCAAAAGAATACCAAAACACGGTACTGTTAATTTGCCATAACCTTTTTGGAATTTGTGATCTATTTTGGTTTGTTGTTTTTATTCTGATATCCCAGCACACCCTGAATGAAAAAATGTTACAGTGGACATATCAAAACTGACAAATATGGAGCAAGATGATAAATGAGGGAAAGCTTCCTGATACCCAATGAGGGTATAGCCAGAAAATTATGTCATATGAACCTCTGAGTTCACTGAGCCCAACTTATGACCAAACACTGTAATGCCTTCAACAGCATCTCTTGAATTAATATTCAAACCTCTGTTTAGGATATTTTGGTGAAGGAGGGCACATTTACTTCTCAAGTGATTCACTGTATGTTTGCACAGCATAGAATATTAATATTAATAAAATAAATTGATAAATATTAAAAAGCTATATTTTATTTGTTCATCATATTGAGCTAAAATATTTTTGTGCTTCTATCCTTTAATCTCTACAAGAAAATAAAAAGTGTGAAAAAAATAAAAGCTGTTCTTTTGTGCTTGTTCCTTCTTTTTAGACTTCTTACAGAATTGTTTAATATGCATGTAACAGTGATGTAATTGCAGAATTCATTAAAAGCAATAACAGATATTGATATGAAGACTACCGTGGCAACACATGTCAAGGGTATAGGGTGATACATTTTCACAATATGCCTGGTACTTGGGAGCACAGACTCTAGGGCCAGGCCACCCTGCTTTTTGTTTGTTTGCTTAAACACAGTGAATATTTTATTATAAGTGAGATGATGTGTTTTTACAAACGAAGTGTGACATAGTAATTAGAAATTTTTAAAAAGCTGTAAGAAATAAACATTAAAAATTATTTTTACCTAAAATAATGAAACAATTGTCATTTTCTCCTTCTACTTATGAAACCATGAGTAAGTCTTCGTGTCTTTGATACTTATTTTCTTCATCTTTATTCATGATAACAACAAGCTACCTCATAGGGTTGCTGTGAGAACCACATGAAATCATTGATGCATAAAAGATTGTAAAGTATTAATCAAATATTTATTAAATCAAATATTAATTACATGCTCACCTTTCTTATAATTGATTATTATTTACTCAGTCTGTAAATTTCAATAGCCATAGGTATTAAGATGTATATCATCTGGAAGAATTTGTTTGGGTTTGTTTTTCATTTTAATTTGCTAGGGGCTGAAACTAAGAGAGAAATATAATTGGCTCTTTGGAGAATCTACACTACACTTCAATGAGGGATGTACTTTTGAATCAGCTGAGGATCTTTTACAACTGCAAATGCTGGAGGCCACCTCCTGAAATAGCTTCTCTAGGGTGATTCTGATGCACACACCCCCTGGAGAAACCCTAGGAGTGCAATACTTTATTGTGGCATTTATTCATATTGTTTTGCTATACCAACAGTAGGCCACCCTGTTTTGAGTCCCAGTTCTGGTCCTTACTAGCTGCATATCCTCAGAGAAGCTACTTAACTTCACTGTGCCTCAGTAAAATGGAGATAATTTTACGATCTACCTCAGAGTGATGTGAGGATCAAATGAGCTATCTCTAAAATATATGGAAGAATGCCTGGCTTATAAAAATAATACTTTTGCTCAATGTCTGTAAAATCACAAACAATCAAAAAGAGAGAGTAGGCCGGGTCCAGTGGTTCATGGCTGTAATCCCAGCACTTTGGGAGGCCAAAGATGGTTCAACTGCTTGAGGTAAGCAGTTTGAGATCAACATGGAAAACATAGTGGGACCTTGTCTCTATAAAAAATAATTTTAAAAAAGTAACCAGGTGTGGTGGTGCCCCCGTAGTCTCTGCTACTCAGGAGGCTACAGTGTTTAAGGCTGCAGTGAGCTATGATCGTGTCACTGTGCTGTAGCATGGGTGACAGAGAATTTCTCTAAAAAAGAAAAAAATGGTTGAGTAAATTTTCTAGCACAAATAGATGTTTGAACAGAAATGAGATACCTACTTTTAAGGATAGAGTGTTACGTCCTGCATCATGTATCTGTTTGAATTAAAATTACATTAAGGCCTCTTCCTATTTTAAGATCTGAACTTTAACCAATCCAAGTCAAATTTATAGAACATCAGGCTCATAACACTTTCTATATAATGCTTTAAAATATGCAAGGCTTGGCAAGCATGTCACCTTATGTAGCTACTGTTCCACTTTATGCTTTAGCCTTCTTTTACTTGGAATTTGTGATCATTCAGGCAGTGAAAAGTCCCTACTTATGGACAAAATGGCTTGTGGAGCCAGTGGTGCCTTGATGTGGGAATGGTAAATGGCCCTCATTTATTTACACAAGCAAGCCTGGCAGCTATGAAATTAAGTGGTCTGAAAGAAACAATGCTTCATTTCTTTGAGAATAATCTATAATTCACCAAATTTGTCTCGTAGTTTGGCTTTTATTTTTTTACTCAGAACACAAAATAGCAATAATAATCATTAAAATAAACATTATTCTGAACTGTGCTTTTTAAAATATACAGCTTTGGCAGGATTTGTGGACATCCCCTTTCAACAAACTGTCTACAGCTTTCCACATTTCCAATTAATTTAACACTCCCACACAGAGCCCTTGTTGTGTCATCAGGCTTATTTCTTTTCCTTGCAGCTGCATTTCCAAATACTTCCATCCTATTCACTAGGTTCTACAGGTGGCTTTTCAGGGCTGGAAAGAGGCCTCCCGGGGCTCCATGGCTGGCTACAAGATCTGCTTTTAACACTGGACTCATAACTCTCCAAAAATGTTCTTTATTACTTTGCATAGCAAACAATCTACAGCAGCAATTTGGTTTTATTATCAGCAGAAGAGTTTGTTTCTGTGCGAGAAGGAGCTGTGGTCTGAAATTGGGTGTGAAGCATATTTTCCATTTGCTACTGAGAGGTAAGTGAGCTCTAGAATGGCACTGAAAAGTTAGGTTCTGGAGCTTTTCTATTGAGCCACCAGTTAGCAATCTTTTCTAGCTAAGGCTATTATAAATTGGAAACTTGCTCTCAATTTTCTGTTGTTTAATTTCTTCTTTCCTACCTGTCAAGACAGCACTTCAGAACTTGCATATTAAGTGGATAATATTGGAGAAACTACAAATGATGAAAGTTTCAGACTAAGACTTGTTCTTAGAAGGAAGGCAGTCTGCAGCAAGCCAACCTTAGTTTCTAGACAAAGTGAGGTCTATCTGAAATCTGATTCCAAATGACTTCAATCAACAGTTCAAAAAGACATGTCTGTGGTACCTACAGCTACATCCCTTTAGAATAATTGCTACAATTTGTATTTGCCAAAAGACATTTTCTGGATACTATATAGGGTTCTATTTTTAAATTGATACATAATAATCATGCATATTTATGGGGTGCATATGATAGTTTGATACATACATATTATGTGAAATGATCAAATCAGGGTAATTGGGATATTTATTACCTCACACACTACCAATAATTTATTGTATATTTCAAAATACCTAGAAGAAAAGATTTGGAATGTTCTCGAGACAAATTCATAATACATGTTTGAGCATCCTGTTTTTCAATAATGTTTTGCATAGTATTACAATGCCAAGATTAAAGGTCATGAAAGTAAAAAAGCACTGGATGTTGGAAAGTCACACACAACCCAAGATCCATGATCTGAGGTAGTCTGACGGCCTAGTGAGACTATTTAGCAACCTGGTTTTATGTTTTGGTTTGTCTTCAAAGTTAGCATAGAGTTCTGTGCAGTTAGAATGCTCTTTCACCAAACAATGCAGTCAGTCTTGATTCTCTTCATTTTCTCCTTTGCCACTTGTCCATCCCTTCTGTTATTATACTGCTGATTTATCCCTGGGCTAATATAAAGCAAAAATTATGAAAAAACAGGGAATTCAAATGTCCCCAAATAAATTTGTGAAAATATTCAGAAGACAAATTAGTTATATTTTGAAAGTTAGTTGGTTAGAGCTTTGAAAATAATTTATTTAAAGTAATGATGACTTAGATAGTTGATCCGTCAGTAGTGGTTGTTCAGTCAGCAGCTGGCCTAATCCAAAAAAGCCTATATTATATATTCCCAAACTTCTTGAGTAATTCATTTAATCAACAACTACCTGTTGAGTATTTGTGATGGGTAAGGCACTGTGATGTGATAAGCACTGAGAATACCACCACAAATAAAAAAAAAAACAACTATGCCTGCTATCAAAAAGCTTATAGTTTAGTGGGGAGACAAGAAATACCATATAATTGGGAGATGTTAATATAAATGTTTTTTCAGGGGAAGATTCAAAATCTGAATCTTCTTACTTTTATGACATGGCTAATAAAAATGAGTTTTCAATTTGATCGATTTAGGCTGAGGGGGAAATAAGGAGTCTTCATTTCCTGCCCAGCCTCATTGGTGTTTAAAGAAAATAAAGAACAAACTTATAAATGAGACTGTTTTTTTTTTAAAAAAACTTTTATTTTAGGTTTTAGAATGCATGGGCAGGTTTTGTTTTACAGGTAAACTTGTGTCACGGGGATTTGTTGTACAGATTATTTCATCAGCCACATACTGAGCCTAGTACCCAATAGTTATTTTTTCTGCTCGTCTCCTTCCTCCCACCCTTCACCCTCAGGTAGGCCATGGTGTCTGTTCCTCCCCTCTTTCTGTCCATGTGTTCTCATCATTTAGCTCCAACTTATAAATGAGAACTTGTGGTATGTGGTAAGTGAGAACTTGTGGTATGTGGTATGTGGTTTACTTGTGGTATGTGGTATGTGGTATGTGGTATGGATTAGTTTCCTAAGGATAATGACCTCCAGCTCTGTCCATGTTTCTGCAAAAGACATGATCTCATTCTTTTTTATAACTGTATAGTATTCAATGGTATATATGGACCACATTTTCCTTATCCGTTCTACCATTGATGGACATTTAGGTTGATCCCATGACTTTGCTATTATGAATAGTGCTACAGTGAACATATGTGTGCATGTGTCTTTGTGACAGAACAATTTATATTCCTTTGCTTACATAACCAGCAATGGAATTGCTGGGTCAAATGGTAGTTCTGCTTTTAGCTCTTTGAGGAATCATCACACTGCTTTCTACAATGGTTGAACTAATTTACACTCCCCACAACAGTGTATAAGTGTTCCCTTTTCTCCAAAACTTCACCAGCATCTGTTGGTTTTTTTGTTTTGTTTTGACTTTTTAATAGTAGCCATTCTGACTGGTGAGAGATGGTATCTCACTGTGGTTTTAATTTGCATTTCTCTAATGATCAGTGATACTGAGCTTTTTCTCTTATTCTGTAGGTTGTTTACCCTGTTGATAGTTTCTTTTGCTGTGCAGAAGCTCTTTAGTTATTTAGATGCAATTCGTCAATTTTTTCTTTTGTTGCAATTGCTAATGGCATCATCATCATGAAATCTTTGCCGGTTCTTATGTCCAGAATGATATTGCCTAGGTTGTCTTCCAGAGTTTTTATAGTTTTGAGTTTTACATTTTTCTTGTAGAATGGGAGAATTATTAGGAGACTGAAGACAGGGAAATGTCTTCAGATTATCTAAAAAACTAGGTGTCATTCTCATAAAATATCAATTAGTACATGTGATGTCAAAGTTAAGTAGGTTTTTAGGAAACATTATTGAAGTTTTGTGAGCACCTAGAAGTGGAAGCAGAGATTACTAGGGGCTCACCAAAAATAAATTAAATCCTATTTGATAAGATTATTTAATTAATAGAACAGAGAAAGCCATTAATGGAAATTTAAATTCACAAGACATTTGACAAAATCTATTGTTACAACATTGTGCAAAACAACAGATAGAAAAATATGGTATTTATTAAAGTACAATTTATGTAATTGAATCAATTTTTTAAAAAAATCAAAGTATCTAAACTTGCAACAGGATTCTGTTTTGGTCAATATTTATCATAACTTAGATGAAGATTATAGAAGGTATGTTTGTCTAACTTGAGGTTGAAAAAACCAGTCTGGAGAGATAGAGTATTAAAAGATAAAATTAGAAGCTCCAAAGATTGTCACAGGCTACAAGAAAACAGACAAATCAAAGCTATAAGAAAAAAGATGCTATAACTGATAGATAAAAAATATGTAACATAAGAATAATGTTATCCTCAAAGTAGATGTTCTAATAAATGTAAAAGGAAATATATGTGGAGTTGTAGTATATGATTTGTTTTTCCTAAAATGAAGAGACAATTTTTTTTACAATGTTTGCCAGGAAAAACTGAGGAAGAAAGTTGGACACTTGTTTTTCAAGTGAGACCAATCAGGCTGGCTCAGTTTTCTCTCTAGGAACACTCAGTTCCCAAAGACAAGACTTGTTCTCAAATTTGAAGAAGAGAGTGACCCAGAAATTTTACTTACAGCCAAGTTGTTGAGTGAGTATAAAGGAAGAGAAACTTCATTCTCAGAAAAGGAAGATATGAAGAAAACTCACACCTGTGAATTCTTCTGAAAATAAAATCTAACAAACTAAAAGAACTTAAAATAAATAACTCGATCTGGGGATGTGTGAAAAAGACCTGAGAGAAAGCATTGAATTCATTTAAACAGAAATCTCAGAACTAATACATTGATGGTCAACAAATAGACTATAAATGTAATAAATTCTTTAAAAATAAGAAAATAAGAAATAAAAATTTGGAATTAAGGAGAGAGAATACATAATTATAAGTGGTAAAACTAATCACATAACCTTTTTTTCTGAAGTTTATTGAGGTACATATATAATTGACAAATAAAAGTTATACCTCTGGTAGCATTCAGCTGTGAATCCATCTGGTCCTGGATTTTTTTGGATTTTTTTTGATAGGTAAGCTATTAATTGCTGCTTCAATTTCAGAACTTGTTATTGGTCTATTCAGGGATTCGGATTCTTCCTCGTTTAGTCTTGAGAGGGTGTACGTGTCCAGGAATTTGTGCATTTCTTCTAGATTTTTTAGTTTATTTGCATAGAGGTGTTTATAGTATTCTCTGATGGTAGTTTATATTTCTGTGGGATTGGTGGTGATATCCCTTTTATCATTTTTTTTGCATCTATTTGATTGTTGTCTCTTTTCTTCTTTATTAATCTGGCTACCGGTCTATCTATACTGTTGATTTTTCAAAAAACCAGCTCCTGGATTCATTGATTTTCTGAAGGGCTTTTCATGTCTCTATCTCCTTCAGTACCAGAGGTACAAAGAGGAGCCAGTACCATTCTTCTGAAACTATTCCAAACAATAGAAAAAGAGGGAATCCTCCCTAACTCATTTTATATGGCCAGCATCATCCTGATACCAAAACATGGCAGAGACACAACAAAAAAAGAAAATTTTAGGCCAGTATCCCTGAAGAACATCTATGCGAAAATCCTCAATAAAATACTGGTAAACAGAATCCAGCAGCACATCAAAAAGCTTATCCACCACGAGCAAGTTGGCTTCATCCTTGGGATGCAAGGCTCTTTCAACATACGTATATCAATAAATGTAATCCATCACATAAACAGAACCAATGACAAAAACCACATGATTATCTCAATAGATGCAGAAAAGGCCTTTGACAAAATTCCACACCGCTTCATGCTAAAAACTTAAGAGCTATTTATGACAAACCCACAGCCAACATCATAATGAATGGGCAAAAACTGGAAACACTCCCTTTGAAAACCAGCACAAGACAAGGATGCCCTCTCTCACCACTCCTATTCAACATAGTATTGGAAGTTCTGGCCAGGGCAATCAGGCAAGAGAAAGAAATAAAGGGTATTCAGTTAGGAAATGAGGAATCAAATTGTCTCTGTTTGCCAATGACATGATTGTATATATAGAAAACCCCATCATCTCAGCCCAAAATCTCCATAAGCTGATAAGCAACTTCAACAAAGTCTCAGGATACAAAATCAATGCACAAAAATCACAAGCATTCCTATACACCAGTAACAGACAAACAGAGCCAAAGCATGAGTGAAATCCCATTCACAATTGCTACAGAGAGAATAAAATACCTAGGAATCTAACTTACAAGGGATGTGAAGGACCTCTTCAAGGAGAACTACAAACCACTGCTCAAGGAAATAAGAGAGTACACAAACAAATGGAAGAATATTCCATGCTCATGGATAGGAAGAATCAATATCGTGAAAATGGATATACTGCCCAAAGTAATTTATAGATGCAATGCTATCCCCATCAAGCTACCATTGACTTTCTTCACAGATTTGGAAAAAACTACTTCAAAGTTCATATGAAACCGAAAAAGAGCCCTCATAGCCAAGACAATCCTAAGCAAAAAGAACAAAGCTGAAGGCATCACGCTACCTGACTTCAAGCTATACTACAAGGCTACGGTAACCAAAACAGCATGGTTTACATAACAGACAGATACATAGACCAATGGAACAGAACAGAGGCCACAGAAATAATGCCACACATCTACAACCATCTGACTTTGACAAACCTGACAAAAACAAGCAATGGGGAAAGGATTCCCTATTTAATAAATGGTGTTGGGAAAATGGGCTAGCCATATGCAGAAAACTGAAACTGGATTGTTTCCTCACACCTTATACAAAAATTAACTCAAGATGGATTAAAGACTTAAACATAAGACCTAAAACCATAAAAACCCTAGAAGAAAACCTAGGCAATACCATTCAGGACATAGGCATGGGAAAAGACTTCATGACTAAAACACCAAAGGCAATGACAACAAAAGCCAAAATAGACAAATGAGATCTAATTAAACTAAACAGCTTCCGCACAGCAAAACAAACTATCATCAGAGTGAACAGGCAACCTACAGAGTGGGAGAAAATTTTTGCAATCTATCCATCTGACAAAGGGCTAATATCCAGAATCTACAAAGAACTTAAACAAATTTACAAGAAAAAAACAACCCCATCAAAAAGTGGGCGAAGGGTATGACCAAACACTACTCTAAAGAAGACATTTATGCAGCCAACACACATGAAAAATTGCTCATCATCACTGGTCATTAGGAAAATGCAAATTAACACCACAATGAGATACCATCTCACGCCAGTTAGAATGGCGGTCATTAAAAAGTCAGGAAACAACAGAGCTGGAGAGGATGTGGAGAAATAAGAATGCTTTTACACTGTTGGTGGGAATGTCAATTAGTTCAACCATTGTGGGAGACAGGGTGGCAATTCCTCAAGGATCTAGGACTAGAAATACCATTTGACCCAGCAATCCCATTACTGGATATATACCCAAAAGATTATAAATCATTCTACTATAAAGACACATGCACATGTATGTTTAATGCAGCACTGTTCACAATAGCAAAGACTTGTAACCAACCCAAATACTCATCAATGGTAGACTGGATAAAGAAAAGGTGGCACATATACACCATGGAATACTATGCATCCATAGAAAAGGATGAGTTCATGTCCTTTGCAGGGACATGGATGAAACTGGAAACCATCATTCTCAGCAAACTAACACAGGAACAGAAAACAGAACACCTCATGTTCTCATTCATAAATGGGAGTTGAACAATGAGAACACATGGACACAGGGATGGGAACATCACACACCTGTCAGGGTTGGGGAGCTAGGGGAGGGATAGCATTAGGAAAAATACCTAATGTAGATGACGGGTTGATGGGTGCAGCAAACCAGCATGACACATGTAGACCTATGTAATAAACATGCATGTTCTGCACATGTACCCCAGAACTTAAAGTATAATTTAAAAAAAGATTGTATAATCTGTGCAATGTGATTACTTGATATATATATACACATATGTATATGTATGTAGATATGTATATATATACATATGTATATGTATGTAGATATGTATAGATATACATATATGTATATCTATATGTATATACATATATATGCATATGCATGGATTCAGCCACAGATCAAAAATACTATGCATCCAAAAACCAAACTAATGACCAAAAAAGTTGCATCTGTATTGAAGATGTACAGACTTTTTTCTTGTCATTATTCCCTAAAAAATACAGTATAATAACTACATACATTATGATAGATATTTTCAGTAATCTAAAGATGATTTAAAGATATGGGAGGATGTGCATAGATTATATCCAAATGCTACACTATTTCATATCAGGTACTTGAGCATCCATGGATTTTGGTATCCATGGTAAGTACCGGAACTAATCCCCCCAAAAAACTGTGGAATGACTGATCACATACAATTCATATAAATATAATGGAATATTATTTCTACATAGATAGATAGAAAGATAGACAGGTAGATAGATAGTTTGGATATTTGTCCTCTCCAAATTTTATGTTGAAATTCAACCACCAGTGTTGGAGGTGAGGCCCAGTGGTAGGTGTTTGTGTTAGGAGGGTGGATCCTTCATGAACGGCTTGGTGCCATTTCAGGGTAATGAGTGACTTCTTGCTGCATTAGTTCACATGAGAGCTGGTGTTTAAAAAAGCATGACACCTCACCTCATCTCTTGCTCCCTCTATTGCCATGTGACATGCCTGTGTCCCCTTTGTCTTCTGCCATGATTGGAGGTTCTCTGAAGCCCTCACCAGAAGCAGATGCTGGCACCATGCTTCTTGTACAGTCTGCAGAACCATGAGCCAAATAAACGTCTTTATAAATTATCTAGTCTCAGCTATTCCTTTATAGCAGCACAAAAAGGACTAAAACTATATATATATAGTTTTAGTATATATATATATGTTACTGATTTTTTGCTACTGAGTCATTTGAGTTTCTTATATATTTTGGATATTAACCCCTTATCAGATGTATTGTTTCCAAATATGTTCTCTCATTTTATAGGTTGTCTCTTCACTATGTTGATTATTTCTTTTGCTGTGCAGAAGCCTTTTAGTGTGATGCAAATCCATTTGTTCATTTTTGCTTTTGTGCCTGTGCTTTTGGGGTCATACCCAAAAAAATCATTGCCCACGCCAACATCAAGAAATTTTTTTCCTTTTTTTTTTTTTACTAGAAGTTTTACAGTTTTAGGTCTTATGTTTAAGTCTTTAATCAATTTTTAGTTCATTTTTGTATATGGTATGAGGTAAGGGTCCAATCTCATTCTTTTGCATGTGGATATCCAGTTTTCCCAACACCACTTATTGAAGAAATTGTGCTTTCCCCATGTGTTTTGTTGGCACCTTCATCAAAGATCAATTGACCTTACATGGACTATTTCTAGGCTCTCTATTGTGTTTCACTGGTTTGTATGTTTGTCTTTGGGCCCGTCCCATACTGTTTTTATTACTATAATTTTGTAGTATATTTTGAAGACAGATAGTGTGATGCCTCTAGCTTTGTTCTTCTTGCTCAAGATTGCTTTGCTTATGCAGGGTCTTCTGTGGTTTCATACAAATTTCAGAATTTTTTTTATTTCTATGAAAACTGCCCTTGGATTTTGATAGAAATTCCATTAAATCTGTAGATCACTTTGGATAGTATGGATATTTTAACATTAAATCTTCCAATCTATGAACATGAAATATATTTCCATTTATTTGTGTCTTCTTTAATTTCTTTAGTCAACATTTTATACTTTTCAATGTACAGATCTTTCACTTCCTTGATTAAATTTATTTCTAAATATTTTAACCTAATTATGCTATTGTAAATGAGATTATTTTCTTAATTTCTTTCTTAAATAGTTTATTATTGTTTAGAAATGCTACTGATTTTTGTATTATGATTTTGTATCCTGCAACTTTATTGAATCTATCAGTTGTAAAAACTTTTTGGTGGAGCCTTTAGAGTTTTCTGTGTATAAGATCATATAATCTGCAAAGACAATTTCACTTTTTCCTTTCTAATTTAGATGTCTTTTATTTCTATTTATTACTTAATTGCTCTGGCTAGGGCTTCCACTACTGTGTTAAATAGAAGTGGTGCAAGTGGTCATCCTTGCTTGTTTCTGATCCTAGGGGAAAAGCTTTCAGTTATTCACCATTGAGTTTGACTTTGATTGCGGGTTTGTTATATATGATCGTTATAATGTTGAGATGCATTCCTTCTATACCTAATTTGTTGGGAGTTTTTTTTTTTATCATGAAAGGATGTCAAATTTTGTCAAATGCTTTTTCTGTATTTATTGATGTGATTATATGATTTTTACTGTTAATGTGTTATGTCCATTTATTAATTTGTGTGTATTGAATCAGCCTTACATCTCTGGGATGAATTCTTCTTGATCACGGTGCATGATCCTCTTAATAACACATAATTATTTTCATTTTTAAATGCCTTAGGCCTTTTTCATTTATTTGTTAGTTTTTATTTAATTAACATATTTTTCAAATAAAAATGAACTTTAGGTTTAGGCTTACAGAAAAATTGAGCAGGAAGAATAGTGTTTTCACATACCTCTTCCCTCAAATACAGTTTCCCCTATAATTAACATCTCATATTAGTGTGGTCCATTTGTTACAACTGATAAACCCATATTTATAAATTATTATTAACTAAAGCCCACAGTTTAAATTAGTGTTCATTCTCAGTGTTGTATATATTATATGGGTTTTGACAAATGTATAATGGTATGTATCCACCATTATAGTATCATTCATGAGAGTTTTACTGTCTTAAATATCTCCTGTCACCACCTATATATCTGTCCTGCTCTCCCTTCCTCATTTTGCTGGAGACCACTAATCTTTTTACTATTCCATAGTCTTTTAAAGCAAATAATTTAATTGCTACTACATAAAACACATATTAAAATGTTTATATGGTTTTCATCCCTCATAGCTTTTATTTTTCTTAATTTAAAAAATATCTTGTATAAATAATATTTATTTAAAGTTTATAATTCAGTTTTAATTTTTTCTTTCCTTTTTAAAGTTCAAGAAAATATGTTTTATACTGTTAATTTTAAAGTCATATGCATAGTATGATTATATTCCCATTAATTTTTCCTAACTATATCTACTTGTTCATTTACTCAACTGAACATATACATAGAGATATATCTGGAATAATGTTCAGCATATATCATGAACTTATTCGTGGGTATTAAGACTGTAGGTTCCTTGTAGCTGTTTTTAGGTGATTTGTAGTGATTTTCTTTGTATATGTCTTATATATGTATCTCTTTGTATAAACATTATTTTAAAGGCAAATCAAATATATTAGAATAAATATAAGATTAAATATACAGTTTTTCATTTAGGTTAAAAAATGTATTTCGGGAGGAGCCAAGATGGCTGAATAGGAACAGCTCCAGTCTACAGCTCCCAGCGTGAGCGAGGCAGAAGACGGGTGATTTCTGCTTTTCCAATTGAGGTACCAGGTTCATCTCACTGGGGAGTGCCAGACAGTAAGTGCAGGACAGTGGGTGCAGCACACTGTGCATGAGCCAAAGCGGGGCAAGGCATCGCCTCACCCGGGAAGCGCAAGGGGTCAGGGAATTCCCTTTCCTAGTAAAAGAAAGGGGTGACAGACAGCACCTGGAAAATCGGGTCACTCCCACCCTAATACTGCGCTTTCCCAATGGGCTTAAAAAACAGCACAGCAGGAGATTATAACCCGCACCTGGCTCGGAGGGTCCTACGCCCGTGGAGTCTCACTCATTGCTAGCACAGCAGTCTGAGATCAAACTGCAAGGTGGCAGCGAGGCTGGGGGAGGGGTGCCCGCCATTGCCCAGCTAGTTGTTTGATTAGGTAAACAAAGTGGCCGGGAAGCTCAAACAGGGTGGAGCCCACCACAGCTCAAGGAGGCCTGCCTGCCTCTGTAGGCTCCACCTCTGGGGGCAGGGCACAGACAAACAAAAAGACAGCAGTAACCTCTGCAGACTTAAACTTCCCTCTCTGACAGCTTTGAAGAGAGTAGTGGTTCTCCCAGCATGCAGCTTGATATTTGAGAATGGGCAGACTGCCTCCCCAAGTGGGTCCCTGACCACCAAGTAGCCTAACTGGGAGGCACCCCCTAGTAGGGGCGGACTGACACCTCACACAGCCGGGTACTCCTTTGAGACAAAACTTCCAGAGGAACGATCAGGCAACAGCATTTTCGGTTCACCAATATCTGCTGTTCTGCAGCCACTGCTGCTGATACCCAGGCAAACAGGGTCTGGAGTGGACCTCCAGCAAACTCCAACAGACCTGCAGCTGAGGGTCCTGTCTGTTAGAAGGAAAACTAACAAACAGAAAGGACATCCACACCAAAAACCCATCTGTACATCACCATCATCGAAGACCAAAGGTAGATAAAACCACAAAGATGGGAAAAAAACAGAGCAGAAAAACTGGAAACTCTAAAAATCAGAGCACCTCTCCTCCTCCAAAGGAACACAGCTCCTCACCAGCAACAGAACAAAGGTGGATGGAGAATGACTTTGACGAGTTGAGAGAAGAAGGCTTCAGATGATCAAACTACTCCGAGCTATAGGAGGAAATTCGAACCAATGACAAAGAAGTTAAAAGCTTTGAAAAAAAATTTGATGAATGGATAACAAGAATAACCAATGCAGAGAAGTCCTTAAAAGACCTGATGGAGCTGAAAACCAAGGCAAGAGAGCTACATGATGAATGCAGAAGCCTCAGGAGCTGATGCGATCAACTGGAAGAAGGAATATCAGTGATGGAAGATGAAATGAATGAAATGAAGTGAGAAGAGAAGTTTAGAGAAAAAAGAATAAAAAGAAATGAACAAAGCCTCCAAGAAACATGGGACTATGTGAAAAGACCAAATCTACGTCTGACTGGTTTACCTGAAAGTGACGGGGAGAATGGAACCAAGTTGGAAAACACTCTGCAGGATATTATCCAGGAGAACTTCCCCTATCTAGCAAGGCAGGCCAACATTCAAATTCAGGAAATACAGAGAATGCCACAAAGATACTCCTCGAGAAGAGCAACTCCAAGACACATAATTGGCAGATTCACCAAAGTTGAAATGAAGGAAAAAAATGTTAAGGACAGCCAGAGAGAAAAGTCAGGTTACCCAGAAAGGGAAGCCCATCAGACTAACAGCTGATCTCTCAGCAGAAATTCTGCAAGCCAGAAGAGAGTGGGAGCCAATATTCAACATACTTAAAGAAAAGAATTTTCAACCTAGAATTTTAAATCCAGCCAAACTAAGCTTCATAAGTGAAGGAGAAATAAAAATCTTTACAGACAAGCAAATGGTGAGAGATTTTGTCACCACCAGGCCTGGCCTAAAAGAGATCCTGAAGGAAGCACTAAACATGGAAAGGAACAACTGGTACCAGCCACTGCAAAAACATGCCAAATTGTAAAGACCATCAAGGCTAGGAAGAAACTGCATCAACTAATGAGCAAAATAACCAGCTGACATCATAATGACAGGATCAAATTCACACATAACAATATTAACTTTAAATGTAAATGGGCTAAATGCTCCAATTAAAAGACACAGACCGGCAAATTGGAGAAAGAGTCAAGACCCATCAGTGTGCTGTATTCAGGAAACCCATCTCACATGCAGAGACACACATAGGCTCAAAATAAAGGGATGGAGGAAGATCTACCAAGCAAATGGAAAAAAAAAAGGCAGGGGTTGCAATCCTCATCTCTGATAAAACAGACTTTTAACCAACAAAGATCAAAAGAGACAAAGAAGGCCATTACATAATGGTAAAGGGATCAATTCAACAAGAAGAGCTAACTATCCTAAATATATATGCACCCAATACAGGAGCACCCAGATTCATAAAGTAAGTCTTTAGTGACCTACAAAAAGACTTAGACTCCCACACAATAATAATGGGAGACTTTAACACCCCACTGTCAACATTAGACAGATCAACGAGACAGAAAGTTAACAAGGATACTCAGGAATAGAACTCAGCTCTGCACCAAGCAGACCTAACAGACATCTACAGAACTCTCCACCCCAAATCAACAGAATATACATTCTTTTCAGCACCACACCACACCTACTCCAAAACTGACCACACAGTTGGAAGTAAAGCACTCCTCAGCAAATGTAGAAGAACAGAAATTATAACAAATTGTCTCTCAGACCACAGAGCAATCAAACTAGAACTCAAGATTGAGAAACTCACTCAAAACCACTCAACTGCATGGAAACTGAACAACCTGCTCCTGAATGACTACTGGGTAAATAATTAAATGAAGGCAGAAATAAAGATGTTCTTTGAAACCAACGAGAACAAAGACACAACATACCAGAATCTCTGGGACACATTCAAAGCAGTGTGTAGAGGGAAATTTATAGCACTAAATGCCCACAAGAGAAAGCAGGAAAGATCTAAAATTGACACCCTAACATCACAATTAAAAGAACTAGAAAAGCAAGAGCAAACACATTCAAAAGCTAGCAGAAGGCAAGAAATAACTAAGATCAGAGCAGAACTGAAGGAAATAGAGACACAAAAAACCCTTCAAAAAATTAATGAATCCAGGAGCTGGTTTCTTGAAAAGATCAACAAAATTGATAGACCACTAGCAAGACTACTAAAGAAGAAAAGAGAGAAGAATCAAATAGACACAATAAAAAATGATACAGGGGATATCACCACCGATCCCACAGAAATACAAACTACCATCAGAGAATACTATAAACACCTCTACGCAAATAAACTAGAAAATCTAGAAGAAATGGATAAATTCCTCGACACATACAACCTCCCAAGATTAAACCAGGAAGAAGTTGAATCTCTGAATAGACCAATAACAGGCTCTAAAATTGAGGCAATAATCAATAGCTTACCAACCAAAAAAAGTCCAGGACCAGACGGATTCACAGCCAAATTCTACCAGAGGTACAAAGAGGAGCTGGTACCATTCCTTCTGAAACTATTCCAATCAATAGAAAAAGAGAGAATCCTCCCTAACTCATTTTATGAGGCCAGCATCATCCTGATACCAAAGCCTGGCAGAGACACAACCAAAAAGAATTTTAGACCAATATCTGTGATGAACATCGATGCAAAAATCCTCAATAAAATACTGGCAAACCGAATCCAGCAGCACATCAAAAAGCTTATCCACCAGGATCAAGTGGGCTTCATTCCTGGGATGCAAGGCTGGTTCAACATATGCAAATCAATAAATGTAATCCAGCATATAAACAGAACCAAAGACAAAAACCACATGATTATCTCAATAGATGCAGAAAAGTCCTTTGTAAAAATTCAACAATGCTTCATGTTAAAAACTCTCAGTAAATTAGGTAATGATGGGACATATCTCAAAATAATAAGAGCTATCTATGACAAACCCACAGCCAATATCGTACTGAATGGGCAAAAACTGGAAGCATTCCCTTTGAAAATGGGCACAAAACAGGGATGCCCTTTCTCACCACTCCTATTCAACATAGTGTTGGAAGTTCTGGCCAGGGCTATCAGGCAGGAGAAGGAAATAAAGGGTATTCAATTAGGAAAAGAGGAAGTCAAATTGTCCCTGTTTGCAGAGGACATGATTATATATCTAGAAAACCCCATCATCTCAGCCCAAAATCTCCTCAAGCTGATAAGCAACTTCAGCAAAGTCTCAGGATACAAAATCAATGTCAAAAATCACAAGCATTCTTATACACCTACAACAGACAAACAGAGAGCCAAATCATGAGTGAACTCCCATTCACAATTGCTTCAAAGAGAATAAAATACCTAGGAATCTAACTTACAAGGGAAGTGAAGGACCTCTTCAAGGAGAACTACAAACCACTGCTCAGTGAAATAAAAGAGGATAAAAACAAATGGAAGAACATTCCATGCTCATGGGTAGGAAGAATCAATATTGTGAAAATGGCCATACTGCCCAAGGTAATTTATAGATTCAGTGCCATCCTCATCAAGCTACCAATGACTTTCTTCACAGAATTGGAACAAACTACTTTAAAGTACATATGGAACCAAAAAAGAGCCTGCATCACCAAGTCAATCCTAAGCCAAAAGAACAAAGCTGGAGGCATCATGCTACCTGACTTCAAACTATACTACAAGTCTACAGTAACCAAAACAGCATGGTACTGGTACCAAAACAGAGATATAGACCAATGGCACAGAACAGAGCCCTCAGAAATAATGCCGCATATCTACAACTATCTGATCTTTGACAAACCTGACAAAAACAAGAAATGGGGAAAGGATTCCCTATTTAATAAATGGTGCTGGGAATACTGGCTAGCCATATGTAGAAAGTTAAAACTGGATCCCTTCCTTACACGTTATACAAAAATCAAATCAAGATGGATTAAAAGACTTAAACGTTAGACCTAAAACCATAAAAACCCTAGAAGAAAACCTACGCAATACCATTCAGGACATAGGCATGGGCAAGGACTTCATGTCTAAAACACCAAAAGCAATGGCAACAAAAGCCAAAATTGACAAATGGGATCTAATTAAACTCAAGAGCTTCTGCACAGCAAAAGAAACTACCATCAGAGTGAACAGGCAACCTACAGAATGGGAGAAAATTTTTGTAACCTACTCACCTGACAAAGGGATAGTATCCAGAATCTACAATGAATTCAAACAAATTTACAAGAAAAAACAAACAACCCCATCAAAAAGTGGGCAAAGGACATGAACAGACACTTCTCAAAAGAAGACATTTATGCAGCCAAAAAACACATGAAAAAATGCTCATCATCACTGGCCATCAGAGAAATGCAAATCAAAACCACTATGAGATACCATCTCACACCAGTTAGAATGGCGATCATTAAAAAGTCAGGAAACAACAGGTGCTGGAGAGGATGTGGAGAAATAGGAACACTTTTACACTGTTGGTGGGACTGTAAACTAGTTCAACCATTGTGGAAGTCAGTGTGGCGATTCCTCAGGGATCTAGAACTAGAAATACCATTTGACCCCGCCATCCCATTACTGGGTATATACCCAAAGGATTATAAATCATGCTGCTATAAAGACACATGCACATGTATGTTTATAGTGGCACTTTCACAATAGCAAAGACTTGGAACCAACCTAAATGTCCAACAACGATAGACTGGATTAAGAAAATGTGGCACATATACACCATGGAATACTATGCAGCCATAAAAAATGATGAGTTCATGTCCTTTGTAGGGATATGGATGAAACTGGAAACCATCATTCTCAGCAAACTATCGCAAGGACAAAAAACCAAACACCACATGTTCTCACTCATAGGTGGGAATCGAACAATGAGAACACTTGAACACAGGAAGGGGAACATCACACACCAGGGACTGTTGTGGGGTCGGGGGATGGGGGAGGCATAGCATTAGGAGATATACCTAATGGTAAACGACGAGTTAATGGGTGCGGCACACCAACATGGCACGTGTATACATATGTAACAAACCTGCACGTTGTGCACATGTACCCTAAAGCTTAAAGTATAATAGTAATAAAATGAAAAAAAATGTATCTCATAACTACAAGATAGAGGAATGAAGACTAAGTGATCTGAAAAAAATTTTTATTACAATTAAAAGTGAGCTCAATGAGTGTACTTTGAAAGCTTAATAATATATTAGGTTGTATTAATAATGTCAAAATTAAGAAGTCCCTGTTCAGCAACCTCTAAAGACTACAAATGGAATTTTGAATTTAGTTTTGGATGCAGATTCAAAAGCATTCAGGGAAGAGTCTCTAGGGTATACGAAAGTTCATGAAAACGGACTTATGAAAGAACTAATATTCTCATTCTTTGTGATTTCAAATAATTCAATATGTATTAGCAGGTAAAAACTATGGAGAGAAATAATTTGATTTGGTTGTACAAAATCTTCCTGAAGGGCTTCTCTTCCACAGGCGTTTAAGCTTAAATTGGTCAATCTTTTGGCAGGGGTGTTTTATGGTAGGAATTCAAGCCTCAGGCAGGTTATAAGAATGAATGACCTATATGTCTCTGAAATTTTATCAGTTTTAAAACTCAAGTCTGGAAAAAAACAGAGATAATATAATGAGTGTGGTGTTTTCTCTTTCAAATAAATCAATTCTTAAGCCACACTGATGCTACACTGGGTAATCATAACTAAGTGTGAACCATCAGTATTTCAACAAGCAATTGTTTAAAATTGTTGAATACCTTCATTATTGCAAATGTTTGGAACAGTTATTTTCCTTAAAGGGCAGAGTTAAGATTTTTTTTTTTTCCTTAAGGATCACGATATTGGTCTGGGTAAGGATTTTTTGGGTAAGACCTCAAAAGCACAGGCAACAAAAGCAAAAATAGACAAATGAGATTAGATAAAACTAAAAAGCTTCTGTACAGCAAAAAACAATGAACAGAATGAAGAGACAACTTACAAAATTTAAAAACATTGCAAATTAGGCTTTTGACAAACAGTCAATATCCAGAATATATAAGAAACTCAAACTCCTCAATAGCAAGAAAATAAACTCATTAAAAAGTGTGCATTCTAAAAGAAGACATACAAATAGTCAACAAGTATTTGAAAAAATGTTCAACATCACTAATCATCAGGGAAATTCAAATTAAAACCACAGTGAGATATTACTTTTCCCCTGTTAGAATATCTATTATCAAAAGGACAAAAAATGAAAAACGCTGGTGAGAATGTGGAGAAAGGGGGACTCTTATATACTATTGGTGGGAATGTAAATTAGTACAGCAATTGCAGACTAGAAAGAGTATTGAGGCCCCTCAATAGTTAAAAATGGAACTACTGTATTATCCAAGAATTCCACTACTAGGTACATATCCAAAGGAAATGAATTAACATGTCAAAGAGACATTGCATTACTATGTTTACTGTAGCACTTTTCACAATAGCCAAGATATGGAATCAATGTAAGAGTCTATCAACAGATGAATGCACTTTGAAAAGTGAAATATATATATGATGGAGTACTATTCAGCCATAAAAAGAATGAAATCCTTTTATTTGCAATGACATGGATAAAGGATATTATGTTAAGTGAAATAAGCCAAACACAGGACAAATATCGAATGATCTCTCTCATATGTGGAATCTAAAAAAGTTAATCTCATAGAAGTAGAGAGTAGAAAGGTAATTATCAGAGGCTGAGGAGGGTACGATGGAGGAAGGGATGAGGAGAGATTGATCAATGAATACAAAATTATAGTTAGATGGAATAAATTCTCATGTTCTATTGCACAATAGGGTGATGATAGTTAATAATGTATATTTCAAAATAGCTAGAAAAGGATTTTTAATGTTCTCACCAAAAAGAAATGACAGGTGTTTGACGTAATGCATGTGCTGATTATCCCGATTGATTATTATGCAATGTACACATGTATTGAAATATCACACCGTACCTCATAAATATGTATAATGATTACATGTCAACAGGAAAATAAAACTAAAAAAAGAGAAGTCTTTACAGGTGAGATTTTATGATTGATGTAAAAACAACTTTGCTTGTCCTCCAATTTTTCTCCTTAGCCTGATTCTCAAAATTCAAATTGAGAAAAAATTTACAATATGTATGCACACAACATTTTCATGTGTATGATTAAACGGCAATATTTGTGGAAATAATTTAGAAACATCTACTTCTACATCTCTGTCTTCCTTGATATATGCTGTACCTCCTTCTTTTTAGATTATGGGGATTTATAGCTCAAAGCGGTCTTTGCAGTCATTTAATTCAGCCACTACATTGAACTAATGAGGAAAGTGAGGCTCAGAGGTAGAGTCAGTTCCTAAGAGAGGTGATTCAGTACTCTTGACTCCCAATTCAGAGTTCTTTACCTTACATTGGATACTGGTATCTCTGCTTTCTTTATCTTCTCTCTTCTCATTGGCTTCCTGAGATAGTGCAATGCTTTTTACACTAGCCCTTGTTCAGCACATAACTGTTGCAGACGTGTTGACTAAGCTACAATCCTTGGCATTCTCTTGCTGCTGTGTGTACTAGAGTGATGTATACTAGAGTGCTGTGTCTGACTAGTTTCCTTACTTGAATTTTGAGTTCTTTGCAGACACTTTTCATCTTCCCTCTTTAAAGGGAGCACATTTTTTAAAGAAACTCCTGTTATTACTTTAGGACTATTCAGCATAATAGAGAGCATTGCATAGGTCAAGGTTCTAGTAGCAATAAACTCTACTCTGCCTGATTTAAGCAGGTTTAAGCAATGAGAAATTTACTGCAGAACGTTAATTAGCTCATGTAATCTCCAGGAAGACTAGAGAAATAGGTCTATATGCTACCCAACTCAAAATAGTGAAGCCAGAAAAAAAAAAACGCCTTCTAGACAAGAAACTATTCCAGTAAGAAAAAAAAAAAAAAAGACAGGACAATTCCAGTAAGTGGTGCACAGTGGTACACCACTTAAATCCTCCATCTGTGAGTCCTCTGCTACGTAGGGGACAGACGTTTCATCCCCTTAAAACCGCTAGAACCAACGTTGTGGTAAAAGAGTTCCCTTCAGTCATCCATGGAGCTTCCAGAGCAGTTAACTCTCATTTTAATAGGATACCCATGACAACCTCAATGACCTCTGCACAGGGAACGACTCTTTAAAGCACAAACTGATGGTGCCTAAAAGATTAGCACCGTGATGTGGATCAGGGCCATGAAGCTTCATTGTGAGTTACTCCTGATTGATTGAAACCCCTTTTTTTGTGGTCCAGGTTATAGAAGCTGGCTCCCCCAGGCATTCCAGAAGTGTGTTCCCTTCTCAGGCCCATTGCATTCACAGAGGGTGCCCTTTAAAAGCACTAGAAGGTCTTCCGTCTAGACAGTTTCATTTTTCATTAATAGAAATGGTCGCTACAGTCGTGTTGCATTTTTCTAAGATGCAATTAATTTCTTCTAATGTCATTGTTTAAACAGGTATCTTTTTATTTTGAGAGTGTATATACAATATCTTTATATATTTTACACATTAAAATAATAAGAATATTTATAATTATTTCTGTTGTTTTCCCCATTTTGATGATATTAAGTGAGGTTTCTATCATTCATGGTAATTGGAAAGAATAGGAAATGTAATAGTTAAAACTGATTTTTCTAAGGTGGAAGCAAACTTCCCAGTTGCAAAATGTTTTTCTGAGGGAAAATTAGGAGACTTACTACAGAAGGTAACATAATCACAGGACTGCGTATTTGGTGAGATTTTGGGACAATATAAAGGAATATGCTTATCATGGTCTGGGTTTTATTCAAATACCAAACAGATGATGTTCCTATTGTCTAAAGTGATTCTAAGCAAAGAGTAAAGTATATCTGAGTACATTCCAAATGAGAACAAGCTTTATTTACTGGACTCAAAGGCCAACAAGTATTTAAACAAGCTTATTCAAAAAATAAAAGAAAAGAAACAAGGAAATGAAGAAAGAAAAAAAAATGTGTGTATAGAGTACAATTCCAGAGCTGAATTTATAAATAATTTCTGTTGTGAATCAAATACACATTTAAAAAAGCCTGTCAGCAACCCAGTCACTTTTATACTTATAGTCACCATCCGATTATGTCTGGGCTTATTGGTCCTTCAAAATTTGGCCCAAATTTTAAAAATGTTTTGATTGGGAGGAATAATCTCACTGGAAGATTAATTAGGTTTTTTTTTTGGTTTGGTTTTGTTTTGTTTTTTTAACTTGGCGGTTTCCTGTGCCTCCAGCAAAACAAGATAAAATTAAATTTTCTTTAAAAATCAAACTATTCTGCTCTCTAATCCAAATTATGAGATCTCATTCTTTTGAAATGAGAATTGGAAGCCTCATTATACGTAGTATTATATCAGAGAAAAAGATGAAATTTCTGACATATAACAGGGATCCAATATACTTCACTGAGTCCAGACTAGAGTGAAGGTAAATGCCTAGACATGGACAATCAGAAGTGCCTAACCCATCTGAAATTCCACCAGGAATATTTTCTTATAGAAGAAAAAAGTAGATGGAAATAGATGGTGAGGTAAATTCACTTCTGAATAAATAAATCATTAAGTACCCGTATGCAAAGTTTGGCACCAATTCATTAAAAGAAATCTCATAGCCCAAGGGTTTACAAATGGAAATAGATTAATGTGGATGAAGAAAGATATATAGAAAAGCAATTGTACAGGTATTGAATATGGCAGTTATTAAATAACATGTTTATATTATGTGAAGTCATCAGTGGGAATTTGGTGGTGGATTGGCAATTGTTGGTTTCAATAGTAGTCAAAGCTTTATGAAAGGTGAAGTTATCTCCTTTTCTGTTTTTTGTGAGAGGCTTGGTTTTAAAGAAAACCTTGAATGAATACATAGGGGTGGAAAGATACTCCAAGTCTACTACAGAAACAGAGCTGGCTCAGAAACACTTATAGCAGAAAATGTGTGTATTAGTCCAGTTTGTGGCAGTAACAAACAATCTCAAAAATTCATTGGTTCACAACCACAAACATTGATGTCTTGCTTTCATTACATAAGGGAGGCAGGTCAAATAGATTAGAATGGGTTTGGCTTGAATTGGCTTCATGTGTTTTCTCATTCTGGAATCCAGGCTAGTGGAATAGCCACCATCTAGAACATGTGATTCTCATAGTGGAGGCTATAGAAGAAAATGAGCTGAACTTTCATGCTTCTAAAGCCTCTGGTCATTACTTGCACACTGACATTCCCACCTACTTTTTTTTTCTTTACAATTTTTTTCAAGTAGGTGAAATGCACATAAAATTTAACATTGTAACCAGTTTTAAGTGTACAGTTCAGTGACATTACATACATGATGTTGTTCTGTCATCACCACCATTCATCCCTAGAACTTTTTTCATATTCTAATACTGAAATTCTATATCTAAAATCTTCCCATTTTCTTCTCCCTCAAGCCCCTGGCAACTACCATATTATTTGCTATCTCTACAGTGTTTTTTTGTTTGTTTGTTTGTTTTATTTTGTTTTTTGTTTTTTTGACAGAGTTTCACTCTTGTTGCCCTGGCTGGAGTGCAATGGTGCGATCTCAGCTCACTACAACCTCTGCCTCCCAGGTTCAAGCGAGTCTCCTACTTCAACCTCCCGAGTAGCTGGGATTACAGGCATGTGCTACCACACACGGCTAATTTTTTGTATTTTTAGTAGAGACAGGGTTTCTCCATGTTGGTCAGGCTGGTCTTGAACTCCCGACCTCAGGTGATCTGTCTGTCTCAGCCTCCCAAAGTGCTGGGATTATAGGTGTTAGCCACCATGCCCAGCCTATCTCTATAGTTTTGACTAAGTATCTCAGATAAGTGGAATCATATAGTATTCATGTTTTTGTGACTGGCTTATTTCACTTCGCCTAATGTCCTCACAGTTTATTAATGTTGTAGTATATGTCAGATTTTTCTTTATTTTAAAGGTGTAATAATATTTGATTGTATGTATATAGCACATTTTGCTTATCCATCTATCTGATAATGGACTCTTGGGTTGCTTCCACATTTTAACTCTTATAAATAATACTGTACTATCATGAACATGAGTGTACGAATATCTCTTTGAGACCTGTGATATGGTTTGGTTCTGTGTTCCCACCCAAATCTCATGTCAAATTATAATTCCTAATGTTGGGGAAGGGACTTGGTAGGAGGAGATTGGATCATGGGGGCTGATTTCTCCCTTGCTCTTCTTGTGATAGTGAGTGAGATCTCATGAGATCTGGTTATTAAAAAGTATGTAGCACCTCCCTCTTCTCTCTCTTCCTTCTGCTCCAGCCATGTAAGACATGCCTGCTTTCCCTTCACTTTCCACCATGATTGTAAATTTCCTGAGGCCTCCCTCACCATGCCTCCTATACAGCCTGCAGAACTATGAGTCAATTAAACATCTTTTCTTTATAAACTACCCAGTCTCAGGTAGTTCTTTATAGCAATGTGAGAAGTAAATAATACAGAAATTTGGTACCAGAAAAGTGGGGCATTGCTATAAAGATATCTGTAAATGTGGAAGTGACTTTGGAACTGGGTAATGGGCAGGGATGGAACAATTTGGAAGGCGCAGAAGAAGACAAGAAGATGTGGGAAAGTTTGGAACTTTCTAGAGACTTGTTGAATTGTTGTGACCAAAATGTTGATAGTGATATGGACAGTGAAGTCCAGACTGTGGAGGTCTCAGATGGATATGAGGAACTTATTGAAAACTGGAATAAAAGTCACTCTTGCTATGCTTTAGCAAAGAAACGTATGGCATTGTGCCCCTGCTCTAGAGATCTGTGGAACTTTGAAGGTGAGAGAGGTGATTCAGGATATCTGTCAGAAAAGCATTCAAGATGTAGCATGGCTGCTTCTAAAAGCCTAAACTCATTTGCCTAAACAAAGAACGGACCTCAAACTAGAACATATATAAAAGGGAAGCAGAACCTAAAACTGTGGAAAATTTGCAGCCTGACCATGCAGTAGAAAGTAAAACCAATTTTCTGGGGAAGAATTCAAGGCTGCAGAAATTTGCATAAGTAAAGAAGAGCCTATTCCTAATAGCCAAGGAAACTGGGAAAATGCTTCCAGGGCATTTCAGAGACCTTTGCAGCAACCCCTCCCATCTCAGGCCTGGAGGTCTAGGAGGGAAAAATGGTTTTATGGGCAAAGCTAGTTAGACATTTTCCCAATTGGTGTCACACTCTATCTGACCCTGTATTTTGTCTTAGATAAAACCATCTGAGCTTTAGTAGTCTCAGTCTTAAGAAAAAGAAAACAAGCCTGTCATATGTAACCCCTGCCACACAGTTATAGGTTCAAATAAGTCATTTTTGCTGGACCGGCACCATGTAATTAATTTTAAGGAAAAGTGACTCTTGGACACAAATTTATGAAAAATTATTAACTATATAATTAGGGACATCTCTGAAGTTTCCAGTTTGATTTAGAAGCATCCCTTATCCACACAGATTACCTTAATCTCCTGGAATTGACCCTCATTCAAAAATGATATTCAAAAGCACTGGGTATTCATTGGCTAAGTCAAATGAGAGAAATACATGTTGAGTTTAATAAATAAAAGGAGATATTCAATAACCTTGTGAGCACCTATTACATGTAAGAACTGTGCTGGGTTCTTGGGATGCAAAGTCAAAGCATTATCTTTCTTCAAGAAGCTTACATTCTAGTGGGGGACACAAGTGCATAAAGTGATGACTACAACAGGCTAGGTGTGCACATAATAGACCTAGGCACATACACCACAGCCACCATGTGATGGAAATATAGAGTTTATTAGTGATAAATTTAGTAAATAATCAATCAGGGAAGTAGTAGAACCTACATGATCCCCTGAGTTCTTGTTCTTTCATGGAGTGGTACACCTAGGCTGGTCATTGTGGGATAGGAGAGTCCACGGGACTCTGTCCCTAAAACACTGTTCATATTCATAGAGAAAGACAGGGCCCTTTAGGTGACATGGGAGCATGACACTGAGGCATTCTGGTGAAGAGAGAAGCTTACAGAGGTCAGGCTCTGGATCAGCCTGTTTTGCAGCTGAGCTACTGAGACTTGCTGGGCCAGCAACTTGACAAGCTACCAAGGGGACTGTATCTTCCCCTGATAGCTCCTCATAGGCCATCTAAGCTTGCTTCTTTTTGCTCTTGAATCGCAGAGAAAGGCAGGGGTATCCAGAGAAGGCTTTCTGGGGGAAGATATTGAAGCTGAGCTTTCAAGGGGTTTGCAAGATGAGAAAGGGGAAGAACATTCTGGTAAAGAGAAGAGCAAATAAGAAGGAATATAAGCATGTAAGGCACAGCATACTCAGCTGCAAATGGTCCATTGTGATAGCATAATAGAAGTGAGACTACAAGGCAGGGGGCTGAGGGGATGCCAGATCAATACATTATGCAGTTTCTAATAGTTAGGTCAAAGCAATGAGGGATTCAGCTGCATATACACTTTCTGTATAGCCTTCATTTGTTGATGTTGTGAAAAAGTCATCACTGAATAACCAGGAAAACATAGATGACAAATCCTAGCTCTTAAAAGTCACTGGTCTAGGTGTAAAACAGAAATATTCTGATGTGTACATATATAAACAGAATATAGTGTCTTGTATTCTGACTATCTTGTTTTCTGAATGCCTTGTCTGAGTAAAAATAATTTTCTAAGGAAAGGAGAGAGGAGAGAGACCATGTTGACAGAGAAACCTTTAAATTCCAAGAAGACACCAAGAGTCTCCCGAGGCAGGGAGCAAAATAGATGCAAAACAGAACCCAGAGACCACCCATCTAGTGGCATCGGTTGATCAACAGTATTCTATCACCCACTAAATGTCCAGTAGGAATAAGGCCTGCCTGTGACCAAAGATTGGGTTTAGCTATTCAAACAGCTTATGTCTTTAAGACAAATCCACTTTTTAAAGCCTAAGACCTAAGTTCCTGGAGTCTGTGGACCCCTGCAGAGGAGTTAAGATGGTGTAGAAAAGAGAGACCCCTTAATGGCCAAAATGGAACTAAATATGTGTTACAATATCAAATATAGGTAGCACATAAGAGATTGTGGTGAGCTGATAAAAATAACATATTTATTTCCCAGAGTGAAATATCCAAAGTAGGATGGGTCTACACAACTATGATAATGACAAACCATGCTGTGAAAACATTACCAAGACCAATAAAACTCTTGAGATCCTTGAATACCTATAAAAATCAGCATTGCAAATTCCTCTTTTCATATGTTTGAAAAAATATGAAAAAAACTTTATAAGTCTACATAAATGTATTTAAGTTAAATAAGTATTAATGTTAATTTCTTTTGTTTTAACTTTTACTATTATGTAGTATATCATTAAATAAGATTCCAAATCCTGAATTATAATGTTTCAACCTATTTTCACTGAATTGACTTCAGTCTTTTGGATCAGATTCTTTTTCTCTTCCTGGTTATTAGAGTACTAAACATACTGTTTAAAAGAAGGGACAGGATTGGGGAGTATGATAAAGTGGAAGAAAGTCACATGTTATTCTACCACCCCAAAGAGACCATGGTTTACCTTGTTAACCACAGGGCTTTATTCCTTCTAGTCTTTTTACCATGTAGTTGACACCATACCATTGATATTTTTTTTCTTATTTTTATTTTTAATTTTTGTGGGTACTTAGTAGGTGTATATACTTATGGGGTACATGAGATGTTTTGATACAGACATGCAATGTGAAATAAGCACATCATGTAAATTTTTCTTATTCTTTAACTTACTATTATATCAAAAGCATTTGTACATGTTCTTGAAACCAAGAAAAAGTTCATTTTCTAAACTTGTCTTACTGGTAGTTTTAATCATGCTTGTCTCCATTTAACTCCAGACAGGCAGTAGGAACAGGGTGAAGTTCCTGGGAAGGAGAACAGCCCCTGGGGGTGTAACAGTGACAGGAACAAGGGAAAATATGAAGTTCTGGCCTTGGTACAATGAAAGACTCTTCAGTGCGTGATGGACTTGGGGGAATTCTGTCTTGGATAACAAATAGAGCAGACATGTCCATCTAGATTGGGGCTTCTCCTAACAAAATTAAAAGGAGCAGAAAGGCACAATTACCTGTGTATAGGGAAAGTTATCTACTTACAGTCATGCTTTCCTATGAGATATCAAAACCAATGTTGCATTTCAAAGCAACTGGTTCTGACCAGCAGAAGCTGATTAATGGCTGTGAATGTTGGGCTACTACAGCACACCAGATTTTCACTGGAACAAACAGAAGACCCTTTCCTGACCAGTAAACAATGGGATTTATTTTAACCAATTATGAACAGAGGTAGGGACTCATTATTCTGTCCAAAGTACTGGTTTCAATTAATGTCGTGATGTGTAAGCGCCATGAATGCCTGTCCATATGCTAGCACTTAAAAAACACTGACATTTTCCTCTTAGAGAACTATTGAGTGAATTTCTTCACAATGCCTGTTCCCAGGCAAATAAATAAATTCTACTATTGTTTTGGTTTGCTGATTTTTTTTCCTTTGTTGCTGTTGTTTCATTCTTGTACCTACAAATCTATGGGTTGAATAAAATACATGTAACGCACACAATCGTAACTGTTTATATTTGCCTTTTGGATTTAAACCCACTATGTATGTTTCAAAATGTCCCATAAATAGATTTGTAACCCAGTCAGTTATTCCATTACCCATCTCTGGGAAAGATTAGGTATTTGGTCTTAAGGGTTCTATATATTTCCCAGCAGTGCATTATAAGCCAGGGATGCCATAAGCTCTGCCTCCTTGGGTTCATAGGGGATTTATTGTCTATGTAAAGTTACATCATTATTAACATCAAGGCATTAAAAACTGATAACCCAAAGTGGGAATAGCCCTTGGCCAAACGCTGAAGTAAATAAAGTTCGCCTTCATTTCTCCTTTGCTCTGGATTCTCTGCAGGATGTCCTCCCCTGGGCCTCACACTTCCCAACAGGCAGCTTTCCAAGCTCCAAAACTTTCCGACTCTCTACTTTCATCAGCTTTCAGCTTCAGGCTTACCACCCCCCTGGGTTTGGCTCCTTTTTTTCTAAAACACTCTAATGGCTAATTTCTTAGTATACTAACAAAACTTTCAAGTGGAAGTGAGTACAGCAAAGAATGAACCTTGTTAGTGACCCTTTCAACAAGAGTTTTCTAGTGCCGTGATCTTCAAACTCAAAGCAATCACACACACAGCAATAGGCTGTTGGACTGGGAGTTAAGATGCTATTTTCAGTAGGGCCTCTTCTTGGAACTCTCACCACCAGATGACTGTTTACACCGATTGTGCAAAGCTCTTTCTTAAGGTATGATTAGAACATTTGTGTTTGTGAAATATTCTGCCAATTGGCTCCTAAGATTGTTTTGGAATTAAACTGAAGAGCTATAGCTTATAGGTCTTTTATTGAATGGGTACATGTTATTTTAATTTTTTAAATTATCATTAACCTCATCATCATCTTAGCAGTAAGTCTTTAGTATGTATCAGGTGTTCAGGGGAAACTACCCTTCTCCTTCCATGAGGGTGGGCTTCAATGATATAACACTTCCTCTATGGGAGGGGGATCGGTTTATCTGATGGTTGGAATGGAAAGATTCTGATATCTTTTGGCCACTGTTTCTTCATTAGAGGTAGAATAACGAAGTATTATGCCTGCACTTTCTCTCTCCCCATTCACAAAACTCCAAGGACTTTAAGTTTGGTGCTGGGAACTCCCTTTCCCAAAGAGCTAGGAATATGCTGCTTTAGTGTGGTTGAACCATGTTTATCAGATTTATGAGTCATTATGCTCATATTTTGATTCTTTTCCAACATCAGTTGATGCAGAACTATGAAGGATAGCAGTCAAATGGCCCCCTCAGAGACTGAAACCACCAATTAAACCCCCAGGCTGTATACTCAGAGTTTTACATGCAGTATCTCATTTTACTGTTACAACAATCTTGAGAGGTAAATAACATTACTCATTTTACAAATGATGATGAGAATTTTAGTGACATGACCAGTGGATAAGTAGGAAAGGATTGTATACCAGGTATCTCACGTTACTTGCTGTTCTTTATACATTTACCCTTCAAGTAATTTATCCTTAAACTGTATTGTCTAGTATCACTTGATTTTGAACTTCAGATAAATGGACTCATGCTTTATGTATATTCTATTTGGTTTATTTCTCTCAGGTTGCTTATGAGATTTTTTTCATGTTGCTCCATATAGATGTAGTTTGTTTATCTAGTAAATAAAATGAAGTTGCCACAATTAGTTTATTATACTTCTTATAGACATTAGAGTTGTTTACAGTTTTTTACTATTATGAATAATATCACTATGAATTTTCTTGCATTTGTCTCTTAGCACATAGATGCGTTTTGTTTTTTTATTAAATCTTGTTCCACAGCCTGGCTTACCCTTGATATTTAGTCTTCCGAGTTGAGTCATCCTGGTGAGGTGGGAAGAGTATTTTCTTGTGGTTTTATTTTGAATTTTTCTGATGTCTAAAGAGAATGAACACCTTTTCATATGATGTTTTTAGTGATTTTGCTTTTCTTTGTAATAAATCCCTTTTAAGTCCCTTTGCCATTTTTCTACTAGATTTCTACTAGGTTTCTGTGTTCTTATTGATTTGTAGGAATATTATGTGTGATAGCCTTCTGTCAAGTATATGCATCATAAATATTCTCTACCACTATCTGGTTTACCATTTCACACTCTTACTCTTATCTTTTGATGAAAAGAAGTTTTAAAATTTATTGTAATCAAATGTACTATGCTTTTCCTTTATTGTTAGTATAGCTTGTTTCTCTTTTAATACAACGTTCACACTACTTCTCACATTCAGTTATCACTTAGGATTTATTTTTATGTGGTATAAGTTAGGGTTAGATTCATTTTTCCCCATAGAGAAAACCAATTGTCTCAGTACAGTCTATAGAAAATAACATGTTTTGCTCTTTCTGCTCTGTAGTGCCTCCATTATCATATATCAAGTGGCTGTATGTTTGTAGGTCTTTGTGAGGTGGTGGTGGGGGATCTTCTGTCTCATTGGCTAATTTGTCTAATCTGGTACTAGTTCCACATTGTTTTAATTTCTGTAGCTTTGTAAGTGGTATTTAGTATCTAGTAAAATAAGTCTTTCCTCCACTGTTTTCTATTTTCCTTCTTTGAGATTATCTGAACTGGTCTTCACTCTGCATTTTCACATAAATTTAATAATCATTGTGTCTATTTCCACAAAAATAGCAGCTGAGATTTCAATTGATATTGCATTGAATCTGTAGATTAATCTGGAGGCAATTCATAGTTTTATAATAGTGGGTCTTCAAATTCAAGAGCATGGAATACCCTTCTGTTTAGTTGCCTTTAATTTCCTTCAATTATGTATTTAGGTTTCTGAGTAGAGGTTTTATTCACCCTTGGTTAGATTTATTCTTAAATTTTTTAAATTGTCTGCTAAAATTGGTGGCTGGTTTCAAAATTTCTCTTTTATTTATTGCTTGTATATGGAAATGCAATTTTTATTTTGATATCAACTTTGGATCTAGCAATTTTGCTTGTTAGTCTTGTTAATTTGAATTCATGTGTAATTTTCCTATATGCTATAGTCATAGCATTTATTAAATACAATATTTGTTACCTCCTTTTTCTTTCTTACACTTTTATTCTTTTTCCACCTTACTAAGCTGGCTAGGAACTCTAGACAACACTGAACTGAAAGTGGGAATAACAGGCACCCTTGGTTGTTCCTTATCTTGAAGGATATGTATGCACAGTGTTTCAGATTAAGTATGATGCATATTACGAGTTTTTATAGCTATCAACTAGAATTCTGCCACTCCTAAATCTTTTCATTTTTTAAATTTTGTTAACTATTGATAATTTCTATGCGTATATGCTTTAAATGTTTCATTTAGATTTTTAGCTAGCATCATTGGAAGGCTTAGTATTATTTTAGTCACCATTACTGGAATATAGCCAAACCATGTATAATTTTTATGGATGATTTAAAATATTTTAAAGAGTAAACCATTTTGGTAATTGTCTCTAAGATATCTTTATTCTACTATGTTCTAACTTTAGAATTGAACCACTATTTGATTGGATTATAGCTTCTTTGTAACTAAAATTTTTTAGGATGAAAAAAGAGAGAAAATGTATTAATTAATTGTTGAGTCTAGTAAAATATAATTCCACAACTCCACAAGACTAGGAGGAAAAAAGGAAGAAAATAGAGTCATGTCACTTAGGAATACAGAATCAAATGTCTTTAAAAATTTAGCAACCCAAATGTGTCAGTATACCGAAAGTACAATGTACCTTGACCAAATTGGATTTACTTCATAAATATAAATGTAAATCACTGTTGGAATATTATTGATAAAATTCACCACATTAAGTAAAAATAATAAAACATTTTATTCGGCTTTATAAATTGTACCGATATCTTATAAAAATGTTAATGTTTTATGAAGATAAAATAGTAAGCTAGGAAAAGAAGAAAATTCCTTACTGTAATAATGAGTCTTTTTATCAAAACATAAATCATGCTTAATATGAAAACACTGGAGCATGGCCACTGTAGTCTGAAACAAGATAATGATTCATGATGCAAACGAATACTGATTGAATACTATACTGAATCACTATAGTATTCAATGCTTTTCTGGAGGTTCTAGTCCATGGGTTGCCAAACTACATCTTGTAGGCCAAATCTGGTCCCTTCCTGTTTTTGTAAGTAGTTCTGTTTAAACACAGCCATGGCCTTCTATTAACATATTATCTATGGCTACTTTTGCACTATAATGGCAAAGTTGAGTAGTTGACACAGAGGCAATATGTCTCAGAAACCTAAAATAGTACTATCTGGCCCTTTACTGAAAGCGGTTGCTAATCCTTGTTTTAACAAATACAATACATTCTTTTAAATGAAATAAGATGTTAAAATTGATAGAAAAAATATATATTATTGTCTACTTAGTCTAACTGAATCAATAGAAAGCACTAGATTGATAGCAGGGTTTAGTAAGATAAAACATTATACCAAAAGAAATGCTTTTAAATAACCAATCAATAACTAATCAGAAAATATTACAGAAAAAGTGCCATTCACAAGAATAATAAAATTTTAATATTGTCAGTAATAATCTTCAGCCTGCGAAGACTTTAATTAAAATGACAATAATTTATACAGAAGAAAGGATGGTGGCTAGGACAGGATAATGGAAGTAGAGATGCAGAGAGGTGACCAGATTTGATAACTGTTTTAGAAAAGGAAAGTAGAGCTTCCTTAAAAGCAAACAGCACACACTTCCTTGGGGCAACAGAGTACTACAAAAGAGTCTGGGCATTGGACTCCTCTGTGAAATACTCTCTGTGCGATCCTGGTCAAACTATGTATTCTTCCTTTGGTTCAATTTCTTCCTCTGCAAAATGGAATTAAAAGTACTCTTCATGGGTTGCTGTAATAATTTAGAAAGTAGATGTAAAATATTTAGCACAGTGTTTGAAATATAATATTCTTGATAAATGTTAAGTAGTATTATAATTATAAATATACATACAAATGTTAATAGTATTATAATTATTATTTTTAGTGGATTATTTTTAGGTCACATGGTTTTAGGTCCATAGTTTTATAGGAGAAGTTATGAGTCTATCAGTGTCCTGAGTAAAGCAAGCCTCCATCCTAGGTCTGTAGGTATATGCTTCACTGGAAAAAAAAAGACTCCTATATCAATATAGGCAATTTATTTTAAAATGCTTTGTTTTACACAATATGATATATATGGCCTTAGTTTAAGTTTCACATCTGCAGGCAGTCAGTTAGCATGTGGTCAAGAATGCACTGCCTGGCAGTGCTCAGCCAGCATTGAGTCAAGTACCATAACCCATGTTGGCAATTATATGTTGATTAACCCATACGTTGGTATGGCAATCCATATGTTGATTAATCCATATGGAGATAACCCATACTTATCTATTTAACATACTGAAAGTAAAAAAATGGATTTTATTACTAAAAATAATGGCTTTTTTAACAATAGATGTTACATGTAACTCTCATTACTGAAATTAGAATTTTTCTCAATTTTGCATTATGTAAATGTAAGGATCCACGAAGGCTTGTATCCTGAACCCATTATGAATGACATCCAAGGCTTGCTCCTTAATAGATCTTGTGTCCAGCCATTCATTGGTTTGAGAATATCTGTTTGCCTCATGCCCACTAGAAGACACACACTTGGGAATTGCCTCATGAACCTCTGGTACCTCTGGTATACTTGGAGCATCTTAAAGGACAGAGAAATGGGACTTCATCAAGCTTACAGAAAGGATTTCTTAACCATTATCTTTGTTAATAAATATTTGTCTAAAAATGTTTATATGTGTGAAAACATTTTATTTGAGACTGGCTTTCTTCAAAAACCAAGTGGCAAGAATGTGGATGAGTAACTAACTGCTACCACCTCGAATGTGGGCGAGTAACTAACTGCTACCACCTCAAATTTTATTGATGAATTTAAAAAAAAAAGAAAAAAGCACTTTTTATACCAAGAAGATATAAGAGAACTGAATGGCCTGGAACACCTTGTAAGAACCCCACAATTCTGTGAATCAGTTTTCCCACACCAATGTGGAGCCATCTTTCCCAAAGCAAATCACCCGGTATAGCTTTCATGGTCACTTCAGCTTCCTTAGTATCTGTGGCCCAGGAATGGACATAGGAAAAAAATTAGAAGCTCTATTATACAATATCATTGTCACTAGTGGTAGCTACAGAATCCCTGCCACCACCACCATAAAGAAAGCCTTTGTTAACCTAAACCACTGAAAGAAACTTTTCTTTACAGTTGTAATCCAGAGGGAATTATAAACTGGGGTTACACAAATAACCATTCCCTTGCTCCCCGACCACTCAATTCAACCCCAGCACACAAGATAAAGATCTTTCCTGGAGCCTTATAATTTCAATACCTAGCTCTACGCAGGGCATCCCAGTGGTAAGCTACTTTTCTCCCCACTTTTCTCCTTTCTTCCTACTCCCTTGCAAAGCAATCCAAATGATATAGGTACTGATCCCTCTACTGGGAAACACAATCCAGACCATTCCCCCAGGCGGATGGATAAAGCTACTAACCATGATATTTATATTCAATACCTCTAGTTTACTCAAGTCCAGTGCTTAAGCAAGAACAACAATCAGATCTGAGAAGCTTTCTGAAAATACAAATTACTTACCTTCCACTATCAGAGATCCAGGTTACTTTTCTAGGTAAGCCCAGGCATGCATATTTGGAAAAAAACATGCTAGCACATATATAACTACATTTCAAAGCCACTGCTTAAGCCTCTAAACCACTTGGGTGAAACCCCAGTGTACTACATGGGTCACTATGCTTGCCTTGATACTCTTTCTCAAAATATTTGGTTTCCTATCCGGGGGACATGCAGCCTTAGATGTTCCCAGGTGTTTCTCTCATGTTCTTGGATGTCATATTCAAATGGTTCTTAAGAATAAGGACTGCCTCTCTGGCCCTCCTCTTTTTTTAGGTAGCCTAGTATAGACCAACCAGGACACTTTTAATCATATTTTTCTAGATCTTGGATTATACTGGTGCTATGGTCTAAGTGTGTCCCCTAAAATTCACATGTTAAAACTTAATCACCAATATGATAGTATTAAAAAGTATAGCCTTTAAAAGCTGATTAAATTAGGAGAGCACAGCCCTCATGAACAGGATGTGATCATAAAAGGACTGGAGGTAACCAGCTAGGCCCTTTTGCCCTTCTATCCCTTCCATCATGTGAAGACACAGCATTCAAGGTGGCATCTTGGAGCCAGATCCCTGGCCCTCACTAGACACCCAACTGCTGGTGCCTTGATCTTGGGCTTCCTAACCTCCAGATCTATATACCTATTGTTTGTAAATTACCCAGTTTCAGGTATTTTGTTATAACAGCATATACAGACTAACCAAGCCTGGGCTGCATGCAGAAGTTCTGCACCTCATCTGGGGAGTCAGAGAGCATATAGCTGAGAGGCAGTGTTACCTAATCTGATGGTGACAGAAAGAGATCAGTGAAAAGCAAGCAGGTCATGAACTAAGGGTTGCTTAGGGGCTCCTGTGGGAGGAAGAAATGGGATGTACTATTTGCGAAAAGCTTCTGGTTCTGCTTGGCACATATTACAGTGTAGTGGCAAACTCCAGAAATATCTTGAGCTGGGGACTCGATGTTCACTATGGCTTGTTATGCAGTCCTGAGACTTCCGGTGTGAGTGTGCTGGGTCAGAAGTCCAGAGACATGATAGAGAGGAAGTGGCTTGGCTGGGCACATACAATGGGTTTTTCTGGTACCATTAATGTCAATAAAGCAGACAAAGCTGCCACAATTTCTGTCCCCTTTAGAAATAATTCCTCTATCACTAGTTGTTCCAGAATCTATGGGAAATTTGATCAAATAAGACTGATTATCGAAACATCAAATATTATTGTGTTCATTTTTCAAATATCATTATTTCTCTACTTGATAGGAAATGAACTAAGCTTTTGGATTATTCATCCTGTCACCACATAAATGATTAATTTACAGAGCACAACAAACGTGATTCTGTGGACAAAGGACCTGGATTTTGATTATATTAGTTTCTATCTGACAAATATTGAACATCCAGGCTATGCCTGCCCTGCACTCTTTGGGGATAGGTGGGAAAGAGTTGACCTGTGTGTTCTCATAAGTCAGGTGATTCTAAAGTTGCCTCAAAATAAGTGAAACTTTAAATTTATGCCACAGGGTTTTATTTCCCAATAGTACCCATTAATTATCTGACTCAAACTCCTTAGACAGTAGCAATAATTTAAAATTGCAAAATGTGAATTCTTCAAGGGAACACTGGAAAACAGATATAAGCCCTTGAAAAATACTTAGCTGGATTCACAACTCCAGAACAATATTTTGTTGTTCTTATTCATATCATTTTGGTAGGAGTGGGCAAACTGTCACCTTGGCCCCTTTTCTTCTTTTTGTACAGCATTAATTCATTTCCACATTTTGTTTATTCAACACATATTCATTGTGTTTTGCAATGTGCCAGGTACTGTGTAATTGAAGTGCTCATTTCCAGAGCACTCACAATGCTTTTCCTATGTCCACTAATTTTCACCTACACTTTCTTCTCTATCACAATCACCCGATTTTATTCTGTTTTCAATGTCCTGCTCAAATTCCATTTCTCTATGAAATGTTCAATGATGCCCCAAACAGAATAAATCTTACTCTATATCCATGAACTGTGCATTTTTATTTGAGTTTATCATATTCCAGATTTTCTCACTTTTTAACATATATTTTTCTGCTTGCAAATCTTGTGTACCTAAATGACAGGGATCCTATCTTGTTCTTTTCCTGTGTGACCTAGCAAAATATCTCGTGTCTAGTAGGTGTCTAGTAAATTCTTATTGAATTGTGTTAACATGGTGCCTCTGTAGAAAATGAAAAGGCAAATATATTTCTTTGTTTTCTTTCTAAGATCTTCTTCTACTCCTGTGCCTCCTTCTTCTGCTTCTTCTAAAAGGCAGTTGAGAACAGCAAAAGGTATTATGCAGCATTTAAAGATGCATAAAGATTGAGTTATAATGTCCACATTTTTTTATACTTGGCTTTGTTGCTTCATAATTTAGAGATCTTTCCATATCAGCACACACAGATATACCTCATTCTTTTGAAAAGGTACATAGTATTCCCTTAAAAGGGAGACTAAAATTTATTTTCAGTACCCAAAGGATGGACCTTTAGTTTGCTTTACAGTATTTTGTTATTTAAACATTGCCACAGTGAACATTATTGTATTTTATGTACTTTTGATGTTTTGTTTGTCAGTTACCTCCAGCTAAAGACCACCATGAACACAGATGCCATTGAAATAAATTTGGTTTAATTACTCACTGCAGTAATGGAGAAAGCACACCATAGGTAATTTTAGAGTGGGTTCAAGAAAGTGGGGATTAGCTTTAGATTGTGTGTGGTCAGCCAACAAGAGCACTTCTATCATTGGCTCTAAACTGAAAAAATAGAAAAAAAAAACAAACAACTCAAGAACCATGAGACACCTACAAAAGGTGCAGCTTACATGTAATGGTATACTTATATCAAAACACCAATATTGTATATCATAAATATATGCAATAAAATATTAAAACAAAAAAGAAAAAATATATTTCTTGTGGATACATTTGATTTCATAGTATTCTCTGCCAACAACAACAACAAAACTACATCTAGGCATATCATTTTCAAACTACAGGAAATCAAAAATAAAGGAAAACACTGAAGGAAGTCAGAGGGAGAAAACCCTTTTACCTACAGAAGAATAAAGATAAGAATGACATTTGACTTCTCTTCAGAAATTTCAAGCAACAGAAGAATGGAATAAAATATTGAAAGTGTTGGGAGAAAAAGAACACCAACCCTAGAACTCTGTATTTTGCAAAATTATCCTTCAAAAGTGAAGGAGAAATAAAGACTTTCTCAGACAAACAAAAGTTAAGGAAATTTGTTGCCAGTAGGCCTCCCTTGCAATAAAATTTTATAAAGTTCCATGGAGAGAATGAAAAGAAACTCAGATCTATATAAATAAAGAGCATAAGAGAAGGAATAAGTAAAGGTAAAATTAAAATTTTTATTTTCCTTAATCTAAGAGCTTATTCAAAATAATGATAGCAGCAATCTATTCAATTACATATATGCACAATCCATGAAAGAATTGGTAAGCTGAATTTTATTCAAATCAAAATGTTCTACTCTGCAAAAGATGCAGTCAAGAGAATAAAAGAGAAGTCGTAGACTGGGAGAAAATGTTGGCAAAGACATATCTGATAAAGGACTGTTATCCAAAATATGCAAGCAACTCTTAAAACTCAACAAAAAGAAAACAAACCACTGATTAAAAAATGGGCCCAAAATCTTATATTAAGCTGTTCTTGCATTACTATAAAGAAATACCTGAGACTGGGTAATCTATAAAGAAAAGAAGTTTAATTGGCTTATGTTTCTGCAGGCTGTTCAAACATGGTACCAACATTACTTGGCTTTTGGGAAGGCCTCAGGAAGGTTTTATTCACGGTTGAAGGTGAAGCTGGAGCAGGCACATTACATGGCAAAAGCAGGAGCAAGAGAGAGAAAGTTGGTGGGGGAGGTGACACCAACTTTTAAATGATCAGATTTTATGTGAACTTAGAGCAAGAGATATTAAGCATCACTAAGAAGATGGCACAAATCATTCATGAAGAATCTGCCCCCATGATCCCAACACCTCCCACTAGGTCCCACCTCCAACACTGGAGATTACATTTCAACATGAGATTTGCATGGGGACAAATATCCAAACTATATCAGTCTTCAACAAACACCTCACCAAAGAAGATATGCAGATGGCAGATCCAGGTGGCTTCATATAATATTCCATCAGGGAAATGCAAATTCCAATAGCAATGAGATATCACAACACACCTATTAGAATGGCCAAAATCCTGAATAATGGCCACAGCAAATGCTGCTCACGACATGGAGCAACAGGAACTCTTTCATTGCTGGTGAGAATGCTAAGTGATAAAATAATTTTGGAGGACAGTTTCGCATTTTCTTATAAAATTGAACCTGTTCATACTCTATGATCCAGTAATTACAGTCTTTGGTGTTTACAAAAAGAGTTAAAAATGTATGTCCACACAAAAACCTGCACACAAATGTTTATAGCAGTTTTATTGATAATTGCCAAAACTTGGGAGCAACCAAGACGGCCTTCAGTGGGTGAATGGAGGAATAAACTATGGAATATACAGAAAATGGAATAGTATTCAGAGGTAAGAAGAAATGAGCTATTAAGTCATAACAAGACATGGAGGAAGCTTAAATACATATTACTCTGTCAAAGAAGGCAATATGAATAGGCTGTATATTGTTTGATTCTAACTATATGATATTCTAGAAAATAAAAAACTGTGGAGATAGCGAAAAGATCAGTGATTGCCAGGAGTTTTGGGGAGAGATAAGTAGGCATAGAGCATAGAGAATTTTTAGAGCCATGAAACTGCTCTATATGATGCTACAATTGATATATGTCATAAATTTTTTCAAACTCATAGAATGTACAACAACAATGAACTCTAATGTAAACTATGGACTCTAGGTGATACTGATGTGTCAATGTAGGTTCATCAGTTGTAAAAAATGTACCACACTGGTGATGGATGGAGGAGGCTATGCAAGTGTGGAGGAAGGGAATATATTGGAAATCTCTGCACCTTTCACTCAACTTTGTTGTAAACGTAATACTTCTATACAAATAAATTCCACAAAATTGTAAACAGGGGTTGGGGCCAAGATGGTAGAAGCAGCTAGTGTGTGCTACTCTCATGGAAAGAAGAAAGTATAGTAAGTAAACATTAGCTCCTCAACTCAATCATCCAGGTGGACACACTGGGATTCATTAAGGAAGTAATGTGACCCATGGAGAACAGAGAGGAGCAAGACAGGACAGCTACTCACCCAGGATTCATGTAGATTGAGGGGTGGCTCCCTACCATGGGAAAATGATGCGTGAGTGAGAGCCCCTGAGAACCCACTCTTCTGCCATGGATCACAGCAACCCTGGGCTCAGGAGCTCCTGTGCAATCTTCACCTCACCAGGGCCTTCAGACTGACACAGAGAGATGCGTGGAGTCTGGGCAGAGCTGCTGCACAGGCATACATGGAGTCCTGGTGTCCTTGGATTCCACACCAACATCAGCTGCTGCAGCTCCAGCAATAGGGTAGGCCAGGTTTCCTCACATGCACCCAAGATAGGGGCTAAATGCACGGGGCAAGGGGAGAAGGTACTGCAGGGCCCGCCTCCACTATACTTTGCCGGGCAAGGCCCACTGGCTTGGGACCCTAAAATGGCTACCTCAGTTCCACCTGAGTTCTCCAGTCAGTAGCAGCACTGCGCTTCTCTGGGACAGAGCTTGCCATCTTTGTTGCTCCTTTGCTCCCACCCCTACTACTCTCAGGATTGGGAAGGAGCAAAGTGATTAAGGACTTAAAGCAGACCCCTGTCACAGTGCAGCTACCTTACAGAAAGTGGCCAGGCTGTTTTCCATGTGGGCCCATGTCCCTGATATTCCTCACTCAGCAGGGCTTTCTGACCGGGGATGCCAGCCACCCTACCCCCGCCTCAGATCTTGGCTGGTAGCAGCTCCGCACTTCTCTGAGAAGGGTTTCCTGTGGTAGCAGGCGAGTCAGCAATTTTTGCTGCTCTGCAGCAACCACCCCTACTGCCCTCAGCCTCAGGAAGGAGCAAAGTGATTAAGGATTAACAGGAGCCCCAAGCACACCACATTTGCCTTATGGAAAAGTGGCCAGTTTTCCATGCAGGTCCCTCCTCCTGTTACTCTTCACTGGGTGGGTCCCCCAGCACTCTGCCCCTCCCTGAACACTTCAGTCAGTGTTAGCTCTCCGTTTCTCTGGGGACAAAATCCCAGAGTCAACCCACAGTCCCTCTCCCATTGTATCTGCAGTGATACTGCATGTATTAGCCTCCAGCTAGGGAAGGAACAAAGGGCCTGGTTGCATTGCTGGCACCTGCAACACACTGAAGCCACCCTATGGAGTGGAGCTGAGTCCTCTCCATAAGCCCCGACCCCCTGCTCATCGCCAGGCAGTGCCTCTGGCTTGGGACCCCAGAACAACCCTCATCCCCAACTGAACATTCCCACGGGTAGTGGCTTTGTGTTTCCCTGGGATGAAACACAAGTTCCACAAGAGGAATTAATTGTATAGCCCTTTTCACCCTGGGCAGGATGGGCTACCTGTGGATTGAAGAGAGACGTTGCCAGGGACTATAAAGATGTCAGGGGATACATAGCCTATGGTACAAGTTCTAGTCCAGTTAGTGGGGAGGCACTGGTGAACTGGTTGGCCACAAATATAAAAGGATCCATGGGTTTTAAGATAAGTAAATTAATTGAGGACAAGATATGTTAATGGCAGCACAGGGAGGAATTTGCTTAGCCTTGGATGAAAAGTATTGCTTTTGGGTAAATCAATCAAGAAAAGTACAAGACAACATCAAACTCCTCTTAAATCATGCCTCCAGGTTATAGGAATGAGCCTCTCAAGGTTGGTTAGATTGGGAAGCAACCTGGAAATGGTTCTCCTGGGTTCTTCCCTTTTTAGGACCACTTGTTACTCTCTGACTTTTGCTCCTTTTTGATTCATGTCTTCTAAATCTAATAACCTGATGTGTCTCCTCTCACCTTCAGGCCATCAAGTTCTGGATGATCCTCAGTGAGGGATACCATCCTCTCAATATTGAAGAGGCACCCTTCTACAAGGGACCCCTAGACTGCCCATCAGTGTGACAGGAAGGAGGCAAAATCCTGCCCCTGACTCCCTTGAACCTGGTTAGATACTGCTTTTACCAACCCATAGAGTCAACCTCCTGCCCTGAGAGCTAGCAAGAGGCCAAGACCCACAGAACCACCACTGTTCCTCTGTCAGCAGGAAGCAGTTACAGAAGATTGACCTTCATCCATTTTTCCCCCAAAGATTTGGGGTCTTGGGCTCTTGAGGGGGGAATGTTACATGTAGACAGGCATGAGTGGGGCAGGAGAGGTCTCCCCACTAATCAGGAATGTCAGGCATCAGGTGATGTTTCAACAATGATCACGTTGCCTCTCTAAAAATGATAATTCAGCAGCTGGTGCCAGGGAGAGACAATCTCCTGTTGATCCACAGCTGTTAACATTAAAGTGTTAATTGAATGCAGGCGCATGGGAGAAGCAAAAATGACTTCCAAAAAAATCTCAGGTATTGGGCAAGTAAGCATTATGACAAAATGGTGGAGTATGACCTTCCAGGGGCACTCCACCAGAAAAGGGAAGAAAGCCTCAGATGGGCATGAATACAACTTACTAAACCCACTGCGTGTGCTGACTTCTCAAGGGCAAGGAGGCAACTGCACATGTGGGCAGCCCAGCCTAAGGGAAGAATCACCAGGAAAAGGTACAAGACGCCAGAGGTGGGCCAGCCTATAAAGTCCTAGGAACAGAGTCAAACGGGACACTTGTACTTTAAGTCACCCACTTGGATCTCTTCCGAGTACACTTTCTTGTCTCTCCTTCTCTAAAGCTTTTTAATAAACTTCCACTCCTGCTCTGAAACTTGCCTCAGTCTCTTTTTCTACTTTATGCCCCTCGTTTGAATTTTTTCTTCTGAGGAGGCAAGAATTGAGGTTGCTGCAGACCCACAGGGACTTGCTGCCAGTAACTGGGATACCTTCCACCACTAACAGTACTGCCCTTGTTGCCCTCAGACTAGGAAAGGAACAAGAAACCTGAAAATTTTACTCACACCACAGCTTCCCTAAAGAGAAGTGGACAGTCTGTCTTCCCCCTGAGCCCCCTTCCCCCATGCTCATCACTAGACAGGGTCCCCTAACTTGGGCCCACAACACAGCTGCCCCACCCCGGGCTGATCACCCCAATTGGTAGTGGCTCTGCATTTCTTTGGGTGGATCCCCAAGGGACAAGTGAAAGATCCTCTGCCATTGCCTCTGCAAAGGTCCCTACCCTAGCTGCTCTCAAGCTTGAGAGGGAACATAAAGCATGAGCTCACCTCAGGGCTGCGGTGTGCAGCCCAGGAGGGCTAAGCCAAGACCTGCAGCTAGCACTAGAGTTGCAGAGGAGCCCACACCCTCAGAACACTGAGAGAGAGAGAGAGCACAGCTGCATACATAAGGAAATATAGAGGATTTATGAGGCTGAGCAAGAGCCTACTGGCTGTTAAGCTTAAGTGCCACCTATTGGATCACAGGCCAAACATCAACACCAAAAATACTCTGCTAATATGTCCCCCACTGTGAAACCAAGGACAACAATTTTGCTACAAATAAAGACCCAACACAAAGCCTTAGCCCCTTGAAAACATCCAGAAAAGAAGCCAACTTGCTATACTGAAATAATACCACAGTTAAAGAAACACCAACCCACATGGATGAGGAAGAACAAGCACCAGAACTCTGGCAGCTCAAAAAGCCAGAGTGCATTCTTTCTTCCAAACAGCTGCACTAGTTCCCCAGCAATGGTTTCTAACCAGGCTGAAATGGCAGAAATAGAATAGAAACAGAATTTGGATAGGAATGAAGATCTTCAAGACTCAGGAGGAAGTCAAAATCCAATCCAAGAATCTAAGGATTACAGTAAAATAATACAGGAGTTGAAAGAGCATATGACCATTTTAAGAAATAACCTACTAAACTGATAGAGCTGAAAAACACACTACAGGAATTTCATAATACAATTACAAATATTAACAGCAGAATAGACCAAGTCAAGGAAAAAATATCAGAGCTCAAAGAGTGGTTCTCCAAACTAACTCAGTCAGACAAAAATAAAGAAAAAAGAATAAAAGACATTAACAAAAATCCCTGAGAAATATGGGATGATGAAAAAAGACCAAGTCTACCACTCATTGTTGTCCCTGAAAGAGAGGGGAGAAAACAAGCAACTTGCAAATCATATTTGAGGATATTGTCCATGAAAATTTTTGCAACCTTGCTAGAGAGACCAATGTTAAAATTTAGGAAATGCAGAGGACCCCTGTGAGATATTATACAAGATAACCATCCCCAAGACATATGGTCATCAGATTCTCTAAGGTTGAAATGAAAGAAAAAATATTAAAAGCAGCTAGAGAGAAGGGGCAGGTCACCTAAAAAGGGAACTCCATCAGGCCAAAAGCAGACCTTTCAGCAGAAACCTTACAAGCCAGAAGAGACTGGGGACCTATTAATATATTCAGCATTATTATAAAGAAAAGAAACTGTAACCAAGAATTTCATACCCAGACAAACTAAGCTTCATAAGCAAAGGAGAAATAAGAACCTTTTTAGGTAAGCAAATACTAAAGGAATTGGTTACCACCATACCTGCCTTATAAGAGGTCCTTAATGGAGTGCTAAATATGGAAACAAAAGACCATTACCAGCCACCAATAAAACATATTTAAATACACAGACCATTGGCATTATAAGGTAACTACGCCATCAAGTCAGCATGATAACTAGCTAACAACACAATGACAAGATCAAATCTACACATATCAATATTAATCTTGAATGTGAACAGGAGAAATGTCCATATTAAAAGGCACAGAGTGACAAGTTGGATTAAAAAAAAAAACAAAAACCCTACTCTATGCTTTCTTCAAGAGGCCCATTTCACATGCAATGACATCCATAGGCTCAAAATACAGGGATGGAGAAAAATCTATCAGACAAATGGAAAAAAAAAGAAAAAAAAGCAGAAGTTGCTATGCTAATTTCAGACAAAAGAGATTTTAAATTTTAAGCCAACAAAGATAAAAAAAAGACAAAAAGGGTATTACATAATGGTAGTGTTCAATTCAATAAGACTTAAATATTCAAAATATATATGCACCAAACTAGGAGCATAAAATAAGTTCATAAAATAATCCAGATTCATAAAATAAGTTCTTAGATACCTTCAAAGAGACTTAGATAACCATGCAATAATAGTGGGAGTATTTAACACCCCACTGACAATATAAAACAGATTATCAAAGCAGAAAACTAATGAAGATATTCGAGACCTGAACTCGACATTTGACCAAATGAAACTAACAGATATCTACAGAACTCCACACCCAAAAACAGCAGAATATACATTATTCTCATCTGCACATGGCACACACTTTAAAATCAACCGTATGATCAGCTATAAAAGAATTCTTGGGAAGAAAAAATCACACCAACCACATTTTCAGACCAATAAAATGTGCGATAAAAATAGAAATCAATACTAGGAAGATCACCCAAAACCATACAATTACATGGAAATTAAACAATGTGCTCTTCAATAACTTTTGGGTAAACAATGAAATTAAGGCAGAAGTCAAGATTTTTTTAAACTAATATAAACAAAGATACAATATACCAGAATCTCTGTGACACAGCTAAAGCAGTGTTAATAGGAAAGTTTACAATGCTAAATGCCCAAATCAAAAAGTCAGAAAGATCTCAAGTTAAGAACCTGACATCACAGCAAGAGGAACTAGAGAAAAAACAAACCAACCCCAGAGCTAGCAGAAGACAAGAAATAACCAAAATCAGAGCCAAACTGAAGGAAATCAAGATGTGAAACAACATACAAAAGATTAACAAAATCAGAAATTGATTATTTGAAAGAACAAATAAGATAGATGGCTTGCTAGATACACTAATTTAAAAAGAAGATCCAAATAAATGCAATCAGAGATGACAAAAGGGGACATTACCACAGACCCCAAAGAAATACAAAAAATCATCAGAAACTATTATGAACACTTCTGTGCATACAAACTGGAAAACTTACAAGCAATGGATAAATTCCTGAAAACATACAACCCCCCAATACTGGAACAGGAAGAAATTCAGTGAACAGACCAATAATAAGTTCTGAAGTTGAATCAGTAATAAAAAGCTAAAAAGCCTACCAACCAGAAAAATCCCAGGTCCAGATGGATTTACAGCTGAATTCTACCACATGAATAAGGGAAAGCTGGTACTATTCTTACTGAAACTATTCCAAAAAATTGAGGAAGGTTTGACTCCCCCATAACCCATTTTATGAGGCCAGCATCATCCTGATACCAAAACCTGGCAAAAACACAACAAAAAAGGAAAACTTCAGGCCAATATCCTTGATGAATATAGATGCGAAATTCCTCAACAAAATACTAGCAAACCCAACCCAGTAGGACATCAAAAAGCTAATCCACTATGAGCAAGTAGGCTTTATCCCTAGGATGCAAGGTTGGATTAACATACACAAATCAATGTGTTATTTGTCACATATAAAGAGCTAAAAACAAAAACCACATTATAATCTCAATAGACGCAGAAAAGGCTTTTGATAGAATTCAGCATCTCTTCATGTAAAAAACCCTCAGTAAACTAGGCATTGAGGGAACATACCTCAAAACAAAAAGACCCATTTGTGACAAACCTACAGCCAACATCATACTGAATGGGAAAAAGCTAGAAGCATTTCCCTTGAGAACCACAACAAAACAAGCATGCTCACTTGCACCATGCCTATTCAATATAGTAAAGGAGGTCCTAGCCAGAACAATCGGGCAAGAGAAAGAAATAAAAGGCATCCAAATAGGAAGAGAAAAAAATCAAATTGTCTCTGTTTGCAGATGATATAATTTTATACCTAGAAAACGTGAATTCCATAGTACACAATGGAATACTGCACAGCTATAAAAAAGAATGAGATAATGTCTTTGCAGCAACATGGGTGGAGCTGAAGGCCATTATCCTAAGCGAACTAATGCAGGAACAGAAAACCAAACACTGCATGTTCTCACTCATAAGTGGGAGCTAAACATTGAGTACACGTGGACACAAAGAAGGGAACACAGAGATGCTGGGGCTAACTTGAGGGTGTAGGTTGGGAGAAGGGAAAGGAAAAAGAAACTACCTGTTGAGTACTGTGCTTATTACTTGGGTGATGAAATAATATGTACACTAAACCCCTGTGGCATGCAATTTATCTATAGAACCCACCTGTGCAGGTGCGTGTACCCCAAAACTAAAATAAAAGTTAAAATAATGTAAACAAAAATGTGAAAGGAATTTCTTCAAATATTCCTCTTTATAGAGTTTAGGATTCTGAATTATATTATTGTTTTAGGTACTTGAAAAAGTTAAAATCAACAATAAAGGCAAAAAAATAGAAAGAAACATAACTATGTATCAAATAGATAACTAAAAGTTAAAAAAGAATTAATCCTGTGTCACAAGCACATATGTATTAACATTTGTACCAGATATGACATTTGAATACAGAAGGTTATATAAAACCACAAATGAAAATAGAGTCTTTTATGTTTTTCATTCTCTTAGGTCAGGTTGTTCAGAAGCAGAGTGTGAGATGAGATTTTTGTGCCTGTTGCCTATTAAAAGGATACTCTCAGGAAAATTCTGTATGGGAATGAGGGAAGCAGGATAGTAAAGGAAAGCAAGTTAGTAAGGAGATGATTTCTGATACAGCTTAGCCACAGCTTGAACCCATGTGGCCATCTGAAGCATAAACTATACCACAGAATTTGCCCTGCCTAGACACATTGTAGGAGTTGCAGGGAGCCTGGGCTTTTATACACTGTATCCATCAGTGACTGGATACAGGCTATTTGAAGGGGAGGCATGTAACTCTCAGGTAACCTTGGAGAAATGGATCCAATTGTCCATGAGCAATCCTCCAGAAAAGACTGTTACCAGCAACACCTACAACAGCTGGATTTGGGGATGCAAACCAGTGAAAATGATTCCTGAGATCTCGGCGGGACTCCAACAGCCTCTGCAATACCCATATATAAGTATCTATGGGTTAAGGTCCTCCTACAATTTTGTTCTAAGGAAAGCATAGTGTGCAGTCTATCACAATCCAAATGCTATGATAATCATAATGATAATGATGAGAATGATAATGATGATGATTATTATACTGTGGGAACTTAAAATGTGTCATATTTTTCCCATAAGAGTTTTGCCTGTGTTAACTACTTTAATTCTTATACCAACCGTATGATGGAGATGCTATTATTATCCTTATTTTTACAGATGAAAAAACTGAGGCTCAGAGTGTGAAGTTGCACAGACAATAGCAGATGGAGATTTGAACCCAGCCAGTTCAGATGTTGGGCTATAACCTGAATTCCAACTGATTGAATTGAGATAACATCAGATGCAAAGGCAACTATCTCCAGAAAGGACATGAGGGAGGCAGGTGAGCTATCAGAGGCAATGGATGAGAAATCTATCCAGTGATACTCTATGCTGAGTACTGCTCAATCAAGTCAGAAGCAGAAGTTCAGAGTTCCACACAAAAGCCAGTATGAACAGGTCTTTGAAGAACAGAAGTAGGAGCAACAGAGGAAGGTGAAAAGAGAAAGAAGGTAATGAGAGGGTGAATCACACACATATATATAAGCATATGCCAGGAGATAGAGTGGGGCAGGAATTCTAAAGGGACTGGCAAGTAAACTGAGTCACTAGCCTGGGACTGCCTAAGGTTGTTATTGGGACACTTGTCTTGCTGTGACACCCAAATCATATTTTAGTTATTGTAATATATTTTTATTATATTAAATCCTCACCAACATATTACTCTTTTTTGCTAATTGAATGAATAAAAAAGGTAAATTCCACCTGATGACCTGGGAGTCTCACCTTAGCTGTTAGGAGGCATGAAACTAAATTTAGTTTTATGGGTGGCAACAATTTTATTCATGGATTCCAATAAAATATTATATCTATAAAAGGGTTGCATATGACACTTCTTTTTATCATTAATTGTTCTGCTTTAATATGGGTTTAACATTTTAAGTTTCTTAAAGTATGCATAGTATAAACTCCAAATAGCTATGTGGGAGAGATATAGATATTGTGTTATTTTATATCAAATCTTGGTGTAAGAATATATGACAAAGTAAAGCAATAGACATAAAACAAAATATTATTGGGTAAGAACATGTGATCGAGACAGTGGAATGATTTACATACTTAGAAAACCACACAGCCTATTAAAATGAGGCCAAGAGTGCCTAGGAAACTATTTCCTTGTATAGCAAAAGCAAAATGCTTGATATTAGGAAATAGGATGGTAGAAGTTCATACTGGTTGTGACAATTCCTATTATGTAACTTTTAATATAACCAGCTACTGTAAAAAATAAAAGGATAAGAGTAAATGCAAAGTAACCAATTAATTACATTAAATTCAACTTGACAATATTGGGACTCTGTCACTTAGTGCAGAAATTATGAACTCTAAAATATTCTCCTTGGAAATATGTGAAACATCAATGATATGCAACCTCAGCTAAGAGTGCTTGAAGTCTGGAAATTTCCAGATAATCTATATAGACCAATAAAGAAGGAAAATTATAATCTTTCCCAAATCTTAGCTAATCAAAATTTTCAGGGAATTACATGTGTTCTTTTTATATTTTTATATTAACTGAGTTTACAAGCTAGACTTGGTGGTGCATGCCTGTAATCCCAGCTACTTGGGAGGCTGAGGAAGGAGAATTGCTTGAACCTGGGAGGTGGAGGTTCTGGTGAGCCCAGATCACGCCATTGCACTCCAGCCTGGGCAACAGGAGTGAAACTTCATCAAAAAAAAAAAAAAAAAGAAAGAAAAGAAATGTTTTTTCTTGCTACAGGCACCTTTGTAAAACACTCAACACAATGCTTAGCCCACAATAAAAATGTTCTATTAATGTAAAATTACTATTACTATTGATATCATGATTGGTCCATCCATTGTAAAGTGAAATGCAGAAAGACTAAGTGATTGAAGACTTCTTTATATTTAACCCAAGTTATTTTTTCTATTATAAAGTTTTTTTCATATTTATTATATGAGTACAATTTTTAAAAAATACAAAGAAGAAAAGGGTAATCAATAGATAAATAAATAATAGATGGGCAACCTTTAGTTGTGTTTTAAGAAATTTAGGTTTTAAAATTTCTTCTTTCCTTAAAAGCATGCAAAACATTTCCACACATATTCATCATCCATCTGCACAACAGTTTGCTGTAATAATGGGCAGTTACTGTTCTCAGCGCATAGAAGGGAAAACATACAAAGGTTAAGTGACTTGCTTACTTGGCAAGAACAGAATTAGAACTTCTGTCACTTGGCATTTGACTCTTTCACCACGTGGCCTAAGACCATTTTTCTACTAAACATTATTACCTACAAGTCACTAATACATTTGTGAACATCAATCACCACTTAGATTGATTTAGGTCCTTAAAATGTGTGTGTGGTACCATTTCTTACCTCTTTGTCCTAACAGCTAAAAACCTTGATTAGCTGAAATGTGCTCTTAATTTCCCCTAAATTTCAAATTTTCACCCTTGATACTCTTTGAAGGTATTATTTAACTCTGAAAGAGAAATGAGACTAACCTAAAGGGTAGACACAGTCTTGCAAAGAAAATTACAAACCTAACACTCTACAAGAGAGATCAGCCAGCTCTCACTCATCTCCTGTTTGCAAATTAACACAAAGCTAGATTCTAATAGTAGTCATGGAAATGGGTACAGGTATTAGATTTAGGTTACATTTTGGAAGTAGAATTGGAAGAGAACTTGTAAAAGAAAGAAGGTAAATCCTAACTTCAGGCCTGGGCAGCAGGGTGAAATGTGCAGTCACTTCCTGAGATGAGGAAAATAGTAAGAGTAGGTTTAAGGAAAAGAAATAAAGAATTTGGCTTGGGAAATATTAAATTTAAGGGGAAATTTCATCCAAGTGGAGATATCATATAGACAGTTATACATCTTAGACTGAAAGAAGAGTGAGCAGAGTCAGAGATAGAAATATGAAAGTCAACTGGGTGTCAGAGAACTAGATGGGATCATTAGATAGAGTTCAGATTGAGATTTCTGAGGACTGAGAATTGGAAGCACTGAGTCAAGGGGATCCTATGGAGAGATGGTGGAGTCAGGGAAGCAGGAATACAGTGTAGTGTCTCAGAAGCCAAGGGATGAAAGCATTTAAAGATAAGTTCCCCAAATAACGATCAACTCTATCAAATGATACTAAGAATTCAAGTAAGATGACAGCCTTGCCTATTGGGTTTTGCAGCATTATATCTATTAATGATCCTGGAAAGTGATATTGCTGTTGGAAATGAAATTCTAATTGAAATCAGTCAAGAATATATGACAAATGAGAAATTGGGGACAGAGAATAAACAACCAATTCTAGTAGCTCTGCAAAAACAGTGGAGAAGAGAAAAAGGACAGTAGCTGGAGGAGCATGTGGGGTTCAGTGTTTTGGTTTTGTGGGTGTTTTTTGTTGTTGTTTAGTTAAATGTGTGTGTGTTTTTTTTTGTTGTTAAACATGACATATAGTGCAGCATGTTCATATGCTGTTGAGAATAATATAATAGAGAGAGAAAACTGATAGTATAGTGGTAAGGAGGAATAACTCTAGGAGCAAAGTCCTTGAGTAGAAGAGTAGCATCAAAGTGTACAAGTGATATATCAGTTACAATTAGAAGCATGAATAATTCAGCTACTAAAATATGAAAGAAGGCAGAGTACACCAGTATAGATACAGGTCGTTTTGTAAATTTTGGTGGGGAAAAATGAAGAAGGTCTCTTCTGTTTGTCATTATTTTATTAGTTAAATGAGAAGAAAGGGCATCAGAGTGAGTTGAATGAAAGGGAAGTTGTGGAAGAGATGTGAAATAGTGGTCTTGGAGAATGGGAGAATGAACTGACTAGAAGAAGTTGCAGTATTGCCAGATAGTGCTGGGAAATCATAGCATGGTTCTGTTCTTTCTTCCAACCACTTTCTCAGACATGGGCGCAGAAAAAGTGGACAGTTGGATTTAACCAAGGCTGTTGCTTGCCAATGAATATGGTGACAGGAGAGAAAGGCAGCAGAATTAGGAGTGCATGAAAAGGAGTAATTATAGTAAGATAAAGGGATCTAAACTGGATAAAGAGATAAATATATATTCATATTAATGAAAAAGTCAATAGTGAATGGATTGGAGATACCAGCTGGTTCAAGCATTGAAATTCTACAGTCTTTATTTCCCTTTCTCCAATGTTATTATTAGCTTCATAACACAAGTTTTCTTAGGAATGCGACCATCATATCATACTGTATTAAAATAATGACAGTCTACATTAAAATGATACTAATTTGGTAGAAACTCAGTTATACTGTTTTTAGACAAATATTTATAAACTTTCAGTTATGTTTTAAAAAACGTAAGGTCCAATAAAACCAGCATGACCAGTTTCCTTTGCTCAGTACCTAAATCTTTATTGACATCTGTCTGAAACTCTCTATCCAAATAAATCCCAAAGCACTTTGCAATCTTTTTTTCCATAGTGTTTCTCTTATTCATTCCCTTCCTGTCAGGTTCATCTCAGACCCATAAGCATACAATCTTCACCTAAAGGCTCTCCAGACTACGCTGACTTTCAAGATTAACCTTTGGACCCCCTTACACATGCTCCATTTGCAACCTAAATGTGTCTCAAACACAGCTAAATTGTCTTATTTTATGTCCTACTATAAACGTTCACATCTATGTAATACATTCAGCTTAATCTGAAATTCCCTGGGCTTTTACACTGCTTTATGTCTTTCCCTTTCCTTCCTGTTTTCATCCCATATTCCATCCTGTATCTGCCAAAACCTGCCCCTGGAAAATTCAGAGGTGTCCATTGTGCATTTGGTGAGCTGTGAGGGAGAGATCTTGAGAACCCTGGACACTAGGGAACCACAACTGGCTGGCAAAGTGTTTCTTTGGCAGCTGTGGTTTGGAAACACTTCACAGGCTGTTTCTTGTAAGCTGGGCAGAGATTGCTTTTTTAGAAAAGTCCCTCCTTGTCAACTGCTTGTTGGCTGGCCTCTGTGCAAATTAAAGCATGATCCTTCAGAAGAAGGCAGTAGAAATTTGTTAGGGAATCATTTATTAAATGAGAGAACAGTTATAATTTTGTGAATTCATATCTTGAAACCAACTTCCTTTTCTTCTTTCAAACATATGGGATGAATAAAGAAACAGGTTTAGTGATTAAGCTGAATTTACTTGCCATCTCCTCCTGCCTGCCGCCCACCCCGCAAAAAAAAAAACACCCATATTTTAAAGGGAAAAAAGGCCTTTGTTTATTTAGGCCATGGTGTTTTGACGGCATAGTTGGAATAGCTGATGATCTGGCTAAATCTCTCAGAAGTCTAAGGCAGAGTGAGACACAAATACATGAGATAACAAGTTACTTATATTTGGTAAAATATGCTGGAGTTGTTTTTTAGATCTATAGAATAAAGAATGTGATCAGATGTCAGGCCATGAACTCTTAGCCTAAACTAGAGGACACATACTGTAAAGGTCAAAGGAAGTATTAGGAAACCTGCTGATCTCCCAGGTTCTACACAAGAAACATTTATTTGTACTGTCTTTCTTTGGTGGGATAAAAGTGATGGGCAAAAAAAGACATAGTGCAAAGATATTGATGGGAGGCCTTTTCTGAATAAAAGATGTTTCTAAGAGGCTGCAAACTGGACACTGAGAAGTATGTCACTATTTCCTCCCACATGTTCACAAGAACCCAAGCAACAAAGCTGGTCCCCTCTTTGTTTCAGGTAAGGCAAGAGTCAGTGTGACTCAGGATAGAAACTCACCGATGGGAAAGTGAAAACAGACTAACTGAAAGGATTGCAAGATCTGAAGGAAGTCATATCAGGGCACATAAGGATGACAGAATAACCCACAGAATGTATACAGTTCACCACTTTCTAATTAGTGGTGATACAGACAGGAGAGAGGGAAATAATGGATAGAAGAGGGCGGTTCCCTGGCAAAGGCCTCACCCTCAAGCCTGGAAACCCTTGACCCTAAATAGGAACAGGCATTTCTGCTTTCACCCCCAAATGTAGCCTTTTGGCCTGCCATGCCCCCCAGCCTGTACCCATATAAACCCCAAACCCCAGGCTCCAAGAACAGAAGAGCAGATAAGCAGATGAGCAGAAGAGTAGAGGAGCAGAAGAGTGGTGCGGCAGACAAAAAGAGAAGAGAAGGAGCATCTGAACGTACAGACGAGTTTGGCTGGGGGTGGTCAGAGAGATCAACCGCGGGACAACTGAACTCCAGGGGAAAATCATCTTCCCACTCCATCCCGTTTCCAGCTTCCCCATCCATCCCGCTGGCAGCCATCTCCATCTGGCAATAAAATATCCACATTTACCATCCTTCAATTTGTCTGTGTGACCTGATTCTTCCTAGATGCTAGACAAGAACCCAGGTATCAAGAAGTCACTGAGCTGGTTAACACTTAAGCCGTCTGCGGACAGCAGAGCAAAAAGAGCACTGTAACATGCCCACTGGGGCTTTGGGTTGACTGTGGCCCACAGTCAACCACCCCTAGACACTACTGTGAGGCGGGAGCCCAGAAACGCCCACCCCAGCTCCTGCACCTGCCCGTCTGCATGCTCCCCCTCCCAAAAGGGGTTTGAGCATGCAGCAATCAAACAGATGAGCCACACCCCTGTCACATGTCCTGTGAGGGGAGTTATGAAAGTCTCCATTTCAGTAGTTTCAATACCATACAGGGTAAAGTGTCAGCCCAGTGACAATGGCATGATGTGGGCCTTGCCTTCTACAAAAATGGAAAGTTCTGCAAACTGAGCAATTTCTCCTCTCTTATATTTGGTAACTTTAGGAAGTAATGTTAATTAACATATTGTTAGAAAGTGCTCTAGTAGAAAGCAATCAGAAACCTGGAGCGAGTGTTTGTTTTGTTTTCTTATATTATTTTTAGAAAACTCTACCATAGACTAAATTCAACAAAAGTGATACCATAAATATAGGTGGGTACACACACACACAAACACACACATACATATACACACACACACATATGTCCTGTCTTTGTGCCAGTGCCATAGTCTTAATTACCATAGCTTTAGAGTAAATTTTCTTTTTCTTCTATTAAAAATTATTCAAGCTACTTTAGATATTTTGTACTGCCATATAAATTTTAGAGTCTACTTGTCAATTTTTACAAAATAAAAAGACTACTGGGATTTTGATTAGGATAATATTGAAACGATAGACTAATTTGTGAAAAGACGACAGCTTAACAATATTGGGTCATCCCACACATGAATATGCTATATCTCTACATTTATTTATGCTTTTTAAAATTTCTTGCAGCAAAGTTTCACAGCTTCTTGGAGAAGTGGAGCAAGATGATGGAATAGAAGGTTCCACTTATCTTCTCTGCCCCCGCTCTCAAGGACACCAATTTAACAACTATCTACACAAAAAAACACCTTTAGAAGAACCAAAAATCAGATAAGCCCTCATAGTACCTGGCTTTATCTCAACATCACTGAAAGAAGCACTGAAGAAATAGAAAAAACAGTTCTAAATTGTGGATCCCTCCCCTTCTTGCTCCCCGACCTTCCACAGCAGTGCAGCTGTGTAGTGCAGAGAGCCTCTCTGGGTGCAGGGGGAAGGAGAACACAGCAATTGTGAGGCACTAAACTCAGTGCTGTTCTGTTAAAGCAGAAAGGAAAACCAGATCAAACTCAGCTGATGCCCACCCAGAGAGGGAGCATTTAAACCAGCTCTGGCCAGAGGGAAATTGCCAATCCCAAAAAACCTCATCACCATGGGCTACAGTGCTCTGTGTCTCCAAATAAACTTGAAAGTCAGTCTAGACCATAGAGACTGCAACATTTAGACAGGTCCTAGTGCAGAACTAGGCTCAGAGACAGTAGTTTGTGGGGGCATGTGAACTACTGAGACACCAGCTGGGGTGGCTAAGGAAGTACTGACATCACCCTTCCTCCCCTAACCCAAGGCTGCACAGCTCACACCTCCATCCCTTCCTTTCACATGAGAAAGGAGGGAAGAGTGGGGAAGACTTGGATACCAGATTATCCACTTTGATACCAGCTATCATCTGGATAGGGCATCCGCCATAGTTGTGAGGCCCATGTTTCCTAGCTCCTGGATGGCATATCTAGACATGTTCTGGGCCCGAAGGGAACCCACTATCTTCAAGGAAAAGGATCCAGTCCTGGCAGCATTTATCAACTGCTAACTGAAGAGCCCTTGGACACTGAATAACCAGCAGTAATACCCAGATACCATGCTGAGGGCCTTGGGTGAGCCTATGAGACTTACTTGCTTCTGGTACCAGCATGGCCACAGGAAGGGAGTCCCTGACTCTAGGATTTGACTTTTGGATTGCATTTCTGGACCTGCCCTGAGCCAGAGGGGAGCCCACTGCCCTGAAGGGTGAGTCCCAGGCCAGCTACCATTCATGACAAGCTGGCTTAAGAGCCACTGGGACTTAAAGGAACATTAGAGGTAGTCTTGTAGTATTCCCTGTGGCCTGGAGTGGTGGTGGCTATGAAGCGAGGTTCCTCTGCCTTTGGAAAGTGGAGGGAAGAGTGAGAAGGACTGCATCTTATGGTTTGAGTGCCAGCTCGGCTGCAATACGATAGAATACCAGGTAGGCTTCTACAGTTTTTATTCTAGTCCCTGATTCCTAGATGGCACCTCTGGACCCATCTGGGTCCTGGGAGACTTCACTATCCTGAAGGGAAGGAAACAGGCTTGCATGGCTTTGCCATCTGCTAACTGTAGAGCTCCAGGGCTCCGAGTGAACATAAGCAGTAGCCAGAGAGTGGTTACAGTAGGCCTTGGACAAGACCCAGAGCTATTCTAGCTTCAGGTCTCACTCAGCACAGTCACAGTGGTGATGGACAAAAGGGTGGTTTTGTCACTCCACCCCTAGCCTTAGATGGCTTAGAACAAAGGGAGACTCTGTATGTTTGGGTAAAAGTAAGGGAATAGAACAAGAGTCTTTGCCTGGTAATCCAGAGAATTCTCCTGAATCTTATCCAAGATCATTAAAGTGGTACTTTTATGAGTCTGCAAGAACGACTGGGCTTGGGGTGTTCTTGCAGTCTCATGGAGGTACTCATAGAGGTTCTTGGGGTATCTAAAGCAGTCCTTTCAAATATCTGGAAAGCCATCCCAAGAAGGATAGCAACAAATAAGTCCAGTGAAGACCATAATAAATAACTAACCCTTTAATGTCTAGTCATGGAGGAACATCTACTAGAACCAACACTATTTAGGAAATTGTGACCTCACAAAATGAACTGAAAAGGCATCAGGGACCAACCTGGCATAAACAGAGACATGTGAGCTTTCAGACAGAGAATTCAAAATAGCTGTATTGAGGAAATTCAAAGAAATTTAGTATAACACAGAAAAGGAATTCAGAATCCTATGAGATAAATTTAAGAAAGAGATTGGAATAATTAAAAAGAATCAAGCCGAATCTCTGAGTGAAAAATGCAATTGGCATACTGAAGAATTCATCAGAGTCCTTTAATAGCAGAATTGATGAAGCAGAAGAAAGAATCAGTGAGCGTGAAGATAGGCTAGTTGAAAATACACAATCACAGAAGATAGAAGAAAAAAATAAAACACAATGAAGCACACCTATAGGATCTAAAAAATAGCTTCAAAGTGGCAAATCTAAAAGTTATTGGCCCTACGGAGGAGATAGAGAAAGAAATGGGGGTAGAAAGTTTATTCAAAGCAATGATAACAGAAAACATCCCAAACCTAAAGAAAGATATCAATATCTAAGTATAAGAAGGTGATAGAACACCAAGAAGATTTTCACAAAGAAGACTACCTCAAGGGAGTTAATAATCAAATTCCCAAAAATCAAGGATAAAGAAAGGATCCTAACAGTAGCGACATAAAAGAAACAGATAACATATAATGGAGCTCCAATACATCTGGCAGAGACTTCTCAGTGGAAACCTTATAGGCCAGGAGAGAGTGGCATGACATATTTAAAGTGTGGAAGAAAAAAAATTACCTTACAATAGTATACCAGGCAAAAATTTCCTTCAAACATGAAGGAGAAATAAAGCCATTTCCAGACAAACAAAAGCTGAGGAACTTCATCAATACCAGAACTATAAGAAGTGCTAAAGGGAGTACTTCAATCAGAAAAAAAGTACATTAGTGAGTAATAAGTAATCGCCTTAAGGTACAAAACTCAATGCTGATAGTATATAGAAATACACAGAATATTATAACATTGTAACTGTGGTGTGTAAAGTATTCTTATCCTAAGCAGAAACACTAAGCAATGAACCAATTACAAACAGTAACTACAACGACTTTTCAAGACACAATCAGTACAACAAGATATAAATAAATAGAAACAACAAAAAGACTAAAACTGGGGGAGATGAAGTAAAGGCAGTAGTTCTTATTAGTTTTCTTTTTGCTTCTTTGTTTATGCAGTGTTAAGTTGGTATCAGGTTAAAGTAATGGGTTATAAGATAGTATTTTAAAGCCTCATGGTACTTTCAAACCAAAAATGTACAATGGACACACAATAAGTAAAAAGTGAGAAATTAAATTATATCACCAGAGAAAATCACCTTTACTAAAAGAAGACAGGGAGAAAAAAGAAGGGAAAGAAGACAACAAAAACAATTAATAAGCAACTAACAAAATGGCAGGAGTAAGTCCTTGTTTATTAATAGTAACATTGAATGTAACTGACTGAATTCTCCATTTAAAAGACAGAGTGGCTAAATGGATGAAAAAACATGACACATTAATCTGTTGCCTACAAGAAACACACTTCACCTATAAAGACATACATACATAGACTAAACACAAAGGGATGGAAAAAGATATTCCATGCTAACGGAAACCAGAAAAGAGCAGAAGTCACTATGCTAAGATCAGACAAAATAGACTTCAAGATAAAAACTATAAGAAAAAACAAAGGAGATTACCATATAATGATAGAGGGGTCAATTCATCAAGTGGATATAACAATTTTAAATATATATTCACCCAACACTGGAGCACACAGATGTATAAAGGAAATATTATTAGAGGTAAAGAGAGAGACCCCAATACAAGAAAAGTTGGAGACTTTAACACCTTACTTTCCACATGGGACAAATATTCCAGACAGAAAATCATCAAAAAAGCATCATATTTAATCTCCACTAAAGACCAAAGGGATCTAATAAATATTTACAGAACATTTCATCCAATGGATGCAGAATACACACTTTTCCTCAGCACATGAATTATTCTCAAGAATAAACCATATGTTATGTTACAAAAAATATTAAAACATTCCAAACAAATTGAAATAATATCAAGCATCTTTTCTGACCACATAAAATAAAACTAGCAATTAATAACAACAGAAATTTTGGAAATTATACATGACAATTAAACAATGTGTTTCTGAATGACCAGTGGTTCAATGAAGAAATTAAAAGGGAAATTGAAAACTTTCTGGAAACAAGTGACAGTGGAAACACAATATAGCAAAACCTGTGGGATACAGCAAAAGCAATATTAGAAGGGAAGTTTATACCTATAAGTACCTACATCAAAAAATAGAAGAAAATACTTCAAATAAATAATCTAATGATGAATCTTAAAGAGCTAGAAAAGCAAAAACAAGCCAAATCCAACATTAGTAGAAGAAAAGAAATAAAAATCAGAGCAGAAATAAATGAAACTGAAATGAACAAAACAATACAAAAGACCAATGAAACAAAAAGTTGGTTTTTTGAGAAGTTAAACAAAATGGACAAATATTTAGCCAGACTAACTAAGAAAAAAGAGAATATCCAAATAAATAAAATCAGAACTGAGGAGACATTACAACTCATACTTCAGAAATTCAAAGGATCATCAGTGGCTACTACCAGCAACTATATGCCAATAAGTTGGAAAATCTGAAAGAGGCCATTATCCTCAGCAAACTAAAGTGGGAACAGAAAACCAAATACCACATGCTCTCACTAATAAGTAGAAGCTAAATGATGAGAACATGTGGACACAAAGAGAAGAAAAACACACTGGGGCCTGTTGGAGGGTGAAGGGTAGGAAGAAGGAAAGGATCAGGAAAAATAATAGATACTAGGCTTAATACCTGTAATAATCTGTACAACAAACCCCCAAGAGGCAAGTTTACCTATGTGACAAACCTGCACATATACCCCTGAACTTAAAATAAAAGTTAAAAAAGGAAGAAAATGACAAATCTCTAGACATATAAAACTTACCAAGACTGCTCCAGGAAGAAATACAAAATCTAAATAGAAAATAAGAAGTAACAAATTGAAGTTGTAATAAAAAGTCTCCCAGCAAAGAAAAGCCTGAGATCCAATGGCTTCACTGCTGAATTCTACCAAATATTTAAAGAAGAATTAATACTGATCCTATTCATACTATTCTAAAATATACAAAAAAAGAGGAAGAAATAGTTCCAAACTCATTCTACAAAGACATTATTACCCTGATTACTAAAACCAAACAAGGACACATCAAAAAAAAACTACAAGCTAATATCTCTGGTGAATATTGATGCAAAAATCCTTAACAAAATACTAGCAAATATAATTAAACAATACATTAGAAAGACCATTCATCATGACCAAGTGAGATTTATCCCTGGGATGCAAGTATGCTTCAACATACACAAATCAATCAATGTGACACATTTCATCAACTGAATGAATGATAAAAATCATATGATCATTTCAATTGATGGTGAAAAAGCATTTGATAAAATTCAACACCCCTCCATGATAAAACCCTAAAAAAACTGGGGATAGAAGGAACATAACTCAACCTAATAAAGGCCATAAATGACAGACCTACAGCTAGTGTCATATTGAATGGGGAAAAACTAAAAGACTTTTCTGTAAGATCTGGAAAAAACAAGGATGCCCACCATCACCACTGGTACTCAACATACTACTGGAAGCCTTAGCTAGGGCAATCAGACAAGGGAAATACATTAAAAGCATCCAAATTGGAAAGGAAGAAGTCAAATTATCCTTGCTTGCAGATGATATTGTCTTAAATTTAGAAAAATCTAAAGACTCCAAAAAAAAACTATTAGAACTGATAAACAAAATAAGCAATGTTACAGGATACAAAATCAACATACAAAAATCACTAGCATTTCTATATGCCAACAGTGAACAATCTGAAAAAAGAAAACAAAAAAGTAATATCATTTACAGTAGTAACACATAAAATTAAATATCTAGGAATTAACCAAAGAAGTGAAAGATCTCTATAATGAAAACTATAAAACACTGATGAAAGAAATTGAAGAGGACACTGAAAATGGGAAAATGTTCTGTGTTCAAGGATTGGAAGAATCAATATTGTTAAAGTGTCCAAACTACCCAAAGAAATCTACATATTAGATGTAATCCCCATCAAAATACCAATGACATTCTTCACAGAAATAGAAAAACAAAATCCTAAAATTTATACGGAACCAAAAAAGACCCAAAATAGCCAAAGCTATCCACAGCAAAAGTGGAAGAATCTCTGATGGCCAGTGATGATGAGGATTTTTTCATGTGATTTTGGCTGCATAAATGTCTTCCTTTGAGAAGTGTCTGTTCATATCCTTCACCCACTTTTTGATAGGGTTGTTTGTTTTTTTCTTGTAAATTTGTTTGAGTTCATTGTAGATTCTGGATATTAGCCCTTTGTCAGATGAGTAGGTTGCAAAAATTTTCTCCCATTCTGTAGGTTGCCTGTTCACTCTGATGGTAGTTTCTTTTGCTGTGCAGAAGCTCTTTAGTTTAATTAGATCCCATTTGTCAATTTTGTCTTTTGTTGCCATTGCTTTTGGTGTTTTAGATATGAAGTCCTTGCCCATGCCTATGTCCTGAATGGTATTGCCTAGGTTTTCTTCTAGGGTTTTTATGGTTTTAGGTCTAACATGTAAGTCTTTAATCCATCTTGAATTAATTTTTGTATAAGGTGTAAGGAAGGAATCCAGTTTCAGCTTTCTACATATGGTCAGCCAGTTTTCCCAGCACCATTTATTAAATAGGGAATCCTTTCCCCAATGCTTGTTTTTCTCAGGTTTGTCAAAGATCAGATAGTTGCAGATATGCGGCATTATTTCTGAGGGCTCTGTTCTGTTCCATTGGTCTATATCTCTGTTTTGGTACCAGTAACATGCTGTTTTGGTTACTGTAGCCTTGTAGTGTAGTTTGAAGTCAGGTAGCATGATGCCTCCAGCTGAATGGTGATCATTAAAAAGTCAGGAAATAACAGGTGCTGGAGAGGATGTGGAGAAATAGGAACACTTTTACACTGTTGATGGGACTGAAACTAGTTCAACCATTGTGGAAGTCAGTGTGGCTATTCCTCAGGGATCTGGAACTAGAAATACCATTTGACCCAGCCATCCCATTACTGGGTATATACCCAAAGGATTATAAATCATGCTGCTATAAAGACACATGCACACATATGTTTATTGCAGTGCTGTTCACAATAGCAAAGACTTGGAACCAACCCAAATGTCCAACAATGATAGACTGGATTAAGAAAATGTGGCACATATACACCATGGAATACTATGCAACCATAAAAATTGATGAGTTCATGTCCTTTGTAGGGACATGGATGAAACTGGAAACCATCATTCTCAGCAAACTATCACAAGGACAGAAAACCAAACACTGCATGTTCTCACTCATAGGTGGGAATTGAACAATGAGAACACATGGACACAGGAAGGGGAACATCACACACTGGGGACTGTTGTGGGGTGGGGGGAGGGGGGAGGGATAGCATTAGGAGATATACCTAATGCTAAATGATGAGTTAATGAGTGCAGCACACCAACATGGCACATGTATCATGTATACATATGTAACAAACCTGCAAAAAGAAAAAACATGTTCCCTTAAAAAAAAATAGTGGAAGAATCACATTGCCTGACTTCAAATTATACTAAAGAGCTATAGTAACCAAAACAGCATTGTAGTGGCATAAAGACAGACAAATTGAACAATGGAACAAAATGAAGAACCAAGAAGCAAATTCACACATCTACAGTGAACTCATTTTTGAAAAAGGTACAAAGAACATACACTGGGCAAAAGAGAATCTCTTTGATAGATGGTGCTAGGAAAACTGAATATCCATGCAGAGAAATGAAACTACACCATCTCTTACTATACACAAAAATAAAAATTGATTAAGAGATAAATCTAAGATCTCAAGTTATAAAACTACTTACAAGAAAACATTGGGGAAAATCTCCAGGACATTTATCTGGGCAAAAATTTCTTGAGAAATACCCCACAAGCACAGGCAATCAAAGCAAAAATGGACAAATGGACAAATGGGATCACATCAAGTTAAAATCTTCTGCACAGAAAAGGATACAATCAATAAAGTGAAAAGATACACAGAATGGGAGAAAATATTTGCAAAGCACCCATGCAACAAGGGATTAATAACCAAAACATATAAGGAGCTGAAACAACTCTACAGGAAAAAAAATCTAATAATCAGATCCAAAAATGGCAAAAGATTTGAGTAGACATTTATCATAAGAAGACATACAAATAGCAAACAGGTATATTAAAATGTGGTCAGCATCATTGATTATCAGGGAAATGCACACCAAAACTACAATGAGATATCATCTCACCCCCATTAAAATGGCTTATGTCCAAAAGACAGGCAATAAGAAATTCTGGCAAGGATGTGAAGAAAAAAGAACGTTTGTACTGTTGGTGGGAATGTAAATTAGTAAAAATACTATGGAGAGAAATTTGGAGGTTCCTCAAAAAAACTAAAAATTGAGCTACCATACTATCCAGCAATACCATTGCTGGATATATAGCTCCCCAAAAAGAAAATCAGTATATTGAAGAGATATCTGCACTCTCTTATGTTTGTTGCAGCACTGTTCCCAATATCTAAGATTTGGAAGCAACCTAAGTGTCCATCAAAAAATGAATGCATAAAAAAATTTGATACATATACACAATGGAGTACTATTCCCATGAAAATAAAGGGACCAGTCATTTGCAACAATATGGATAGCGCTAGAGACCATCATGTTCAGTAAAATAAGCCAGGCACAGAAAGACAAACATTGCATGCTCTCACTTATTTGTGGGATCTAAAAATCAAAATGTTGGAACTCATGGACATAGAGAGTAGAAGGATGGGCACCAGAGACTGGGAAGAGTAGTTGGGGGCTGCCAGGGGAGAAGTGGTGATGGTTAATGAGTCCAAAACAATAGAAAGAATGAACAAGATCTACATTTGATAGCACAGTAGGGTTACTGTAGTCAATACTAACTTAATGATACATTTTAGAATAATTTAAGGACTGTAATTGGATTGTTTGTAACTCAAAGAATAAATGCTTGAGGGGATGATTACCCTATTCTCTATGATGTGCTTATTTCACATTGCATGCCTGTATTAAAACTTCTTGTGTACCTCAGAAATATATACACCTACTATATATCCACAAAAATTAAAAATTAAAAAATAATAAAAATTAAATTAAATTAAATTAAAAAAGAGTTTTACAGGTTCTAATTTACAGAACTTGCACATATTTTAAAAAATTTATCCCTAAGTATGTCTGTTTTTTTGATGCTATTTTGAGTGATATTGCTTTCAATGTTTATTTTCCAAATGTTCACTTGTAGCATGTAGTTATTTTGTATATCAATTTTGTAGCCTGCAATCTTTCTAAATTCACTCATTAGTTATAGGAGCTTTAAGTTTCAGCTTCATAAGGATTTCCTGCATACACAAGCATATGTGTAAGCACGAACAATTTTACTTATTTTGTTCCAAATTATATATCTTTGTTCCCCTTCTATTTATTTTATTACAATGGCTACCCTCAATACAATGTTAAATAGACATGGTGAACATGAATATATTTCCCTTGTTATTGATTTTAGTGGGGAAGAAGGATTCAGTTTTTCATCATAAGCGAAATGTTTGCTTTGTAATTTTCTTGTAGACATACTTTGTCAAGTGGAGAAAGTTCTTCTTAGTTCTTAGGTAATTATGAACATGTGTTAAATTTTGTAGAATGCAGTTTCTGCATCTATTGAGTTAACCGTATTTTAAAAAATAAGTCTTCTGATAAAATAGTCAATTACAAAATTGGTTATCAAATGTTACACCAAATTTCAATTTCTGTATTAACTACTTAGCCATGATGTATTTTCCTGTATTCCTGCCTTCAATTTGCCAAGAAAATTTTCTGAGGATTTTTGTATTCTTATTCATGAGACATGTTTGGTTCGTAGTTTTATTCTCTTGAAATATCTTTTCCTGTTTTTGCTTTTTATCAGGTGGTGTCAGCCTCATTCAATGCTTTAGAAAATATTCATTTCTTTCCTTATTTTCCAAAAGAGTTTGTGTAAGATTGATAGGTCTTGCTTAAATGTCTAGCAGAATTCACTAGTAAAGTTCTCCAGGCCTGAAGTTTTCATGGTTCAAAGGTTTTACATTACAAATTCATTTTTTACATCAACTAGGATTATTTAAATTTTCTATTTATTCTTGTGTATGTTTTGGTAATTTGTTTTGTGTAAGAAATTTGTCCATTTTTCTCCATGTTGCTTCAATTTATTTGCATATAGTTGTTCATTATATTTCCTTATTTACTTAATATCTATAGGATCTCTTTTATTTTGAATATTCATAATTTGTGTATTTTTCTCCTTGATCAACATTTTTAGAGATTTATCAATTTAATCCTTCTTTTCAAAGAAACAGTTTTGGTTAAATTTATTTTCCTTTTATTTGTACATTTTCTATTTTATTAATTTTCTTTATTGATAGATCATTTCCTTCTTTCTTTTACTTTGGGTTTTGTTTGTATTTTTTATTCTTCTCATTGTTTTAATATAAACATTAACTTACCTCTAAACACTGCTTTATCTGTGTATGGGTTTTGATATGTTTTGCTTTTATTATCATTTGCTTCAAAATATTTTGCAATTTCTTTTGTAATTCCTTCTTTGACCCATACACTATTTAGAAGTATGTTGTTTACTTTTACAGTATTTGAAAATTTAAAAATATGTTTTAGTTATGATATCTAACTCAATTTTATTTGATTAACTTAATTTAATTTTGGTCAGAGAACATGCTCTGTATTACTACAGTCCTTTTATATTTATCAAGCCTTCTTACCATTCGGCATATTATCTAGCTGGGTGAAAGTTTCACATGCACTTGGAAGAAATGTTCTTGGCTATGTTTCTTTACCTATATATGTTAATGAGGTCATGTTGGTTGATAGGATTGTTCAGGTTATATCTGTCATCTGATTTCAACAGATTTCAATTTTACTTGTTCTATTTATCAACAATAGATGAATATTGAAATATCAAACTGTAATGCTGGATTTACCTACTTGTTTTTAAAGTTCTGTCAGATTTTGCTGATATGTATACCAGGTAATTTTTCTCATTTTAAAGTCGGCTTTGTCTAATATTAATATAGCCATGCCAACTTTCTTATGCTTACATTACTGAGTGAAGGGTATATTTATTTCCATTCTTTTACTTTTCACTTTAATCTATCTGATTTTTAAAATAGACATTATACAAATCTTTTTTTGCAGTTCCCATTTAATAATCTGTGCCTTTTAAAAAGCATGTTTAGATCATTTATAGTTAATGTAATTACCACTATGATTGTTGCTATTAAATCTATCATTTTCTGTTCATGTACCATTTGTTTTCTCTGTACTTTGTTCAATTTTCCTCTTTCTTGTCTTCCTTGGGATTATGTATTTACATTTTGGGACTCTACCTTTACTATTGACTGATTTGTTTTATATTTTGTTGATGGTATTGGGTTTATGTTAAGTCTCTTTAACTTATTGAAGCCTATTTTCAAATAATATTGTATAACTTTTGTATAATATAAGACCCTTGCAAATATATATGTCCATTTTTCCCTCCAGCTCTTTGTGTTACTGTTGTATTATGTTTTATTTTGTACATTTTAATGTGTGACATTTTTGAGTTTCTAGATTTGTCTTCATTTAAAGAGTTTTGAGGTTTTGAGGCATGTGTTAAAGTTACTTATGAAGGAATTTCATTTTTTAAGGCTAGTTTTGAGCCTTTTAAGATTAGGTCTAATTTAGTCCTACTACTAAGTTATGATTCTAATGAGGTCACCACTAAATATCCTAGGAGTTCGGTAAGGTCTTCCCAATCTGGCTATTTAGAAGTCAAATGTCTCTCAACCACACATAAGTTCTTGGAATTGTTCAATTTATAGATCCCTGTAGTTCATTTCTTAAAACCATGTTGAGATTCACCATATATATATACACACACACACCTTTGTATTCACCAATAGATTAAAGGAAAATCCCATAAAGATTTCTGGAATGCTTTTTTTTTTTTTAAATAACTCTCTCCTTTCATTCCTCTGACCCAACTCTAATCTTTGCTTCTTGAACTCAGAAAGACTGCCAAACTGCTTTAGTTTATCTTTCCAGAGCTACAGTTCAGAAGGTACCTCTGGGCAAAAGCTGAAATAAAAGGATATTCTTAATTGGATTTCCTTTTCAGAAATTACAGCCAGTGTTGCCTTTTGACCAATGTCTAAAAATGTTTTAAAAGGTATGCCATCCCATTTTCTAGTTATTTATAGAAGGAAGGATAATCTGACCCTAATTAATCTGTCATAGCTGGAAATTCAATTGGCTTATATGGTTATATCTGATTTGAATAGTTATTTTGTTTTCTCCTCTGATGCTGGTTTGGGAGTTCTTATTTCTTTCCCACTTTTTTGAGTGATTCATTTTTCATCTCACTTTGTCATGGTCTTGGAACCGAAATAGGAAAACTTAAAAATCATTATAACTGAATGCTCAAAAACTACTGCTGAAAGTCTAAAAGTATCAGCCCAGTGATTGGAATTTTTGTTCATTATTTTATCTTCTTATGGTGTTCTACTTGCCATTTTTTTTTCTTGACTGCATTGTAATTATATTAGACCAGATAAATCAGAAAGAAGGGAAGAACAGTGTCTGCCATACTTGCCTCCCATCAGAGACTTACAGAATAAAATCTTCAGGGGATGGATGTGGGAGAGTATAAGCACTTTGTCTTTAGTTCATGTAGGCTAACAAAAACAAAATACTTTAGTATTTATAAGCAATAGAAATGTTCTGGAGGCTGGGAAGTCCAAGATCAAGGTACTAGTAGATTTGGTGTTTGATGGGATCTCACCTTCTGCCTAATAGTAACTTCTTGCTGTGTCCTCACATGGTAGAAGGGGAAAACAAACTCTCTTGGGCCTCATTTGTAAGAGCACTAATCCCATTTATGAGGATAGATCCCTTATGTCTTAATCAACTTCGAAAATCCCTATCTCCTAATACTATTACACTAGAGATTAGGTTTCAACATATAATTTTGGGAGGACATAAATAATCAGACAATAGCAAACCCTAAATTATTTTTATCAGCCTATAATTTACAAAATAGTGAATTAAGACACTTGACATGTAACCCAGATATCAGGTGGGGTTTCTCTGGCCCTTAAATTATAGGTACAATTGCATTAATCCCCCACCCCCCGAACCACAGCTTGAGGAAACCACAGCTCTGCTACAATTTTTGCAACATCTTGTCACTTACATACCCAGAGTTCCTTCTGCTTCCAGACTCCTACTTCTGTTCATCTTTTTCACCATTTTTCACAAATGACACTGACACAAAGCATTTCTAAATACAAGTCATTCTTTTATCACAAGGACAGAAAACCAAACACCACATGTTCTCACTCATAGGTGGGAACTGAACAATGAGAACACTTGGACACAGGGTGGGGAACATCACACACCAGGGCCTGTCGTGGGGTAGGGGTGGGGGGAGGGATAGCATGGGGAGAAATACCTAATGTAAATGACGGGTTGATGGGTGCAGTGGGCCAGCATGGCGCATGTATACCTATGTAAGGAGCCTGCATGTTGTGCACCTGTACCCTAGAACTTAAAGTAAAATAATAATAATAATAATAATAATAATAATAATAATAAGAAGAAGAAGAAGAAGAAGAAGAAACCAAACATATAAAAAAAAATAGTCTTCTTGTCAAAAGGACTATTCTTTACCTTTGCCTTGAGGATTTCCCTTGCCCCTTCTCTAAGCAAGCACCTGCTTTCACTGATACCACAAGTTCTTTTCCCTTCCTTTCACCTTCTATCTTCACTGTTATCTCATTTCCCCTCTTCTTTTCCTGAACAATAAAAACCTCTATTAGGCCATGAGAGAGATTTTTCTTTATCTTCTGAAGCATTAGAAACACTCTTAACTCCTTGAGGATTTATTCTTTAATTAAAATCTTACAAATATATCATTTACAATAAAATTAAGGGTAATACTGTTATGTTTATTTAATTTTAGAAAGTAGAACATATTGACAATGTTGCTTATTGGTATGAATGGATGATATGAAAACTGCCAGTCAACCTTTGACAGCCAATTACTTCACTTCTGTGGCGTTGTAAAGACTGAACTTGGTCATACCTAACAGAGAACCTGGTGCTACCAGCATTTCCACCAACTACTATGATTTTAATTCTATGGAGAGTGACTATGTTTTTCATTGTTTTAGCTTTGGGCTTGATACAGAAACCTTTAGAAACACAAGGTTACAGTAAATAATTTGTTTGGAACTTGCACCAGCGGCCTTCCTGGGTTCTCAGACCTTTGGCCTCAGACTGAGAGTTTGGCTTCTCTGGTTCTCTAGCTTGTAGATGGCCTGTTACGGGATTTATGGTTTGATCAATTGCATGAGCCAATTTATCTGAGAAATTCCCTCTCATCTACCATGTATCTGTCTATCTATCTATCTATCTGTCTATCTATCTATCTATCTATCTAATCATCTATCTATCTTCTATTGGTTCTGTCTCTCTGGACAACACTGACTAATACAGACTGCTTCTCATTTTTAAACTATAATGTCAATTTTGGCCTATTTATATATTAATTTATTAAGTAATCACATCAGGATAGATTGCATACCTAGTATTAAAAAGTTCTGTTCTGTCCTCAAAGAGCTAATGATCTAAAAGTTAGGAGAAAGAGAAAGAATAAACAAACATGGCTTGATATATTTCTATGGCCTGAGCTCTGCAGAGAAACACAAGCCTTTTGTCATATGCCCCGAATATGAACTCTAGAAAGATGAGAATGATTGAAAGACAGGAAGGAAAATGTATCACCTCGAAAGGAGAATATTATTTCTGTCTTCTGGATAATCGGCAATTAATACCACTTGTGTGGGCTTATAAGCAGAAGCTGAAAAAAGTTCACATTAAATGCTTTTTGTCTTTAGTTCACAAGTGGCATTGTTTGGTGTCCAGGGATAATGTATAACATAAAAGGGGCAGAAAGCTCTTCCACACTGTAGGATGGAACACTGGGTCTCGTGCTTTGAGTGTGCAGACAACATAGCACCACTCTGATATTTCGAGGCTGCAAAGAATCCGTGGCAGCAATGGTCATGGAAGCTATCACGGAGAATGAACCAGAAGCAATAACTTCTTGCAAAATATTCATATACTACTCACATTTATCCAGTCCCATTGCAATTAAGTGAAACAATATGACTACTTCTGGTTAATGCTCTGTAAATAGAAGTGGTCTGTTTACTTTCAGGCCAAAGCATTCAAGAGCCAATGCAAGATCTTCTAGATATTTTTTCCCCTGTATTGATGACCCTTCAGATCAGTTGTTTAGTTGTAAACATTAGATGGTGGAATCCCTGTTAGATTTGGTCTCTAAGTCACAACTTGCAGGAGACCTTCCCAGGAGGGCTGTCAGATCCTCAGTGAACTATGCATGATTTTTGAGGAAGAATAAAATTTCATGTACAAGGCCACTAACATTTCAGGGTTTGTTACTATAGCATAACTTCTCTTATTCTGACTACTATCAAGAGACTATGTCAACAGAAGGGAAGAAAATGTTAGATACCAAACAGTAGGCAACAAAATGCATTCATCAGACACCTGCAGGTCTACCTTGAATACCTCTCAGAGACATTATGGATAACAACAGTCAGGGTTCAGATTCAGCAAAATAAAAATATTATGATTTATATAATCCTTCCTCTTAAAACTTATGCTGTGTATTAAAGCTTATAAAGATCTCAGAGACGGCTTTCCTATGTCCTTTATTCTATGTATATGTCTTTTAAAGCCTCGAGGTGTTGAGCTGCTTGCTTAAGACCTATAAACTAATTAATGACAGAAAGAAAATAGATTGCAGGTAGTCTGAGAAGTCTACTAGGTGCTAAGTGGGCATAATAAATGCTGTTTATATATGACCTCATTTCCCAACACTTCATGCCATCAGTGCTCTCAATCTGTACAGTTGCACTTATACTTCACTGAAGTTATTTCTGAATTCCACCGCACAGTGAAATCTTGGAATATAGAGATCATGTCTTAATCTTTACCTCTGCAGTGTTCAACATAGGGTCTTTGGGAAAAAAAATCTCTTATCAACTAGCCTCAGAGGTTGAAATTCCCAATATTAGTGTATAGTTTGATTTGGCTATTAAAGGTACTTAAAATGTAAATGCAACCTGGGAAAAATAGAATGATGTAACTATTTATCTACTAACACCTTAGTGCAAATTAACTTACCATATAGTCTTGTCAGACATCACGTTCCTGATGGAGTGGGATTTTTAAGGGAGTGGGAGCAGGAATATGGGCCTACCTGGACAGATAGGACATCAAAGTAGAGACTCTGGACTATCACGTAATAACTTCTTAAAATCATGAAGTCATGAAGGAAGGTGAAGATTTTGTCATCATTCATTTTGTAAAAATTACGTTAGCCAGGCCCCATATATGTGTTTCACACAGTTTCTTAGCTGTCTTTATTTTTTTCTACATTTTCTAATCCCTATCTTTACATTTTAGAAAGAAGAGAGGAAAGAAAGGTGGAATTATATTATGAATTCCCTTTTCACATTATACAATATGAGATCACTGAGGTTGACTATATATCTTGTAGGAAAATTCACTATAGTCTGTTTTGTCAGACAATGCCTAAAATCTTGGTAAGTTAAATTTGTTTTTTGAGTTGTCCCTACCAATCAAACACAACTTACATTTTTATATGTTCTAAATGAACCATCAAATTAAAATTGGAAACAATACGGACTTATCTAAGTCATTGTCTGTCTTTTACAAGTAAGGACAGAATCTAATAGTCATGGCTATGCTAATATTACTGAATTATTCCTTTCTGTTTATTTCACTCAGGTACCAGTCAATTTGATATACCCCTAGGTGAGGCGCCACAGTGTTTACAGAAAAATAAACATTATCTAAGGTATGGACATAACTCACAGATACCATACAGACAAAATCAAAAGTCTTAATAGAAGACAATTTCCTACACTTATAGGTTCTGGCATTAGTATTTTTTGTTATAATACTCATACACAGAAAAATTTATGAACCATATACTTAATAAGTAATACAAAAGTCTCATTTAATCACTGCCTATAGAACATTGCTAGTACCTTAAAAGCTACTTGGGGACCCTCCCTTCCTTGAACCTTGGAGATAAACACTATTCTGACCTTTAGAATAATAGCTTCCCTAAATACACACAGACACACATACATACACACACACGTGTATGCATATACACATATAAGTGTATATATACATATCTATATGTATATACATACACATATATGTATGTATATATGTGTGTGTATAATATATATGTATATGGAGGGGTGTGGGTGTGGGTGTGTAGTTTTATAACCTATATGTGCATCCCTAAATAATAGAGTTTAGTTCTTCCTGGTTTTTAAATTTACACAAAAGGAATATAGCTGTAAGTATTCTTTTGTGCCCTATTTTTTTTAATTGAACATCACTGTGAGATTCAGCCATATTGTTTTGCATAGCTATTAGTATTCTTTGGTATGACTATATCACAACTGATTCATTCATCCCATTGATGATGAACATTTGATCTCCAGTCTGGTTAATGTATTATGAACATCCGACAAAATATGGCAAGAATCTAATATATTATAAGGAAAACAGAGTAATTTTAGAACATTTTACTGTAGTTTCCTCATAGACTTACTGACTGTGGACTGAAAATATTTTTAAATCATCAATGAAGAGGTGAAATTTTTTTAAAAAGCAATTTAAACATCAGATGGAGGCTGGGTATGGCTCACACCTGTAATCCCAGCACTTTGGGAGGCCAAAGTGAGCAGACAGCTTGGGCTCAGGAGCTCAAGACCAGCCTAAGCAACATGGCGAAACTTCATCTCTATAAAAAACTAGCTGGATGTGGTGATGCATGCCTGTAGTCCCAGTTACCTGGGAGGCTGAGGTAGGAGGGTCATCTGAGTCCAGAAACTGAACTTCAGTGAACCTTGGTATCACCATTGCACTCCAGCCTGGGTGGAGTGAGATCCTGTCTCAAGAAAAAAAACTGGATAGATCTTAAAAATTATGTGGTCAAATCTTTTAATTAAATGAGGAAACAGAGATTCAGAGAAGATTTGACTTGGTGAAGATGACATAATTATAGACAGAGCCAAGAATGAAAATTACATTCTTCTGTAAGCCAAATTTGGTTATACAGAATTTTTTTAACTTTTTATCCACTCAATGCCATGTAAGTGATAAACTGGCAAAGACTATCTGGAAACTTCCTGATATTCTACTTAAGGAGACCAGTCCACAGTCAATAAAAGATAAAACATTTGTGCTATATTTTTAGAAGATTAAACAAAACTTTTAAGTACCCATTTATTACAAAAAGATATGAAATTAAAAATACTTGAGGAAATCTTTTTAGATGTAGATGTATTATAAAATTATAAGATAATATTATTTTGCTTTCGAAAGTTTAACACTTTTTCATTATATCTTTCCAAGTCATTTGCTATTTAAGAAACACAACAATAACCAAACAAATATAACCAAATATAACCACAACAAATATAACCAAAATGGCTTGTTTAATGTCTTACAGAAAGTTGATTATAAATTGGGAGCCAAAATCAAGCTTTGTTTTCTTTCAAAGGATGAGAATTCAGAGGAAGAACAACCATTTCAGAAGAAACATTCTCGGTGGCAGTCATTCACAAAGCATATTGGATGAGAGACCCTATAATGCTCTGTGCAATATAAAAAGATGACTTTTTTTCCTGAGAGTTTGAAATTTCAATAGTTTTAGAAAGAGAAATTTCAAATGTTCTACCATTTATGCAAAAGTTCTGATATAAAAAAAGTAGATACATTATATTAGTTCATGCTCCCACTGCTATAAAGAGGTACACAAGACTGGGTAATTTATCAAAAAAAAGAGGTTTAATTGACTCATGGTTCTGCAGGCTGTACAGGTTTCTGCTTCTGGGGAGGCCTCAGAAAACTTACAATCATGGCAGAATGTTAAGGGGAAGCAAGCACATCTTACATGGCCGAAGCAGAGGAAGAGAGTGAAGAAGGAGGTGCACACTTTTTTACAACGAGAACTCATGAGAACTCTGTCACGAGACAGCTTTAGAGGTATAGTGCTAACCCATTAGAAACCACCCCCATGATCAAATCACCTCCCACCAGGCCTCACCTTCAACACTGGGGATTAAAATTCAACATGAGATTTGGGTGGGGATACAGAGCCAAACTATATTATACCTCAATGTAAATGTCATGGCATGGCATAAGATATGTTTCAGATTATTTGTGGACTCTCTCCACTAGATCATGTAACTTGATATTCAATGCTGAGTATGAGCTTTATCTAGTCCTTTTGAGTGTGAAACAGAAAGACAATGCATATGTAACTAGGCTACTGTAAGTGGAGAGAAATAGAGTGAATCAAACATAAGCAGCAATCTATATGTACTAACAGGTGGCGGCTGGCAAAACCTACGGATGATTTAAGGAGCTTAGTTGGTGGATCTTTTCCTCAAAAAAGTTTTCACTGTGTATCTCTATGTAGTGTTAGAATTTTTATATTCTCTCTCTCTCTCTGTGTCTGTGTGTGTGTGTGTGTTGTTTATTTGGTTAGGAGTTGGCTTACTTCTAAATAAAATTTCATTTCATTTCAATTCTTACCTTAAGATCAGACTTTCCAAATAAAAATATCCTACTGTGTTTCATTTCCTAAAACATCCAGAAATATAGGGAGGAACAGAGGTTTTATCTTTCTGGAAACTTGCCATATTAACTTGTAATGCAAAATTTTTAATTGCTTACAGTTAATCTTCTGTATTATCACCATCACCAAACTACATAGATGGCTAGTTTGGTGATACATGGATGGTCACTCTTTTATATTAAATGATTTGTCCTCCCACATAAAAATGGCTGTTGTAGCAATTATTTGGAATTTATTTAGATATTTTCAGTTGCTTCTCGTGGTTCCACTGGAAAAAATGCCTTTTTGAATGAGTGGAAGAATAAAATATCTCATCAATGAACTTGAATTTACCAATACTATATGTCAGTCTATTATCCCACAAGTCTACTAACCTTGAGCCTCATAGAAATAGGAAGAAATAAGAATTTAGTTTGCAACTCAGTGTAAACTACCATATTTTAAGGGACTAGATTATTTGTGCATATGAAAAATAAACCAGTCTAATGCTTGCTTTTACATTCTTCAGATAAAAATCTACTGCAGAAATCCCAAAAATGCTTCAATAATGTTGACATACTCATAAAAGAAGGCTTTTGCTACAGGGAGTAAAGCTGTGGCAAGAAACATGACATTAAATTCTGCTGTCACTGAAGGTATTTTTCATAGAGACTAAGTGATATACATAAGGGTGCTTGGCACCAATCAAATAAACTGTGAAGGTATGATACTATTATATGGGAAATAAAATAGAGCATGTGAATTATGTCCAGTGAGGGAGACAAATCTAAAGATTTTCTGTGTAGAATGGTCTGCAGCTGCATTAATGCTCTGTTATCTGGAAAAGCAAAACAACAAAACACTGGAAAATTCAGTAGTCTATAAAAGATAGACATAGAACTATTTCCATTGGAAAAGTTATTTACATTGGAAAAGTTATTTCCTAGTGTTACGGCATTTCATCATATGCCTATTCTTTCAGCTGGCACTGCTGTACAAAATTGTTTGACAGCATGATAGGTTTACATGGAGAATGAGGGAGAAAACAAATACTGTATACATTCCTATGATGAGAAGGAACAAAACAGTGAATTAGGTTTTAGTCAGTTTTGAAGACTATTTCAAATCTTTCGTAGAATACACATCTTTTTACTCTACCTCAAAATAATTAGATATGACTTGAGTGAAACATAAACTCAGCTTGTCTAGTTAAAAAATTAATAACTTTTAGACATGTTAATGGCTATAATATGAGCTGACAATTCAAGCTGTATTGTAATCCTAAATCTGTAAATCACTCCATGCTTTGCTGGTTTTTGATAGCCTAGAGTCTGGCCTCCTTCTGGTGTTAGGGAGTCCTCACTCTGTGCCACGGTTGTGGAAGGCATAGATGGCCACTGACCTAACAGTCAAACAAGTCAGATGCCATCTTCCACTGGAGTGTGGTTCTGGGAGCAGCTAGATGTGCTCTTTCCAATTCAGAGCAAGATGTAAGATTCTCATGACCCAGAGAAGCAGAAGAAGCCATACAGTGAAGGCAAGAACAGTTCAGATATGCCATTTCCCCATGGCTGCTAATTCTCTTATCATCTGAACAACAAATTCTTTCCTGGTCAGAAGCTTCCTGATGATTTCCCTGTCAATAAGGGTTATGAGACTGTCAGCAGTCTAGTGAGCATTTAATGTGCTGTGCTGAATAAAACTGCTTCTAAATATCAGGATTTGGAGTCCTTAAAGGGCTTGCTGTGCATGCAGTGGCAAATTACCTAGTATCTCAGAGACTTAGTTTCTCAACTGTAAACTGAGGGAAATAATAGTATCTAGCTTATAGATACATGGGATTACTAGAGATAATTCATTAGAAGAGATATTCACTTTGCATGGTGCCTAGCTCAGGGTTAGACTGTAATAAATGGCAGCTATTATTATTGCTGTTGTTACATTTCTATTAGTGATTCTATGGCTATTTCCATTAATACTGTATCTTGCTTCAACCAGCTTGTGATCTGTCAGCTTTCATATCCAGTTTCTTCAATTAAGCAGTAGCTAGCCACCTCTGACAGCAGTTTCCTTTTTGGGCCTCTTGTTTTTTCTCTATTAAACTACTTTCATTTTTGTCAAATATAGAGGTTTATGTGAATGTGTATGTCATCTTTTAGGACATAAATGAATATATGATAGTGGCATTGGTGATATTTTTATTTTTTGTTCTTAATTTTTGGATGTTGGAGGGGGTTGAGCAAAACCAACATATTACTTTAATAAACAAAAAAATAACAAAAAGTAATAAAGCTGTTTTAATTATATCTTTTTTTTTTTCTTTTTGAGACAGAGTCTCACTCTGTCGCCCAGGCTGGAGTGCAGTGGTGCAATCTCCGTTCACTGCAAGCTCCGCCTCCTGGGTTCACACCATTCTCCTGCCTCAGCCTCCCGAGTAGCTGGGACTACAGGCGCCCGCCACCACGCCTGGCTAATTTTTTTGTATTTTTAGTAGAGACGGGGTTTCACCATGTTAGCCAGGATGGTCTCGATCTCCTGACCTCATGATCCGCCTGCCTCTGCCTCCCAAAGTGCTGGGATTACAGGCATGAGCCACCGCGCCTGGCCAATATCTTCTTGACATATAGTGCTATTTCATCTTTATTTCTAATAGACAATTATTTTGAATAATGTACACCTTCATTTGTCATATTTCTATTTTATTTTAGCCAGTCAACTCTATATAATACATAATAATAGTAATAATATCTTGTTTTCTACTCTGTTATGACTGATATTCCAATGAATTATATTTATTTCTCCTATCCTGTAGTGCAGCATGTATATTTCTCAGGATCCATGACTTCCAAATATGTCAATGCTTTCACATATTCATCTTCTCATATAATGTCCTCTACCTTATGCTTCTTTTTCATGTTTTAGAAGATGTTGGTCATAATATCTGATTTTTAAGTCATAAGAGCATTTGTCAAAATCAGGAGAAATCAGATGCCTCCTGGGGAGCTAACTGAGAAGTGATCATATAAGTTAATGCTTTCTCAAGGTCTTACAAGAAAATGAGACACAATTCTATGGGAATTAAATTTTATGAATGTATAAAGCTAAGACAGTAGTCATCCCTCTCTTTAGAAAGAGAGATCAGAAGTTTTCAAATTAAACTAATATTTTGGGCAAGATCACATTTTTGCACAGGGTGAATTCCTGGAGTTTCTGAACAGGAAAAAATGCTATTGTGATGCTACATTATTCTGAGTGAGAAGATAAATCGTTGTTCTTGCAGTTGACAAAAGACTAATATTTTAGTAATTAAAATTTTTAAATTAAAATACTATCAGATTAGTGTTATGATTGCCCATTTTGTTTTCTGTGGGCTGTTTGAATAATCCCAGAGTGTAGTGCAATAAATTTAGTGACAATATATTAGCTAACACTTTTCTAACAACTAGGCTTTAAGTCATATATGCATCCTTAAAATATGAATCAACTAGACTCTTTTTGCTAATATAGGCATAGTTATAAATTCCCTAAATTCTATTGAGTTTTATCCTCTGGCTTTTCCCTTCATAGATCTTCTTACTTTTTGGGAGTACTATAGCATACTGGTTAGGAGCATAATTTTGGAATCAAGGTGGCTGGATTTAAATCCTGGATTCTCTGCATACTCAGTCCAGCTTCATATAATATACTTAAACACGAGGTCTTTTAGGTTCCTCATGTAGAAAGGGGATAATCAGAGTTTCTATTTCATAAATGGAGTGTGGTGGATGATGAGGCAATATATTTAAAGCAATTGCTCTAACTCCAAACATACACTATGATCCTCAATCATTGTTAAAGATTATAATAACTATGAAGTAGATTCATTCTTTGATTGGAAGAAAGAGTAAAACACAGCACTTGTGTACCCAGGAGACCCTCACTTTTCTGCCCAAAATTTCCCAGTGCAGAAGGGACTTCCTTCTTTCTGCCCTTCTTATATTACTAAGTCCCATGTGAATCAAGGGAAGTAGATAGCTATCATCAAATGAGTTCATCTTGGCAGGCCTTTTGAAGCATTCTGAATATTCATTTCAGAAAAACAACATGCCTCCTGAATGGATAAGTGAGATTTGCATGCCACTGCCTTTTATTTTTCTATTTCCCAAGATGTGTTTCTTCCTCCCAGGGCCAGAGGCATCCTGGACTTTACCAGTACTCTTTTTTCTCATAATGTGCTTGATATGGTTTGGCTCTGTGTCCCCACCCAAATCTCATGTTGAATTATAATTCCCAATGTTGGGGGAGAGACCTGATGGAATGTGACTGGATCATAGGAGCAGATTTCCCCATTGCTGTTCATGTGATAGTGAGTGAGTTCTCATGAGATCTGATGGTTTAAAAGTGTGTGGCACTTCCCCATTTACTGTCTCTATTCTGCTGCCATGTGAAGAAGATGATTGCTTCCCCTTCACCCTTCCATCATGATTGTAGGCTCCTGAGGCCTCCCAGTCATGCTTCCTGTTAAACCTGTGGAACCATGAGTGAATTATACCTCTTTTCTTCATAAATTGCCCAGTATCAGGTAGTTACAGCAGTGTGAGAATGGACTAACACAGTACTGTATTCAGTCACAGTCAGCACTAGGCCTTCATCTAAACCCTCCAGCTTGGCCAAAGAGGTGATATTGGATTGTTCACAAATGGGGAACAAAAAGGAAAGCAAGATCAGCAGGTGATCCCACTAAATTTGTGGAAAATATAGAAATTAATTGTGGTCATGCTGCATTTCTCTATAAAGTATTGATGTTTAACAAAAACTTGAATTAGAAATCAGATATTTTCTCTGTTCCCTACTTCACTCTTCATATCTTATCAACGGTGAATGTTGACCACTGTCAGTTCATAAAACTTTAAGATATATGTTATATATGACAGGTATATCATATATAGATATAGTGAGCACCCTCCAACTTCCTAAAATAGAATTGAACTAAAGGAAGAAAAAATGGAGAATGAACCAGAGTCCTGGTAGAAAACAGATGGCACACCTAAACAGGGTAATTGCAGATAATTTAATAAAATGTCTGTTTACAGAAATGTCAGTAGAATTAAGGGAAACCAACAAAAGGGAAAATGTTCATTTTGTTTTGTTTTTATTAATTGGTTTTCTGTAAGAGATAATGTGTTAAAAGGCTATTTTTTTCCATGAAAGAATTTAGTTTAAATAACAATCTATTCTTAAGATTCATAGCTATTTCCTCCTTTGTGTTCCCACGGAACTTCATACTCAGCCCTAGCACTTATGATATTATCCACTTGTCTCACTACCTAGCAATCTCCTCCAAAGTAATTATCCAGTATTACTTACAATTGTGCTCACTTCACCATCTCTTTACTTCTCAGATACAAAACAGAATTAAAAAGTTTTTTTTAAAAAAGCTTGGAAATAAATATTCATGTTTTGTAAGTTAGACAAAAGAGAAAAAGAAGAAAAGGAACAATATATACCAAGTACTTTAGTTAGGCAACAATGCTAGACGCTTAACATCTTTTTTCTCTCTGTTGCAATTAAGGTTTTTCATTTGGAACTATATGATGACCCTCTGAATTCTGAGCAATGTTGAGGTACATTGCACTGCATTGCTTCAGTATAGTAACATATATTCTTAACAAGATTATATATCTATTATTATTATTATAATTATTATTATTATTGAGACAGGGTGTGGCTGTGTTGCCCAGGCTGAAATGCAGTAACGCAGTCTTGGTTCACTGCACCCTCTGCCTCCCAGTCTCAAGCAATGCTCCTGCCACAACCTCCCAAATAGCTGAGACTACAGGCACCTGCCACCATCACCAGCTTATTTTTGTATTTTTAGTAGAGACAGGGTTTCGTCATGTTGCCTAGGCTGGTCTTGAACTCCTGAGCTCAAGCGATCTGCCCACTTTGGCCTCCCGAAGTACTGAGATTACAGGGGTGAGCCACTGCACCAGGCCTAAGATTATATCTCCATTATGAAACAGACAGAGAAATCAGTTTGAATCACACTCTGCACTATGACATTGGACTTCCCTTCTTTAAGATAAGGTTTGGCACTGAGTACGCCCTTCCCAGACCTCAGAACCTGGCCGTTTTATGGTAAGCTTGGAGGAAAATTTATCACTGATTGACATGGGAGTTGGAAGACTAAGTACCCTTCTATTTATCATTAAAACTCTATAAGGGACTTCATTTGTCTTCAAAGAATTGTACTTCTATCTTCAGCAGTCCTGTCAAAATTTGTTGTATACACAGTTGTCATGCTGTTTGTAATGCTGCATTTACATTATGGGAAACTGGAAACACTAAATATTTACAAGGTTGGGGGATAAGCAAGACTTTTCCAGAATAGCTTGAGTTCAACCAAAAGCCTAAAGGATAGTACACTAGGTGACGTTTTCTACTTTTTCTGTTTGAAAAAGATCAGAAATGGTTATTGGACTTTTTCAAAGTAATATTCCTAGTCATACTGCTTCGGAAATGATCCTATTTCTTCTACAAGTTATAGAAAAAATAAATCTCAAAGACTACTGAAATGTTGTTACGGAGTAGGCTATTATGTATTTCTGTCTTCAAAGAAAGCTGTAAGAATGAAATGCCTTGCCTGCATTTACTAAAATCCCCATAAATGGTTAAGAATTTACATTCCCAGAGTTTTCAAAGGAAATACATTCTTTTCCATGCAGTTGCTTGAAATGACTGATTTTTCTGTTCTTCCTCCTAATTTCATTCTCATATAATTTATCTGAAAGTTTGGAAGAAATAAACTATTCCACACCAGTTAGTTTTCCAGGTAATTAGTCAAAACTATTTATTTTGGCGACATTGGGAAAAAATTAAAACTTTGTTAAGAACATTCCATGTAGATCAAGTTCATCATTCTAACCTGCACCTCTTGGCTCTGCTGATTGTGAGACAATGATGTCTTGTTCCCCCGAGTATTCTTGGCACTCAGTGCTGTACAAGGAACACTCAGTCAGTCACCACTTACTGTCTGCTCTGTCACCGGGGTAGCAGTGCCTAAATGATTTCTCCCTTCATTGAGTTTATCCATTTAGAAGGTATTCAACACATATTCATTAAATTAATGAATATGAATTAGTAAGACAAATTCCTTAGGCTTGTCTGTAGTTACAGATATATGAGCAGCAATTCTCCCAGTTGTTTTGGGGTGTCCCCAAGGAAGTCTTTTGTGCTTAGAAATAGATCTGTTTATGTTCTTCCCTTTTTATAATTATAGAAAACACTATACTTACTATATGTCAGACGTGTTCTAAGCACTTAACATATATTAATTCACTTTTTTTTTTTTTTGAGACAGAGTCTCCTTCTATGGCCCAGGCTGGAATGCAGTGGCGTGATCTCGGCCCACTTCAACCTCTACCTCCTGGGATCAAGTGATTCTCCTCCCTCAGACTCCTAAGTAGCTGGGATTACAGGTGCCCGCCAAAATGCCCAGCTAATTTTTGAATTTTTAGTAGAGACAGGGTTTCACCATGTTGGCCAGGAAGGTCTTGAACTCTTGACCTCAAGTGCTGCCTGCCTCAGCCTCCCAAAGTTCTGGGATTACAGGCATGAACCACCATGCCTGGCTTACATTAATTCACTATTGTCCTCACAACAACTATAGGACAAGATCTACAGAGCAAATTGTGAAAGAAGAAATTTTCCTCCACCTTGATTTTTGCTTTACTGGTCCTTAAAGCACGAGTGTTTCATGAAATTGCTTATTAAACAATAACTTGAGTTCTGCTTTTAAAGGACAATCCAGCAGACCAGGAGATGAGGAGAATTTCCATGTCATTCCCTTCTATTGTCCACCTCTCCTTTCTCCCTGCATATCTTTGCCTTGATTGGATCCTTCCATCCATCAAAAGCAAAAGTTCTCATATCAATTTGTAAATAAATACTAGAGCAGTCACAAGAACCAGGAAGGAAATTTCCATTTGTGCTGAAGTGGAACACCTATTGAACATTAAAGGCTATTTCGAAATCCACTTTTCTACCCCTTCTTATTAGCTTCCTTAGTCAATTTTGGGATGGGAAAATGGTTACTAAGCATCTATATTAGTTACTATATTATTTCCTATTGTTACCATAACAAACTACCACAAACTGGGTGATTTAAGGCAATACAAAGATGTTCTTTCACAGTTCAGGAGTCTAGAAGTCTAAAGTCAGGAGGATAGCAGGGTTGATTCCTTCTTGGGCATCCAGAGTGGGAATCTGCTCCATGCCTGTCTCCCAGCTTCTGGTTATTAACAGCCATCCTTAGCATTTCCCGGCATGGAAATGCATCACTACAATATCTGCCTCTGCCACCACATAACAATCTTTCTGTGTGTCTGAATCTCTGTGTCTGAATTTTTCTTACAAATACACAGGTCATAATGGATTTAGGGCCTGCCTGAATCCAGTGTAACCTCTTCTTAACTTGATGACATCTCAAAGATTCTGTTTCCAAATAAGGCCACATTCATAGATTCTGGGAAGACATGAATTTGTGGCTGTACTATTCAACCCACTATAGCAACTAAGTTTGTCAAATTGGAGTAAGAACCTGTCACCTTTATAATGGCTAAAGGTAAGTCTTTCCAAGGCTGTGAGGAGTTCTCTTTTCTGGACTGGAAAAATTTGAGCCTAGAAAAAGACTAACCTTCAGAAAAGTTGGGTATTATTGTAGATTGGGTCCCTTTCACCTGACTATTTACCAATAGATCAATTGATCAACCAAATGAGAGAGCTAGTAGTCCTATCTAGTCACAGTACTGAAAAAAGACATAAGGCTTATTGATCACATAGTTGATATTTTGGGGGAAATGACCTGGTTGGCGCACAGAATGCAAAAGATACTAAGTCACACAGCCTTCTTCCTGTTGTATTCACTATTGTGTCATGCAACCTTCCCTCTGAGGGGAGCTTTTTCCTTTTTAAATTTACTTTTTCCTTTTTAAATTTACTTTTTCAATGTCTTTCTACTACAACTAAGAAACCTGTTAGTCAAAATATGGATGTTAACTTCCAAATTTTCTTATATGGAGTGCATATATTTATAGAATATTTTGCTTGCAAGACTGAGCACTCATATTAGACATTTTAAGCAAACAAATGGATTTAATATTTTCCTTGAACTTCACTAAATGGGCACAAGGGAGCCAGCACTAATATGGAAACTGGAATAATAACATTGCATTTTTATTTCCACAGCCAACCTATGTTGTTATCTGGATTAAGCACATAACTTGTAAAATGTATTTTGTTTATTTGTATCATCTAACTCTATTATCCAGTAGCTGAAGAGCATCTAAAATTTACCATTTAGTGTGAAATTATCATCTGTCTTAATATACCCAAAAATACTAATTATGTGAAACAAAGAGTTATCCTAATGGTTGAATAGGGTATTGGATTAACTGAGTTTAATTAATATAAAAGCTGCATGAATGGTTGGTTTATAAGGAAATAGAATACAATAAGGTACAGAGTATACTACAGGCACAAAATGAGGCAAATAAATTCTTTCAGCTATGATTATAACTATCACTTAGTGCTCTTTTAATCATTCAGAAAGCTGATTACCTGTTTTAGTATCTTATGGTCAGCATTATGAACTTATTACTGTTAAATAATATTAGCAATGAACTACATATAGTACTTACTACATTATATGCAATAATGTAAGCATTTTATGTGTATTAACTCATTTGTTTCTTTCAATAATTCTATTAACATAGCTACAATTATTTCTATTTTGGAAATAAAAAATCTAAGGCACAGAGGTGCTAAATGACTTGCTGAAGTAATAGGCTGGCAAGTGGCAAAGACAGAATTTGAACCCAGGTAGGCTGGTTCTGAGGTCATGCTCCCACTGCCATACTACGTCACCATTTTAAGGTGTGGGGCAAGGGAGTTCTGCATATTGGAAATCACACCCTACAGAATTTGAACCATGTGCTCTATCTGTCCGTGAAGACCTCTTTCCTTGATTATATGTCCTTGGAAGCCTCTATCATATTGGCAAAGTCAGTATAAAAAAAAACAGCATCCTGGAAATTATCTAGGGAGTATTAAAATACTATAACTGGAATCGGTCTTTTATAATCTTAGTAAATCAGCATTTATGAAGCACATTCTCTGTCCTAGCAGAGATATGCGCACAGCACTCTCAGAAGAAATACACCTTGCCACGATGCCTCTGAACTGACCAAAATTTGGTTTAAATAATTGGTCTCCTTGGATGGCAAGCAATGTAAGCTAAGTGCAGTTCTCAGACTGCATTGTAGGACATTTTGTACATCAACTCATTTGTCTAAATATTTGTTTTGAAAAACCTGCTATCCCGTCGGGGAATCTGAAGACAGTGCAGGATATTACTCTTAGCTGGAGAGATGCTCATACTTATGGACCTCTCTTCAATTCAGTGGAGGTAGACAATCTAGTGCTTGGTTGATCTCAATGGCAGGAGCTTAACATTTCATAGAAGCCATGCCTTTAAAGTCTGAGGAAAGAATTACTGTAGGATAATGAAATGGGTCCTTTTCTGTAGCCACAATGATTTGATTATTATTAATTAGTGCTTACTGGGAATAGGTCAGTGCACTAAGCATCTTACATGCATCATTTCATTTATTCTTCACAGCTTCCCTAAGAGGCAAGGACTCTTAATTATCTTCATTTTACAAATGATAAAATGGAAGCTTAAAGTTTGCTCAAGGAATTGCCAACAGGAAGTGAAAAAGCCAGGACTAAATCCAGATCTATCAGAGTGCAAGGTTCGTATCCTTAACTACCGTGCTGCTCTACTGCCTTCTGGTTTTTTCAAGAGGCAGTATTAAAGTGTAATCATAACTTCCACCGACAAAATGAAACCCTCATGGTACAGTGTATAGAAAGATCGTACCATAGTGCTGTATTATAAGGAGCAAGGCCCTCCATATTCCAATGGCTGTCCTACCTTCCACCTGTAACATTTAAATCTGTGAACAGTGTTGATGGTGTTAATGAGTACAATTATAGTAATCCCATCAATCTAACAAATGTCTTGTCTCAAATGAAAGGTAAAACCTCAACATGGAATACATCTGGGCCTCCTAGACTGCCAGGAAGTCAGCAAGAATCAATGACTTTATTATCTAGGACACTTGGTAGCTATTGTTTCATTTGAAGGTAACCATCACCAAGCTGGAAGTAAAAGTAAGAAAGGGGAAAACATAAATGACAGGGTAGTTGGATATTTACTTAGAAAAAGAACCGTTGTGTTAGGTTTGAAGAACTTGAAGTTGTTAGTGAAATCATAATTTTTGAACTTATCTAAAATTTGTTGTTTCCTGAGAAATGCAAATATAATAAGGCATTTTAAAGAATATTAAGTTTTCATTAAATGTATAGTGTACACATTATACATATAACATTTGGAGTAAAAAGTGGTTTATGCAGAGATTATATTTATAAGGACACACATTGAAAGAAAATAGTTATTAAAAGTCTCAAGATGATCACATACCTTCACGAAGTACGTGGAGTTTCTGCACTCATATATTCATCTGTGCATTAACTCATCTGGTTATTCTTTTGACAAACATTAGCTATTAGGCAGTCCATTCATGCAGTACCAATACAAAATAGTAAACAATATTAAAATCTTTTTTAAATGTAAGATGGTTTGTGGATTTTAAGGTAAATAGATTTCAAGGTATTTCTTTTACTTAAAATTAAAAGAATTTAGGGTCTGGATCCCAAGTTTATTACTATGATAAAAATTATCTATGCAAACCTGAATAAATCAATTAACATCGTTAAGCCTCATTTCCTCATCCATAAAATGAAGATATTGGACAAAATAATTTCTAAGGTCTTTTTGGCTCCAAAATCCTGTAATTCTTTTATAGACATTCCATTTATTTGTATTAAAACAAAAGTGAATCTTAAACATTTTAAGAAGTCAAGTAGTCAGAAAATTTTTATGAGCAATAAATATGAATAGATATCTGAATTGAAAGATAAATATACTGAACATTTTGAGAGGAGAGGGAAAAATGGAGTTTCCAGTCTGGAGAAAGAACATGGGCAAAGGTTTTCCGGTGAAATTGTGTGGGGTGTGTTTAGGATAACTGAGGAGACTCTGACAGAAAGAAATCTTCATATTAAAGAATAATGAGAAATGATATTGGCTGGAGGATGATGCCTTAAGTTTGGAGATTGAGCTGTGGACAATGGAAAATAAGTAGAGATTTGTGGGCAGCTGAGTATGGCACTACCTGGATTTCATGTAAAAATACAAGGGCTGCTGATAAGTTGATTAATTTGAAGTGTTTGAAGGACTGTTCACAGTCTTTTGACCACAAAGAGAAAAAGAAAGAGGGAAGGAGAATTTCAATGAGAATAATATAGAGATATATGAAATAACCCTCCTACATATAGGTCAACAGACCTTATTTCCATATATAATTACATAGAAGCCAGTAGCATTGTGGCTAGGAATACACACATGCATACTTGAATTCCAGCTCCAACACTTTCTAGCAGATGCCTTTATAAAATGTATTTACACTCTCTGAATCACAATTTTCTCTTCTGTAAAGTGGTAACTATACTTTTGGAGTTATCATGAATATTAAATGAAATAATACTTGTAAAATATACAGCCGGTTCTTGACATGTAGCAAGTGCTCAATAAATGAAGTCTATCATAATAAATTTTATTAATATCATCACTCCTTAAGTAAATGTCAAACAAATGGGAGAAATAATCAGGGTATCCAAGAGCCAAACATGGGCAAGAAGGCAGTTGGGTTTGAGTAAGTTTTTTTTTTTTTTAATGATTGATCAGAGTTGTAAAAGATTTACTTGAAATGCATGTCATTTTATAGGTCTGGTTTGGTTTGGATTCAGACAGGTAAGTCTGGTTTGGATTCAGATAGATGATGTTAGGCACAGGAAAATTAAGGCTCAGGGATTGAATTGATCAACACATCACCTGAGAACAATGTCTTCTTTTAGACAAGCAAAATTTTGTACAATTCACCTCTCAGCATGTTGAGATAGTGTCACAATGTTAAGAAAGTGTCACAGCTGGAGACATCAAAATTAAACAACTGATGGCAGGACTTAATCCAATGAAGTATAGACCTAACCTAAAGGGAAAATTGTATTACAGTCAGCAGACATAGTATTTGTTTCAGCTCAGCCATCCAGAGTAGTGTGACATTTGCTTTCTTGGGCTTGAGTTTTTTAAAACGTTAGCTCTATAGGTCTTTTGAGTTCCAAAGATGCATGGGTTTCTGACATAGATAATTGTGATGTATCTTTCTAAAACTAAAATTGTCTGGAAGAATTGACCCATATTATATCAAAGCAAATCAAAGTTTTGACAGGGCTATTTAATTTACATATGAATAACTTGAAAAAGAAACAGCATGACCGTATGCAAAATATTACAGCAAAAACCAAAAAAAAGAAACAAAGAATGAAAGAAAATCAATTCTGCAAAAACAAAGGAAAGGAAAGTACAGCAAAGCAAAACAAGACAATTTAATCTCAGAGAAAGAAAAACCATCCCTATAGTTATTTTTCTAAAGAAAACTGATAGAAAATGTGAATTTAATAAAGTGTACATCAAAAATGAGATGATAAAACAACAAAATACAATAAAAAGGGAGAATAAAAAGCCAAGAAAACAAAGAGCAAAAATATGTCAGGACTGGTCTAAAAGCTCCCTCCATGGGCACTGGATGAGTTCCACAAGTGCTGGTTTCCGCTGTAACAGGGCAGCACTGAGTTACAATGCAAAGTTGTACAATCACTGTGCTCTGCCTCCTTCACATTCACGGATTCTCTCTCCATGCCACATGGCTGCTGCCAGGGGATGAGGGAGGGTTGATGTTGGCAATCCAAGACTTTCTTTCCTACTCTCTCTAGTGCCTCTTTCAGTGCTATGAAATTAAAAACAGGCACTGTGATCACTCACCTGATTTTTGGTTCTCGTGAAGTTGTTTTTTTTGTTGTTGTTGTTTTGTTTTTTTTGTGGATTGTTGTTAAATGTGGTGTTCCTGCAGGGAGGACGATCAGTGGAGGCTTCCATATGGTCATCTTACCTTGCGTCCTCTCCAAAATCTATATTCTGATAACAGTGAACATTTTAAGTGGCCTTTCCCCACAAAATAGAAATTATATGAAACATTTTTTCAGTGTATTATGCATCAAAAGTAGAAAATAACATAGAGACCAGAATGTTACTGAGGAAATTAACCACAAAAATGTTTTTAAATAACTTCTAAATCAAATAAAAAATAAAACAGAATTTATAGTATAACTAGAAAATATTGGCAAAAGAAAATAATAAATATCACACTCCTTGAGCTCAAAAGAAAATATTTAGTATTAGACATGTATATTACCAAAGAAAAAATAATATTCAATGATTTAAATATTAAACTCACGTGTATTAAGAAAAGCATAGGAGAGCAAATAATAAAAGAAAACATGGATTAAATTTAAAAAGAAAATAGTAAAATAAATAAACCCAAGGTATTATATTGCTTTAAAAGGAAAATAAAATGGCTTCTCTATTCCAGAAAAAAGAGAAAGTATACATTTACACAATTATAAATAAAAAGTGGAAATAACCAATAATATATTAAAAAATAAATGAATCAGAAAGAGTACTTTTAAAATACTATAAAAATACATATGAAAACCCCAATGTCCAAGAATAAATGACAAAAGGGATGGAAAATCTAAACTCATCGGTAGTAGGTATGAATGTATCATAAACTCAAAAGAGTTTACATGTCTTTTCTTTCTGCACAGTTGAATCTGGTAAAGCCTTTATTGTGAGAGATGTGTAAGAAAGTGAATGTTTATTGTTGCTGGGCCCCTTCCCTTTCCACTAGCATCTGGAACATTTATGTGATCCTCAAAAGTGGGAGGAGAAGTCTCCTAATTATGCCCCATTATAATTTTTCAAGCCCTGGTCTTTTAAAAAATCTGTTATTAATAGACTTTATTTTTAGAACAGTTTCAGGCTTACAAAAAAAATGAGTGGAAAATACAGATAGTTCCCATTTACTCCCAACCCTCCAATACTAACACTAGTTTTCTCTATTTTTAGCATCTTGCATTAGTGTGGTGCATTTCTTACAACTGATGAACCAATGTTAATATATTATTATTAAAGAATATAGTTTACATTAGGGTTCATTTTTTGTGTTTTATCATTTTATACATTTTGACAAATGCATAATGTCATGTATCCACCATTAAAATAGGATACAGAATATTTTCATTGCCTTAAAAATCCCCTGTACTCCACCTATTCACCCTGCCCCATCTCCTCCAACCCCTAGTCCCTGGTAACTACTAATTTTTTACTGTCTGTATAGTTTTGCTTTTTCCAGAATGTCATGTAATTGAAGTCAGATTGATTTCTTTACTTTGTAATATGCATTTTACTTTATTCCATTTTTTGTGTGTGTATGGCTTGATAGCTCATTTTATTTCAGCATTGAATAATATTTCATTGTTAGAATGTACCACACTATTCACTTACTTGTTGAAGGACGTCTTGATTTCTTTTAATTACTGGCAGTTATAAATAAAGCTTCTATAAACATTGGTGTGTAGGTTCTGTGAGGACATAAGTTTTCAGCTAATCTGGATAAATACCAAGAAGCACTATTGCTGGATCATATGGTAATAGTATTTTAGTTTTGTAAGAAACCACAAAACTGTCTTCCAAAGCAGTTGTATCATTTTGCATTCCTATTAGCAATCAATGAGAGTTCTTGTTGCTCCACATCCTCACCAGTATTTGGCGTTGTCAGTGTTTCGGAGTTTGACCATTCTAATAAGTGTGTAGTGGTATCTCATTGTCATTTTAATTTGCACTTCCCTAATGACACATGAGGTTGAGCATCTTTTCATATCATGTTTGACATCTTTATATTAGGTTGGTGCGAAAATAATTGAGGTTTTTGCCATTAAAAGTAATTGCAAAAACCACAATTATTTTTGCACCAACCTAGTATCTTCTTCATGACATATCTCTTCAGGCATTTTGCCTACTTTTAATTGGATAGTTTTTTTTTTTATTGTTGCATTGATGGCCTCTTGCTATCAGTAGTTTGCTGTTATGGTGTCACATATGGTGCATTGAACCTTTACCAAGACTGGGCTCCTGGAACAGAGAATTTTTTTTTTGCTTTTTCACAATCATATTTTAAAAAATATTTTATTTTACTTTAAGTTCTGGGACAAATGTGCAGAATATGCAGGTTTGTTAAATAGGTATGCATGTGCCATGGTGGTTTGCTGTACTATCAACCCATGATCTAGGTTTTAAGCCCCACATACATTAGGTATTTGTCCTAATGCTCTTCCTCCCCTTGACCCCCGCCCCCTACAGGCCACAGTGTGTGATGTTCCCCACCCTGTGTCCATGTGTTCTTATTGTTCAACTCCCACCTATGAGTGAGAAAATGCAGTGTTTGGTTTCTGTTCCTGTGTTAGTTTATTGAGGATGATGGTTTCTAGCTTCATCCATGTCCCTGCAAAAGACATGAACTCATTCTTTTTCATGACTGCATAGTATTCCATGGTGTATATATGCCACATTTTCTTTATCCAGACTGTCATTGATGGGCATTTGGGTTGATTCCAAGTCTTTGCTATTGTAAATAGTGACATAATTTTTTCCCTAGGAAGGTGCACCTGCAGCCACCCAGTTACCTCCATGCCCCTCTTTCCTCTCTACCCTCAAAGATCTCCTTGCATTTCAACCAAATCTTCCAAGTTTTCTGTGTGATGGTTCCTGGGATAATTATCCATTATTCACACTGCCTTCATTTTGCTGCTTTCAATGATTTTCCTTCTCTTTCAATTGTCTCTCAAAGATAATAATTATTCTCAAAGAGAATAATCTCTTCAACTGTTTGTCTTTTAAGAAAACAAAAGCCAGAAACAATTTTATCTTTGAAATCAGAAACCCAGGTAGAGGAATGCAACAGAAAGACTTCATTTTATAACTTTCTATACTAAGTAAATTTTTTTCCATGTGCACACAATCACTTTTAGCTTTCAAATAGGTTAAAAAACAAAACTGCCAGCCAGGCGCAGTGGCTCACACCTGTAATCCCAGCACTTTGGGAGGCCAAGGAGGGCAGATCACAAGGTCAGGAGATCGAGACCATCCTGGCTAACCCAGTGAGACCCCGTCTCTACTAAAAATGCAAAAAATTAACCGGGCATGTTGGTGGGAGCCTGTAGTCCCAGCTACTCAGGAGGCTGATCAGGAGAATGGCATGAACCCGAGAGGCGGAGCTTGCAGTGAGCAGAGATCATGCCACTGCACTCCAGCCTGGGGGACAGAGCGAGACTCCATCTCAAAAAAAAAAAAAAAAACAAAAACAAAAAAACAAAAAAAAAAACCAACAAAAAAACTGCCATAATGACAAGAGAAGAAACATGCATTACAAGAAACCAATAGCAGAAAACCTTATTCTTGTCAAATGTGACTTCTTATTTGCTTCTTACTTTGGTTGTCAGGTATTGTCAAAATGAGGACATCACAAAAAAAGAAAGTAAACAGCGAGAAAACCAAATCACATTAGCAAGATTTAGAAGAGGAAATAATAATTTAAAAATAGATTCCAGAAAAAGATTTATGTATTATACAGTGAGTCTCCTACTCAGCTTATCACCTGAGCCCTCAACCAACCAAACCGACTTCTCATAGCTGAAGCATGGGAAATCTTTTGATGCCCCACTGAGTATAGAAAAACATGGCAGAGGAAATCAAATAAAAGGTTTTACTAGTTCCTGCTTAGTCCTAACCAATTATTGACTAAAGAAACAATAACACAGTTTTATTCATATTGAACTAAATACTTGAATACTCTTGTATACTTCACAGAATATAATCTAAAAAAATTTTAACCTAACTATGAGCTCACACAGATATCCAATGTTGCAATGTGGTTTAGCTTTTCCTAGAATAAAGAGTGATATGGTTTGTCTCTGTGTCCCCACCCAAATCTTACCTTGAATTGTAATTCCCATAATCCCCACATGTTGTGGGAAGGAGCTGGTGAAAGGTAATTTAATCATGGAGGCAATTACCTTCATGTTGTTCTCCTGATAGCGAGTGAGTTCCAAGAGATCTGATGTTTTTATAAGGGGCTTTTCTCCCTTTTGCTTGGCACTTCCACTTCCTGCCACCATGAGAAGAAGGTTGTGTTTGCCTCTCCTTTCACCATGAATGTAAGTTTCTTCAGGCTTCCCCAGCCCTGCAGAACTGTGTCAATTAAACCTCTTTCCTTTATAAATTACTCAGTCTCAGGCAGTTCTTTATAGCAGTGTGAGTATGGACTAATACAGTAAATTGGTACCAGGTAGTGGAGTGCTGCTGTAAAGATACCCAAAAATGTGGAAGCAACTGTGAAACCGGGTAATAGGCAGAGGTTATAACAGTTTGGAGGGCTCAGAAGACAGGAAGACATGGGAAAGTTTGGAACTTCCTAGAGACTTGTTGAATCGTTTTAACTGAAATGCTAATAGTGATATGGGCAATGAAGTCCAGGCTGAGATGGTCTCTGAGGAAGACGAGGAACTTGTCGGGAACTGGAGCAAAGTTGACTCTTGCTGTGCTTTAGCAAGGTGACTGGTGGCATTTTGCCTGTGCCCTAGAGATCTGTGAAACTTTGAACTTGAGAGAGATGATTTGGGGTATGTGGCGGAAGAAATTTCTAAGCAGAAAACCATTCAAGAGGAAGCAAAGCATAAAAGTTTGGAAAATTTGCTGCCTGACAATGCAGTACAAAAGAAAATTTTATTTTTTGAGGAGAAATTCAAGCCAGCTGCAGAAATTTGCATAAATAGTGAGGAGCCAAATGTTAATTGCCAAGGCAATGGGTAAAATATCTCCAGGGCATGTCAGAGACCTCCATGGTAGCCCCTCCTATCACAGGGCCATAGGCCTAGGAGAGAAAAATGATTTCTTGGGCCAGGGCCAGGGCTCCCTTGTTGTGTACAGCCTAGGGACTTGGTGCCTTGCATCCCAACCACTGCTCCAGCTGTAGCTAAAAGGGGCCAAGTTACAGCTCAGCCCATGGCTTCAGAGGGTGCAAGCCCCAAGCCTTGGCAGCTTACCTGTGGTGTTCGGCCTCTGGGTGCACATAAGTCAATAATTGAGGTTGGGGAACATCTGCCTAGATTTCAGAGGATGTAGAGAAATGCCTGGATGTCCAGGCAGAAGTCTGCTGCAGGGACGGAGCTCTCATGGAGAACCTCTGCTAGGGCAGTGCAGAAGGGAAATACAGGGTTGGAGCCCCCACACAGAGTCCCCACTGGGGCACTGCCTAGTGGAGCTGTGAGAAGAGGGCCACACTCAACTCCAGCCTTTGAAAGCAGCTGGAAGGGGGCTGTACCCTGCAAAGCCACAGTGGCAGGGCTGCCCAAAGCCATGAGAGACCATCTCTTGCATCAGCATGACCTGAATGTGAATCCTTTCACATGGAGTCAAAGATTGTTTTGGAACTTTAATAATTGCCCTATTGGATTTCGGACTTGTATGGGGCCTGTAGCCTATTTGTTTTGGCCAATTTCTCCCATTTGTAATGGGTATATTTACTCAAGGCCTGTATGCCCCTTGTATCAAGGAAGTAACTAACTTGCTTTTGATTTTGCAGGCTCAGAGGTGGACAGGACTTGCCTTGTCTCAGATGAGACTTTAGACTGGGACTTTTGGGTTAATGCTGGAATGAATTAAAACTTTGGGGGGCTATTGGAAGGGCATGATTGTGTTTTGAAATATGGGGGCATGAGATTTGGGAGGGTCTAGGGGTGGAATTGTATGGTTTGGCTCTGTGTCCCCATTGAAATCTCACCTTGAATTATAGTTCCCATAGTCCCCACATATCACGTGAGGGACCTGATAGAAGGTAATTTAACCATGGAAGCAATTACCCTCATGCTCATTTGTGACAGGGAGTAAGTTCTCATGAGATCTGATGGTTTTTAAAGGGGCTTTTCCCTCTTTTGCTTGGCACTCCCCTTTTCTGCTGCCATGAGAAGGACATGTTTGCTTTTCTTTCTGCCATGAAGGTAAGTTTCCTGAGGCTTCCCCAGCCCTGTGAAACTGTGAGTCAATTAAACTCTTTCCTTTATAAATTACCCAGTCTCAGGCAGGATTTTTTTTTTTGATGGCGTCTCACTTTGTCACCCAGGCTGGAGTGCAGTGGTGCAATCTCAGCTCACTGCAACCTCTGCCTCCCGCCAAATTCAAGTGATTCTGCTGTGTCAGCCTCCCAAGTAGTTGGGATTACAGGCATGTGGCACCATGCCTGGCTAATTTTTTTTTGGATTTTCAGTACAGACAGGGTTTCATCATGTTGGCCAGGCTGGTCCCGAACTCCTGACCTCATGTGTTCTGCCTGCCTCAGCCTCCCAAAGTGCTGGGATTAGAGGTGTGAGCCACTGCACTGGCCTCAGGCAGTTCCTTATAGCAGCGTGAAAATGGACTAATACAGAGTCAGCATAGAAATGAAAATTTCTCTCACCTGGGGTCTGCAGCAGCTGCTGCTATGAATGGAATTGAGTGTCAAGTCCTTCTGGCTAGCTGCTTTTGCCTTTCCCAAATCATAAGCCAAAGAATGGGAAGAAGGCACAACACTAAACCACTGCTGAGAAAAGTGCCAAATTTCTCTCTTCTTTCCCCTTCTATCTCTCATTTTAAAAAACAAACAAACAGAAACAACCACATCAAATCTCAAAACCTGCCTATGGCTTGTATATATCTGTTAACACTTTTATCTTGGAAGAAGAAAAGAGGAAAGTTTAGAGCTCTACTATTTTTAGAAGTAGTGGAAGAAAACATTATGTCCCTTTTGGTAAGTTTCTTTCCGAATATTTTCTTGAAAGTAAGTCCAAATGAAGTGCATGTGTTTTGTTTTTAAGCAGACAATCTCTACCAAAATATTGCATGTAGTGGTAGAATTGATTTTCCCTCATCTTTAATTAAACAAATAACTATACATAATGTTCTGGGTAAGTTATGTCAGGGCCCTTATTATTTTCCAGATTAGGGAGAAAATCCTAATAAAGAAGCAATTTTAGTGATACAGTTTGGCCACTGGTATTATCTCTTTAAGATTCAACTCAGTTTCTCTGAAAGTATCACTATTCCCTGTATGCCCTCTGCTCTGAGACCCAAATCCAGCTGGATTTTGGTGCTGCTTTCATTTAAAAAACTTCCTAAAGTTCATGGGATGATTTGATAATGACTCTTTGCGTCAGAGCTCTGTGTTACAAAAAAAGGTGAAGTCTTACTCAATTCAACAGTTTTTATGCAAAGTCCTCACGGGGAAGAGACTGATGCCCTGCAATGCCTCAGGACTCTCCAGAATGTTTTCACCAGCAAAAAGGCCCTCAGCAGATGCAGCCTCTCGACCTTGAACTTTCTAGCCTCCAAAATGGTAAAGAAATAACTTTATTTTCTTTATAAATTATCCAGTCTCAAGTATTCAGTTACAGCAACAGAAAATGAGCTAAGAGAATTACTGACTATTTGAAGAGCATTTCACAGTTGATGAAGCTCTATACAGACATGATCTCATGCTCTTCTTGCATCCACTCTGTTACATACCATAAAGCTGAGGATTACAGAAGTTAAATAATTTGCCCAAGGTCCCAAAGCTTAGTATTTTTCCTCAGATCTCTTGATTCTCAATTCTAGCTCTTTCTTCTCCAATGTTGTCACATAATGAATATATTACATGTTTGCAAGATATTCTCCATCTATAAGAGTCACTGCCAGATATTACAGAGAAAGCAAATGTATCAGAAACATGGTTTCATTGGTTTTCATGAGGTTATGATCTAACAGAAAAAACAGGACACAGAAAAGATATCTAAGAGTTCAAGGTTATACTTAAATATCAAGCCAGTAGCATAAACAGAAAATTGTATAAATGTTGAGAAGAAGGAAAGTTAGCTGTGAAAAAAGGTGGTCATGAAATGATGATCTGATTATCAGAGAAAGAATCAGGGAAAAAAGGACAGTGACATGGCTGCCGTGTAGAGAAGAGGAGGGTGAATCAAGGAACCAAAGTAATATCAAACCAGCTTCAGTTCTTTTCTATGATCTGCATAGAGATTTTCTCATCTTATTTCTACTATAAGCTGTGTAATAAGTAAGTAATCACATAATGTTTTGTTTTTTGTTCTTGTGGCTTATCACCATGAATTAGTTATAGTGTACTTTTCACCTTCATTATCTGAGATGATGACTTTTCTCTATTCAATACTTTATTCAACCAGCTAACATTTCCTGTTAGCTCTGATGAGCCAAACACTGGCAATGATATGGCACTGAGTATGCAAAGAGTAACAATACACTGCTCACTACCTTGAGAAGTGCCTATGTTGCAGAGAGAGAGATTCATATATAAAATACTTACACTTATCTGCATAGTGATAAAGATAGAAACTCAGCAATGACATAAAGAAGGAGTACCTACCATGCATGATTGGAGATGTGGTATTAGGAGGGGCTGATTAAGGATACATTGAAATTATCAGGCAAAGAAGGGAGAAGGAGCCATTCTAAGCAGAGAGGGGCACATGGCCAAAGTTAAGAAAGAAAGGAATGGCTGATGAGCTGAGAATTACTAGCAATTTGGTATTTTTTGTGATTATGATGCAAGGCAAAGGAGATATGAAGTTAGGGAGGTAGAAATTAGCAGGTGAAAATAGGTCTTGTAAACCATTTTGAGGAACTTGATTGAGCTTTAATCTTACAGACAATGGGATAGCACCAACAAGTTTAAAGCAGAGGCATTGTATGTAATTAGTAATTAATGAATTAACTAATTAGTCAATTAATAAGTGAATTAACTAAATTTGTACACAACTAATTAATCCTGATAAGCCACAAGAACAAAAACCAAAAACTTAGTTAATTACTAATTACATACAATGTAACTAGTAACATCATTGCTGCAATATACTATACATTATCTAGTACACCCAAAATATTTTTTCAGATTTTATGGAAAAATCATTTTCATTTTTTAGAAATAAACAATATGAAACTGATGAAATTTATGTAAATTCCTTTGTCAATGCCTCAACTTATATCTTATTAGCAGAAAATTAATATTTAGGAGAGCCTGATTAAATGTACTCAGTATGACAGGTGATTCCTGTTTGCCCTGCACTAAGATTTAGAGCCTGTTCATGTCACATGAGGACTGTAACCCAGCACAGGTTTATATGGAATGTTGTTCAGCTGTTTATCTAAAAAAGGAAGGATGAATATATCTCAGCAGCAAGAACCAATTAAGGAGGATAAACTGTTTTTTAACTTATATGAAACACTCCTTTAAAGAAAAACTCCCATTCTGTAGGTTGCCTGTTCACTCTGATGGTGGTTTCTTTCGCTGTGCAGAAGCTCTTTAGTTTAATTAGATCCCATTTGTCAATTTTGGCTTTTGTTGCCATTGCTTTTAGTGTTTTAGACATGAATTCCTTGCCCATGCCTATGTCCTGAATGGTATTGCCTAGGTTTTCTTCTAGGGTTTTTATGGTTTTAGGTCTAACATGTAAGTCTTTAATCCAAAGGGCTAATATCCAGAATCTACAATGAACTCAAACAAATTTACAAGAAAAAAACAGAGAACCCCATCAAAAAGTGGGTGAAGGATATGAACAGACACTTCGCAAAAGAAGACATTTATGCAGCCAAAAAAACACATGAGAAAATGCTCATCATCACTGGCCATCAGAGAAATGCAAATCAAAACCACAATGAGATACCATCTCACACCAGTTAGAATGGTGGCCATTAAAAAGTCAAGAAACAACAGGTGCTGGAGAGGATGTGGAGAAATAGGAACACTTTTACACTGTTGGTGGGACTGTAAACTAGTTCAACCATTGTGGAAGTCGGTTTGGTGAGTCCTCAGGGATCTAGAACTAGCAATACCATTTGACCCAGCCATCCCATTACTGTGTATATACCCAAAGGATTATAAATCATGCTGCTATAAAGACACATGCACACGTATGTTTATAGCAGCACTATTCACAATAGCAAAGACTTGGAACCAACCCAAATGTCCAACAACGATAGACTGGATTAAGAAAATGTGGCACATATACACCATGGAATACTATGCAGCCATAAAAAATGATGAGTTCATGTCCTTTGTAGGGACATGGATGAAACTGGAAACCACCATCCTCAGCAAACTATCACAAGGACAAAAACCCAAACACCGCATGTTCTCACTCATAGGTGGAAATTGAACAATGAGAACACATGGACACAGGAAGGGGAACATCACACACCGGGGACTGTTGTGGGGTGGGGGGAGGGGGGAGGCATAGCATTAGGAGATATACCTAATGCTAAATGACGAGTTAATGGGTGCAGCACACCAACATGGCACATGTATACATATGTAACAAACCTGCACGTTGTGCACATGTACCCTAAAACTTAAATTATAATAATAATAAAATTAAAAAAGAAAAACTATGAAAGAAGACAAACACAAACATACAAAGTTTTTGCGTTTTTATTGCTTTATTATTAGTTATTTAAAAATTATTTATAAGTCAAAAACATATTTTCCTAAAAAACATGAATGGTCCAGTTACCTGGACTCAGGACTAGGAATTATGAACTTAGCGCTGTTCTTGAAGCCAATTTTTCACTAAGTGTTCTGAAAAGCAGTAGCCTGTCTATGACTCAGCTTCTGTTAAAATTGGATTTTGGAGTTGTCGTGTTTTCTTGAGTAAAAAAAATGGAAAGAGTCCCACATTTCCTAAATGCAATCATGAGAGATACCAGTAATCAAAGAATTTAGATTCTGAGGATAGGACTATATAGGTTATCTAAGTCAATATTCTCTTTTGACCATTGCATTTGAGGCCCAGAGCAATGATATTCCACGTACGAGTACACTAGGAATTTGCAGAAGACCTACAATAATCTAGTTGGTCTAGGTGGGGGGCAAGGATCACACAGATGAAAGGCAGCACCAAAAAGAGAAAAGGAAGCATTCTGAGTGAATGAAGTGAGTTCTTTATGTGATAGGAAAAATGGGATAGGGAAAAAATAATGATTATGTTAACAGTAGACTCTGCCTGCATGGTGATACTTCCCCACTTAAGTTGGCCCTCATGGTACCAGCAGGTAAGTCTAATTTGAAACCTCTATTTTTACAACCATCTGTTTTTTAGTTTTACTGGTAATAGCAACAGTGTGGTATGAATATTTTAATTCCCTGCTCTCTGTCCATTAGTCTTCAATAACTGGTCCTGGCTCATTTCCTCCTTGAGTCCAGGACTCACCTTTAGAATTTCTTACAGTCTAGCTCTTTGGGAAGCCATGGCCAATGGGTCAGACTTAGCCCACCAAATAAAATTTCTTTGCTGTCCCTGGATTAGAATTGGGCATATTTGTTCCAAAATTTCCCTGTTACACTGAAAAGATAGTGAGATATTTTTGTTTAATACATATATTTTCATTGAATACTCAATTTTCAGTTGAGACTACTTACTCAGGCAAGTATTTCCCCACTTAGCTGAGAGAAGGTGTCAAGATGCCTTCCTCTGTGCCTTAACTCTGGAAGCTCTTATCCCAGTAAGCTGACTTTCTTTGGTATTACTTTGCTCTCTACTGGTTACTTTCATCATCCCACTCACAGGGAGGAAGATATTAATACCAGCATATAAGAACCTCACTTTTTTAAAACCTCAGTTTGTAAAAAATGAGCAATAAAAGTCCTGCCCTTTCCCCTGGTTTTATACCAGGTGCCTTGGTAAATGTGGCTTGTGTGAGGTTTTGTTTTCTTTAGTTGGTTGCCAAAGTTAACCATGCTTTTCACTGTTTGCCCTGTATATTTGTGACCTTTTCCATGGGGTGCTATTATAAGTCTTCCACATAGGTTTGAATAAGATGAATTTGCCTTCTCCTCTGTCTGGCTGTTGAAGCTGTCTCCGCATGGCTACCATACCCCCTGTGGGGGTGCAGGTAGAGAAAAGGTGATTCATTCATTCAGCAAACAAGTATTTACTGAATGCCCACTATGGGCCAGTATCTATACTAGAAATCATAGATGCTGTGGTTTGTCAAACAGAAATAGTTCCTAGCTTCATAGAGAGACAAGCAATAAGCAAATAAACAAACAAAAATGACATATTTGCATAGTGTGACAAATGTTTTGTAGGACAAGAACACAGGGCTATGAGAGAATATATCTGGAGGATCCATTTGAATTGGGGTGATTTAGGGAGGCACCTATGAGGAGGTAGCCTTTAAATGGAGACCTGAGGATGTGAGCCATAAGGAGTAAGGAAGACAAGTGTCTCAGGCAGTGGGAAAAGCATGAGAGTAGGTCCTAAGGTGGTGTCTCTATGTGAACAACGATCCCAACTCCCCTGTGAGGACTATCTCTGACTCTCAAAAAGGCATATTAGCTTTGGCAGGCATATAAAAATTCCAGTCCAAGAAAGAAGACCACCTCTAGAGCAGGTCTTCCATAAGAAATATTTTCCATCTCACTTAGGGTAACAATATGCCCATTAATTAATTTATAAATGTCTCACAGCTATATGCATGGACCAGGAATGAGGCTTTATGGTCACAGTAAAAACTTACTTTTGGGACTGCCATCTGTAGACATCTGCACTGCAAAGGCCAAAGTCGAGGCTGGAATGTCCCCTTACATTTTGGTGTCCTTGCTGCTATAGATAAAATGATTTTTTATCACTTTGTTCTTTGGGAACTAACATGCTATATATTCTGAAGGGAGTATTGTCCTGATACAGAAAAAGCATGCAAACACTGGGTGTTTTAACTGTAGAACATAAGAGAGAATGGTGGCAATGTTTTGGTTTGGTCTGGTTTTCCCTCAACTTATTCTACTTTTTAGACCAGATCATCTGGGTATTGACAGTCATGTTTTCACACTTCTCTTGGGGCATTTTGATTGCAATTCCAGAGCTAGAAAAAAAAGTAACATTAAAAAAAATCCAGGCAGGCTCTTATAAATAGTTGAATTAGTCCTATATTCAAAAAACTTTTTTTTTCCTAAGTAACCACTACTTGAACTATAACTTGGATGACCAGATCTGTCTAGTTTGGAAGTTTTTAAAAAGAAACAAAAAAAAAATGACAAGGTTTTATCCTGTATTGAAATTAGTCACATAATATGAGGAATAGGAAGAATTTTTCCAAGTCTCCAAAGGACGAGGTAAAGCATAAAAAGGAGTTGATTGCCTATGTTTTTACCAAAAAGAAGTTGCTACTAATTGTTCTACATTTTTTCAAAAAAATATTACAGGTGGTTGTTTTCACTGTTTTCAAATAGACTTAAAAAGAAGCAGGGGAAGGGGACAATACAAATAATTTATTTTATTTTGTAGAAGAAAAACAAATGATAAAGAAGGAATATTTCCTTTGCAACTACCACTCCAGTTTTTACTTCATCCATTGCACTTGAAAATTAAATAAATATCTATTAAGCATTTAGAATAATGTCAGGTCCATGCTATGTGCTGCACAAGTATTTGTTAACTAAAAAGACAAGGAAAACATGAAGGTAAAAAAGAAAGTAAAGAAGGCAAAAGAAGATAAGCAATGCTAGAGAAACTGTGGAGAAAATTCTAAAATGCTCAGAATTTGAAAAATAAAATTCGTTCAGAATGTTTCAAGAACCTCTATGATCTTCTTAAATTCAAGTTGCATCAATAGGGACTCTTAGATGAGTCCTATAGAAAGCAAAGTGGAATTAAACTACAAATTTCTAACTTAAATATGTCGTGAGCCTGTTCTCCTAAAGCGTATTACATTCATTACAAAAAAGTGCCCAACACCTCTTGGTTTTGATTAATATGTTGTAATGGGTACTGGACTAGCCCATCTACATTATACACATGTAAAACTAGACAACAGGCTATACATGACTGAAGTCTTTGAAAGAATGGAAACTACCAAAGGGAATCTGACATTTGTCTCATCTCCCTGCCTAGGACTATCGGTACTGAAACCCAGCAAGCTGAAATCAGCAAAACAAGATGGTCTTGCTAACTTGAGGAAGCTGTAGCAGCTGGAAGCTCCAGAGAGGAGGGGGCTCAGAGTCTGCACATCAATGGGGGTAGGAGGAGTTCTGCATAAGTTTTTGACCAAGGATAGGGCTTCACGTGAGCAAGATGAATTGTGTGAGGCTTACCAAAGAGTGGAGAATGGAACAGAGATGCTAGTGATCCAGAAGTGCCAAGAACATTGAAGTGCTGGCCCAGCCAGACTAGAAAGACAGGTTCAACACCTTAGTAACACGTCAGGCATTCAACTGAGACACCAGAAAAACCATGGTAGAGTATTGTAAGGTTATTCCATGTCTGAACTGGAAAGTGTGAAGTGTAAAATGGCATAATATTCACTGTTAATAGACTTGAATAAGTTAAGAAATATATTATTAAACCTAGAGAAACCACTAAAAATAATAAAAATATGTATAAATAATAACAGCAAAAAACAAAATAATAAAAAACTGATAAAAGCAAAAGAAGACAGAAAAGGAACAAGAGAGAGAGACACAGATAGGACAAATTTAAAATAAATAGCTAGATGGTACATATAAACCAAATCATATCAATAATTATAGCAAATATTAGTGGCCTAAGCACTCCAATTCAAAGGCAGAGATTGTCAGGCTGGATGAAAAAGTAAAACCAAACTACATTCTGCCTAAAAGAGACACACTCAAAATTTAAAGACATGAATAGATTGAAAACATAAGGAAGTTGGGCAATTGTATTAATATCAGACAAACTAAACATCAAGACCAAAAGTTTTAAAAATGATAAAGGGTCATTTAATAATGTAAAATAAAATCATCAGGAAGATTCAACAATCTTAAATATGGATGCTCCAATCAACAAAGTTTTAATTTGCATTTCTCTGATGGCCAGTGATGATGAGCATTTTTTCATGTGTTTTTTGGCTGCATAAATGTCTTCTTTTGAGAAGTGTCTGTTCATGTCCTTCGCCCACTTTTTGATGGGGTTGTTTGTTTTTTTCTTGTAAATTTGTTTGAGTTCATTGTAGATTCTGGATATTAGCCTTTTGTCAGATGAGTAGGTTGCGAAAATTTTCTCCCATGTTGTAGGTTGCCTGTTCACTCTGATGGTAGTTTCTTTTGCTGTGCAGAAGCTCTTTAGTTTAATTAGATCCCATTTGTCAATTTTGGCTTTTGTTGCCATTGCTTTTGGTGTTTTGGACATGAAGTCCTTGCCCACGCCTATGTCCTGAATGGTAATGCCTAGGTTTTCTTCTAGGGTTTTTATGGTTTTAGGTCTAACGTTTAAATCTTTAATCCATCTTGAATTGATTTTTGTATAAGGTGTAAGGAAGGGATCCAGTTTCAGCTTTCTACATATGGCTAGCCAGTTTTCCCAGCACCATTTATTAAATAGGGAATCCTTTCCCCATTGCTTGTTTTTCTCAGGTTTGTCAAAGATCAGATAGTTGTAGATATGTGGCATTATTTCTGAGGGCTCTGTTCTGTTCCATTGATCTATATCTCTGTTTTGGTACCAGTACCATGCTGTTTTGGTTACTGTAGCCTTGTAGTATAGTTTGAAGTCAGGTAGTGTGATGCCTCCAGCTTTGTTCTTTTGGCTTAGGATTGACTTGGCGATGCGGGCTCTTTTTTGGTTCCATATGAACTTTAAAGTAGTTTTTTCCAATTCTGTGAAGAAAGTCATTGGTAGCTTGATGGGGATGGCATTGAATCTGTAAATTACCTTGGGCAGTATGGCCATTTTCACGATATTGATTCTTCCTACCCATGAGCATGGAATGTTCTTCCATTTGTTTGTGTCCTCTTTTATTTCCTTGAGCAGTGGTTTGTAGTTCTCCTTGAAGAGGTCCTTCACATCCCTTGTAAGTTGGATTCCTAGGTATTTTATTCTCTTTGAAGCAATTGTGAATGGGAGTTCACTCACAAATGCAAATCAAAACCACTATGAGATATCATCTCACACCAGTTAGAATGGCAATCATTAAAAAGTCAGGAAACAACAGGTGCTGGAGAGGATGTGGAGAAATAGGAACACTTTTACACTGTTGGTGGGACTGTAAACTAGTTCAACCATTGTGGAAGTCAGTGTGGCGATTCCTCAGGGATCTAGAACTAGAAATACCATTTGACCCAGCCATCCCATTACTGGGTATATACCCAAATGACTATAAATCATGCTGCTATAAAGACACATGCACACGTATGTTTATTGCGGCATTATTCACAATAGCACAGACTTGGAACCAACCCAAATGTCCAACAATGATAGACTGGATTAAGAAAATGTGGCACATATACACCATGGAATACTATGCAGCCATAAAAAATGATGAGTTCATGTCCTTTGTAGGGACATGGATGAAATTGGAAACCATCATTCTCAGTAAACTATCGCAAGAACAAAAAACCAAACACCGCATATTCTCACTCATAGGTGGGAATTGAACAATGAGATCACATGGACACAGGAAGGGGAATATCACACTCTGGGGACTGTGGTGGGGTCGGGGGAGGGGGGAGGGATAGCATTGGGAGATATACCTAATGCTAGATGACACGTTAGTGGGTGCAGCGCACCAGCATGGCACATGTATACATATGTAACTAACCTGCACAATGTGCACATGTACCCTAAAACTTAAAGTATAATAATAATAATAAAAAAAGAAAAAAAAAAAAAGAAAAGAAAAAAAAAAACAAAGTTTTAAAACTTATGAATAAAAAATTTATAGATCTTAAGAGAGAAATAGAAAAATCTACTGCCATAATTGGGAATTTTAATAAGCCCCTCTCAATAACAGATAAAATGACTAGACCAAAGACATGATTATGGATACAGTAGATCTGAATAACACTATGAGACAATTTCACTTAATTGATGTTTATAGAACATACACCTAACAGCTCCAGAACACAGTCTTTTAAAGTACGCATACAATGTTAACCAAGAAAGACAATATCTTGGATGAAAAACATATCTGAATAAATTTTAAAAGATTGATATTCTCTGACTACATCATAATTAAATAAGAAATAAAGTCTTATTAAATATATTTTCTTTAAATTCCCAAATATTTTCAAATAAAATGATATACATCTATGGGTCAAAGAAAAAATCATAAGGAATTATGATTTCTAACTGAATGATTATGAAAATACAATATGTCAAAATTTGTAGGATGCAGCTAAAGCTCCAGTACAATCTGGAGTCCATCAAGAGAAATCAGAAGCCACATCTACCTCTGCCTATAAGCTCGTTGACACTGATGACCTGCTGAGGAAGCTGAACAGGCTTCTTCATGAAGCTGCACAGGCATCTGACTCAAGAGTCAGAGAAACTGCCTAATCAAGAAAATAAGAGAGAAGATAAAATATAGGAAATTAGAAATGAAAAAAGCAACATGACAACTGATACCACAGAAATAAGAAAGATCAGCAGATACTATTCTGAACAATTACATGACAACAAACTGGAAAACATAGGAAATGGATAAATACCTGGAAACATACAACCTGCCAAGATTGAATCAGGAAGTGATAGAAAACTTGAATAAATTTATCACAAGTAGTAAGAATGAACTGGCAATTAAAAGTCTCCAACAAAGAAAAGCCCAGGACCAGATGGATTCACTAGTAAATTCTACCAAACTTACGGAGAAAAACTAATACTAGTCCTCCCCAAATTATTCCCAAAAGTTAAATAGGAGGGAATTCTCCTTAACTTATTTTATGAGGTCAGCATTACCCTGATTCCAAATCAGACAAGGATGCAAGGAAAAAAAAAAGAAACCTATGGGCTAATATCCCTAATGAACATAAATGCAAAAAATTCTCAACAAAATAGTAGTGAACCAAATCCAATAGCACATCAGAAGACTAATACACCACAATGTAGTAGGGTTTATCCCAGGGATGCAAAGATAGTTCAGCATGTACAAATCCAAAATGTCTCAACAACTAGGCATATAAGGAATATACCTCAACATAATAAAGGCTATATATGTTAAGCCCACAGTCAGCATTTAACTGAACAGGGAAAAGCTTAAAGCTGTTTCCCTAAGAATTGGAACAAGACAAGGATGCCTGATTCACCGCTCCTGTTCAACCTAGTACTGGAAGTCCTAGCCAGAGAAATCAGGCAAGAAAAATAAAAGGCATCCAAATTGCAAAAGAAGTCAAATTGTCCCTCTTTGTTGTTGATATGATCTTATATCTAGAAAAAACAAAAGACTCCACCAAAAAACTCTTATATCTAACATATAAATTTAGTAAACTCTTATAACTAATAAATAAATTTAGTAAAGTTGCAAGGTACAATATCAACATACAAAAATGAATGGTCTTTCAATGTGGAAATAATGAAGTAGCTGGGAAGGAAATTAAGAGGGAAATCTCATTTATAATCTAATTTATAATAGATAAATAAAATAAAATAGGTAGGAATAAATTTAACCAAGGAAGTGAAAGACCTATACAAGGAAAACTACAAAACACTGAAGAAAGAAATTGAATAGTACACAAATAATTGAAAAGACATCTTATGCTCATGAATCAGAAAAATTAGAATCATTAAAATGACTGTATTACCCAAAGCAATGTACATATTCCGTGCAATTGCTATCAAAATATCAATGTTATATTTTACAGAAATTTTTAAAAATCCTAAAATTTGTATGAAACAAAAAAGAACTCAACTATCTAAAGCAAAAAGAATAAAGCTGGGGGCATCACACTACCTGACTTCAAAATATATTGCAATGCTATAGTAACTGGATATCTACATGCAGAAGAAAGAAACTAGACCCCTACCTTTCACCACGTACAAAAGCAACTAAAGATAGATAAAGACTTAAGCAAAAAAACTCAAAACCGTTAAACTACTGGAAGAAAACATAGGGAAACACTTCAGTACATTGGTCTAGGCAAAAATATTATGATTAAGACCTCAAAAACACAGGCCACAAAAACAATTGTAGACAAATTGAACTGTATTAAACTAAAAAGCTTCTTCACAATGGAAACAGTTAATGGAATAGAGAGAAAACCTATTGTTGAATGGGAGAAAATACTTGCAAAGTATTCATCTGACAAGGGACTAGTAAAAAGAATATGCAAGAAACTCAACAGTAAAAACAAAACCTATTAAAAAGTGGACAAAGAACATGAATAGACATTTCTTAAAAGAAGAGATACAAATGGCCCACAGATATATGTAAAAATGATCAGCATAGCTAGTCATCATGAAAATGCAAATCAAAACCACAAAGAGATATTATCTTATTCCAGTTAGCATAACTATAATCAGAAAGATTTTAAAAAACATGCTGGTGATGATGCGATGAAAAGGGAACTCATACACTTTGGTGGGAATGTAAATTAGTACAGCCAGAATACAAAACAATACAGATTTTTCTTAAAAAAACTAAAAATAGAACTACTATATGGTCCAGCAGTCCCTCTACTGTTTACTTATCCAAAGGAAAATAGTATATCAAAGGGATACCTGCATCTTCATGATTTCTGCAGCACTATTGACAAAAGCAAAAATGTGGAATCAAGTGAGCGAAATGTTCATCAACAGATGAATGGATAAAGGAAATGGGATATATATATACACAATAGAATACTATGTTATCATTATAAAGAATAATATGGAGAATGAAATCATGTCATAGAAAAGAAAGAAATTATGTCACTTGCAGCAACTGAGAGGAGTGTGTCAGTAGGAGAGAGAGTGTTAAGAGACATTGGTTAACAGGTACAAACATAGAGTCGGATAGAAGAAATAAGTTTTAATGTTTGATAGCAGAGTAAGGTGACTTTAGTTAACAACAATGTGTTGTATATTTCAAAATAGGTGGAAGAGAGGACTTGAAATATTCTCAATACATAGATATGATAAATATTCAAGGTGAAGGGTATTTCAAATACCCTGACTTGATCATTATACATTTTATGCCTGTAATAAAATATCACAGGTAACCCATAAATAAGTATAATATTATGTACCAAGAAAAAATAGTGTACAAGACTTCCACATTAAATCTATAAAATATTACTGAATTATTGAATATCTATCTAGATAAATGAAATGATATATCTTATTGATAGACTAGATCCCTTAACACTGTTAAGATACACATTTCCCCAAATTGATTTATAGATTTCTATAATACCAATAAAAATTTAAGAGGCTTTTGAGGTAGAAACTGACATGCTCATCCTAAAATGTGTGTGAAAATGCAAAAGACCTTAAATAGTCAAAACAATGTTGAAAAAAAAGAAAAAAGTTGAAGAATTTATCCAACTGGATTTCAATAATTAACTATAAAGCTTAAAAGAACAGTATGGTATTGGACTATATTAAACTAAAAAGCTTCTGTTCAGAGTAGAAATATAATTCAATGGAATAGAATATAATTTAGAAATCGACAAACCCGCATATAATCATTTGGTTTTTGATGAAGGCACACACAATACAATAAATAGCACTAGAAAAACTGAATATGCATGTGGAAATAATAAATCTTTACTCTTGGCCAGGTGTGGTGTCTCATGCCTGTAATCCCAGCACTTTGGGAGGCCAAGATGGTTGGATCACCTGAGGTCAGGAGTTCGAGACCAGCCTGGCCAACATGGTGAAGCCCCATCTCTACTAAAAATAATAATTAAAAAATTAGCTGGGCATGGTGGTGGGTGCCTGTAGTCCGAGCTACTTGGGAGGCTGAGGCTGGAGAATTGCTTGAACTTGGGAGGCGGAGGTTGGAGTGAGCCGAGTTCATGCTATTGCACTCCAGCCTGGGCCACAACAGTGAAACTCCATCTCAAAAAAAAATATTAAAAAAATAAAAAAATCATTACTTTTTTCTCATGCCACACATAAAAGTAATTTGATAAATATCATATACCTAAAAATGAAAGCTAGAATTATGAAAATTCTGAAAAAAAGGTTCAGAGAAAATATTTCTAACCTTTGAGTAGAAAAATATTCTTAGGACACAAAAAAGCATGAACCTTTTTTAAAAAGCATTGATAAATTGGACTTATTTAAAATTAAAACCTTATCCTCTTCCAGACACCGTAAAAAAAAAAAAATGAAGAATGAAAAGGCAAGCCTTCAACTGAGGAAAAACATTTAAGTAACTCTCTTTCTCAACTCAATAATTAGACAAAAAACAATCTCAAAATGTGCAAAGGCATGAATAGACGTTTCACAAATTAAGATACTTGGATTGGTAATAAGCACATAAAAACGTACTCAGCATCATTAATAATCTGGGCCAGGTGTGCTGGCTTACTCCTGCAATCCCAGCACTTTGGGAGGCCGAGGCGAGTGGATCACGAGGTCAGGAGATTGAGGCCATCCTGGCCAACATGGTGAAACCCCGTCTCTACTAAAAATACAAAAAAATTTAGCTGGGCATGGTGGTGCATGCCTGTAGTCCCAGCTACTTGGGAGGCTGAGGCAGGAGAATCGCTTGAACCTGGGAGACAGAGGTTGCAGTGAGCCAAGATCAAGCCAGTGCACTCCAGCCTGGTGACAGAGTGAGACTCCGTCTCAAATAATAATCATCATCATCATCATCATCATCATCATCTAAGAAATGAAAATTAAAACCATAGTGAGATACCATTTCATGCCCATTAGAATACATAAAATTTAAAAGACTGAAAATATCAAATGTTTGTGAGGATGTGGAGTAATTAGAAATCAAAAGAAATAAAAATACATCCTTACAAAACAATTGGTACCTAAATGTTCATAGCAGCTTTATTCATAATAGCTAAAATTTGGAAACCACTCAAATGTTTATTAGTAGGAGAATGGAAAACAAAACATGACGTATCCATTCAACAACATTTTATTCAGCAATTTAAAGGAACAAACTAGTGATAAATGCAACAACATGGGTGATTCTCAAAAATTTTATTGTGTGAAAAAAATATACAAGAGTACACTCCCTGTTTTCCACCTATATTATATTCAAGAATGTGCAAAATCAATCTCTAGTGATAAAAATAATATCAGTGGTTACCAAAAGTGGGGGCAGGAAGGGTGAATTTATTGCAGAGGAGCATAAGGGAATTATCTGTAGTGATAGACATGTTCTGGAAAGACAGATAGATGATAGAAAGATAGATTAGATAGATAGATAGATAGATAGATAGATAGACAGACAGACAGACAGACAGATCTAGATATACATATTAGAGACAAGGTCTTGCTCTGTCACCCAGGCTGGAGCACAGTGGTGCCATCATAGCTCACTGCAGCCTCAAACTCTTGGGCTTAAGGAATCGTCTCTCCTCAGCCTCCTGAGTAGTTTGAATTACAGGTGCACACGACCACAACCAGCTATTTTTTTTAAGTGTCTGTACAGATGGGGTCTCACTATGTTGCCCAGACTGGTCTTGAACTCCTGGCCTCAAGCCATACCTCCCATCTCAGCCCCCAAAGTTCTGGGATTACAGGATGAGCCACTATGCCCAGCCCTGAGTCTATATATTTTTAAACGCTCATTGAACTGCACACATAAAATGTGCATTGTTGTGTAAATTGTACTTTGTTCATGTTATCTTAAAATGGTGACTTTGGGCCATTATTCATGCAAAATCTCCAGGCATTGTTCATTTACTTATTTATTCCCATAATTATTTCATATTTGTTATAAACAAGACAGATACAGGCTCTTTCCAAAGCTTTCAGTCCGGCAAAGACAACAATTGAAGTTCTCTGATCACAAATAGAAGTGATGAGTATTTAATAAGGAAATTCAGAGCACCTAACTCAGTCTAGAATCAGAAAATGATGCCCAGGTGAGGTGAAGTTTTAGCTGAGACTGAGAGAATGATTAAGATGTAGCTTAAGACAAACAAGGGCAAGTCAAATCCTGGATGTGAGAGAGTGTGGGATGTGATAAAGGAACATGAAGAGCACAGTACATGTGCAAATAGTGGCCATATAGGACCACGATGTAGATATAGGAGAGAATCATTAGAGATGCTAAGGCATTTTAGAGTTCATTCACTGAATGATTGGAAGTATTAAAAGATTTTAAAAGAGAAATGTGATCATACTTTATTTTAGAGACATCATTCTGGCTGCATTATGAATGGATGGTTTGGAGGAAGAATGTGGATAGCTAAACAAGAAGGAGAATAGAAAGAAACTACTCTTAAGACTATTGCAATATCCAGGTAAGACATGATGGTGGCTTCCATAAGGGATATAGCAAAGAACGATGAAGAGCAGGGAATGAATATGAGAGATTCTAAGAAAGTCAATTAATTGAGATTATACATCGGGATGAGAGAAGGAAGTGATGGTGCCCGGGTTCTGGCTTCAGCAAACTGAGTAAATGATAGTGCTGTTTCTTGAGCTAGGAACCTGGGAGGTGGAAAAGGTCATATGGCAAAAATGATGAGTTTGGTTTGGAGATTACAGAGTTTGAAGTATCATGTTTCTTTTTATTTTCCTTAGTGTTATCTCAGGACCAAGGAATTAATGGTAAGCTCTATCTATTTCACTTAACTGACTTCAAGCTATTCAAGCAATATGTTCAGTATTAAATGATTTATCAGATTATACCCCCAAATTAATTGACTCTGGTTAATTCAGTGTCTAATTAGGCCACATATTCCCACTGGGAAGAATTTTCTTTCTTCCCTTTTTTTCTGTTAAGACTGAACCTATAAAGCAAAGCACTGACTTCCCCATTGATTCCAATGGTCTTCACACAAATGCAAGAGCAGATGGCTTGTAAAAGTAAAATATAAAATTGTCATGTTCATTCTGTGCTCCCAAGGAGCTCTCTCAGGCTGGGAGAATGTGGCCAGGCATGGCAGAAACTAACAGTCTAGACAACTGTTTTTAGAACATGGAAAAAATAATGAGAGGTGATGAAACACAATCTCATTCTCACACATCACCAGTTCCTTAGGAAGGCCAGCAAAGAGCAACACTCAGCAGAAAGACAGTCTGCACTGCTCAGGAAACCTTCTGTTTCAATAACTGTTTACAGCTAGAGCAGAACAACGGGGCTGAGGCCTTACTATATTCACTGGGAAAACTACTGGGGCCTAGATCATGCCTTTCATTGTTGCAGTTCTTCAATCAATTGATTGGGTGCTTTAGCTTCCTTTTTACTTCAAAATCCCAGAATAACTCCATGGTGTCAGAGTTGGAAAACCTACCAGCAAAAGGGCCTTCTAACCCACCATGCACATTGTCAGATTCAGTTGGTACAGACACCAAGTCTTGCAAAATTGGAAGATATGTGATGTTGTGCCCCCAGTTTCCCTTGTCCCTGTTTTCCTAGCTACCTAGGGCTCTTATGCTGTCCCTTCCATAATGGAAGGAGAATTTGGTCAAACAGAAATGTTTCATTCACTCAATTTGTTTTCAGGCCCAGTTTATTTTAAAAGAGAAGTTTGGAGAAAAAAAATATTTATCTAAAATGAATTAGCCACTAACATACTATGAAGAAATTTCTATAGGAATAGAAAAGTGAGAAATATTAAAAAGCAAATGGACCTTCTCTTCACCCTCATAAAGGTTCTAAGCGGGATTTGGTGCTGGGACTCTTACAGTTTATGGCCAGCAGCTCATACAAGGTAGTGAATCAAAGGAGATAAGGTATCAACTTTATCATTAGTCAAGTTTGTTTGGGTAGCCTTGCAGAGTCTCTAACTGTGCAGAGACTTTTATTACCCTGCCCACCCTGAATCGTGAATGTAGAACCTGGAAATTTGCAACTTGAGGCATTTACTGCAAGGGAGAAGTAGGCCATATGAAAAGACAAGTAAAACATTATTTTACAAATAAAATTTTACAAGAGACTTCAGATGTTGGAAGAATTGACTTATCAAATAAAAAAATAAGATGTTTAAGTTATAAAACCACCAATTTCCCAAGGTTATAATAATATGTCGATGGTGAAGAAAATGGTATATAATCAAATAATTACTAAATCTGCAAAGTTGTTACGTATCAGTACTGCAAATGACAGGGATAGAGTTATTTGTGTTAGAAAATCAGCACCTTGAAAAACAGGAATCAAGGTTTCATCTATGGGGGACCTGTGCCAGACAGAATGACTCATTTTGATTTTTGTTCTTTCCAGGTGCAATGTGCTTTGTTTCTGACTGCAGACTATAATGTTTATTCCTATTGGGGGCAGAGCAAGATTTCAGTTTCTTTTCTCAGCAACAAGAAAATACTCTGTCTGAAATCAAGCAACTTCTGGGAAGACCAAGAGTGATGGAAACTAGAGTTACAAAGCAAAAACCCTACATCCTGAATGCCCAGCCCGGTCAATGAAATTTTTCTGTCTCATTTATCAGCTAACTTGGTCCTCTTCCCCTGGGAACAAAACTGAGAAGGGTTAAGAGATAATGTGGAAACAAACTCCCCAGCACTTGCCTAAGAGGGCAGCTGTGTACCCAGACCTTCTTTCCTCTATGTCATTGTACTAGAAAGAGAGAGTTCCATACTCTTTAATCTGAATAGTTGGCACTCACTTAAAAAAGAATGCAGCCTGATTCCTCTCTGCCCCTCTAGCTATTTCCAGAAAGTTGTTCATGGGATGAATTGGTAAGTAAAGAATTCAGACACTGGTTCTGATTAAGGGATCTTATAAATGATTTATAACCTTTGGGAACATCAAAGACAGCACTCATAAGCCAGGCAAGCTAAGGGGTGCTCAGGAGTAAAATGCACCTCCCCATCTCACAAATCCATTGTTTTGATGAAAGGATAAGAGGCAGTTGGCCTGGGAAGGTGAAAAGGCAGGAAAAGAGTGGGAAGTCAGCTCCTAGGATAATAACCACATCCACAGGCATTGTCTCCTTTCACATATTTACAGCTTTTCTTTCTTATCTTTCCACACCTCTATATTCAGTTATGTATGACCTACTAGCAATTTACAGCTGCTTTAAATGCATACATTTCAGGTAGGGTGTGTTGACTTATGCCTGTAATCCCAGCGCTTCGGGAGGCTGAGGTGGGTGGATCACTTGAGGTCAGGAGTTCAAGATCAGCCTGGCCAACATGGCAAAACCCCATCTCTACTAAAAATACAAAAATTAGCCAGTCTTGGTGGTGCACAGCTGTAATCCCAGCTACTCGGGGGGCTGAGGCAGGAGAATGGCTTGAACCCAGGAGGCAGAGGTTGCAGTGAGGTGAGATCACACCACTGTACTCCAGTCTGGGCAACAGAAAGAGACTCCATCTCAAACAAACAAACAAACAAATAAATAAATAAATGCATACATTGTATCAGAAATTATCTCCCATATTGATGAGTCTTCCATGGGCATCTAATTTAAATATTTTTTTCTGAAAAGCAAAAGGTGCTCTATTATGTTGCTGGTGAGAGTGCAAAATGGTATAGCCTCTAAAGAGATTAATGTAACAATAACTGTTAGAACCATATATGCAATCACCCTTTGACCTAGCAACCTCACTTCTAGGAATTCATCTTGAAGACATATCTCTCTATATGTAGGCAAAATGGAAGCTATTCAATGTTACATTGTTAGTAATAGCAAGTTACTGTCTATTTTTGTATCTTTCAAATACATGTCTATTTATGTGAAAGGATAAACTGTGGTTTATCCACAAAATGAATTTTTATGAAGTTGTAAAAAAGAATGAGTGACATGTCCATGAACTGTCATGGAGTGATTTCCAGAACGTATTTTTAACTGAAAAAAAAAAAAAATCAAAGTGCAGAAGGGTGTATATGCTATGCTACATGTGCATAAGAAAGAAGGAGGAATGAGAATAGATATCACAAATTTGCTTACTTTTGTGAAAACAAAAAACAAATACGAAAGTAGAAAGGACATATAGAAACTAATGAAAATGGTTATCCATTGGGTAGAAATGGGAATGGGTGAAAAGCTAAAATGTTTCACATATTATTTGTAATTTGAGTTATGCAAATGCTGTACATATTGAAACAATAAAACTGAATTATTAAAAATAAAACTAAGGTTAGAAAAGCAAACTCTAAAATTGAATATGAAGATAAAAAATGAATCTGACTTCATATTAAATTGAATATAAATTCATATTAAATTGAATATTAAATTGAATATTAAATTCATTAAATTGAATATTAAACTGAATATTAAATTCATTAAATTGAATATTCATATTAAATTGAATATTAAATATAGCTATGCAAGGAGAGGAATTAATTCACATACTTTTGAAAACATTTGTTTTATCTTAATAGGGTCCATTATAAAAGAAAAAAGAACTGTAAAGAAATATTAAGCTGTACATAACAGTTTATTGCAGGCTGTAATATTGTTTTAATTCTGAAACTGTTTGATTTATAGTATGTGAAATAAGTATATTACTAAGAGGAACCAAGGGTTTCACTGTGAGAGATAAAGAAATATAAATATAACATTTGAATAGCTAAAGAAGAAACCATGTAATATCAAATTTGAATTAAAAATATCAGTGTGAGTTCTTTTTAATGTCCTTTGTTGTTGTGCATTGAGTACAAAACTTCTGTAAATTAATCTTGCCAGAAATGTTTAACCTGAACCTAAGCATGAGAAACCAGTTAGACACATCCAACTTGTTGGATATTATACAAGACAAGTGGTCTGTTCACTTCTAAAAAAAAGTCAATATCATAAAAAGCAAAACTAAAAACCAAGGAGACTACTATAAATTAAAGGAAATTAAAGAAAAATATACAAAAATTTACTCAAATGCATCATAGAACTAAACATAAAACTTAAAATTATAAGACTTTTATAAAAATACAGGAGAAATTATTTGTAACCTTTGGCTAGGATTTCTTAGATATGACATTGAAAGCATAACCTTTAAAAGAAAATGTTTGTAAATTCTACTTTATTGAAATTAAAAATTTCTACTATTCAAAAGACAATATTACAAAAATGAAAATGAAAACACGAGCCATAGAAGGGAGGAAATATTTACAAAACACATATTTGATAAGACTTGTGTCTATAATAAGACGTCAATAATAAGAAAACAATTTTTTTTTTTTTTGGAAGAGGTCTCTCACTTTGTGGCCCAGGCTGGAGTGCACTGGCGTTATCATGGCTCACTGCTGTCTTGACCTCCTCGGCTCAAGCAATCCTCCCACTTCAGCCTCCCAAGTAGTTGGGACTACATCACCATGCCTGGCTAATTTTGTTGTTGTTGTCGTTGTTTTTGTAGAGATGGAGTTTTACCATATTGCCCAGGCTAGTCTTAAACTCCTGGACTCAAGTGATCTGCCTGCCTCGGCCTCCCAAAATGCTGGGATTACAGGCATGAGCAACCACACCTGGCCAACAGTATTTTTAAGTGAGGAAAAAATAGAAGATTCCTATTGTCAAACATTTGGAAATCACAGACATAATTCACCCATAATACAGTTAATTACTTTTAAATAAAAATGTAAAGGGCGAGTCTTCCAGATTTTCAATGAATACATATATTATTTATATTTTAATTTATATTATCTTACAATTTGCTTTCTATTTATTCAACAGTAATATACAATATTGAACATTTTTCTATATCCTTTGATATCTGCAAGCCTGATTTTCAGTAGCTGGAAATGGAAAGGCCAAATTTATTATCTAATTTTATACATTAGGACATGTGTATAATGTCCAATTTTATACTGTTATAAGTCACACTATGATGAACATTTTTGTACATAACTAACCATATTTCAGTTCATTTCTTTAGGTTATTATATATCCACAGATATGACATTCAATTCTATAAAAATTATGTACATTTTAATTTATTTTATTTTTGTACATGGGAAGCTCCTATCTTAACTCATTAAATTCAATAAATTTTGTATTTCTACAACAGAAAGCCAACAAAGGGAGTTGTTAGTACATATTTCCAGGAATGAAGTTGTCTGGATGCAGCTAATGCCTCCATAGAACTGACAGTGCTGAATTTACGAAATGGAAAGAGTTCTGGAAAAGCAAGAAAAAAAGTCTTGTTTGAAACCCCACGTCTACTGTAGGCACAGAAGGGAATGGAGGCATCTGAGCATTTTATTTTCCATCTCTACAGCACCTCAGAACACCTACATTTTATTTTTTTTCTTCTCAGAAATGTCTTAATAAGAGGACTGCAGTGTACTCAAGTTTCCCAATGACAGGGTAGGGATGCCAACCTTCTCTTTCATTGGCAGCTCATAGTATCCAAGTTTCTCAAAACCCTAAGCCATCTTATTTGTTCTTTGGAACTTTGTGGCCTACCACAGTGCAATTCTCATTCGGTGTTTAATAAAATATTTGTTAGCTCTTTTCTAATTGAGAAGGTTCTGTTCTTTTCGCCTCAAGAAATCACTTAGAATACAAATAGCAGTGCACAATAATTAGATTTCATTGAATGTAATTGATTTGAATGTTCATGAAACAGTGCCTCCAGTATGTTTTGTTTCACTTAAACTTTGATGACACTTGAGAAGTTGCCTTGCCTTACCTATCTGCCACCCCACCACTCCTCAGCATCCGATAGGCTGCTGTTCCTGTGCCATCACTGTTGTTTGTCTGAAAGCCTTTTAATTCGCTGTGGGTGAAGTTGAATAGGAGTGCTCAGATCTTCTAGCTCTACCACCTCACATGTTAGTAGTTAAGGGAACCATCTCCTTAGGTCAACAATAAAGAATAATTAAATTCAATTTTTTTCCCTTGATGAGAACCACTAAAATGTCCTTTTGCATCAGAGCCCTAGCACTACCCTTTTCTCCCATTTCTTCTCAAGCAATCTGAAAGCAATCTTTATTTATAGTAAGAAATGAAAGAGGAGAGTTTAACAAGCCAGAGTTGGGAAAGTTTGCTGAGGTCAATGCCACTGAAGCAATGTGCATTTGCTCTTTGAAACAAAAAATTTTAATTTGATATTGAAATATGTTCATAGAATTCTTTGGCCACATGTCTGATTTGATCGAGGTAGAGTAAATGGGTTTGTATTGTATTCTAACTAGTATCTTGATATATCAATGAAGCAAATTATGAGCCTGCCTCTCAGGCAGGTTGGACTCCAAATTTCCTTTGTATCTTTCTATACTATTCTCATCCACTGGCACAAGCATAACTCTCAAAAACTGTAGAGAATTGCTTACCCATGGCTACTGCCAACCTATGGAAAAATCCTCTGCGCTGTTTCAAAATATCCCAGCAACTTGCTGTCTGGAAACAATTAGAGGCTGGTGAGGAGGAGTATCTGCAGCCCTTCTTTTCAACACTCTCTCCCTTTATCTCTTTTGAGTTAGAGGCAGTACAGTCCATGAACACACGGAGGAAAAGAAGGTCCTTTGCAGAAAAACAATAGGCCCAAGGCCCACTTTGTGAGAGTTTGGGGTGAAAAAGAAACTTCTCTGTCTACCCAACATCATCCTTAACCTTTTACATGGAAAATTTGTAAAATGAGCACTGGGGACAATTATAATTGAGAAACATAAAAATGGTGTCCCAGGATGGCAAAGCTGAACAGAAGAACAGATAGAGCAAGGTCTGGAATGAAAAAACCAGCCTTGCTTTTCATGCCTGAGTTTCCACCTGGTGAAGGAAAATGGGTTGATTGCATCAACTATTTTTTTTAATTTTTAATTTTTGTAGGTACATATTAGGTGGGAATTCACTAAATGTTTATATCAGTGAGCTACCTCCTCTCTGTGTCACTGCCTTGTTTCTCAAATTATGATCATGCATCACCTGCATTAGCATTACCTGAGGATCCTAAAATAATTGCAGCGATCTAGGTGGAGGCCAGGGATCTACATAGTTAATTATCCTCAGATGATTTTGTTTTTACAATGTGTAAGGTCTAATGTAAGAGTGCCTGTGGTAGCAAAAAAAAAAAACCCTGAAGAGAGGTGTATTAGTCCATTCTCACACTGCTATAACAAACTACCTGAGACTGGGCAATTTATGAAGAAAATAGGTTTAATTCATCAAAAGCAATTGCAACAAAAGCAAAAATTGACAAATGAGATCGAATTAAACTAAAGAGCTTCTCCACAGCGAAAGAAACTATCATCAGAGTGAATAGACAACCTTCAGAATGGGAGAAAATTTTTGCAATCTATCCATCTGACAAAGGCCTAATATTCAGAATCTACAAGGAACTTAAACGGATTTACAAGAAAAAAACAAACAACCTTATCAAAAAGTGGGCAAAGGATATGAACAGATACTTCTCAAAAGAAGACATTTGTGTGGCCAACAAACTTATGAAAAAAAGCTCAACATCATTGATCATTAGAGAAATGCAAATCAAAACCACAATGTGATACCATCTCACACCAGTCAGAAAGGCGATTATTAAACAGTCATGAATCAATAGATGCTGGCGAGGCTGTGGAGAAATAGAAACACTTTTACACTGTTGGTGGGAGTGTAAATTAATTCAACCATTATGTAAGACAGTGTGGTGATTCCTCAAAGACCTAAAGACCTAATACCATTCCACCCAGCAATCTTATTACTGGGTATATACCCAAAGGAATGTAAATCATTCTATTATAAAGATACATGCATGTGTATATTTATTGCAGCTATATTCACAATAGCAAATACATGGAATCAACTCAAATGCCCATCAGTGATAGACTGGATAAAGAAAATGTGGTACATATACACCATGGAATACTATGCAGCCAAAAAAAATGAGATCATGTCTTTTTCAGGGACATGGATGAAGCCTGAAGCCATTATTCTCAGCAGACTAACACAGGAACAGAAAACCAAACATTGCATTTTCTCACTTATAAATGGGAGCTGAACAATGAGAACACATGGACACAGGGAGGGGAACAACACACACTGGGGGCTGTCAGGGGGGTAGAGGGAGGAAAAGCATCACAATAAATAGCTAATGCTTGTAGGGCTTAATACCTAGGTGATGGGTTGATAGGTGCAGGAAACCACCATGGCAAACATTTACCTATGCATCTTGCACATGTATCCCAGAACTTAAAATAAAATAAAATAAAATAAAATAATTTTAAAACAAAAATAGGTTTAATTGACTCAAATTGCACAGGCTTAATAAAAAGCATGACTGGGAGGACTCAGAAAACTTACAATCATGGTGGAAGATGAAGGGGAAGTAAGCATATCTTACTATGGTGGAGCAGAAGAGAGAGAATGAAGCAGAATTGCCACACACTTTCAAACAACCAGATCTCATGAGAACCCACTCATTATTATGAGAAGAGCAAGGGGGAAGTCCACCCCCACGATTCAATCACCTCCCACCAGGCCCCTCCTCCACATGTGGGGATTACAATTCAAGATGAGATTTGTGTGGGGACACACAGCCAAATCATATCATTCCCCCACTCCCCGGGCCCTCCCAAATCTCATGTCCTTTTCACATTTCCAAACCAATCATGACTCCACAGTAGTCTCCAAAAGTCTTAACTCATGCCAGCATTAACTCAAAAGTCCAAATCCAAAGTCTCATCTGAGACAAGGTAAGCTCCTTCCACCTATGAGCCTGTAAAAATCAAAAACAAGTTATTTACTTCCAAGATACAATGGGGGTAGAGGCATTGGGTAAATGCTCCTATTCAGAAAAGGAGAAATTTCCCAAAACAAAGGGAATAGAGGCCCCATACACATCTGAAACCCAGCAGGGCAATCATTAAATCTTAAAGCTCAAAAATAATCTCCTTTGACTCCATGTCTCACAAACATACTGATGAAAGGGGTGGTCTCCCAAGGCCTTGGGCAGCTCTTCCCCTGTGGCTCTGCTCGGCATAACCCCACCATCTGCTTTCACAGGCTGGTGTTGAGTGCTTGCAGCTTTTCCAGGTATAAGTTGCAAGCTTACAGTAGATCTACCATTCTGGTGTCTGGAGAACCAGGCCCTCTTCTCACTACTCAACTAGGGCAGTACCCCACTGGGCATCTGCGTGGGGACTCCAAACCCACATTTCCCCTCTGCACTGCCCTAGTAGAGGTTCACCATGAGGGCTCCGCCCCAGCAGCAGACTTCTGTCTGGACATCCAGGCATTTCCATACATCCTCTGAAGTCCAGGTGAAGACTCCCAAACTCTTGCCTTCTGCACACCCACAGGCCCAACACCACATGAAAGCTGCTGAGGTTTGGGGCTTTTACTTTCTGAAGCCATGGCCTGAGATGTATCTTGGGCCCTTTTAGCCACAGCTGGAAGTGGAGCAGCTGGGACACAGGGCACCATGTCCTGAGGCTGCACAGAGTAGCAGAGCCCTGGGCCTGGACCATGAAACCATTTTTCCCTCCTAGACCTCTGGGTCTGTGATGGGAGGGGCTGTTGTGAAGGTCTCTGATATGACCTGGAGACATTTTCCCCATGGTCTCAGCTATTAACACTCAGTTCCTGTTTACTTATGCAAATTTCTGCAGCTGGCTTGAATTTCTCCCCAGAAAATGGCTTGTTCTTTTCTATCACATGTTCAGGCTGCAAATTTTCCAAGCTTTTATGTTTTGCTTCCCTCTTAAACATAATTTCCAATTTCAGACCATCTCTTTGTGAATTCATAAGACTGTATGCTGTTAGGAGCAGCCAGGTCACATCTTAAATGCTTTGCTGCTTAGAAATTTCTTCCACCAGATATCCTAAATAATTTATCTCGAGTTCAAATTTCCACAGATCCTTATAGTAGGGGCACAATGACACCAGCCTCTTTACTAAAGCATAGCAAGGGTGATCTTTGCTTCAGTTCCTAATAAGTTCCTCATCTCTGTCTGAGACCACCTCAGCCTGGACTTCACTTTCCATATCACTATCAGCATTTTGGTCACAACCATTCAACAAGTCTCTAGGAAATTCCAAACTTTCCCTCATCTCCCTATCTTCTTCTGAGCACTCCAAACTGTTCCAACTTCTGCCCATTATACAGTTCCAAAGTTGCTTCCACATTTTCAGGTATCTTTATAGCAGTATTCCACTCTACTGGTACGAATTTTCTGTATTAGTCCATTCTTACACTGCTATAAAGAACTACCTGAGACTGGGTAATTTATGAAGCAAATAAGTTTAATTGACTCACAGTTCCACACTTAAGAAACATGACTAGGAGGCCTCAGAAAACTTACTATCATGGCAGAAGGTGATGGGGAAACAAGCACATCTTACCATGGCAGAGCAGGAAAGAGAGAGTGAAGTGGAAGCGTCACACACTTTCAAACAACCAGATCTCCTGAGAACTCACTCACTATCACGAGAATAGCAAGGGGGAAGTCAACCCCCATGATTCATTCACCTCCCACAAGACCCCTTCCCCGACATGTGGGATTACAATTTGAGATGGGATTTGGTGGGGGACCCAAAGCCAAACCATATGAGAAGGCATACATTCTAAATTTAGAAGAGCTTTTGGGTGGCCTATGATGGACTGAAGTTTCTGGAAAATCTTTGTTTGTATGTGTGCCTACATTCATTTTTCCAGTAACCTAGTTTAAATCTTTAATCAGATCCCTAAATGAATTCTTTTTTTTTTTTTTTTTTTTTTTTTTTTTGAGAAGAGTCTTGCTGTGTTACCCAGGCTGCAGTGCAGTGGCACAATCTTGGCTCACTACAAACTCCAAATCCTGGGATCAAGTGATTCTCCTGCGTCAGCCTCCCAAGCAGCTGGGACTACAGGCACCCTCCACAATGTCCAGCTAAATTTTTTTGTATTTTTACTGGAGACGGGGTTTCGCTATGTTGAGCAGGCTGGTCTTGAACTCCTGACCTCGTGATCCACCTGCTTCGGCCTCCCAAAGTCCTGGGATTACAGGCTTGAGCCACCATGTCTGGCTCCTAAATGAAATCTTGACTCCCCACAGAATGTTAAGAACCATTTGTTCTTGGAATGCTCAAGTTGATATCAGGAATAGAGGCAGCTTTCCTAAAATAAAATGTCTTGAAAAACCTCCTCACCTACTCTTATTCCATTTCTTCTCCCCTGCAGCAACCATCCAACCTCCGAACTAGACATGAAAAATGTCAAGACTCATGAAAATCTGAATTACTAAATCTATTTAGTTTGTAAGCAATCCAAATGATTCAGTGTATATATTAATGACTTTCCTTTTTGAGGTAAATGATTGCCTCAAACCAGAAAACAAAAGGTTAATTTTATCCTCTGCTCACATTACAAAAGCAAAATCAGTGTTGAGGCAGTCATTCTGCTTCTGCAAAAACCAAAGTGGTTTCTGAGAAATCTCTTGCCACTTTGAAGAGTGAACAATTATAACACTCATGATTAGAGAAATGAGATTAATTGGCTCAGAGTGTGATGTGAGAGTGTGTTCTTTAATGAAGATGGCTGCACAAAGTGGATGCACACAAACGCATATCCAGAATGGTTCAGAGGGCATGGGTTGTACTTCTCAAAAAAAGTGTGCTTAGAAAACTCTATGACTAGAATATCTTGGGAAATCTGTTAAAAATGCCAATTCCTTATACCCAACCAGTCCTTAAGAATCAGAATTGCTGGTGATGGTGTCAGAGATTCAGCAAGTTAGAACAAACACCCAGAAAATTAATTTCTGTGAAACATTCTGGAGTTTGCCAGTTTTGAGGACAACACTTCTTCTGAGGCATCATTATATAATGATTAAGGTTATGCAATAGAGAAGGCAATGCTATTGAGCCCAGAACCTAGCTTAAAGATAACTAACAATAGAAGACCTAGTCTTACCCATGGGGAATTTATAGTCATATTCAGATGTTTATTTCAGAAGGTTGAGAATTGAAGAATGACTCTGTAATCATAAAAATTCCATTTTGGACACAATTAGGAAACATATTACACCTTTACAAGTAGTGGATATTTTTAAACTTCATTATCCTACATTTGAGACATCGCAATTAATTTCTCATTCTTGCAAACGAAGAGCCCAACCTAGGTGTGAATGAATAAATCTCAAAATTATATGGCAGTTTAAATTCCATCTCTAAGGCTTTCTGATTGATGAGGGATATTCAGAAGTGAATCAGTTCATCCCCTGGTCTGTAGACAGGCTTTGGGAGGGGTGAAAACTCCATGAATTATGGTTTACTATTCTCAGAATGATGTGTCTGTGAAACCAGAGAATCCATTCTGAGTTGGTCAGTCTTAAGGGAAACAAAACATTTCTGTTTTTCATTCCTTTCCTTTTATTAGTCTCTGATATTGTCAGTGCCCAGAGCTCAGGTTCAGATGTTTCTCAGATGGTCAATGTTTTCACACCAAAGCATTTTTAAGGAAGTTGCGAATATATCCACACCCATAAATAACATAATTCACTTGTCATCAGATGATTCGTTGAGATTGTTTGCTATGACTTCTTGTCTATTTTCACTCCCTCCAAATGGCTATGCAAAGCAGAGACCTGCCTCCTGGAAATAAACTTGTTGTTTAACATTTGCTTCATTTAAAAAAAATAAAAAAGATTGTCAAAGCAAGGCAGTATATCCACCAGAACACGTAAACAGATTCAATAGCTATAAACTGATGTCAAAGAGTCACGTGCACCTGCCTGCAGCCACAAACTTCTGTGGCAACAGTTTCAGAGCAGTATGTGCTGAAAGACCTTTTACTAGTCTCTCCATCAAGTTAATGGGCTTATTTATTCTTCTCCCCAAAAGACTGAGGTATTAGAGTATAATACATGTGCTAACTCATCTCTGATAATATAGGCAGCAACCCCTAACTTGTCATTACTGTGGTAGGCAGAATAGTAGTCCCCAAAAGACACCCATCTCCTAATCTCAAGAACCTGTGAATATGTTATTTTACATATCAAAGAGTAAAGATAGCAGGTTTACTCCAATTAAGATTGCTAATCGGCTGACCTAAAGAAAGGATTATTCTGAATTAGCCAAGCAAGACCAATGTGATCAGAAAGGAACTTAAAAGAGGAAGATGGAGGCCAAAGAGTCAGTGTCAGTGATGTCATATGAAAAGAACTCAGCTTTCCATTGCTATGAGCCATGCAATATCATCAGTCTCTAGAGGCTGGAAAAAGCAAGGAAACAAATTCATCTTTAGTGCCTCCAGAATGCAACACCCTGCCAATACCTTGATTTTAACCAGTGTGACCTATTTAGACTTCTGATCTACAGAACTTTAAAATAACAAATTTGCATTGTATTAACCAATTATGTGGTAATGTGTTGTTACAGCAGCGATAGGAAACTAATACATTCATCTAGATATTTACATCTTTTTTGCCATTTCCCTTTCAGAAAAAATAATTATTTAATTAAAAAATTAACCTGAGTTTTTCTCAAATGGAGAGGAGCTTTCAGATTTTTTTCCTTGTTTCTTTTTAATTGCTCCTAATATCTAAAGATTGCTTTACATAACTCTCTTGGAGTAGATAGACAATGACAATAATGATGAGATAAAAAGAAAGAAATCTGGAGCATTTAAAGGGATTCAGCTTTTTGGCAGGGAGTAATGCTCAAATCTGGGCTTGTAACATTAGGTGCTCTGGATATCTGAGAGGAAAGCAGGATATAGAATAAAAAAGATGCCCAATCAGGAGAAAGTTCAGCTTCCAGCATTGGCTATGAAGAGAACCTGTTTTGACTGTGTTCATGGCATTCAAAATCTCTTAGCAATAGTTGAGTTTTGACGAAGTCTCCTGAGGCTTTATATAAAGGAAGATAGCATTTATAGATTTAACTTCTTATTCTGTTGCTTATTTCTACGTGAAGAACTAGCTGAGATTCTATTCTCTCCCTTGCCTACCAGCTTCACTGTGTTCAGAGGTGCTGGCTTAATAACTCTCCTTTTCTTACCACTTTCTCCTGCTGGCTATAAAAGTCACCATACTCTCCACCCTGAAATTGTCAATTCCTGTTGCTTTGAAAATGAAGGTTCTTTTAATTTCATTCATTCCACAAAAATATAACATTTTAAATTAATTAAGTGCTTTTTTTGCCTTTGTCAACTTTGAAAAATTGTCAAAGCAACCTTCTGTAGGACATAAAATCTTAGGACAGGTCCTGAAACAATTTAACCTAGATAAAAGCGTTAATGTTGGCCAGGCATGGTGGTTAAGCCTGTAATATAAACACTTTGGGAGGCCGAGGTGGGCCGATTGTCTGAGGTTCGGAGATCAAGATCAGCCTGGCCAACGTGGTGAAGCCCCATCTCTACTAAAAATACAAAAAAAAATTAGCCGGGCGTGGTGGTGGGTGCCTATAATCCCAGCTACTCAGGAGGCTGAGGCAGGAGAATCACTTGAACCCAGGAGGCGGAGGTTGCAGTGAGCCAAAATTGCGCCAGTGCACTCCAGCCTGGGCAGCAGAGCAAGACTCCGTCTCAAACAACAACAACAACATCAACAAACAACAACAGAGCTAATGTTTATGGAGTAACTAATAATATGTGTCATGTTCTTTACTAGGTACTTAAATATTATCCCATATAATATCTAAAATAATTCTATAAGTTATACATGTATACAATGTTTATTTTTCACATGAAGAAACATTGGCTCAGATAAGTCATATAATTTTCCCAATATCACCTGAACAGTAAGCAGCATAGCTGGAATTGAAAAACAGGTCTGTCTGATTATCTTTCCTTCTCTTTCCTCAGCAGTATATTGTTTTAGTGCTAAGCAAGTGATAAATATGATAGTGAAGCTGATACCTTCATTGTAGGGGCTGGTGCAACATATATTTTTTAAATATAATTTTTAAATAGACTTTTTTTTTACAGCCATTTTAGGCTTCCAGAAAAATGAGTGTAAAATACAGAGTTCCCATATGCCACTCTTCTGCCTCCGCCATCTTCCCATGGTTTTTTCTATTATTAGCATCTTGCATTAGTGTGCTACATTTTTTACGGTTGATGAGACAATGTGAATACTTTAATGTTAACTAATGTCCATAGTATCATGATTCACTCTGTCTTATGTAGTTCTTTGGGTTCTAGCAAATTAGTAATGTTCTACAAATCATTACAATATCATATACAATAGTTTAACTGCCCCAAGTGCCCTTTGTTCAATCTATTCATCCCTCCTTCCTTACCCCGAGGCCCTTAGCTAGCACCAATCATTCACTGCCTCTATTGTTTTGCCCTTTTCATAAGGTAATATTGCTGGAATAATGTTGTATGTAGCTTGCTCAGACTGGCTTTTTTCACTTAGCAGTATGCAGTTAAAGTTCCTATGTGTCTTTTCATGGCTTGATAGATCATTTCCTTTTCTCTGAATAATACTCCATTGTCTGGATGTACTACAGATTGTTTATGCATTCATTTATTGAAGGACATCTTGGTTGCACCTAATTTTTGGTATTGATGTATAAAGCTGCTATGAACATTTATGTGCAGGTTTTTGTGTAGGTATGTTTTCAATTCATTTGGATAAATGCCAAGGAGCATGATTGCTGGATTATATGGTAAGCCTAAGTTGAGCTTTTCAGAAACTGCCAAATTGTTTCTCAAGCAATTATACCATGTTGCCTTCCAACTAGCAGTACATAAGTGTTGTTGTGCTCTGCATTCCTCATCAGTATTTGATGTTGTCAATGTTTGGAATTTTAGCCATTCTAATTGATATTTAGTGGTATCTCATTGTCAATGTAATTTGCAATTCCCTAATGACATATGGAGTTGAGCATATTCTTCTTTGCTAGCTATATATCTTCTTTGATAAGGTGTCCATTCAGGTCTTTTATCCATTTTGTAATTAGATTATTTGCTTTACTATTGAGTTTTAAGAATCCCTGGCATATTTTGGATAATAGTCCTTTATCAAATATCTTCTGAAGGTATTTTCTTCCAATTTATTGTTTGTCTTTTCATTTTCATAACAGTATCCTCTCAGGGCGGTAGTCTTTAATTTTAATAAAATCCTACTTGTTAATTTGTTCATGGATTGGCTTTTAATATTAAATCTAAAAAGTTATCACCAAACCCAAGCCACCTAGATTTTCTCCTATGTTATCTTCTAGAAGTTTTATAGTTTTTACAATGTCCTTTGCAGCAGGGAATGAGAATACCTTTTTATACTGAGCAGATATTATTTGTTTACAAGGTGATTATTCTTCTTATATAACATTTTATGTACTGCAGAAGGCAATTGTTTCTACTTAGTGTTGGTCTCTTGGGTACCTTTAGGTATTTCTTTCCTCTTTCTCTTTCTGTATCCAGAAGGAATGAACTATGATTGTTTTGGATTAAAAACAATTAATTAGTCATCAAGTAGGTTGAGATACAGGTCAAGCCAAAAACAGAGAATTAAAAAGTGTGATGTGTCATTTGTACTCTCTTTTCTCCAATACTGAGATACCTTCTTCTCATATTCATTAGAGGCAGACCAAATGAATGTTATTCTCATTTTGGATACATACTTCCACACCACCCAAGCATTCAGACAAACTCTTAGGCTCTTTTTTTTTTTTTCAGACGGAGTCACGCTCTGTCGCCCAGGCTGAAGTGCAGTGGTGCGATCTCGGCTCACTACAAGCTCCGCCTCCTGGGTTCATGCCATTCTCCTGCCTCAGCCTCCCGAGTAGCTGGGACTACAGGCGCCCACCACCACGCCTGGCTAATTTTTTGTACTTTTTAGTAGAGACGGGGTTTCACCGTGTTAGCCAGGATGGTCTCGATCTCCTGATTTCGTGATCCACCCTCCTCTGCCTCCCAAAGTGCTGAGATTACAGGCGTGAGCCACCGTGCCATGCCTCTCTTAGGCTCTTGAACTCTTTTCTGCTTATTTAAGAAATTTCAAGTAGTAACATCAGAGACTTTGCTTAGAGTTTCAAAAAGCTAAGCAGGACCCCCTCTACTTTCACTCTCAGCATTTGAAGCCAGTCAAGACTCATAAAACATTTCTTTACAAAAATTAATATAATTTTCCAGAGCTCTCTGCTGGCATTTAGAACTAAGGCCCTGGTAGCAATAAAACATAACATTTTTCTTGCTTCTTCTTTTCACCTTGAGGTGAGGCACTGGTGGTTGAAAGTATGATTCAGAAATTTATGGCACACTTGGACAAATTTCCTAATACCTTCTACATTGCACACGTCTAACTGCTAACATATTCATAGCTCTTCATGTTGATGCAACTTAACCATGAAATTAAAACTTTGGCCGTTTGGCCCATGTTAGTTGGATGCTCCATAAATTAAATTATTTTTTTTATTTGCATAAATAGCCAAATAGATATTTATATTCATATAGATAGGATTGACTCATCAAGATATTTATAACCTATCTATATAATACATTATATTCACAGTGGCTTTTCACCATTTCAAAGGAGAATGTATAATTTTGACTTTAAAACACATAGCAATCAAAGTTCTGCATGTGAGCTTGCTGATTTTAGAACACCTCTACTATATCAGCAGCTTTGCATATAGTTTTATTAATTCCAAAAGGGCACTTCATATATGTTTGGATCCCTTTTCTTCTATAAGAAAAAAGTTCAGGTTATACACAGATTCCCTTCTAGCTAACTCATTCATTCCTCAAACGCTTCTTGAAGATTTATTTTGTTTCTGGTTGTTGTTGTTGTTGTTGTTGTTTGAGATGGAGTTTCGCTCTTGTTGTCCAGGCTGGAATGCAATGGCACAGTCTTGGCTCACCAAACCTCCACCTCCCAGGTTCCAGTGATCCTCCTGCCTCAGCCTCCCGAGTAACTGGGATTACAGGCATGCGTCACCACACCCAGCTAATTTTGTGTTTTTCGTAGAGACAGAATTTCTCCATGTTGGTCAGGCTGGTCTCGAACTCTTGACCTTAGGTGATCCGCCCACCTCAGCCTCCCAAAGTGCTGGGATTGATGAGAGAGCCCAGATAAGTGAGAATAGTTCCTTTCCCTACTTGTAAATAGAATTTATAGCTTATAGAGAAGATAACTTTTTAGTATGATGCCAAAGAAGACCTGTCTTCAATACATAAAGCATATGTAACTTAATTGCCAAGCATGGTCAATTTTATATGCAACTTGAAAAAATGTTTAATCCAACACATCTAATATGGTTTACAGTCTCTCCTAGTTTCAATAATAAGCCTTTCAAAAATAAATCGTAGCAGTTCTCTATTTACATGTCTGCATGATCAGCGATGGACTCTTTGGTCTGTTTTTTTTGTTTGTTTTTTGTTTTTTTTTTTGAGACGGAGTTGCTCTGTAGCTCAGGCTGTAGCGCAGTGGTGCGATATCGGCTCACTGCAAGCTCCGCCTCCTGGGTTCACGCCATTCTCCTGCCTCAGCCTCCCGAGTAGCTGGGACTACAGGCGCCTGCCGCTACGCCCGGCTAATTTTTTGTATTTTTAGCAGAGACAGGGTTTCACCGTGTTAGCCAGGATGGTCTCCATCTCCTGACCTTGTGATCCGCCCGCCTCAGCCTCCCAAAGTGCTGGGATTACAGGCGTGAGCCACTGTGCCCGGCTCTTGGGTCTTTCTTTGAAACTGGTGTTGTTATCAAAGGGCTGTGACCCGTGTGTCAACTGGGGTTTGAATTTGGTAGAAATGGTCTGGTGAAAGTTGTAACTTCTCTTAGTATAGAAAGAATCTTAGGCTCTAAGGAAAACGGGAGGAGATCATTAATATGTGGATGGGATGGAGACCAGTAAGTATATACCTCAATTGATTAGTTTCTAAACCCTTGTATGATTAATTAATAATGGCTTTTCTTCAAATTAACACAATAGTAAATTTACCCTAATCTACAATTCAAATAGCTAAAAATAAAAAGGACTCTACATCTTTTATGTGTTGATAATTTACAACACGCATGACAGCGCTGATAGGGAAGAGGAAGAGGTATTTCCTGCAGGCATAAATATAATCTAATGTAGGAAAAGAAGAAATAAAGTAAACAATTCCCTTGAAGAACACTGTGTTGTTGACATGAAAAGAACACAAATTAAAAAGAAAATTTGGAATATATCATCTCAGAACTTATTACATAGAATATTTCACATTGTTCATAACGGCAAGAGTATAATTAGGAAGTGCATCTGCTGTTTGCTTTATGAACTCTTTACTCACCTTTGACCAGTTGTACAAGCCAGTGCAGCTAATACTAAATACAAATGAAAAAGAGCATGAAATAATTTGAATAGAAGAGCCAGGAAAGTGTAGACAATTAGAAGAGCCAAGGAAAATTACTGACAATTGTATAAAAACAGGAACAAACATAAGTAAATGAAGCATCACTCAAGAGAGGAACCATGCAGACACCCAACACTCCTGTGCAGCTGGTCTGGTCTCTTTTCGAAATATGAGACAAGAAAATAACTTGGCAGCTATTCTTGCCTTCAAATGGGGAATACAACCCTGGCAATTTGTGGGGATGCTCAGTGTTGATTACTACTGGCTGGGCAATGTCAAATAAGCTAGAGCCTGCCTGAAAATTCCAGATACTAACATTGGTTTTCACATGTTTCCATATGGTTACATATATTACCGTATCAGAAGTTTACATATAGTTACATATGTTTTCATATGTGTCCTCTATATAAAATGCAAACATACATAATTTAATTTTATGTTAATCTTTGTGTAATTCATAATTTTAAGTTCTATGCTCAGCTACTGAATTATTTTATCTTAGGTACATGGCTATTTATTCCCAGTTTTTATTTTCATTTTTTGTTTAAAATATGAATCTAGTTTATAGATAGACTCCATTTGAGCTGAGTGCTTATTATTGGCACATCCTGTAATATACATAGAAGATGAAGTAAAATATAGGACTTCTGGGCCCTTACAGTGTTTTGGGAAACAGTATTGCAATGTAATGGACTCAGAGCTGAAGCTGTGGTCATGTTCCTTTTTCTCACAAGGAATATTTTCTTTTCCCTTCTCCCTAAAGTCTAAAATACAAAAAAGAGAGACCTATGGTTGGAATAAATAAAAAGGTGAGCACATTTTACTACGAAGGTTATCAAGTGGAAATAAAACAACATGATTATCACCTAGGTTCTATGTCCCAAACAAAATGTTTATATTGTGAAACTTTCAGAAATCTGCAGCACAACACTTAAGCTCCTGCATTATAAACACATTTAGGAAGTTGTTTCGAAAAGTAGCATATTCTCTAACAGGTGCATATTCTCTTTACCTTTTTTCTTCCCTGCTTCCTAAAAAGAACAGTGGCTTTGGTTAACTTTTTCTGGTTTTGATATGGGAAGGGGGCAAGGAAGTGCTGGGTAGAGAAGGGCAGTGTCCCTGGCAAGGGCTCCACCCTTGGGCCTGTGCCCAAGGACCTAAGTGAGAACAGGCACTCCTGTTTTTCACACCCCAAAAGTTGCCTTTTGGCCTGCCATGCCCCCCATCCTGTGCCCACCAAAACCCTGAGACCCTAGTGGGCACACACACACACAAGTGACTGGATGTGGAGAGGAGCACACCAGCAGAAGAACACACTGACAGATGCCAGTAGGCCATCAATGGTGGAACGATGCAGATGCTGACAGAAATTCGATCAGGGGTGGTCAGAGAAAAGTCCGGCATTCTGGACTCTTCCATACTGCTATACTGTCTTCCATACTGCTATACTAATTTACATTTTTTACCAACAGTGTATAAGAATTCCCCCTTCTCTGCACCTTCATCAGCAGCTGTTTTTTTTTTTTTTGTCCTTTTGATGATAATCACTCCATCTAAGGTAAGATAATATCTCATTGTGGTTTTAATTTGCATTTTTCTGATGATTGGGGATGTTGAGCATTTTTCATATACCTGTGAGCCATTTGCATGTCTTCTTTTGAGGAACGTCTATTTTGTGTCCTTTGACAAATTTTTAATGATTAAAAAATTTTGCTTTTTTACTGTTGAGTTGTTTGAGTTCTGTGTATATTCTGGGTATGCTTCCTTTGTTGAATAAATAGCTTGGAAATATTTTCTCCCATTCAACAGCTTGTCTCTGCTGTGTTGGTTGTTTCCTGTGCTGTGCAGAAGCTTGGTTTAATAGAGTCACATTTGTCTATTTTTGGTTTTGTTGCCTATGTTTTTGAATTCTTAGCCATAAAGTATTTGCATAGAACAATATCCTGAAGTGTTTCCCTATGTTTTTATCTAGAATAGATTGGGGGCTTACATTTAAGACTTTAATCCATCTTGAGTTGATTTTTGTATATGGTGAGAGATAAGAGTCTAGGTTCACTCATCTGCATGTGGATATCCAGTTTTACCAGCATCATTTATTGAAGATGTTGTTCTTTCCTAAATGTAAGTTCTTGGTGACTTTATCTAATGTCAGTTGGTGGTAAATATGTGGATTTATGTCTGGGTTCTCTGTTCTGTTCCATTGGTCTATGTGTCTGTTTTTATGCCAATTCCATGCTTCTTGGTTATAACAGCCTCGTAATATATTTTGAAGTCAGGTTGTGTAATGCCTCCAGTTTTGTTCTTTTTGCTCTGGATTGCTTTGGTTATTTGAGCTCTTTTTGATTCCATACAAACTTTAGGAGGTTTTTTTTTTCATTTCAGTGAAGAATGACATCAGTATTTTGATAGAGATTACATTAAATCTGTAGGTTGTTTTGAGTTGCGTGGTCATTTTAATAATTTTAATTCTGCTCCGTGAGCCCAGAATGTTATTCCACTTGTTTGTGTCCTCTTCAATTTCTTTCTTCAGTGTTTTGTAGTTTTCTTGTACAGCCCTTTTACGTCCTGGTTAAATTTATTCCTAGTTATTTTGGGGGTTTTTTTGTAGCTATTATAAATGGAACTGCTTTCTTGATTTTCTTTTCAGCTAGTTCATTTTTGGTGTATAGAAACACTACTTATTGTTGCATGTTGATTTTGTAGCCAGCAGCTTTACTGAATTTACTTATCAGCTCTAAGAGGCTTTTGGTGGACTCTTGGATTCTCTAAATATAAGATCTTATCATGCCGGGCGCGGTGGCTCACACCTGTAATCCCAGCACTTTGGAAGGCCGAGGCGGGTGGATCATAAGGTCAGGAGATTGAGACCATCCTGGCTAACACGGTGAAACCCCGTCTCTACTGAAAATACAAAAAATTAGCTGGGCATGGTGGCACATGCCTGTAGTTCCAGCTACTCGGTAGGCTGAGGCAGGAGAACGGCGTGAACCCGGGAGGCGGAGCTTGCAGTGAGCCTATATCGAGCCACTGCACTCCAGCCTGGGGGACAGAGCAAGACTCCCTCTCAAAAAAAAAAAAAAAAATCTTATCATCTGCAAAGAGAGATGATTTGACTTACTTAATTTAGATTCCTTTTACCTCTTTCTCTTACCTAATTACTCAGGCTAGAACTTCCAGTACTATGTTGAATAGACATGTTAAAAGTGGAATCCTTGTCTTGTTCCAGTTCTTAGAGAAAAGACTTTCAGTTTTTCTTCATTCAGTATAATGTTAGCTCTGTGTTGGTCATATTTGGCCTTTGCTATGTTGAGGTACATTTTTTCTATGCCTAGTTTGATGAGAGATTTATCATGAAGGAATGTTGAATTTTATCAAATGCTTTGTCTGTGTCTATTGAGATAATCATATGGTTTTATCCTTCATTCTGTTGATGTGATGTATCATGTTTATTGATTTTCACATTTTGAGTCATCCTTGCATCTCCAGGATATATACCACTTGGTCAGAGGGTATGTTTTTTGACATGCTGTTGGATTCAGTTTGCTAGTATTTTGTTGAGAATTTTGAGTCCATGATCATCAGGAATATCGACCCTAGTTTTCTTTGTTGTTGTTGCATTTTTTTGTCAGCTTTTGGTATCAGGGTAATGTTTGGCTCATAGAAGAAGTTAGGGAGAATTCCTTACTCTTCATTTTTTTAGGAATAGCTTGATGAGAATTGATGTTTATTCTTCTTTGAAAGTTTGATAGAATTTGGCACTAAAGTTATCAAGTCCTGGACTTTTGTTTGTTGGGAGACTTTATTCCTGACTGAATCCCGTTACTCATTACTAATCTGTGCAGGATTTCTGTTTAAGATTCAATCTAGGTAGGTTGTATGTGGCCAGGAATTTATTTATTTCCCCTGGGTTTTCCAGTTTGTTGGCATATAGTTGTTCATAATAATCTATAATGATCTCTTGAATTTCTGTAGTATTAGTTGTAATGTCACCTTTTTCGTTTCTGATTTTATTTGGGTTGCATTTTTTCGTGATTAATCTAGCCAGTGGTTTATCAGTTTTGCTTATCTTTTTAAAAATAGCAACTTTTTGTTTCACTGATCCTTTGTATTGTTTCCTTATATGCTATTTCATTCAGTTCTACTCGATTTGTATCTTTTCTTTTCTGCTGCTAATTTTGAGTTTGATTAGTTCTTGCTTTTCTAGTTCCTTGAGGTGTACCATTAGATTGCTTATTTGAAATCTTTCTACTTTTTAATGTAGGTGTTTATTGCTATAAACTTTCCTCTTAGCACTGTTTCTGCTGTGGTATTCCACAAATTTTGTTATATTGTGCTTTCATTTTCGTTTGTTTCAAGCAAATTTTTAAAATTTTCATCCTAACTTCTTCATTAACCCATTGGTCATTCAGGAGCATGTTTAATTTTAATGCTTTTGAATAGTTTCTATATTTCCCTTTGGTAATAATTTCTACTTTTATTCCATTGTGGTCTGAGAAAGTACTTGACCTGACTTCAACTGTTTTTCAAGAGAAACAATTCTTTTGATTCCCAGTGAATAATCAGGGCCCTTCAGATACTCACTTTAAGTCCGAACATGATTTTTGTTTAATTTGGTTGAGGTTATTGCCACACTCACTTGCATAAGTTTTTAGAGAACAACATTTTATAAGAAAAGAAGTATGGACAACTTTCTTCTAATCTTTCAAATTATTCATAATTCTTCAGTTATCACCAAAAATGGGTCTGGAATAAACATTTCAATTTATTTGCTTCTTTCTTTTTTAATAATTTCAACTTTTATTTTAAATTCAGGGGATACATGTGAAGATTTGTTACATGGGTACATTACATGACATTGAAGTTTGGGGTACAAATTATTCCATCACCCAAGCAGTGAGCATAGTACCCAATAGGTAGTTTTTCAGCCCTTGCTCCTCCCAATCTCCTCCCTCTAGTTAGTCCCCAGTGTCTAACCAAATACTGCTTATTCTCATTTATAAGTGGGAGCTAAACATTGGGAAATATAATTTAAATGTTTTACAAATTTGAAACTTGTTTTGTAGCTAAAATGTGGTGGTCTATCTTGCAGAATGTTTCACGTGCTGATGAGAAGAATGTATATTCTGTAGCTGTTGGATAAAGTGTTCTGTAGATGTCTGTTAATGTCCTCTGTTCTAAAGTCCAGTTTTAATCCAACGTTTCTTTGGTTTTCTGTCTAAATTATCTATCTAGTGCTGAGAGGGGGTGTTGAAGCCCTCAACTGTTATTGTATTACAGTTTAATCTCTCTCTCTTTAAATCTAGTAATATTTGCTTTGTGTATTTGGGTTCTCCAGTTGTAGGCGCATGTATATTTAGAATTGTTCTATCCTCTTGCTAAATAGATTATTTAGATTACTTTACCATTATATAACAACCCTCTTTGTCTCCTTTCACTGTTTGTTGACTTAGACTCTGTTGTACCTCACATAAATATAACAACTCCTGCTCACGTTTGGTTTCCATTTGCATGGAATATCTTTTTCTATTCCTTAACTTTCAATCTATATATGTCTTCACAGGTGAAGGGAGTTTCTCTCAAGCAGCATACAGGTGAATCATTTTTGAAAATCCATTTAGACATTCTATATTTTAATTGAAAAATTTAACTTATTTACATTCAAGGTTGTTTATATGTGAGGATTAGTTCCTGTCATATCGTTCATTGTTTTCTGAATTTTTTTTTAATATCCTTTGGGGTTTTTTTTCTCTCTCTCTCTTTTATTGTTATCATTGCAGTTTGGTGGTTTTCTATTTTAATAACATTTGAGTCCTTTCTCTTCCTCATTTGTGTGTTTGCTTTACCAATTAGTTTTATTCTTTTGTGTGTTTTCATGGTGGAAAATATTACCCTTTCACTTCCAGGTTTAGGGCTGCCTTAAGCATTTTTTATAGGGTTGGTCTAGTGGTAGTGATGAATTCCTTCAGTTTTTGCTTATCTGAGAAATATTTTATTTCTCTCAACTTATGTAGAATAACTTTGCTGGCTATAGAATTCTTGCCTTCCAGTTTGTTTGTTTGTTTGTTTGTTTGTTTGTTTTTTAGTACTTTGAATACATCTTCCCACTCTCTTCTGGTCTGTAAAGTTTCTGCTGAGAAATCTATTCTTATTCTGATAGGAGTTTTCTTATATGTAACTACATGTTCTCCTCATTCTGTTTTTAGAATTCTATGACTTTGATTTTTGATAGTTTGACTGTGATATGCCAAGAAGATCTTTTTGGGTTGTATCTATTTGGGGATCTCTGAGCTTCCTGTATTAAATGTGTAAATCTCACTTGACTTGGGAAGACTTCAGCTATTATTTTGTTAAATAAGTTTTCTATGTTGTTGGCCTTCTCTTCATTTACTAGAACACCCAAAATTCAAATATTTGATTGCTTTCTGGTGTCTTATATGTCATGTAGAATTTGTTCTTTTTTTTTCTTTTTTCTTTGTCTGCCTGGCTTGTTTCAAAAGACTTCTCTTCAAGTTATGAAATTCTTTCTTCTTCTTGATCTAGTCTATTGTAGAAGCCCTCAAATATATTTTTACTTTACATATTGAATTCTTCAGTTCCAGGATTTATGTTTGGTTCTTTTTCATTATATCCCATCATTTTGGTGAATTTCTCATTCATATCCTGAATTACCTTTCTAATTTCTTTGTATTGCTTATCTTTGTTGTCTTATATCTTACTGAACTTCACTATCATTATTTCAAAATTTTTGCAGCATTTTATAACTTTTTTTTCCAATTAGAATCTGTTATTGAAGAATTGTTGTGATGCTATGGAGCTGTCCTTGCTTTGTGTTTCTGGTGTCCTTACATTGGTATCTGTACATCTGGTGTAACAGTTGCCTCTTCCAATTTTTGGACTAACTTTTGTAGGGGAAGACTTTTTCCTGAAGATGTGTCTATGGCAATGATTCAGAAGGATACTTTCACTTTGATTCTGGGTGCATGCAATAGTGTAGGCTCCATATGATTTCTTCAGCTGTGAACAGCATCAGTGGTGCCTGATTTCCTCAGTGGCTTGACTATAGTTGTAAGTGGAGGCTGAGATGAGGCTTTGGCGTAGACAGGGATGCCTCATCAGCCAGTCCTGGGCCCTGGTGGTGACAGTAGTAGATGGGCTAAGTGTTCTTGTCCTTGGACCCCCAAGCAGTATATGTGGGCACCCATGATAGCAGGTCCAGGTGGGCTGATTCATGGTCCCCTACATGGCTTGCTCAGGTGCCAGTAGTGGCAGTGGTTGACCAGATGAGTGAGCAGCTCCTCAGAGCCCTGGCAGTACATGTGGTAGAGACAATGGGAATAGTGGTGGCAGGACAATCCTTGGGCTCCCAGGTAGCACTGCTTAATGTTAACAGTGGCCAAAATGGGCTAGGTGAGCCAGGCTTCAGGCACCTGGGTGGCATGTGCAGGGAGTTCCAGTGGTGCTGTTGGAGTCAGGCTGGATTGACACATCTTCAGGTCTTTCAGAGGAGTGCACAAATGCCAGAGGCAGTAGACTAAGCAGAGTGATTCCCAGTTTCACAAGCAGTGTGCTCAGGCCTGGGGAGGGGAGAGGTAGCGTCAGGCTTTGCATGCCTGGCGTCAGACCTCCCAGTGATCCACACAAGTGCAAGCTGTAGTAGGCGGGGCAGGGTGATCCCTGGTGATATTTGAGAAGAGCCGGTGCTATGGCTTGGATATTTGCCCCCAAAAGCACCTGCTGAAATTTCATCCCAATGTTGGAGGTGGGGCCTACTGGGAGGTGCTTGGGTCATAGGGTTGAACTCATGAAGGGCTTGTTGCCATTCTTGAGGGAGTGAGTAAATTCTTACGTTTAGTTCCTGCAAGAACTGGTTGTTGAAAGGAGTCTGGTGCTTCCTCCTCTCTTTTCTTTGTCCCTCTTATTTTGCCTGCTCCCCTGGAAGCAGTCTGAAGCTCTTACCAGATGCAGATGTCAGCACCATGCTTCTTGTTAAGCCTGTAGAACCATGAGCCAAATAAACTCCATTTCTTTAGAAATTACCCTGTCTCAGGCGTTCCTTTAGAGTACAGCCTGTCTTCAGGGCTTGCGCTAACACAGGGGAAAAGTGGCCCTACTGCTGGTGGAAGTAGGGTTGCTGTCAACTCTCCCAGGCAGGCAGGAAGTTCTCAGGCTCAGGGGATTAAGTGTTTCAGCCCTCAGTGACAGCATCAGTAGCAGCAGCCACAGTATGCAGGGAGAGCCTGAACTCAGGATGCATGCTAGAGCACTGAGGCCATGCTGATGGTGGAGGTGGGGTTGCTATAAGCAGTCTCAGGCAGGCAGCTCTCAGGCTCAGGAGAATGCATGCTTCTCTCCCTGTGGCAGCACTGACCACAATGCATTTTTAGTTTTTTGAAGAACCCTCATATTGTTTCCATAATGACTTTATCAATTTACATTCCTACCAATAGAACACAAGAATTCCAATTTTTCCATGTCCTTGTCAATACTTGTTATCTTTTGTTTTTAGATCATTGCCAGCCTAACACGTGTGAGGTGATATCTTATTGTGGTTGTGATTTACTTTTCTCTGATGATTAGTGATGTTGAACATCTTTTCATACACCTGACATCTCCTTCAAAGAAATGTCTATTTACTTGTTTTGACCAATTTAAAATCAGATTATTTATATTTTGCTATTGAGATATAGTAGTTCCTCATATATTTTGGATACTAACTCCTAACTCCTAATACAATATGTAGTTTTTTTTGTTTTTTGTTTTTTTTTTTTTTTTTTTAGATGGAGCCTCACACTGTCACCTGGGCTAGAGTGCAGTGGCGCAATCTCGGCTCACTGCAACCTTCGCCTCCCAGGTTCAAGTGATTCTCCTGCCTCAGCCTCCCAAGCAGCTGGGACTACAGGTGCCTGCCACCATGCCCAGCTAATGTTTTGTATTTGTAGTAGAGACAGGGTTTCACCATGTTGGCCAGGCTGGTCTCGAACTCCTGACCTCGTGATTCGCTCCCCTCAGCCTCCCAAAGTGCTGGAAATATTTTCTCCTATTCTGTAGATTGCCTTTTCACCTATTGACTGTTTCCTTTGTAATGCAGAGGCTTTATCGTTTCATGAGTCCCCTCTTGTCTATTTTTGCTATGGTTTTCTGCACTTTTGGTGCCATATCCAAGAAATCATTGTCAAGGCCAATGTCATAAAACTTTACCCCTATGTTTTCTTTCAAGAGTTTTACAATTTCAGGTTTTATGTTTACATCTTTAATCCATTTAGAGATTGGCTGTACAACTTTGCGCCTAAACTTAATTTAAAAAAGAATTACTAAATATGTGTATGTGTATATATTTTTATTTATAATATCTAATTTTTATATTGATTACAACTTGAAATACTTTAGATGTATTAGGTTACACAACATATTATTAAGAAAAATAATTGAGTTTTTACCGTGTTCTTCTAGTAGTTCCGCTGCCCTTTTTCACTGAAATTTTTCTTTGCCTTAGAGAAATGGCAGATTGGACCTTAAGAATTTGGGCTTAATATGTTTGCATTATATTTTTGTTTATTTGTGTTGAAGAGTGTGATGCTAGTTCAGGAACAATTTTCAGTCTCAGAGGAAGCATTGCTAACATCACAATGTTTCTCTTTTACAATAGTGAAATTCTTAAACACCAAATACTTTTTACTTCCCTTTAATAACCTATGGGTTTTGTTTTGTTTTTAGCTCAAAGAAAGATGTTTGTTTCATAAGGAGAATCTTCTCTAAAAAGCTAAGAAATACATTCAAGCTTCCTAAATTGTGACAAAATAGGAACACACCCAGAAATCAATTGCTTATCAAATTCATTAAATTAGCACTTTTTAAACAAATGTGGGTGGGTTAGACAAACCTTACTACCAGGAACTGTGTGTTCAGAAGACCACCACATTAACCTAACAGAAATACATGAACATATTCTCAAACATTATTCAAATGTTAAAGACAGCAATAGAAAATTCCATTTTGGCTTGGATTCAAGTTTGTTAATATGCCAGAAGTACCTTATCACTAACTAGCTTTAGCTATTAAGCTTTCTCATAATGTGAATTCAAAAGGATTTTAAAAAGATATAATGAAGTAATAGGGTAAAACCTTCCATGAAAGTGAGAAAATGAAATCATTTAGGATTTCTCTGACCCTAAAACTTAGCTGTGCTTGCAACTATTACCAGGTATCCTTTCTAGACTGGTAAACAGTAAGGGATAATCTGGATTTCAGAAGGATGCCACAGACTTTTCTAAACATTCACACACTAAATAAAAACTATATGGAAGATCTATTATGTTATAAAAGCTAATTTAAAGTCTTGAAATAATGTAACATTCAAACATGCTCCCTCTCTACACACACACACACACACACACACACACACACACACACACACACAGAGATTATTTTTCCTCATCCTCACATCTGACAAGTAAACTTGTCCACCAGGCTAAACACTCTTCCCCTCTTGATCAGTATCATTTCCAGTCTGAATCAAGCCTTCACCTGTTCTTCCTGAATGTGGTATTATCAAATATTTGGCTAAATGTGCTTCTGACCAAATTGATTCATGTTCTTACAGCAATATTTTCACCTAGTGTCCTTTCTTTCCCTCATCCCCCATTTGGTTTTTAAAATCCAACAGTGTCCCTTAATTATATGAAACTACTGTGACACTATTATAAAGTCTATCAGCCTGTGGCATTTGCTGTTTCAAAGCATTATTGGTTACAGAGGCAAATTGTTAGGAAAACTGGGCAGAAGGGAGATGGAGATGAACACTTTTAGCAAGTGAACATGGGCTGAAAATGTAAGTGCAAATAATCCCGATGTTCAGCCCATGAAACAGTGCTATTATCCATTTTCTATTTTGGAGCTCTAAGCTAAGATCACTCAATGATGCCTACAACATAGTCTTTAAATTTAGTTAAAGTTTGAGGTCTTTTTTAGAACAGAGGCTGTGAGGTGTACCTATGTATTCTGAGCACATATCAGTGGCCTCCATCTACTGTATATAGTCTAAGATACCATTGTTTAAAAATGTACTCTTATATACCACTAAGAAAGAAAAAACATACTACCAACTAAACAAATGATTTCATCCTAGTATAAGGGCTGCATGAGACTTAGATTTTTCATTCATTGCTCGTATCAAATGAAGTTGGCTAAATGATTTCTAAAACATCTTAACATCCAGATGACATAAACTGGAAGGTGCATCTTTATTTCAGAAATGCTAAAATCTGGAAAAGATGTACCTTTAGACTCTACAGAAAATGAGAGATTGTGTTTAACACCTCTCATATTTACTGCTTCTCCTAACAATGGTGATGATTATATTCAAAATCATCACCAAAACGATCACTCCAGTTACATTTTCCATTAGGTGGGTGGCTATTCAACTAATGTCCATCTATATAACTTGACTGTAAGCTCCATAAGAACAGTAACTATATCTGCTTTTCATATCATTTTCCTCAGCTTGTAGCTGAGTTAGAGTTCTGTAAATGTTAATTGCCTATTGATGGAAGTGATAAGGGAATGATAATGATGATGAGGTGTAAGAAGTTCCAGCCACATATATAAGAGCAGCCTGGGTAATTTTTAAATGAGACTGTAGCAGGTAGATCTTTTCCTTCGGTCAATTTGTGACATGTATTCTCTAGAATGCCAAGGTTATATCCAATAAAGCCACTGATAATCTGTAATGGTAAAAAAATTTTAAGTAAATTTGAGATAGAAAAATTCATAAACCAGATAAATGTATTAAATACTGTAAAGCTCTAGGTTAAATTTATATCAATGACTTATCAAGGTAAATCTTCTTTAAAATTTGCCCTCACTGGGGATGAAAGCATAAATGAAAAGTAAATAGAAACACGATTTTTAAGTGTGATAGCATCTAAAATAGATTTGAGAGTTTGAGTCATATCCATGAGATTTTTCTTTAAAACAACAATGGTAATTTATTTTATATGAACAACACTTTTACAGTGTATTAAAGGTAAAGTTTACCACTCATTTTGGAAAACACCAATCAATGGGTTCTGATTCAGCATCTATTAAAAGGTATGCTCCATGAGATTAGAGACTTGGTCTCATTGGTGGCCATATCCCCAGCACTTACAACTATATTTAACAAACAGTAAGTGTTCGATATGTATCTGTTGAGTAAGTGAATTAATAAGTTTTAATTATGCTGAAACTCCTTCTGCCATCCACACAGTGGTTAAAAAATTGTAATGGAGGAATCCTGGTGCCTATGATCTGGTGTAAGGAAGATTTAGGGAGCCTGAATTTGAATCTTGGTTCTTCCATTAGTTCATTCTCAGGCTAATCACACGACATCCTTGGGCCTCAGTTTCCTCATCTGCAAAGTAGAGGTGGTTCCAGGGTAATCTTTCTTGAATCTAATTAATAGATAAACCATGTGTTAGACATTATAGGCTGAGTTATAATGCAATAGTAAATTTATTTACAAACTTTAGAACATTAACACAAGATTTTGTTTCTCATTTATGTTTCATGTCCATCGGTGATTTCTATGGGTCTGAGCTCCATATAGTCACTTAAGGACCCAGGATGATGGAGGTTCCTTCACCTCATAGATAAAACTGTAACGTGTACATTCCTAATTATTGCAGCAGAAATAGAAAGATTGGAAATATGTGCATTTCATAGGCTAGAAATAGTCACATATCTCTGTCTAACTAAAGGGAGAAAAAAAATAAGGATAAGTGGTGGAATCTGTTGCTGTCCTAAATTTCACTATGAGGCTGGTGAGCTCATCCCTTGGCTGCTGTAGATGTTGGTTGTAAGAACTCATAGCTGTCCCCCTTTTTTCAGAATTGCCTGCAGCTAAATGGAAACGATTTGCCTGGCAGGTTTTCCCCATTGCCCAGGGACAACACACAATGACTGACTGACATTGGCATACAGAAGTCAGGCCCTTTGATTCAAAGTGAGACCAACTCTATGGTGAAAGTCATGCTCAAGTTCCCCGTGGAATCAAGCTGAAGGTAGACTCCAGCTGAGACTGGATCCCTGATTACCTTTCCCCACCTACCCTTGTCAGCTTTTCTCATTCCAGATTTTCCTGGAAGTACTCCATCAGTAAATCACTTGCACACAAATCTTTACCTCAGGCTCTGCTTCTAGGAAACTCAATCTGGAGAACCCAACCTAAAAGAGTGTGTCGTAATTGGTCCTAGGAATCTTACTTTAAGGATGCGCTTCTGGGGGTGTATTAGTCTGTTCTCACGCTGCTAATAAAGATATACCTGAGACTGGGTAATTATACAGGAAAGAGGTTTAACAGACTCACAGTTCCACATGGCTGGGGAGGCCTCACAATCATGGCAGAATGCAAGGAAGAGCAAGTCACATCTTACATGGATGACGGCAGGCAAAGAGACAGCTTGTGCAGGGAAACTCCTCCTCATGAAACCATCAGATCTCTTGAGACTTATTTACTATCAAGAGAACAGCACAGGAAAAACTCACCCCGTGATGCAATTACCTCCCACTGGGGTTCCCCACCACCCTCCCCCCAACCCTCCACCACAACGTGTGAGAATTGTAAGAGCTGTAATTCAAGATGAGATTTGGGTGGGGACACAGCCAAACCATATCAGGGGATAAGATCATTGACAGCTGTATAGTAATTAACACCCTAGCCTCAATGGCAGGTGGAGAATTGCCAGACCCTGGCATCTGCAGTGATCCAATCACTAAGGCTTCCACCTGTGGTGAATTGGAGTGGAATGCAGGTACAATAGCATTCACCTAAGGGTGTATCTGGCTTTTGAGATATACTGAGGAAATAGTAGCTATAAAGACTTTTGGAAACATTTCAATGCTGCTAAGTGCCGCTGATAGATTAAAGAGAGGAAATGGCCAGCTCAGATCTATTAATTAATTATTTATATAAAATAAAATGTGAGAATTGGAGGCCTCTTTGGCAGCATTTAAAGATAATTCCATCTCTTTCAGCCAAGGGAAGACAGAGCTAAACACTAGGCACAATACTTCTTATAAGAATGTCAGAATATCAAAGATGGCTGAATTCTCAGGCTATGCAAGTCTCCTATGCAGCATTCTGGGCTCTGATAAGGAAGAAGTTGAAACCTGAGGTAGGAATACCTGGATAGACGCACCAAAATCTTGAACCTTCAGATTTTTTGCAACCTCTAGGCTCGTAGAATGTGTGCACTAATTTTTGCTAGAAAATACAAGCCTTCATCTTGTTTGAAGACATTCCAGAGACTTTACCTGAGGTATGTGCCTAATAAGACAACGCTTGCCCTTCTCAACATCTGCTCCCACCTTTCCTAGTGACCACAAGACCCATAAGTAGGATGAAATTTCCACATTATGTGACAAGGCAGAGATTTAAAGGTACCTAAGATCATTTACTTGAATAGTTGTACTAGGAAAGGCAAATACTAAGATCTTTAGAAATCTGTTGAATACAGCATTTACTTTGACATTGAAACCAGAAGGCCCAAGGAACTACTATGGCCCCCACTGTAGTAAGAACATATGTTACTCTGTGATATGGTTTGGCTCTGTACCCAAATTTCATGTTGAATTGTAATTCCCAATATTGGGGGAGGGACTTTGTGGGAGGTGATTGGATGATGGAGGTGGATTTCCCCCTTGCTGTTCCCATGATAGTGAGTGAGTTCTCATGAGATATGGTTGTTTAAAAGTGTGTAGCACTTCCCTCTTGGTTCTCTCTCTCCTGCTCTGCCGTGGTAAGATGTGCTTGTTTCCCCTTTGCCTTCTGCCATGATTGTAATTTTTCTGAGGCCTCCCAGCCATGCTTTCCATATAGCCTGTGGAACTGTAACATCAATTCAACTTCTTTTCTTTATAAATTACCCAGTCTCAGGTAATTCTGTGATAATCAATAGAGCCCTTGTTCAGGTCCATTTCATATTTCTACCCAGCTGTTATTTTTCTGGTTTCTGAACATATAATCAGCATAAATACCCTTAACCATTGGCAGAATTCCCGTATTGGTGCCATAACCTATAGAGTAATCGCATTTATCATGGGTGACATAGTTTTGATGTGTATCCCTACCTAAATCTCATGTTGAAATGTAATTCCCAATGTTGGAGGGGGGCCTGGTGGGAGGTGATTTGATAATGGGGGCAGATTTCTCATGAATGGTTTAGCACTATCTCATTGGTGTTGTCCTCGTGATGGTGAGAGAGGTCTCATGAGATCTGGTTGTTTAAAAGTGAAGCAAAAAGGGTGGTGGGGAGGGGAAAAAGCTAATCATGGATCCAGTCTCAGCTGGTCTACCTTCACCTTCACTTTTAGCACCTCCCCCGGCTTTTTTTCCTGCTCTGGCCATGTGACATGCCTCGTCACTCTTTACCTTCCAACATAATTGCAAGTTTCCTGAGGCCTCCCTAGAAGCTGAGCAGATGCCAGCCTCATGCTTCCTGTACATCCTTCAGAACCTTGAGCCAATTAAAATTCATTTCTTTATAAATTACTCAGTCTCAGATATTTCTTTAAAACAATGCGAGAGTGAACTAATACAGTGGGAAAGGCCAACATGCAGGGGTGATGATCCCCATCATTTCCGTCACTTACTTCACCAGTGTAGTTCCTGCAAAAATTCTATAGATCAAAACGTAACAAAGGACTACTGGAGTTTAACCAACTGTAGCCCCAACTGCAGTTGCTATGCCAGTTGTGATATATTTACCAGACCGCATTAACACAAATTCTTATTATGTAGTATATGCCCGCTGATCTGAGAAAGCATTCTTTTCCATACCTACCAGAATAAAAGAAAAAAGGACCCCAAACAGATTTTATTTAGATCTGGTAGTACAGAAAAAAAGCCTGAGGTTGGTTCAAAGGTGGGTTGTCTTGGTATGTGGGTACAAGCTGAAAATGAACTGCTATTATGCCACATTCCACCCAGGGATGGCGCTGAAGACAGTGATGAGTGAAAAATCTTCCACTGGAAGGAACTCAAGCAGTGCATCTTGTCATTTACTTTGAGAAGACAAAGTATTTTACAGTAAGGGTAAAAATTGACTCATGAACATTATAAATAGTTTGTATGGTTGGTTAGAGACCTGAAAGTAAAAATATTAAGTTAGGGACAAGGACGTCTGAGAAAGAAGCATTGGGATGGAACTGTGAAAGTGAATACAATACATAATGATCTTTGTGTCATAAGTCATTGCTCACAAGAGGGAATTCATCATGGAAGAGAAACTAAATTATAAAGTTGACAAAATGACTTGGCCAGTAGATGGTAGCCAGCATCTGTTCTTGCCAACTCTGCTTGTGCAATGGGCTCTAGAACAGAGAAGCAATTCTAGTTGAGGTAAAAGCCATGTAAGGACCCAAACAGCATGGGTTCCCTCTCATGACAGCTGACCAACTGCTGTCACCATTGAATGTCCAATATGCTAGCAACAGATAGCAACAGTGAGAACACAGTATCATTCTTCAAAGAGACCCATAAGTCATTTGGTGGCAAGTTGATTACCCAGAACCTCTTCTTCATTGCAAGGAGCAATACTTCATCCAGACTGTCAATCAACTGCCAGTCCCTGACCACACTGCCCAACTATCACCACTCCAAGGGCTCAGAGTTTCTGATCTATGATTTCACACAAATAGCATTGCCATAAAGATAAAATTTATGGCAAAAGATGTTCAGTGGCAGCATATAGCCATGGGATCTATTTATTGATCCCACCATATATTAAATCACTCAGCAGCTTATGCCTTGATAGGGTAGTGGGAAGTCTTTAGTGCTTAATTGAAGCTCCATCTCAAAGAAGTCACTTTGCAAGGATGCAGTATATGCCTTATCCTTCAGGATGAAGTATTTACCCTAAACCAAAGACACTAAGTAGTGCTATCTACAGTAAGTAGAATGCAAGAAATCCAAAGGGTGAAAGTAAGAGTGGTTCCACTCATCATTCCTCCCAGACACCCACTCAGGAAATTTTTGTTTCCTTGCTCCTGCTTTCAGGCTCTGCTTGTCCTGGTTTTGTAAGAGTGGATTATTCTATCAGGAGACATGGAAAATCCCAATAAAGCTCTGGCTGATTCCTTATTACTTTGGGCTCCTCAAAACAGTAGGCCATCAGACAAAAAATAGTTTCTCAACTGGCACGGGGTCTCAATTGACCCTGCTCAGTAGGAAGAGGTAGAGCTACTGCCATCTAATGCAAGCAAGGTAATTCGCTGGACTATTCTTTGTAGTTCCATGACCAATTTTACTATAATGAGCAGCTCTAGTAACCATAAACTGGTAAAGGCATGATAACCAGAGCCTCAGATGCCATAAGGGAAACCAATTAGTCCAGCAGCGGTGCTAGCCAAGGGAGAGGGCAGTCGAGAACGGGAGGTAGAGGAGATAGATGATGACTATCTGAGAACCAGTCAATTGCTGCAGCAAGAGATGTAGTTTATCTAAATAATCTCCTTGTAAGTTTTCCCAGAAAATTTACCTTTCATAAACCTGGAAAATCTGTGCCTAGATGGAGTTAACAATTTGAGAGGCAAGTGGATCTGAGAATTGTAAGGTGGATACTACAAGAGGCCTTATTGTTGCTCTGCCCAGATTCACCATACTAAACGGGAACACCTATCCCCAGTTCCCATGCCTTAGCAGCTGTAAGAGGCTCACAGTCATTTCCCTTCTTTTAATGGGAACCTCTATAATCACCCCAGCCTACAACCCCTGCTGACATTGGGAAAACTATGGTGGAATTCATGTTCCATAGCTTCTGGTGGACCAGATTGGTTCCAGCTTGTCTCCAGCTGAGACCACATCCTTGCTTACCTCCCCCTTCCCCGCTCCATCATTCTCTTTTCACTCCCCCTCTCCTGAAATCACTCCCTCACTAAATCATTTGCACAAGAATCCAGTTTTATGTTTCTGTTTGTAGGAAAGCCCTTCTACAACAGGGAGCAAATGAATCGTTGGTAGACAAGCCTTTCTCAGCTACAGATGCCTTTAAAAGGAAAACATTTCTTCCAGACTCTTGCTGTTGACCAAAATCACTTGTATTTTAATATTAATGAAAGATACTCCATTTAAAATTGTTTGTAGATTCGTTATGTGATTAGCTCTAATAAAACTATAAAAGCAAAGCAAACTTATCAACTAAATTAACCAATGCCAAAATAAAATTTAAATTTATAACATTAATGTGATACATTTGTTTTATTTCTGGAGCTAGATGACTGATGTTGAATTCAAAAACAAAAAGATACAGCCCAAGGCTTGTTTCTGTATTTAGTCTGTTACTGTATTTTATCTTCAACTATACAAATTCAGAGCACACTGTTGGAATTGTTTAAGTGTTATATACAAAATGTCATTAACAACTTCAAGGCTTTTTTTGGCTAGTATAGGACTATCAGCTCTCATTCTTAACTAAAACTCAGCTAGCAAACAATTCTCTAATGGCAGTAATAGTAAGTTTTCACTTGATAATATTTTAAATCTTTCTCTGTTACTTGGTAATAAGCATTGTAGATTTATTGAAATATGTATTAAATGGTATCTAGCTGATATTTTACTGAACTCAGAAGTATTTTTCGTCAGAGGTATCTTCCATCTCCATACTTAACTGCTAATTAATTGTTGCAAGTTAATAACGTGCAAAACCAAATTCATGCAAGGTACCTGTTTGCATTGGAAATATGGGCTTAGTGTGGTATATCTGTTTTGTGTGCCTCATGAAGATTCAGTGCTCCTACTAATTTTATCAGTTTAATCTTCCATGCTACATTTATTAATGGCATGCACTGTGATATCATTTAAGATTTCTTGGCTGAGCATACTATCAAAAACAGAAATGCAAATATGACCACTGAAACTAGGGATCTTTATAGAAGGCCCTCTCATAGTCCCCAATATGCTTATATTACACTAGATGTGATCAACAAAATGAAAATAGTTTAAAATTTCTTTTGGAAAATTCATATACCCTATGATGTTTTACTAAACACACTAGCTCCCTCAGTTTATATACTATATTTGGGAGGAGTTGCACTAAAAGGATTCTGAAATTATTTCTATTGTAAAATTATATAAATTTTGTCAGTTTCAGAGATTGCCATAGTTGTGGTGGTTTATCTCAAAAATTTTTAAAAAATTGCTCAACAATTAACTTTTTCCCACTGGAATACACTGCCTTTGCTTAATCAGCAAATTAAAACAATTACTGGTTTTCCCTCATAGTTCAGCCCCTACTTTAGGAGGCTTATTATCCATTGGACTTTAAGGTTTTCTTTTATTTTTTAAGTAGTAAAATTTTATGAATGAAACCTACTCATGATTTAAAGTGATAAAATAACATTTCTTTATTTAAGAAAAAATATCTCTTTTGAGCTAAACATCAATGACACCAATTCATGTTAACTAACAATAAAAAAATAAAGAATAAATCCTCTCCATCTCAAGTGCCTCTTTGAATGGATGACTTGGATACAAATAAAGTGGCTGTTCCAACTTGAGGTTTGTGAAGGATGAATCTTAATCAAATGCCTTAAAGAAAACAGCAACAATTAATTGGCTCAAAGGATAGGATAGCTGCCAACTCACAGGCAATTTCTGTATCTCTGTGTTAATTGCCTTCTCTGAAACATGAAAGCAAATTCAGATAAAGAGAACATTGTGGAAATGAATTATTTTGGTGTTTTTACATAGTCTCATAGTAAACTTGTGCACAGCTGCAAGCCACTGGATTTGCAATCTCTTTAAAAGCTTTTGTTCATCAAATTATCTATGCCTCAAACCTATGTGTTTTAGGCATTGGCTGTATCTAACCTCTCATTTGCGATTTCAGGTGCACAAGTATTATTGAAATTATATCAACTTGCTTTAATCACAGGGAAGGATCACTGCGTAAAGGAATAGCGTAACATGTAAAATACCTAGGATAATGTCAGTTACATAACGGGCTACCTACTTAAAAACAAAAATTATATTTTCTATCTTAAAATAATTCATCCTAGGAGAATTAGGAACCAGTGTTGCCAAACACCATTCCACAACTGGAATAGAAGACTCCTTATTATTTCTCATGGGCAAGTATGTGATTAACCTATCCTCCCTTTGTCTCCAAAGCCAATGACTTAAGCCCTCACCAACTGTTGGGCATTCCAAATGTAAAACAAGGAAAGTGTAATTGCCATGCTGGGCTTTTATGAGGATAAAATAAACCTAACAAGTATATGGAAAAATTTTATAAGAAATAAAATTGTATTATCATTATTCATTAATATTATTTTACTTTGGGACAGAAATTATATGATTATCTTTAAGAAGAAATGGCTTTATGCACATGTCCTGTTCATAACTCATTAGAACATGGAGGATTTTCTGATTGATGGGAATTATGATATCTGCTTCAGTAATTGTGGAACTATAACAGGATTGTCACTCTGTAAGACTATTTTAAGTATCATCCAATCCAAAGGCAGGGGTTATATAATGACTTCTCAGTGTTCCTTAGAACTTACAGTTTGGTAATCTAGAAAATTTTTTCATTTTTTTAAATCACTGTATTTATCTACTTTCAATATATTGAACATGCAATTCATCAAGAGCCTGCTTTCCATGTATACATACGCCAATATATACTTTATCATTAATGAGTAAGGACATTTGATGATTGCCATCATGGATAAAGAGATATTTTCCCTATAAAATACAAGTGCAATGTTAGCAAATTACAACACTGATTTATTTTCAATCAATTACATCATGTATTTTCATCATGCTTTACATTATTTGTTTACATTTCTGATGTTCTCAGGAAATCAAGTTTTTTGAGATCTCAATACATACTTAATATGTATCCTCACTTGCAAAATAAAGAAGGCACTGACATTTTCTTCTCCTATTTATGCTCTATTACTTTTAAACTTATTGGGGACCATATATTAATTTTTCTAAGTCAAATAAATACTATTTATATTCTTCAGCATCTTTCCACCAGGTTTCGTTTTTCCACCAGGCTCCATTAGAGGACATTCTGTTACATAGTAAGAGATGTTTTCTTCTAACACAATTTTAAAGAAAGTCAGAAAAAGAAAAGCAAGACTTGCTCAGCTATGTGTTTTGTAGTTAGACAAAATTTGTGTTTCAAGTTACTAAGAGCAGTAGATATGATGGTGGCACAGATAATCTATTTTGTTTCTGTTCTTTTCACATCTTTGGCCTCTCTGAATATTTAGAATGTCTTTTCAAGATGTGAAAGAGGCATCTTTTTTTGCAAGGACTATGCCCCAGGGGCCACATCTTCAAGCTACATTTACCTGAAGAGTGTGGCACTCTTCCCGTTGCACTAAAGCCTCTCAGCTTTAAAATCTAATACATACTCCAGAAGCTAGAAATATAAATTTTTATATTCCTGTCCTATCCATAAGCTTCAAGTATCTATTTTTCTTAGAAATGGTTCCATGTCAATGACAGAAAAAAATAAATTTCAAGCTAATCCATTCAACCTCTAGGCTTATAAATCTCTATTTCATATTTCAAAGTTATGTGTCCTATTAATGTGACAGGAATTGGTGGGTTCTTAGTCTCACTGACTTCAAGAATGAAGCCACGGACCCTCGTGATGAGTGGTACAGTTCTTAAAGATGGCGTGTGTGGAGTTTGTTCCTTCTGATGTTTGGACGTGTCTGGAGTTTATTCCTTCTGGTGGGTTTGTGGTCTCGGGCTGACTTCAGGAGTGAAGCTGCAGACCTTTGCAGTGAGTGTTACAACTCTTCAAGGTGGCACGTCTGGAGTTGTTCATTCCTCCTGGTGGGTTCATGGTCTCGCTGGCTTCAGGAGTGAAGCTGCAGACCTTCGCAGTGAGTGTTACAGCTCATAAAGGTGGAACGGACCCAAAGAGTGAGCAGCAGCAAGAGTTATTGTGAAGAGTGAAAGAACAACGCTTCCACAGCATGGAAGGGGACCCCAGCGGGTTGCTGCTGCTGGCTTGGGTGGCTTACTTTTATTCCCTTATTTAGCCCCACCCTCATCCTGCTGATTGGTACATTTTACAGAGAGTTGATTGGTCCATTTTACAGAGTGCTGATTGGTTCGTTTTGACAGAGTGCTGATTGGAGTGTTTACAAACCTTTAGCTAGACACAGAGTGCTGATTGGTGCATTTACAATTCTTTAGCTAGACAGAAAAGTTCTCCAAGTCCCCACCTGACCCAGAAGCTCAGCCAGCTTCATGTCTCAGTCACCCCTCTAAACAGGACAACCCAACTGCTGTTGGGAATTTGGCCAATGACCACTTAACTACTTCCTGCTGGATAAGGGCAAAGAAGGGGCCCTGCAGTAGTAATGTCCTCCAGAGGGCAACTCTTTAAGCCAGTGGAAGGGCACGTGGGTTGGTCCAGGGGTCCTCGGTAGAAGTTGTTAGTTGAACTCATTTGGGGTTCCATTTGTAAGACCATCTGTAGCTTGATGGCCTTGATTCTAGAGGAAATGAATTTAACAAGAAGGTTAAAGATACAAGGCCCAAAGGTGAGTAACAGTAACATGGCTGCCACGGGACCTAGAAAGGGGAGAAGCCATGTTGCCCAACTCCAGAGGTTGGTATAAGAGTTTGAAAGGCGTTGTCTGATTTCAGAAGCCTTTTCCTGTAAATGCCGGGCAGCGTCTCATAGTATCCCTGACTGGTCAGTGTAAAAACAACACTCTTCCCCTAAGAAGGTGCAGAGTCCTCCTTTCTCAGCTGTGAGGAAGTCTAGGCCTAGGCGGTTTTGGATAGTTGCTGCTGCCAAAGAATCTATTTGGGATTGTAGAGTAAGGATAGATCTCATTATTTCTTGTAAACTGTCTGAGAGACAGATATCGGTTGAGATTCCATGTAAGAAGAATATGCCTTGGCGAGGTAGACAGAAATTTACCCTGACTTTTAAAGGAATAGGATACACTTTTTTCTTTACTGCTTCTCTTTCTCTCTTTCTTTGACTCCTTGTTTGTCTGTCTCTCTCTTTCTCTCTGACTTTCTCTCTGACTCCCCTTTTTTCTCTTCCTCTCTTTCCTTCTGACTTTCTGTCTCTCTGTCTCTTCCTCTGTCTCCTTCTCTTTGTCTCTGTTTCTTCCTCTCTCTCTCTTTCTCTGACTTTCTGTCTCTTTCTCTCTTTCCTTTCTGCTGATCTTTCCCTGCCTCTGCCAGCCACTTATGCTGCTGTTCTCCCCTCTCGCTCTCCTTTTGATGGCTTCAGCAGTGTAAGACTGCCACCTCCTTGGGTTTTTGCATTGCATGCAATAACTCCATGGTTTCCTTGTGATACTCAATGGGGGTTCCCCAGAGGTTAGGAACTCCCTTTCTTTCCATATTGCAGCATGGGCATGTAGGATTAGATAAGCATACTTGCTATCTGTATACACATTTATTCTTCTTCCATTTCCCAGTTCTAAGGCTCAGCTAAGTGCCACTAGTTCTGCTAACTGGGCACTGGTCCCTGGGGGAAGAAGCTTACTTTCAAGTATGGTTACATCACTAACTATGGCATAACCTGCCCTTTGTATCCCATGTTTCACAAATGAATTTCCATTGGTGAAAGGTCAGGATTAAGGTCAGGATTAGCTAAGGGGACTTCTAAGAGATCATCTTGGGCGGCATAAGTCTGGACTATAATTTATTGGCAGTCATGCTCGATTGGTTCCCCATCCTCTGGGAGAAAAGTGGCAGGGCTGAGGGCCACACATGTGTGTATTTGAAGCACCGGTCCCTCAAGGAGTAGCACCTGGTATCCAAGCAGGTGGTTGTCTGATAGCCATAAACTTCCTTTGGCAGCTAGTAAGCCATTTATAGAGTAGTCCAGACAGTGAGATCCTTTCCTTGTATTATTTTGATAGCCTCTGACACTAAGACGGCCACTGCTGCAACTACCCTTAAACAGTGAGGCCAGCCTTTTGCTACTACATCAATTTACTTACTTAGGTATGCCACTGATTGTGGGGTTGTCCCACGAGTCTGTGTAAGGACTCCAAGAGCTATCCCTGCTCTCTCTGTGATGTATACAGAGAAGTTTTGTCCTGTCGGAAGGCTTAAAGCTGGAGCTTGTACTAGGGCCTGCTTTAATGTTTTGAAGGCTGTTTCCGCCTCTGGTTCCCATTCTACTAGATGAGTATTTGCCCTCTGGGTTTCCTTGATTCAAATATAGAGGGGCCTGACTCTCTTGCTGTATCCAGGGATCCATAGTCGGCAAAAGCCGGTGATTCCAAGGATCCCCTGCAACTGTTTTAATATCTTAGGGTGAGGATAAGCCAGTATAGGCTGTATTCGTTCCTTGCTGAGGGCCCTGGTCCCTCTGGCTAATATTAGGCCTAGATATTTGACCTGCTATAGGCCAAGCTGGGCCTTCAACCTAGACACCTTGTACCCTTGATTAGCTAGAAAGTTCAAGAAATCTAGAGTAGCCTGCTGGCATGAGGCTTCTGAACTGGTAGCCAAAAGTAAATCATCCACATACTGAAGGACCAGAGTGCCTGGACTTGAGAAGTGGCCTAGATCCTGGGCCAGTGCCTGACCAAACAGGTGAGGGCTATCCCTAAACCCTTGGGGTAAGACCATCCATGTAAGTTGGGGCATGCGGTCTGTGGGATCCTCAAAGGCAAAGAGAAACTGGGAGTCAGAGTGCAGGGGAATACAGAAGAAGGCATCCTTGAGGTCCAGAACCATGAACCATTCTACTTTCTCTGGTATTTGACAGAGCAGGGTATAGGGGTTGGGTACAACTGGATTTAGAGGAATTACTGCCTCATTGATGAGTCTAAGATCTTGCACTAGTCTCCACTGACCGCTCAGTTTTTGTACTCCTAGAATTGGGGTGTTGCAGGGACTGCTGCATTTCCTTACTAAGCCTTGAGCTTTTAAATGTTTAAAGTATCCTGCAATCCTTTATGAGCTTTAGGCCTTAAGGGATATTGCCTTTGATAAGGAAAAGCGATAGTGTCTTTTAGCCAGATTTGGACTGGGCAGGCATTTTTTTGCCCTTCCAAATTGTCCTTCCAATTCCCAGACTTCAGGGTTGATTCCCTCTTCAAGTAGGGGACAACAAATGGGTAACTTGTTCCCCATATTCATGTAGATAATAGCTTCAGCTTTGGCCAATATATCCTTACCTAATAAGGGTGTGGGACTTTCAGGCATAACAAGAAAGGCATGTGAAAAGAGAAAAGTCTCCCAATTACAACTGAGGAGGTGGGAGAAATACCTGGTTACAGGCTGTCCCAGGATTCCTTGGATGGTAACGGATCTTGAGGACAGTAGTCCAGGACAGGAGATTAACACTGAGAAGGCCATGCCATTGTCCAGGAGGAAGTCAATTTCCTGGCCCTCAATGGTTAAGCAAACCCAGGACTCAGGGAGGGTGATGACATGAGCTGGCACTTGCCCCTTGAGGGAGTTGGGTCACAGGGAAGTATATTTCCTTAAGGCCTCCCATAGCCGCTCGAGGAAGGTAGAAGGATTTTCTTCCTTTGCCTGAGTTATGGTGGACATCATTGAATAATTCATGGGCTTTTCCCTAATTCTCATTAGTCCTTCTAGAATGCAAATCAACAGATGTTTACAACTACAGTCCCCATGATCTGAGTCAAGGTCCCAGTGGGGATCCATACTGGGGATGGCTTGCTGACTGGTAGGGAATTTGTCCCTTTCTTTGGCTGTCATTCTATCATTTACTTGACTAAGATGCCAGGTATCTCCAAACTCTTGGGCTGCAGCTAAAGCCACATTCTTTTCATTAAAGGCCATGGTTTGATCTAACAGTAGCATGACATCTCTCCAAGTGAGGTTGAAGGTTTGCCCTAGACCCTTTAGGACATCTATGTACCTATCAGGATCATCTGAAAATTTCCCCAGGTCTGCCTTGATCTGCTTTAAATCAGACAGGGAGAAAGGGATGTGTACCCAGATTGGGCCAAATTCCTCTCCCCCTACAGCTTGAAGGGGACATAACCGATAGCCCAGGTGTTTTTGTGGGCCTTTGGAGATTTCTTTGCTTACTTCCTTCTGGGCAGGGGAGATTAGAGGAGGCTTATCATTAATAGGAAGGGGAGCTATAGGGAGGCTAGGATATGGGGGTAAGCTGAGAGGTCCTCCTGTGGGATGTAAATTGCAAGCTTTGCATTATTTGTGTATTCTCCTTCAATGAAAAGAAAGCTTGGACATAAGGTATTTCATTCCATTTGCCTTCCCTCTTACAGAAAAGGTCAAGTGGCAGGATAGTATTGTAATTTATTCTTCCTCAGTTGGCCATTTTTCCCTGTCAGAGAGATAATATTGGGGCCAGGCCATAGTGCAGAAAAAAATGAGCTGTCTCTTTTTCAGGGTTTGTGGGTCAAATTGGTCCCAATGGCTTAGGATGCATTTCAAGGGTGAGCCTGTTGATGCCTGAGTGTTTCTCATCTGAAAGACAAAACTGCCTGTGGTTTTTTTTGTTTTGTTTCTCCCCCACCCAAGAACCTGCAATGGTTCCAGGACCCTGCTGATTGGAATAGTTGTGCTCACCGACACACCAGCAGAAACACTAGTTTTCCTCCCAGACCACAAGGAGGACCAAGGAAGGTCAGATTTAGTGGCCCTTACTGATGCATTCTCAAAAACCTGTACCCTTGCCTGTCCTCCTAGACCACAAAGAGGACCGAGAAAAATTGGATTTAGTGCCCCTTACCAACGCATTCTCGAAAACATGTTAGAGTCCTAAGCATTCTCCTGTTAGTATTGGGACCTTACCTGTGTCTTATAAAGATGTTATGCCCCAAAAAAGTGGAGGGCCATACCTTGAGGGAGGGAAGGGATCTCCAGGGTTGGAAGAGTGACACCTTTTGTCCTCACTTATATGAATAGGAAGGATACAATTTCTGAGGCTCCTCATATCCCAGCTTCAGGAATAGCTTTTGCTAGGCCTGCTAGTCTGAGGAGTTATCCTAAAATTCCAGATAGTCCCCACCATGATGGGGCTTTGGGCAAAAATTATTTATTTCTGATTGGTGAACCCATGTGCCAAAAGAAGGTAACAGAGACCTGAAGTTTATAATAGAAATCATTCTTATAGGAGAAACTAGAAAGGCACCAGAGACAGGGAGTGATCCTTAGAAGTGGGACTAGCCTCGGAGAAGAGAGGCTAGAGGAAGTTTGTCTGGCAGGCATCAGGACCCAGGAGGCAAGGGTCAGAGTAGGTAGAATAGATGCGTGAGTCTCACTTGGGCGACATGCCTTTGAGAGTTCTGCTCATGGCCGCAAGGTCGACCAACTTGTTGTTGGGAACCTGGAGCTGAATGGCTTTACTCTCTGTTGACCCTTGGCCCAGCCCAGAAGTACAGGAAAAGTGGAAGCTGGTTCCAGGCAAACCAATGCTCCCAACTCCGAAGAGTCAGGGGTTGTTAGAGAGCCCTTTCCCAGAAAGCCTGACACCCATGTCTTTATCCGGCTGCCATGCTAGTCACTTTTAACTGGCTAACAGGTGCCCGGTATTTAGCCCCCGAATTCTAAGGAAAAATAGGACAGAATAGCAAGTGAAAGGGGTCCCACGGTACTCACTGCTTGGTGATAGGCAATAGTCTTACCACTTGGCAATAGGTGACGGTCCCTTTGGGGTCATGAAAATGTGTCCAGAATTGGTGGGTTCTCGGCCTCACTGACTTCAAGAATGAAGCCATGGACCCTCGTGGTGAGTGGTACAGTTCTTAAAGATGGTGTGTCTGGAGTGTGTTCTTTCTGATGTTCGGACATGTCTGGAGTTTCTTCTTTCTGGTGGGTTCATGGTCTCCCTGACTTCAGGAGTGAAGCTTCAGACTTTCACAGTGAGTGTTTTACAGCTCTTAAAGGTGGCACATCCAGAGTTGTTCATTCCTCCCGGTGGGTTCATGGTCTCACTGGCTTCAGGAGTGAAGCTGCAGACCTTCACAGTGAGTGTTACGGCTCATAAAGGTAGTGCAGACCCAAGATTTATTGGGTGGTGCAGCAAGATTTATTGCAAAGAGCGAAAGAACAAAGCTTCCATAGCGTGGAAGGGGACATGAGTGGGTTGCTGCTGCTGGCTTGGGTGGCCTGCTTTTATTCCCTTATTTGGCCCCACCCACATCCTGCTCATTGGTCCATTTTACAGAGAGCTGATTGGCTCATTTTACAGAGTGCGGATTGGTCCATTTTACGGAGTGCTAATTGGTCCATTTTGACAGAGTGCTGATTGGTGCATTTACAAATCTTTAGCTAGACACAGAGTGCTGATTGGTGCATTTACAATCCTTTGGCTAGACAGAAAAGTTCTCCAAGTCCCCATCTGGCCCAGAAGCCCAGCTGGCTTCACATCTCATTAATATATGAAATTTGGAGAGTTCTCTATTTCTTATTAGTGAAATTATTCTTAAGAACGTAGATTGGCCATTATTGATTCAACAAATATTTGTTGAATATCTGGTCTGTGCAGGGCCTTTTACTAGGTGCTGGGCTTCCAGAAATCAGAGACCCTTCTGGAGTTTTGTAAGAGGTCGCAGTGAAGGACACAGGTAAGCACATAGACATTACAATACATTGTCATAAATGTTGTGATAGAGATGAGTAAAAGGGAGTTGTGAAGCACACAAAGAAGACACTTGAACAGAGAGGTAAAGAATCTTAAACAGGGTGTCTTGTAATCTGGATTCTTAGAGATGAGTAGCTGTTATGAAATAAGGCAGGCAGAGAGAGTTGCAAGCACAAAAGCACTGAAAGGGGGAAGAAGAGCTTACAAAATTACAGACAGCACCATGCGTCTTGAACATCATGCTCTAAATTTCAAATTGGAAGAAATGAAATGGTAGCAAATGGAGCATTATTTAATCAGAGCAGAGAAAGGTTCACCTGAAAATAATACTACAGCTTAAAAATAATGAATTAGAAATAGACTGCATCAGTTTTTTAGAATTTTTTTTAATCCACCAAGTTGGATACGATTTTGGGCTTTAAAAAGTAAAAGTAAAAATTTAATACTGGTGTCAGAAATAGTACACAAACTTAATCAAGCTTTTATTTTTTAAACAAAGAGGTTTATTTGGCTCATGGTTCTACAGGCTACATGCAAAGCACCCATGTCACGTTTCTGCCTAGGCACACAGACTTTCTGATATATCCTCTGAAATCTAGGTGGAAACTGCCACATTTTCACCATTCTTGCATTTTGCAAGCCTATAGACTTAACACCACTTAACATCACTAAGACTTACTACTTGAGCTCTCCAGTGTGGTGGCCCAAGCAATAGTTGGGGCCTTTTGAGCTGTGGCTGGAGCTGGATCAGCTAGGATGCAAGGAGCAGCATCCCAAGGTGGTACACAACATTCTGAGGTGGTACAGGGAAGTGACACCCTGGGCCTGTCCCCTGAAACCATTCTGTCTTCCTAGGCCTCTGTACCTATGATGGGAGGGGCTGCCTCAAAGATTTCTGAAAAGCTTTCAGGGCTTTTTTTAGTCCATTGTCTTGACTATTAGCACGTGGCTCTATTTTAGCCATGCCAATCTCTAGCAAAAGGTCTCAGCTGCATCCTTGGATTTTTCTCCTGAAATCCTCTTTCATTCTCTACCAGTCTGTGCATTTTCCAAATGTTTACACTCTGCTCCCCTCTTAATTAAAAATTCCACCTTTAGGTCATTTTTTTTTTTTTTTTTTTTTTGCTGCGGTATCTAATTGTAAGCTGTTAGAAGTAGCCATTGCACTTCTTGAAGACTTTGCTGCTTGGAAATTTCTTCCACCAGGTACTATAGGTTATTACTCTTAAGTTTGGCCTTCCACAAAGCCCTAGGGCATGGACACAATGGAGCTAAGTTCTTTGCTGCAGCATAACAAGGGTGACCTTTGCTCCAAGTCCCAGTCAGTTCATTTCTATTTTGTGGGGGTCTGTCCTGTAGAACCTGACCCAACGATGGATGAATAAAGTACACTGACACACAGATACTCTGCTTTGCCAGTCCAGTTGAGTTTCTGGGCCGCTTACAGACTCCACACAGAGTGCTGTAAACAGTTGTGACAGGGCCCTGACCAGCCAGTGAGACTTGCATTTATTCAGTAAAGATTAATTGACAAAGGCTTGAGCCAACACTGCTAGAGGGTAATTGACATTATAGACTTCCCGAGTAGAAAGCAATTAAGCACCCACTGTAGAACAAAGGTTAGTCTTAAGACCACATGTGTAAACAAGTTAGATAAATTCCCCACATTCCTTTGTTTCTACTCTAATTTATTTAACTAAAGGTAAGGGTATCAGGCTGCCTTCAGCCAGATGTATTACAGAAGTTATACAAACTCTCAGGCCTTCCAAGAGGGTTTGTGGCTATCATAACTAAAATTTTTCCCACCAGCCTGACTGAATGCCCACACTATCTGAGACCTCAGTATGACCATTATGGTCTATATTTCTATCAGCATTTTAGTCACAACCACTTAACTAATCTCTAAGAAGTTCCAAAGTTTCCCCATCATTTTATCTTCTTCTGAGCCCTCCAAACTCTTCCTGTTACCTAATTCCATAGTGCTTTAACATTTTTTTTTTACAAAATTCTTCTAAATTTGAAAATAAATTTATTGGTAAGTGGTTTGCATGGTAATTCTTTCACATGATTTTCAGCTTGGCTCCTTAAAGCTAATTAGCACATTTATTTCTAAATTATAAATAAAGCTATTCCTAAGAATTTGGCTTTAATCCTAACCCTTGCTTTAACCCTAATGTTTGTCAAACAGATAAGGATCTGTTTATTTAAGAGATATCAAATAAAAAGCCCTTTGGTAAACAACCATCTGTGTGCTCACTTACTTATTGGATGAGTCATTCATTAAACAAGTACTTAATGGATAGCAACATATAACAGACAGTTTTATAAGTCCTAAGGATACTGCTATGAATGAGTCAAAGTCCCAGTACTTTTCACCATTCTGACTAGCATATGGCAACCAAAAAATGGCCATGTTAGTAAATAAATAAATTAAACAAATTTCCATATTTATGCATATATATTTTATATTAAATTTAAGAAATAATGAATTAATATGTAAATAATTTAAATTCAGCAAGTGATAGAAAATGAAGTATATGGGATAGAGGAGGTTGGTTGCTTGAGCTATTTACAAAGGCCTCACTGAGGAGGTGAATTTTAATCTATAACTTAAAGAATGAGAGAGAATTACATAAGAAACTGGGAGAAAAAATAGCAAACTAGATTTCCTGAAAAAACTCCCAAGAAAAAATACCTAGGAATGCTGAATAAAATGTCAGAAGATTTCTTTTTATTTCTATAACTGAGTTTTTAAAAGTTAAGGAACTCTTCAGAGATTAAAAAAAAGAAGTTCTATACCTGAATCTATGCCTCGAGGACATATCTGATAAGAGGAACCTAGAGACTTGGTTTTGTTGGCTCGAGGAAAAAATTCCCATAAAGGTTGTACAGTTGGAAATGAGTTCTCAACCTAAAGCTGGACACATTGAAAGACCATACCTCAGTGGAAGATTAAAAAAAAAAAAAAAGCTTCCTTCTTAGGGAGATAAAAAGGTAACTTGTCTTTTTTGGTCCTTGTTTGGGCAGAGGAAAATATTTGTGATCATATATAAAATACTGCACATAGGTTACCAAGATGATGGAAGGTAACCTGCTCATATACCCCCATAAGAAAAAAAATTCTGTATACATCCACAGACAAAAGTCTCTCTATCAGGATTCAGATAGAAGTTTGTGAAATCCTACTGGAATCCAAGTCCTTGAAGGATCATTTTGAGAATGCAGACCAATACTTGAGTCACTAATCCTCCAAGCTTGCTCCCAGGCTGAAGCTCAGAAGCAGCCTAGTTCTCTAAGGGGAATGGCTAGAAGCCTGTTTGCCTTGAACCTGCAACCAAAACCATCTGCCAAAGAGTCCAGAAAGAATCACACACACTAGTGCCTTGGCAGAAAGGCTTCTCTGTCCATTGGTAGCAGTCACAGGAAAAAACTTGAAAGTTGCCTTGTGACTCAGCTCCAGTGTGCCCTCAGCTGAGCTCCCTGCTCATAGCTACCTGCACAAGCATCCAAAGGGAGTCTCACCTATATCTTGCAGCCCGGGAATCTGAGCCACCCTGATAGGCTCACCAATCTCCATCCCACAGCAGATTCCAAGAGGCACCAGTCCCAGCTCTGGCCTCCCCTGTTGCAATCAAGAATCTACCTATCCAGCTTTTGCAGGAACCTGCTGGGTGGTACCTAACAATCTGGGCCAATAAAACAGTTCCACCAACCTCATTTCCACAGCATATTCTGAGGGGTCTCAGTCTCAACCCCAACCCGTCTCATTGCAGTCAGGAATCTATCCGACCCATGCAGATACCTGCTGGGAGGTATGCCAGTATGAGCCACTGAGGCAGTCTTCTGGACTCAGGTATTTGTCCAGTGTTTGCTCACAGCCTTGGATCTTTCCCAGGTTCATCTGGCTGGAAAGCCATGTCAACCTCAGGTTTCCCATAAGACACATGGTAAGCGTGGACTTAGAGGGTCCTTCAGTGCTGAGATAGCTGCAGTGTTCATAGGTTCAGAGAACTCAACAGTCAGTCTGCTTAGGATCACTGGAAAGATGTCTGAAGAAGGATAGTCACAAACAAAGCCAGAATGTGAAGACTAAAATAAATATTTAATCCTTCAATACATAAACAATGTCACATGTCCAGAAGCATCAAGAACATTCAGGGAAATATGACTTCAAATGGACCAATAAAGTATGAGAGACTGAACCTAAAGTAATGGAGATATGTGATCTCTGAAAGAAAGAATTCTAAACAGCTGTTTTAAGAAAGTTCAACAAAGTTCAAGAAAATACAAATAACCAATTAAGAGATTTAGGAGAGAGATTGAAATAATTTCAAAACAACAGGCAGAAATCCATGAACTGAAGAAGACAATTAATAAAATAGAAAATGAAACAGAGAATCAGCAGCAAAATTTATCAGACAGAAAAAAGAATTAGTGAGCTCAAAGGCAGACTATTTGAAAATGCAGTCAGAGGAGAGAACAGAAAAATAACACAAAGGAGTAAACAAAGCTTACAAGATCTATGGGACAACATTAAAAGAACAAACATTTGTGTTATTGGAGTGAAATACAGAACTGAGAAAGACAATGTAGTAGAAAGTTTATTTAAAAAAAAATAACAGAAAACTTTTAAACCATACAGAAAGATGTAAGCATCCACATTCAGGAAGGTCAAAAGTTACAATCAGATGCAACCCAAATAAAAATTTCCCAAGATATTTTATAATCAAACTCTCAAAGATCAAAGACAAGGAGATAATCCTGAAAGTAGAAAAAGAAGCAAATAATATATAAAGGAAATCTGATACACCTAGCAGCAGACATCTCAGCAGAAATGTTATGGCCTGGGGGCAGTGGGAAAATATATTGAGTGCTAAAGTAAAAAATTACCAATAAAGAATACTATACTTAGAAAATGGAGGAGAAATTAAAACTCCCAGACAAACAAAATCTGAGGGAATTTATCTCTACCAGACCTGTTCTACAGGAAATGCTAAAGGCAGTTTTTTTAATTAAAAGGAAAGGACACTAAAATGAGGGTGACACTAATATTGTAATTGTGATGTGTTAACCACTTGTATCTTTCCTAAGAAAACTAAAAGGCAAAACGATTAAGAATAAAAATAACTCCAACAATTTATTAACAGATAGGCAATATAAAAAATCACATTGTAAGACCCAATTGCATGTTGTCTTCAAGGTACTCATCTCACGTGCAATGATTCTTACAGGTTAAAGGTAAAGGGATGGAAAAAGATCTATCAAACAAATGGAAAACAAAAAAGAGCAGGGGTTGCTATTCTCATTTCAGACAAAACAAAACTTAAACCAACAATGATCTAAAAGAACAAAGAATACCATTATTTGATAATGACATTACTTGATAAAGCATCCAATTCAAGAAGAATTAACTGTCCTAAATATTTTTGGCCAGGTGTGGTGGCTCATGCCTGTAATCCCAGCACTTTGGGAGGCCAAGGTGGGTGGATCATGAGGTCAGGAGTTCAAGACCAGCCTGGCCAACATGGTGAAACTCCACCTCTACTAAAAAAAAAAAAAAAAATTAGCCAGGCGTGGCGGCCCATGCCTGTAATTCCAGCTACTCAGGAGGCTGAGACAGGAGAATCGCTTGAACCTGGGAGGCGGAGGTTGTGGTGAGCCTAGATTGCACCATTGCACTCCAGCCTGAGCAACAGAATGAGACTTCGTCTCCAAAAAAAAAAAATAAATAATTATGCACCTAATACTGGATCACCCACACAATAATAGTGGGAGACTTCAACATCCCACTACGGTATCAGACAGATCATCTAATGAAGATATTTGGGACCTAAACTTGACATCTGACCAAATGGACCTAACATATATCTACAAAACATTCCACCCAACAACAATAGAATATACATTTTTCTCATCTCCACATGGCACGTACTCTAAAAGTGACCATATATGTGGTCATAAAGCAATTTTCAGAAAATACAAAAAAACTTAAAATTATACCAACCACATTCTCAAACCACAGTATAATAAAAATAAAAATCAATACAAAGAAACTCTCGCAAAACCATAAAATTACATGAAAATTAAACAACCTATTCCTGAATGACTTTTAGCTAAACAATGAAATTAAGGCAGAAATCAAGAATTTATTTGAAACTAATGGAAACAAATATGCAATATACCAGAATCCCTGGAACACAGAGAAGTGTTCAAAGGGAAGTTTGTAGTGCTAAATGGTCACATCAAGAAGTGAGAAACATCTCAAATTAACAACCAAACCTCACACCTAGAGAGATATGAAGAATAAGAGCAAACCAACTCCAATGCTAGCAGAAGAAAATAAATAACCAAAATCAAAGCTGAGCTGACTGAAATGAAGATGAGAAAAGAATCTACAAAAGATCAACCAAACTGAAAAGTGGTTCTCCAAAAGAATGATAGCTTACTAACTAGACTAACAAAGGAAAAAAAAGAAGATAAAAATAAACACAATCATAAATGACAAAGGGGTCATTACCATTAACCCTTCAGAAATACAAAAAACACTCAGATGAACGTAGACTATTAGGAACACTTCTAAGCACATAAACTAGAAAACCCAGAAGAAACAGATAAATTCCTGGAAATATACAACCGTTCAGTATTGAACCAGAAAGAAATTGAAATATGGAACACAATGTGGTCTGAAGTTGAATCAGCAATTTTGAAAACTTACCAACCAGAAAAATCCCTGGACCAAATGGATTCACAGCCAAATTGTACCAGACATATGAAGAAGAAAAAGAACCAAATCTAGTAAAACTGTTTCAAAAAATTGAAGGAGAGGAACTCCTCCATGAGTCATTCTACAAGGAAAGCATCATTCTGATACCAAAACCTGGCAGAGACACAACAAAGGAAGAACATGTCAAGCCAATATCCCTGATGACTATAGATGCAAAAGTACTCCACAAAATACTAGCAAACTGAATCCAGCAGCATATCAAAAAGATAATCCACCACAACCAAGTGGCTTTATTCCTGGGAAGCAAAGTTGGTTCAACATACATAAATCAACAAATATGACTCATCACTTAAACAAAACTAAAAACAAAAGCTACATGATCATCTCAATAGATGCAGAAAGTCCTTTCATAAAATTCAACATCCCTTCATGTCAAAAACCTTCAAAAAACTAGATATTGAAGGAACATTACTCAAAATAATAAGAGCCATATATGACAAACCCACAGCCAATATCAGATTGAATGAGCAAAAGCTGGAAGCATTCCCTTTGAGAACTGTAACAAGAGATGGATACCCACTCCCATTACTTCTATTCAACATAGTACTGAAAGTCCTAGCCAGAGCAATCTGGCAAGAAAAAGAACTTAAAGGGCATCCAAAGAGAAGCCAAGGAAGTCAAATTATCTCTGTTCTCAGATGATGTGATTCTGTACTTAGAAAATGCCATAGCCTCTGCCCAAAGGCTCCTAGAGCTGATAAGCAACCTCAGCACAGTTTCGGGCTACAAAATTAATGTATAAAAATTGTTAGTGTTTCCATACTAATAATATTCAGGCTGACAGTCAAATCAAGAACACAATCTCATTAACAATAGCAACAAATAAAATGAAATCTCTAAGAATACAACAAACCAAGGAGGTGGAAGATCTCTACACAGCGATCTTACAGATTGCTGCTGAGAGAAATCAGAGACAACACAAATGAAAAAATCTTCCATGCTCATGAATAGGAAGAATCAATAATGTTAAAATGGCCATACTGCCTGAAGTAATTTACAGATTCAATGTGATTCTGATTGTATTAGTCCGTCCTTATTGCCGATGAGTGGGTAATTTCTATAAGAAAGAGGTTTAATTGGCTCACAGTTCCACAGGGCTGTGGAGGCCTCAGGAAACCTACAATCATGGCAGAAGGAGTAGCAAACATCCTAATTTACATGATGGGAGGAAGGAGAAGAGTGACCTAGCAAAAGGGAAAACGCTTTTTAAAACCATCAGATCACATGAGAACTTACTCACTATCATGAGAACACCATGGGGGAAAGCACCCCCATGATTCAATTACCTCGCATGACACCTGGAGATTATGGGAACTACAATTCAGAATGAGATTTGGGTGGGGACATATCCAAACCATATCATTCCACTCCTGGCCCCTCCCAAACCTCTTGTCTTTACATTTCAAAACACAACCATGCCTTCCCAGCAGTTCCCCAAAGTCTTAGCTCATTGCAGCATTAACCCAAAGTCCAAAGTCTCATCTGAAACAAGGCAAGTCCCTTCAGCCTATGAGCCTTTAAAGCCAAAAGCAAGTTAGTTACTTCCTAGATACAATGGAGGTACAGGTGTTTGATAAATACACCCATTCCAAATGGGGGAAATTGGCCAAAATGAAGGGGCTACAGGCCCCATGCAAGTCCAAAATCTAAGGAGGCAGTAATTAAATCTTAAAGCTCAAAATAATCTCCTTTAATTCCATGTGTCACTTCCAGGTCACACTGAAGCAAGAGGTGGGCTCCATGGCCTTGGGCAGCTCTGCTCTTGTGGCTTTGTAGGGCACAGCCCACATCCTGGCTGCTTTCATGGACAGGCATTGAGTAGCTGCAGCTTTTTCAGGTGCATAGTAAAAGCTGTAGGTGGATCTACCATTCTTGGATCTGAAAGACAGTGGATCTCTTCTCACAGCTCTACTAGGCAGTGCCACAGTGGGGACTCTGTGTGGGGGCTTTGACCCCACATTTACTTTCTGCACTGCCCTGACAGAGATTCTCCATGAGAGCTCTGCCCCTGCAGCACACTTCTGCCTGGATATCCAGGCATTTGCACACATCCTCTGAAACTAGGTGGAGGTTACCCAACCTCAATTATTGACTTCTGTGCACCCACAGGCCCAACACCACATGTAAGCTGCCAAGGCTTTGGGCTTGTACCCTATGAAGCAATGGCCTGAGCTGTAATTTGGCTCCTTTTAGCCATGGCTGGAGCTGAAGCAGCTGGGACACAGGGCACCATGTCCTGGGGCTGCATAGGGCAGGGGTGCCCTGGGCCCAGACAATGAAACCATTTTTTCCCTCCTAGGGCTCTAAGCCTGTGATGGGAGGGACTGGCATGAAGGTCTCTGACATGCCCTGGTGACATTTTCCTCACTGTCTTGGTAATTAACATTTGGCTCCTTGTTACTTATAGAAATTTCTGCAGCCAGCTAGAATTTCTCCCCAGAAAGATGGGTTTTTCTTTTCTATTTCATAATCAGGCTGCAAATTTTCCAAACTTATGCTCTGCTTCTCCTTGAACACTTTGCTGCTTGCATATTTCTTCTGCCAGATACCCTAAATCATCTCTCTCATATTCAAAGATCCACAGATCTTTAGGGCAGGGGAAAAATGCCACCAATCTGTTTGCATAGCAAGAGTGACCTCTACTCCATTTCATAACAAGTTGCTCATCTCCATCTGAGACCACCTCAGCCTGGACTTTTGTCTGTATCACTATCAGCATTTTGGTCAAAGCCATTCAACAAGTCTCTAGGAGGTTCCAAACTTTCCCACATCTTCTTGTCTTCTAAGCCCTCCAAGTCTCTAGGAAATTCCAAACTTTCCCATATTTTCCTGCCTTCTGAGCCCTCCAAACTGTTCTAACCTCTGCCTGTTACACAGTTCCAAAATCGCTTTCACATTTTGGGGTATCTTTACAGCAGTGCCCCACTCTGTGCAGTACTAATTTACTGGGTTAGTCCATTCTCACACTGTTATAAAGAACTGCCTGAGACTGGGTAATTTATAAAGGAAACAGGTTTAATTGACTCACAGTTCTGCAGGGCTGGACAGGCCTCAGAAAGCTTAAAATCATGGGGGAAAGGAAAATAAACATGTACTTCTTTACATGGCAGCAGGAAGAATGAGAGTCAAACGAAGTGGGAAGCCCCTTATAAAACCATAAGGTCTTGTGAGAACTTACTCACTATCACGAGAATAGCACTGGGGAAACTGCCCCCATGATTCAATTACCTCCCACCAGGTCCCTCCCACCACATGTGGGGATTATGGGAACTACAGTTCAAGATGAGATTTGGGTGGGGACAGAGCCAAATCATATTACGTATCAAACTACCAATAGTTTTTTAAACCAAATTAGAAAAACTATTCTAAAATTCATTTGGAAACAAAAAAAAAAGGCTGAATAGCCAAAACAATTCTAAGAAGAAGGAACAAAGATGGAGGCATCACATTACCCACTACTACAAGGCTACAGTAACTACAACAGTATGGAACTGGTGAAAAAATAGACACATAGACCAGTGGTAAATATTAGAACTCAGAACTAAAGCCACATACCTACAACCATATGATCTTTGATAATGCTGACAAAAAGATTAAAGGACTCTATTTAAAAACTACTGGGATTACTGGCTAGCCATAAGCAGAAGATTGAAACTTGACCCCTTCCTTTCACTGTGTGCAAAAAAAAAAAAAAAAAAAAAAAAACTCAAGATGAATTAAAGACTTAAATGTAAAGTCTAAAACTATAAAAACCCTAGAAGAATGTTGGGGTGATCAGACCCAACACCAGGCCATGGGGGCTATGAAGTCCAGCGGAGTCAAAGGAATGAGAAAAGACAAGGTAAGAGTAAAAGTGGGACCAGGGGGCCAACACTAGTATGGAGGCTGTAAAGACCCCAAGCTCTGGAAGCCACACTATTTATTGGTGATCAAATAAAGAAGCAGGTGGTGAGGATGTGGGGGTTGAAAGAAAGCAGTGTATCAAGCGCATGATCTACAGCTGTGTCATTTCAGCATTTTCTTTGGAGCATAGGGAGCACGTTCTGCTACTTGAGATAATGGGAAACATGTTCTTCTAGTTTAAGATACAATCGTTTTATGAACCTGGGAGTGCTAGAAGCAAGGAGCCAGCAAGTCTATACACATTCCAGAGGCCATGAGGGGTTTTATGCCCTGAGCCCTGGATTCCATCCAAGCCACGAGGGATTTTATGCCCTGGGCTTAGATTGCGGTGTGGCAGGGCAACCTTCCACCCTTTGGCACAGAGCTTGATGTTCCAAAGGCCATGAGGGGTTTTAGACCCTGGACCCCGGACATGTTCCAAGACTCTTTTACATTATGTCAGACATGCAAGCCCTGCCTCAGCCTTTTTCCCAACACTCAGCTTTTCCCCGACAGAATAAACCTAGGAAATATTATTCTGGACATCGGCCCTGGCAAAAACTTTGTGATGAAGACTCCCAAAGCAATTACAATAAAAACAAAAACTGATAAGTGGTACCTAATTAAACTTAAGAGCTTCTGCAGAGCAAAGGAAACTATCAACAGAATAAACAGACAACCTACAAAATGTGAGAAAAAATTTCCAAACTATGCATCCACCAAAGGTCTAATATTGAGTACAAATAAGGAACTTAAACAAATCAACAAGCCCCAAACAAACAATCCTATTGAAAAGCTGAGCAAAGGATATGTACAGACAGCTCACTAAAAAAAAAAAAAAAAAAATGGGTCCAAGAAACATATGAAAAAAAATGCTCAATATCACGAATCATTTAGGTAAATGCTTCAAAACCACAATGAGATACCATCTTATGCCAGTCGGAGTGACTATTAGTAAAAAGTTTAAAAATAACAGATGTTGGCAAGGTTGCAGAAAATAGGGAACATTTATGGACTGCTATTGTGAATATAAATTAGTTCAGCCCCTGTGGAAAGAAATTTGGAGATTTCTTAAAGAACTTAAGAACAGAGCTACATTTTTACCCAGGAATCCCATAAGAAAATCACTTAACCAGAAAGGGAGACAGTAAGAAGTGGAAAAAATGAAAGACAACAGTTACAAAACAACTAAAAAAGAAGGTAACAAAATGGCAATAGTAAGTTCTTACCTATCAATAAAATCACTTAACCAGAAAGGGAGACAGTAAGAAATGGAAAAAACGAAAGAGAACAGTTACAAAACAACTAAAAAAGAAGGCAACAAAATGGCAATAGTAAGTTCTTACCTATCAATAATAATATGTATGTAAATAGACTAAATTCTTCAATTAAAAAAGATGCAGTGGATGAATGGATTAAGAAACAAGACCAAATTAAATGCTCCCTACAAGAAACTCACTTTGCCTATGAAGCTATAGATGGACTGAAACTGAATAGATGGAAAAAGATATTTCATGAAAATGGAAACCAAAAAAGAGTAAGGGTCACTTACTCATATCAGATAAAATACATGTTAAGTCAAAAATTTTAGCAGGAGATGAAGAAGGCCATTATATAATGACAAAGGGGTTCACTCATCGAGAAGATATTATAATATATACATCCAACACCAAAGCACCAAAATATATGAAGCAAATATTAATAGATCTAAGGAGAAAGACTGTGAGATAATAATAATAATAGAGGATATCAATACCTCACTTTCAGAAAATCAGCAAACACTGGAGTTAAAGTTAGTTAAACTAACCTAGACCAAATGGGCCTAACAAACTATTACAGAATATTCCCTCCAACAGCTGCAGAATACAAATTTGCTCATCAACACATAGAATGTTTTTCAGAATAGACCATATGTTAGGCCACAAAACAAATCTCAACAAATTTTTAAAAGTTGAAATTATATCCAGTATCTTTGGTGACTCCAACGGAAAAAAAAAAAAACTAGAAATCAATAAGAAGACAAATTTTGGAAACTACAAATACATGGAAATTGAACAATATGCTTCGGAATAACCAATGAGTCAATGAAGAAATTAAAAAGAAATTTTCAAAATTTCTTGAAACAAATTAAAATGAAAATACAACATACAAGAACCTACAGAATATAGCAAAAGCAGTAAAAAGAAGGAAGTTGGCTGGGCACAGTGGCTCACATCTGCAATCCCAGCACTTTGGGAAGCCAAGGCAGGTGGATCACTTGAGGCCACAAGTTCAAGACCAGCTTGGCCAACATGGGGAAATTCTGTTTCTACTAAAAATACAAAAAAAAAAAAAGAAAAAGATTAGCTGGTTTGGGTGGTGAAAGTCTGTAATCCTAGCTACCCTGGAGGCTAAGGCATGAGAATCGCTTGAGCCCAGGAGATGGAGGTTGCAGTGAGCTGAGATCCAGCCACTGCACTCCAGTCTGGGCAACAGAGTGAGACTCTGTCTCAAAAAAAAAGAAAAAAAAAGGAAAGTTTATAGCAATAAATACCTACTTTAAAAATAGAAAGACTTCAGATAAACAACCAAACAATGTATCTCAAGGAACTAGAGAAGGAAGAACAAACCAAACCCAAATTATTAGAAGAAAATAAATAATAAAGATCAGAGCAGAATAAATAAACTTGAGACTTAAAAAAAGTACCAAGATCAATAAAACAAACAGTTGATTCTTTAAAAATGTAAAAAATATTAGCAAACTTTTGGCTAAATTAACTAAGAAAAAAGAGAGAAAAACCAAATAAATAGAATAAAAGATGAAAAAAATACAACTCATACTACAGAAATACAAGGAATCATTAGCGACTACTGTGAACAATTATACAATAACTAGTTGGAATAACCAGAAAAAGCAAATAAATTCCTGAGTGCATACAACCTACTCAAGATTGAACCATGAAGAAATAGAAAACCTGAACAAACCAATAAGAAGTAATGAGATCAAAGCAGTAAAAAAAAGTCTCCCATCAAAGAAAAGCCCAGGACCTGATAAATTAGCTCCTGAAGTCTGCCAAACATTTAAAAAACAACTGATGCCAATCCTCTTCAACTAGTTCAAAAATTGAAAATGAAGGAATTTTCCCTAACTCATTCTATGCAGCCAGTATTACGCTGAGGCCAAAACTAGACAAGGACACAACAAAAAAAGAAAACTACAGCTTAATATCCCCAATGAACAGAGATGCAAAAATTTACAATAAAATACTAACAAATCAAATTTAACAACACATTAAATAGATGATTCACCATGATCAAGTGAGATTCATCCCAGTGATGGAAGGATGGTTCAATATATGTAAATCAATAAACGTGACACATCAAATCAACAGAATCAAAAACAAAAACAAGAGAATTATTTCAATAGATGCTGAAAAAGCATTTGAAAAAATTTAACATCCCTTCATGATAAAACTTTCAACAAACTGGGGATAGATATTTCAACATGATAAAGGCCATGTATGACAAACCCACAGTTAATATACTAAATGAGGAAAAATTAAAAGCCTTTCTGCTAAGACTGGAAGAAAACACAGATATCCACTTTTACCACTTTTTTTTCAACATAGTACTGAAAGTTCTAGGCAGAGGAATTAGACAAAAGAGAAATGAAAGGTGTCCAAATGGAAAAGAAAGATGGCAAATTATCATTGCTTGCAGGTGACATGGTCCTATATTTAGAAAAACTGAAAGACTTCACAAAAAAAACTCTTAGAACAGATAAACCAATTTATTTAAGTGGCAAGGTACAAAATAAACATGCAAAACTTACTACCCTTTATACACATTAACAGCAATCACTGAAAAAGGAATCAGGAAGGCAATCTTGTTTACCATAGCTACCCCCCAAAATACCTAGAAATAAATTTAACCAAGGTAGTAAAGAGTTCTACAAGGAAAACTATTAACACACTGATGTAAGAAATTTAAGGGAACACAAAAAATGAAAAAATATCTCCTGCTCAAGGATCAGAAAAAATATTATTGTTAAAATGTCTATACTACTCAAAGCAGTCTAAAGATTCAATGCAATTCCTATCAAAATGTCAATAACTTCACAGAAACAGAAAGACAATTCTAACTTTCGTATGGAACCACGAAAGAGCCCAAAGAGTCAAAGCATTCCTGAGCATAAAGAACAAAGCTGAAGGCAGCACACCACCTGATTTTAAAATACACTACAAAGCTATAGTAACCAAAAGAGTGTAGTATTGGCATAAAAACAGACACATAGACCAATGAGACCAGTGAACCCGTTCATTAATGGTTTTTCTATGCTGTTTCATATCTACAGCCAACTGATCTTCAACAAAGGCACTAAGAACATACATTGTGTAAAGGACAGTCTCTTCAATATATGGTGCTGGGAAAAATGGATATCCACATACAGAAGAATGAAACTAGATTCTCGTCATTCGATGTATATAAAAATCAATTTTAAATAGATTAAAGACTTAAATATAAGACCTGAAACTGTGAAACTAATACTTTAAAAAGTATTGGTGAAATGCTTCAGGACATTGGTCTGGGCAAAGGGTTTTAGGTAAGACCTCAAATGCATAAGCAACAAAAGCAAAAATAAATAAACGGGATTATATAAAAATAAAAATCTTCTGCACAGCAAGGAAACAAACTATGAAATGAAGATACAGCCTACGTAATTGTAGAAGATAGTTGAATTTCTCCATCTGACAAGGGATTAATAACCAGAATATATAACTCAAACAACTCAATAGCAAATATATAAATAATCTGATTTAAAATTAGGCAAAATATTTGAATAGACGTTTCTCCAAAGAAGACATATAAATGGCCAATAAGCATAGGGGAAAAAAAATGCTCAACACCACAAATCATCAGGGAAGAGAAAATCAAAACCACAATTAAACATCATCCTACCTTCACTGGAATGGCTGTTATCAAAAATACAAAAAATAATAAATGCTGGTAAGGATGCAGAGAATGGGGAATTCTCATACATTGTTGATGGGAATGTAATCTAGTACAGCCATTAAGAAAAATAGTTGTTGAGGTTCATCAAAAAACCACAGATATGATTCAACAATCCCACTGCTGGATATATAGCCAAAAGAAATGAAATCAGTATATGGAAGAGATATCTGCACACCCATGTTTATTGCAGCACTGTTCACAATACCAAAATATTGAATCAACCTAGGTTTCCATCAACAGATGAATAAAGAAAATGTGGTACATATACAATAATGGAATATTATTTGTAGCCATATCTGATATAAGGACATTTCAGACATTAACAAGTAAAAGAGAAGATGTGTATTTTAAGTTTTCAAAAATTTTGTCAACACCAATAGAAAGAAAGGGGAAGAAAAATCTCGGTAATACATTGAAATAACACCAAAGTTGACCATTGCTGACTGTATCAAACTGTGCTCCATTCCTCTGCATTTAAAATAGATAGGATTATTATTGGATAGAAATCTGGTATTTATTCATTTACTTTTCAAAATTTTTCAAATGTTTAGTATATGTCAGGAACTCTGCTAGGCACTTAGGCTATAATGAAACTATTTGTGCAATACATAACCCATCCATGGAAGTGATATATTTCATTTACTTGTGTATTTTTGCCTTGGGTCATCCTTAAAAGAACTAAAGGCTTTTAGTATGGATACAAAGCTCAGGAGGGCAGAAAAGAAAGCAAATACATAAAACAAAAACCCACAGAAAGAGTTATTAGGTGCTATGGTCTGAATGTTTGTATATCCCCCAAAATTTATATATTGAAATCCTACCCCTCCAGGTGATGTTATTAGGAGCCGAGGCTTTTTGAGAGGTGATTAAATGATGAGGGTGGACTTGTATGATTGAGACTGGTGGTCTTATAAAGACAGACTGCAGAGAGCTAACTAGTCTCTTTCATTGTGTGAGGACACAGCAAGAAGTCACCATCTATGAACCAGGAAACAGGCCTTCACTAGACAGCAAATCTGTTATCATCTTGATCTTGGACTTCCCAGCCTCTAGAACTGTGAGATATAAATTTCTCTTGTTTATGAGCCACCCAGTTTATGGTATTCTGTTATAGCAGCCAGAATGAACTAAGACATTAGGTTATTGGGGCAGGAGGTGCAGTGGTGTGGGGGTGGTGGCAAGAACTTCAGATTGTTGGAAACTTGAGGCAGTCCAGGTCAGAGCTGGGAGTTATAAGCTAATCAAGTGGTTTGAGAGATTCTACGGGAGTTTTTTTTAGGTCTGAAGCTCTAATTAATGATTGAGGGTTGCTGACCTAAAACAGGCAGAGCTTAAGGTATAAAGGTAACACTATAGAATTGCACAGATCCAATTAGACAGTAGACTTGCCTGACGCAGAGAAACAGGACTTGATGCTGAAAAAGCTTAAAGTAGTGCTTCAATATACTGATTCTGGAGAAAATGGCCAACACTTTTTGGGTAGATAGAATGTGTTAGCTCAGGGGCCGGTCAATGGTACAAGGGGAAGGCATACCCTAGTTTCCAATTCCAGGTAACAAAAAACTTAATTGCAGCAAATTCTATGAGGAACGTTTAGATGACAACAGTTGCAATCTAAAGACCTGAGCATATTCTAAGGTAGCGATTAGAGTAACAGACTACAGTTTCAATGTTTATTGTGAGAATGAACCTCCCACAGCAGTTAGAGGGTTTTATAATCTAGTCCAGTTGTATTTCAATTAATTCTCAGTCCTTTGGTAACTGCTTGTACCAGGTATCACGGTAAACACTGACTGGGGATTTATTTGTATATGCACAAGCTGAAATATTCACCTTTGCTATATTCTTTTGAAGAATATGACATTAAGAGAATGGACTTGGTATCAGCCAGATTCCATATTTGAGTCCCACAGCTTCTGGGTAGCCATCGGCATGTTATGTAACGAACTGATCCTTAGTTTCCTTATGTGTCAAATGAGGATAATAATGTCTGGTTCGTAGGGCTGTAGCAGAATTCAAACATGACAATGTAGTACATAGTGCCTTTGTAAGTGCTCAGTAATCGTTAGCTGCTATTATTATCCTTTAATAGTTCACAGATGAGAACACACAATTGTTGAGGACTCCACTGCATGAGAAACTTGTTTCACATTAGTTTATAGCTGATGGTAACTGAAGTTTCCTCCTGATACGTTTCTAAGAAATATTATTACAGCAGAACTTGAGTATGTCATGTTCAGGAACCCATCAGCACATCCCTAATTGGTAAAGTTTTCATCTCAGTTAGAGATTATAAATGTAAAAATCAAGGAAATACAAATGCGTGTTGTATAGAATAGTTAACATACCAAGATGCCTCCTAAAAACTCAGAAGTAAGGCACAAACATGAGTAGTGCAAAGCTTCAAGGTATAGAGACACTGAAGAAAGTCAAAAAGAAGCACAGAAAGTTCCAAGTGGAAGATACTTCAGGTCACTTAGATCCATTGTATGTACATCTTTGTCATTTAACAAGGGTTCAATAGTGGCGGACAAGGCTTCCAGTGAGGGTGTGCCACTGGGATCAAATTAGACTGAAAAATAAACAGCTGGGTGGTAATAAACCTGGGCTACAAATAAAAAGTCTGTTATTGAATGTGGTTAGCAATGAGTGGTTACCACGAACTCACAGACGGAGGGGACTCTCAGCAAGGACTGACAATTCTTATGTGAGAGGTCCAAAGTCTAAATTGGAACAAAATAGAACTTGACATAGTTCTGGTCAAAATAATGTAAATTTCTATGGATGTAAGAGATGAAGCCTTTTTCTGAAAGTCTCAAGTCTTCAGGGAGAGTCTCTCCAAGAAGGAGAATGTCACATCTAAGACAATGCTACCTAAGAACTTTTCTGAGGACAGAAATAACATTGATAATTTATAAAATAAATGTATTAGATCAGTTCAGCTTCAGCTGAAAACAGTAAATGAGGACCTCAGGGGGTAAGATGCTAAACAGTTCTAGATTTAGGTTCCTGAAAAATGTTTCTCTCTTACTCATTATCACAAATTTAAAAGATTGGTCCCAAAAAATTACCTTTTGAAGGCTGAAGTTGATCTGTATGGCAATTGTAAATGAACAGAAATTCATAACAAAAACCTAGAATAAATGCATAGCACTTTGTCTCTCAGAAATACAAGATTTCAACATGGTATACGCAGACCAGTATTAATAAAAGTAAAATATTTTACTATTAACCATATTCTTATCTATTTATCTATCTATCATCTATTGCTTAAAATGGAAACAGATTCATATAAGTTTATATTATTCTAATAATGCAGAAAAGCAATTAGAATTGGAAATAATCCCAGTGAAGTTGATCCTATCATATCAAGAAAAACCTTTCTCAAAAAAGAAATCACTCAACAAATGCAATTTTGGGCTTTTGGGAGCTCCTAGAAGAAGGAACAGAATTAAATTGACATGGAAAAAGGATCAAGTAAATACAGACCATGTAGATATTTCTAAATTTTCCTTCTTGGAAAAACTTTCACAGGCTCCCTTAGTCAACCAAAAGAATTAAAGGGATTAGTTTGGCTTTAAGAAATCCTGTCTGTTGTTCAAACATAGCCCATCAAAAGAATTGCCTTAAAACTACACTTCAGATACACTGAAAGAAAAGGTTTCTGAAACTTGAATTATGTCCCAATTGATTTGCTTTAAATAAAAGAAAGTGGTCCTTATTCTATAAATAGAAAACTGTTCTGCATTGTTATCTTGGTTTGCTCGAATAAGTCTAATCCATTATAACTTACTAGCAGGGTATGAGACTGGGGAAGAGGGGAAGATCTGAATATTTTTTATACTAATGCTGCTGCTGTTGAAGTCACAAACAGAATTTGTTTTGCATCCTTTCATACATTTGATAATAATCAGAATGGAGGTGTAAATATCCTGGAATCCTCCAGAATAATAAAGGTGTATCAAAGAGATGATGGCCCCTGAAAGAGACAAAATGCACAGGACAATTAAATAAATAAATTTGTTTAGGCTGTTGCAATAGTAAGAATGTTCCATAATGAGAAATATCTAAAAAGGTGGTGGTGATGGGTGGCAGGGATTTTATGAAGGCAGATAAACAAGGAAGTCATCAGTTAGTTAATGAGGGTCATGAAGAAGGATGGAGATGAGTCTGACCTCAGTCAACTGAGAAAGAATGGAGATAGGTTATATATCAGTCATTAAAAAGGGATGGAGATGGGTCCTATCTGAGTCACTGAGGAAGGGTTTACATGGGTCCTATCTTATACATGAGAAAGAAAAGTTATTGGTCCTATCTGAGTAAAGAAGGATGAAAACGGGTCCTCTGTGAGTCGTGATTAAGGTTGGAGATTCGTCCTATTGTTGGAGCTACTGAGGAAGAATGAAGATGGGTCCTCTCCAAGATATTGAGGAAGGACAAAGGTGGGTCTCAGGCTGGGTGAGATGGCTTATGCCTGTAATCCCAGCACTTTGGGAGGTCAAAGCAGGAGGATTTCTTGAGCCTAGGAGTTTGAGACCAGCCTGGGTAACATAGCGAGACCTCATCTCTACTAAAAATAAAAATTAAAAAATAGCCAGGTGTGGTGGCACACACCTGTAGTCCCAGCTACTTGAGAGGCTGAGGTGGGAGGATTTCTTGAGCCCATATTGGTTCTATATAAGCCCCTAAGGAAAAATAGGACCATGTCCTATCTGGGTCACTGAAGAAGACTGGAGTAGTGTCTTATATGTCACTGAGGAAGGATGGAAATAGGTCCAATCTGAGTCACTGAGGAAAGACAGAAGGGTCCCATCTGAGTCAATGAGGAAGAGTGAAATTGTTTCTATCTGAGTCACTGAGGAAGGATGGAAATGGATCTCATCTCAGTCATTCAGGTAGGGTGAAGATGATTCCTACCTGAGTCATTGAGGAAGAATAGATATGGGTCTTATCTGAGTTACTGAGGAAAAATGGAAATAGGTCTTATGTGAGCCATAGAGGAAAGGTAGAGATGGATCCTATCTGTTTTATTGAGAAAGAATGGAGATGAGTCCTACTGGAGTGACTGAGGAAGAATGGAGATAGGTTCCATCTGAGTCACTGAGGAAGGGTGAAGATTTGTGCCATATGAGTCTTTGAAATATAATAAAGATGGGTTATATCTGAGCCACTAAGGAAAAAATGAAGATAGATCGTATCTGAGTCATGAAAGAAATGTGAAGATAAGTTCTATCTGAGTCACTGAGAACGAGTGAAAATGGGTCCTATCTGAGTCTTCAAGAAAGGGTGGAGTTGGCTTCTATCTGTGACACTGCAAAAGAATAGAGATGGGTAATATCTTAGTCACTGAGAAATGATGAAGATAGGTCCCAATTGAATCACTGAGGAAGGATTGAGTCTGTTACTTCTGATTCATTGAAGAAGGATGGAGATAGGTTCTATCTTAGTCACTGAGGAACTGTGGAGATGGGCTCTCTCTATGTCATTGAGTAAGGGTGAAGATGAGTCCTATCGGGTCCTAGGGGAAGGGCGGAAATGAATACTATCTCAGTCATGGAGGAACAATAGAAATGGGTCCTATTTGAATCACTGAGGAAACATGGACATGGGTCCTAGCTTAGACGTTGAGGAAGGTTGGAAATGTGTCCTATCTGAGTCATTTAAAAAAGATGGAGTTGTGTTCCATCTGTCGCTGAGGAAGGATGGAAATAGGTCCCATCTGAGTGGTTGATAGTTTGTATCTTTAGTAGAGACAGGGTTTCACCGTGTTGGCCAGCCTGGTCTGAAACTCCTGACCAACCTTGATCCCCCCACCTCGGCCTCCCAAAGTGCTGGGATTACAGGCATGAGCCACCGCGCCTGGCCTTCAGTGACTTTTTATTACGGAAACTTTCAAACGTACACAAGGTCAATATGATAGCATAATTAACAGTCATGTACCACCACTCAACTTCAAGGATCGTCACTACTATACTCTTCACATTTCATCTATTTCCCTGGGGAGATTTGCTGAAGTATTTTAAAGCACAACCTAAGTATCATATTATTTAACTAATGCTTTAGAATGGATATTTAACAAAGATTTATTTTTAAACAAAGCCACAATGCCATTATTACAACCTAATAAAGTCAATAATAATTCTTTTTGTGTTATTTTTATTATTTTTTAGAGACGGAGTCTCACTCTGTTGCCCAGGCTGGAGTGCAGTCACATGATCTCGGCTAACTGCAACCTTCGCCTCCCAGGTTCAAGCAATTCTCCTGCCTCAGCCTCCTCAGGAGCTGGGACTACAGGTGCAGGCCACCACGCCCAGCTAATTTCTTTCGTATTTTTTAGTAGAGACGGGGTTTCACCGTGTTGCCCAGGCTTGTCTCGATCTCCTGAACTCAGGCAACTGCCCGCCTCGGCCTCCCAAAGTGCTATATGTATTATTTATAAAGTAAATTATTTAAATTGCTATTTTAAATCATTTACATACGATTTTTAAAAAAATCCTTCTGAAGCTGGAACTAGTATTATTTGTATTTCACACATAAGGAAACTAGGACATAAAAAGCTGAACTTGCCAAAGTGAAATAACTAATAACTACTCAATATGGGAAGTTAACATATGTTGATCGTTGCTAGGTCCAAACCTCTCAACTGCTAGACTCTGCTTTGTGTCCACACAGTACCAGGTGTGCTCTGCATTATTCATAGAAGGCATTATCTGAATGGTCATTTAATCACTATTCCTATCAGGCATAAGATTTTGTCTTCTATGTTCAAGGTGGGGCCTGTTTCATAGACAGAATAAAAACTCTTTCTTTAAATCTTCTTTCTATAAAATATGGAGTGTAATTTTGGAGGAGAAAGCATTCCTGGTATATTTATTTTCAGCTAAAAACGATAGAGTGGTTCTCAAGAAGTAGAAATGTTCTGCCAAGTTTAGAACCAGAAGACAGAACTTCAAGACCCCAATAGCCTCCAACATCATAGCTCCCTTTTCCACAAATCAGCTCATTTTGGAAATAATTTTGGTGCAACACCAACAGGGAGCAACATTATGCAGAAAGGAAAACCCTGGATGTTATACACAGATTTATTCAGGTAGTGCTGGGGTGTAGAACCATATTCAGTAAACATCTGCTATCATAGGATATATGTAGGTTGCTTATGGGCTTAAAATCAGAAGATAAAGAGGATTTTATTTATTATGTTTACGGTTATGTTAGGAGATTTAGAATACATTAATTTTGTTTCAATGGCAATGTAAGGAGGGATGCTTGGAAGAGTGATTGGGATGTTAACTAAATAACTTGCAATTATTGTTGCATTGCCTCGTTTTATTTTGTCCAACATTAGGATGTTAACTAAATAACATGCAATTGCCACTACATTGCCTCATTTTGTTTTGCCCACATTATTGAAGAGGTAATGTAGAATCCATATATGATAAGGTACCCATCAAAATTGGTTTTCAGTTAATAATCTGGGCAAAAATGAAGATGGAATGCAGAGATACCAATATGGAGGCATGATGGTATGTATGTGCACTGGGTTGAAAACCAGTGGACTTGGATTCCAGCCCTGCTACCACATTCATGTGTGACCCTCAGCAGACAACAGAGAGGCTGAAACATTGGGTTTTAACTTTTGTTTTAAATCAGAAATTGCTCAAATAAAATCTTATTCAAGTTGTGAGTATATTAAATACATTTTTAATTGATCAAATTTCCTGAAGCACAGGTAAACCTTTAAAACCCTCGCCTCACTTACTGGGCCTCTCTGTTTCTCACTACCCAAAGTGAAATCCTAAGAAACAATTCTGAAATTCTATGCCTCTGTCCATAGAGAAAAGTATGAAAATACATGAGACTAGATGATCTCTAAAGTACTTCCTTTAATTTGATGTAATAATGTCTAGGCAGAGAGAGATGCAAAAGCTAAACTTCAAGAGAGTTGATGCCCACATTCACTTCTAGTGTGCTGACTTGAGGTAAAAGTGGGCTTTTGTCTTCCAAGGTAATCATCAGCCCTTTACCCTGTTTCAATTTTTGATGTGAAAATCACTAGATAGTCATCATTTCCTATTGACAATTTATCCTTTTCAAATGTAGGCTCTCTTAGGTATACTCTGAAGCATTGTATCCAAAAATTACTTCCAACTTCCAGATACTGTTAGGCTCTAAAGCGATGTGCATCTTGATGAAGGTAAAGCAATACTTCTGACTGTGATAAGAGCACATTAGAGAGTCTCTAGGACAGATCTTTAGGGCAATGAAAAGGTTTCACCAGAAGACAAGAATAAGAAGGAAGGGGGAGAGGAAAGACAAATCACAAGTTCTTCATAGGGTGGCCAAGGTTTGGCCACACAAATCTTTTATCAACTTGATTTGTGTAGACCCTCAAAGAAGATCACTTTGTTGCAGAGAAATTTAAGATTCATAAGGCAAGAACATCAAACAAGCACCCTATGCTTTTTATGGGATTCACAAATTACATCTGAGTAAAAACGGGAACAAATATTCCTTTTAATTTATCGTTTGTTCACATCACTTCCCTCAGCATCAGCACTTTATTTTCTGAATAAATTTTTATTCCTTTTCTGTGCTTGTATATCAATTTAGATAATACTGACATGACTTTCCATTCTAGCAAGGTCATTACCAGTTCCTGGTTCTATTTGTTTTGCTTTTGTATTTTATCCATTTCCCACAGAAAGACTGTAACATCTATATCTTTCATTGGTTTTGGTAGCAAAATAAACCTTTGCTTTTTATGTAATTTTTTTAGTTGCTTAGATTCTGACCAACTTTATTTATTAAGATGAATAGAATGTGGTAGAAGAGTTTTGTGCTAATAGCTAAGAAAGCTAAATTTTATTTGTGCAAAATGATCCCGGGTAGAACTCAAAATTAAGATCATTATTATTTGTCCTAGATTTTAAAACACAGAACATTGGTAGTTAACTTACCAGGAAACAGAACAAATGACTGGTCAACATCACTCCGATTTTAGACATTTATGGGTTGGTACATCTTGTTTGTTGAACTGAGAGACCACTTAACACTAATGGCTGTTTTCAAGGTTGGATTGTTTTAAACCTTCAGTCACGGAAATGCTGGAAGTAAATTTGTATAGAATGGTGGGCTTTTAAAATGAACATGGTAAGAAAAGAGTTGCCCATTTGACCTAATACACAAGGAAACCATAATGCTGAGCCTACTCTGAAGATAACCTGGCTTACTGTGACTAGGACACAGGTTTAGAGCGTCTTTGCCATTATTTGACTAAACCTACATAAGCAATAGAATTGTGATGTGGATAAGCTTCAATAGTCTTACCATACTGGAATAGCTTGCTTAAGGATGAATTCAATAATAATTAGCATTCTGTTTATGACGTTAAAATAGTCAACTCACAGAATTATTTCTACCCATTGAGAGAGTGAAAATGGCAAGATTTTCAAATAAGAAACAAATTTACTTAAGTTGAGAGCATTTAGTATAATATTTAAAATACAGCTAAGGTATTCTTATATTCACAACAAAATTAAAATGCATAAGGAAGATTTAAAAGGAGTTAAGGTCTTGAGATGACTTCTAATACTAAAATATTTGGCAGGCTATTTTGTAATTAGCATTTGATAGTGTTATCAAGACATAATTCATATAACATAAAATTTATTCATTTAAAATATACAATTCAATGTATTGTATATATACACAAGGTTGTGCAAACATCAACACGATGTTATTTAGAACATTCCATCTCCCCCACGAAAGAAAACTCATACTCATTAGCAATCACTCCCCATTTTCCCCTTCCCTCAGTCCCTAGCAACCACTAATCCTCTTTCCATCTCCACAAATTCTGCCTATTCTGGATAATTCATGTAAATTAAATCACACAATATGTGGTGTTTTGTAACTGGCTTTCATTTAGCATGTTTTCAAGGTCCATCTATGCTGCAGCATGAAGCATTAATTCAATTCTCTTTATTGCTAAATAGTATTCCACTGTAAAGATCGAATACATTTTGTTTACCCATTCATTAGTTGATGGAAACTTGCATTATTTTTATGTTCTGGCTATCATGAATAATACCACTAAGAATAGCTGTAAAAGTTTGTAAATTTTTTTGTGTGGATATTTGTTTTCAAATCTCCTGGTTATATACCTAGGTGTATAATGACTGGGTAATAAGGTATCTCTATATTCCTAACATTTTGGGGAACTGGCAGTTTTCCAATGTGGCTGTGCCATTTTACATTCTCACTGCATTATAAGATAATTCCAGTTTCTCCACATTCTTACCAACACATATTATTATGTATCTTTCAAATTATAGGCATTCCAGTAGTTATGAAGTATTACCACAATGAATTTTTGTTTTGCATTTTCCTAATGACTAAGCATATTATCTTTTCATGTACTTATTAGCCATTTGTGTATCGTCTTAGAATGAGTGTCTATTCAAGTTCTTTGATCATTTGTCTAACTGAGCTGTTTTTCTTTTTGTTGTTGAATTTTAAGAGTTCTCTATATATTCTGGATACAAGGCCTTTATCAAATATATGATGCGTAATATTCTCTCCCATTCTATTTTTTTTATTTTCTTGAGAGTGTCCTTTGATGCACAAAGATTTTTAATTTTGATGCAGTCCAATTTACTAACTTTTCTTTTTTTGCTTGTGCTTCTCATGTCATAGCTAAGAATTCAATATCAAGACTTCTAATCCATGAACACAAACTATATGGAATGTTTTTCCATTTGTTTGTGTTATCTCTGATTTCTTTGAGCAGTGGTCTCTAGTTCCCCTTGAAGAGGTCCTTCACTTCCCTTGTTAGCTGTATTTCTAGGTATTTTATTATCTTTGTGGCAATTGTAAATGGGAGTTCATTCATGCTTTGGCCCTCTGCTTCCCTGTTATTGGAGTATGGGAATGTTAGCAATTTTTGCACGTTGATTTTTATTTATTATTATTATTATACTTTAAGTTATAGGGTACATGTGCACAATGTGCAGGTTAGTTACAAATGTATACATGTGACATGCTGGTGCGCTGCACCCACTAACTCGTCATCTAGCATTAGGCATATCTCCCAATGCTATCCCTCCCCCTTTCCCCCACCCCACAACAGTCCCCAGAGTGTGATATTCCCCTTCCTGTGTCCATGTGTTCCCATTGTTCAATTCCCACCTATGAGTGAGAATATGCAGTGTTTGGTTTTTTTGTTCTTGTGATAGTTGACTGAGAATGATGATTTCCAATTTCATCCATGTCCCTACAAAGGACATGAACTCATTATTTTTAATGGCTGCATAGTATTCCATGGTGTATATGTGCCACATTTTCTTAATCCAGTCTATCATTGTTGGACATTTGGGTTGGTTCCAAGTCTTTGCTATTGTGAATAATGCCACAATAAACATACGTGTGCATGTGTCTTTATAGCACCATGATTTATAGTCCTTTGGGTATATACCCAGTAATGGGATGGCTTGGTCAAATGGTATTTCTAGTTCTAGATCCCTGAGGAATCGCCACACTGACTTCCACAATGGTTGAACTAGTTTACAGTCCCACCAACAGTGTAAAAGTGTTCCTATTTCTCCAAATCCTCTCCAGCACCTGCTGTTTCCTGACTTTTTAATGCTTGCCATTCTAACTGGTGTGAAATGGTATCTCATTGTGGTTTTGATTTGCATTTCTCTGATGGCCAGTGATGGTGAGCATTTTTTCATGTGTTTTTTGGCTGCATAAATGTCTTCTTTTGGGAAGTGTCTGTTCATGTCCTTTGCCCACTTTTTGATGGGGTTGTTTATTTTTTTCTTGTAAATTTGTTGGAGTTCATTGTAGATTCTGGATATTAGCCCTTTGTCAGATGAGTAGGTTGCAAAAATTTTCGCCCATTTTGTAGGTTGCCTGTTCACTCTGATGGTAGTTTCTTTTGCTTTGCAGAAGCTCTTGAGTTTAATTAGATCCCATTTGTCAATTTTGGCTTTTGTTGCCATTGCTTTTGGTGTTTTGGACATGAAGTCCTTGCCCATGCCTATGTCCTGAATGGTGTTGCCTAGGTTTTCTTCTAGGGTTTTTATGGTTTTAGGTCTAACGTTTAAGTCTTTAATCCATCTTGAATTGATTTTTGTATAAGGTGTAAGGAAGGGATCCAGTTTCAGCTTTCTACATATGGCTAGCCAGTTTTCCCAGCACCATTTATTAAATAGGGAATCCTTTCCCCATTGCTTGTTTTTCTCAGGTTTGTCAAAGATCAGATAGTTGTAGACATGCGGCATTATTTCTGAGGGCTCTGTTCTGTTCTGTTGATCTATATATCTGTTTTGGTACCAGTACCATGCTGTTTTGGTTACTGTAGCCTTGTAGTATAGTTTGAAGTCAGGTAGTGTGATGCCTCCAGCTTTGTTCTTTTGGCTCAGGATTGACTTGGCGATGTGGACTCTTTTTTGGTTCCATATGAACTTTAAAGTAGTTTTTTCCAATTCTGTGAGGAAAGTCATTGGTAGCTTGATGGGGATGACATTGAATCTGTAAATTACCTTGGGCAGTATGGCCATTTTCACAATATTGATTCTTCCTACCCATGAGCATGGAATGTTCTTCCATTTGTTTGTATCCTCTTTTATTTCGTTGAGCAGTGTTTTATAGTTCTCCTTGAAGAGGTCCTTCACATCCCTTGTAAGTTGGATTCCTGGGTATTTTATTCTCTTTGAAGCAATTGTGAATGGGAGTTCACTCATGATTTGGTTCTCTGTTTGTCTGTTGTTGGTGTATAAGAATGCTTGTGATTTTTGTACATTGATTTTGTATCCTGAGACTTTGCTGAAGTTGCTTATCAGCTTAAGGAGATTTTGGGCTGAGACGATGGGGTTTTCTAGATATACAATCATGTCGTCTGCAAACAGGGACAATTTGACTTCCTCTTTTCCTAATTGAATACCCTTGATTTCCTTGTCCTGCCTAATTGCCCTGGCCAGAACTTCCAACACTATTTTGAATAGGAGTGGTGAGAGAGGGCATCCCTGTCTTGTGCCAGTTTTCAAAGGGAATGCTTCCAGTTTTTGCCCATTCAGTATGATATTGGCTGTGGGTTTGTCATAGATAGCTCTTATTATTTTGAGATACGTCCCATCAATACCTAATTTATTGAGAGTTTTTAGCATGAAGGGCTGTTGAATTTTGTCAAAGGCCTTTTCTGCATCTATTGAGATAATCATGTGGTCCTTGGTTCTGTTTATATGCTGGATTACATTTATTGATTTGTGTATATTGAACCAGCCTTGCATCCCAGGGATGAAGCCCACTTGATCATGGTGGATAAGCTTTTTGATGTGCTGCTGGATTCGGCTTGCCAGTATTTTATTGAGGATTTTTGCGTCAATGTTCATCAAGGATATTGGTCTAAAATTCTCTTTTTTGGTTGTGTCTCTGCCAGGCTTTGGTATCAGGATGATGCTGGCCTCATAAAATGAGTTAGGGAGGATTCCTTCTTTTTCTATTGATTGGAATAGTTTCAGAAGGAATGGTACCAGTTCCTCCTTGTACCTCTGGTAGAATTCGGCTGTGAATCCATCTGGTCCTGGACTCTTTTTCTTTGGTAAGCTATTGATTATTGCCACAATTTCTGCTCCTGTTATTGGTCTATTCAGAGATTCAACTTCTTCCTGGTTTAGTCCTGGGAGAGTGTATGTGTTGAGGAATTTATCCATTTCTTCTAGATTTTCTAGTTTATTTGTGTAGAGCTGTTTGTAGTATTCTCTGATGGTAGTTTGTATTTCTGTGGGATTGGTGGTGATATCCCCTTTATCATTTTTTATTACATCTATTTGATTCTTATCTCTTTTCTTCTTTATTAGTCTTGCTAGCAGTCTATCAATTTTGTTGATCCTTTCAAAAAACCAGCTCCTGGATTCGTTAATTTTTTGAAGGGTTTTTTGTGTCTCTATTTCCTTCAGTTCTGCTCTGATTTTAGTTATTTCTTGCCTTCTGCTAGCTTTTGAATGTGTTTGCTCTTGTTTTTCTAGTTCTTTTTATTGTGATGTTAGGGTGTCAATTTTAGATCTTTTCTGCTTTCTCTTGTGGGCATTTAGTGCTATAAATTTCCCTCTACACACTGCTTTGAATGTGTCCCAGAGTTTCTGGTAGGTTGTGTCTTTGTTCTCGTTGGTTTCAAAGAACATCTTTATTTCTGCCTTCATTTCGTTATGTACCCAGTAGTCATTCAGGAGCAGGTTGTTCAGTTTCCATGTAGTTGAGCGGTTTTGAGTGACATTCTTAATCCTGAGTTCTAGTTTGATTGCACTGTGGTCTGAGAGATAGTTTGTTATAATTTCTGTTCTTTTACATTTGCTGAGGAGAGCTTTACTTCCAAGTATGTGGTCAATTTTGGAATAGGTGTGGTGTGGTGCTGAAAAGAATGTATATTCTATTGATTTGGGGTGGAAAATTCTGTAGATGTCTATTAGGTCCAATTGGTGCAGAGCTGAGTTCAATTCCTGGGTATCCTTGTTGACTTTCTGTCTCGTTGATCTGTCTAATGTTGACAGTGGGGTGTTAAAGTCTCCCATTATTAATGTGTGGGAGTCTAAGTCTCTTTGTAGGTCACTCAGGACTTGCTTTATGAATGTGCGTGCTCCTGTATTGGGTGCATATATATTTAGGATAGTTAGCTCTTCTTGTTGAATTGATCCCTTTACCATTATGTAATGGCCTTCTTTGTCTCTTTTGATCTTTGTTGGTTTAAAGTCTCTTTTATCAGAGACTAGGATTGCAACCCCTGCCTTTTTTTGTTTTCCATTTGCTTGGTATATCTTCCTCCATCCTTTTATTTTGAGCCTATGTGTGTCTGTGCACGTGAGTTGGGTTTCCTGAATACAGCACACTGATGGGTCTTGAGTCTTTATCCAATTTGCCAGTCTGTGTCTTTTAATTGGAGCATTTTGTCCATTTACATTTAAAGTTAATATTGTTATGTGTGAATTTGATCCTGTCATTATGATGTTAGATGGTTATTTTGCTCGTTAGTTGATGCAGTTTCTTCCTAGTCTTGATGGTCTTTACATTTTGGCATGATTTTGCAGCGGCTGTTACTGGTTGTTCCTTTCCATGTTTAGTGCTTCCTTCAGGAGCTCTTTTAGGGCAGGCCTGGTGGTGACAAAATCTCTCAACATTTGCTTGTCTGTAAAGTGTTTTATTTCTCCTTCACTTATGAAGCTTAGTTTGGCTGGATATGAAATTCTGGGTTGAAAATTCTTTTCTTTAAGAATGTTGAATATTGGCCCCCACTCTCTTCTGGCTTATAGAGTTTCTGCCGAGAGATCCGCTGTTAGTCTGATGGGCTTCCCTTTGAGGGTAACCTGACCTTTCTCTCTGGCTGCCCTTAACATTTTTTCCTTCATTTCAACTTTGGTGAATCTGACAATTATGTGTCTTGGTGTTGCTCTTCTCAAGGAGTATCTTTGTGGCGTTCTCTGTATTTCCTGAATCTGAATGTTGGCCTGCCTTGCTAGATTGGGGAAGTTCTCCTGGATAATATCCTGCAGAGTGTTTTCCAACTTGGTTCCATTCTCCCCTTCACTTTCAGGTACACCAATCCGTCGTAGATTTGGTCTTTTCACATACTCCCATATTTCTTGGAGGCTTTGTTCGTTTCTTTTTATTCTTTTTTCTCTAAACTTCCCTTCTTGCTTCATTTCATTCATTTCATCTTCCATTGCTGATACCCTTTCTTCCAGTTGATTGCATCAGCTCCTGAGGCTTCTGCATTCTTCACGTAGTTCTTGAGCCTTGGTTTTCAGCTCCATCGGCTCCTTTAAGCACTTCTCTGTATTGGTTATTCTAGTTATACATTCTTCTAAACTTTTTTCAAAGTTTTCAACTTCTTTGCCTTTGGTTTGAATGTCCTCCCATAGCTCGGGGTAATTTGATTGTCTGAAGCCTTCTTCTCTCAGCTTGTCAAAGTCATTCTCCATCCAGCTTTGTTCCATTGCTGGTGAGGAACTGTGTTCCTTTGGAGGAGGAGAGGCGCTCTGCTTTTTAGAGTTTCCAGTTTTTCTGCTGTTTTTTCCCCATCTTTGTGGTTTTATCTACTTTTGGTCTTTGATGATGGTGATGTACAGATTGGTTTTTGTTGTGGATGTCCTTTCTGTCTGTTAGTTTTCCTTCTAACAGACAGGACCCTCAGCTGCAGGTCTGTTGGAGTACCCGGCCGTGTGAGATGTCAATCTGCCCCTGCTGGGGGTTGCCTCCCAGTTAGGCTGCTCGGGGGTCAGGGGTCAGGGACCCACTTGAGGAGGCAGTCTGCCTGTTCTCAGATCTCCAGCTGCCTGCTGGGAGAACCACTGCTCTCTTCAAATCTGTCAGACAGGGACATTTAAGACTGCAGAGGTTGCTGCTGTCTTTTTGTTTGTCTGTGCCCTGCCCCCAGAGGTGGAGCCTACAGAGGCAGGCAGGCCTCTTTGAGCTGTGGTGGGCTCCACCCAGTTTGAGCTTCCAGGCTGCTTTGTTTACCTAAGCAAGCCTGGGCAATGGCGGGCGCCCCTCCCCCAGCCTCGCTGCCGCCTTGCAGTTTGATCTCAGACTGCTGTGCTAGCAATCAGCGAGACTCCGTGGGCGTAGGACCCTCTGAGCCAGGTGCAGGATATAATCTCCTGGTGCGCCGTTTTTTTAAGCCTGTGGGAAAAGCGCAGTATTGGGGAGGGAGTGACCCAATTTTCCAGGTGCCATTTGTCACCACTTTCTTTGACTAGGAGAGGGAACTCCCTGACTCCTTGCACTTCCCGAGTGAGGCAATGCCTCGCCCTCTTTCAGCTCATGCACTGTGCGTGCACCCACTGACCTGCGCCCACTGTCTGGCACTCCCTAGTGAGATGAACCCGGTACCTCAGATGGAAATGCGGAAATCACCCGTCTTCTGCGTCGCTCACGCTGGGAGCTGTAGACCAGAGCTGTTCCTATTCCTCCATCTTCAGATCATTTTCCCACTTTGATTTTTTATCCTGAGACTTTACTGAAGTTGCTTATCAGCTTAAGTAGCTTTTGGGTTGGGATGATGGAATATTCTAGATATAATATTATGTCACTGAAACAAAGAGTTTGACTTCCTCTCTTCTTATCTGAAAACTATTTATTTGTTTCTCTTGCCTGATTGCCCTGGCCAGAACTTCCAATACTGTGTTGAATAGGAGTGGTGAGACAGGGTATCCTTCTCTTGTGCTGGTTTTCAAGGGGGAAGCTTCTAGCTTTTTCCCATTCAGTATAATATTGGCTGTGGGTTTGTCATATATGACTCTTATTATTTGAGGTATGTTCCTTTAATACCTAGTTTATTAAGAGTTTTTAACATGAAGGGATGTTGAATTTTATCAAAGGCCTTTTCTGCATCTATTGAGATAATCATGTGTTTTTGTCTTTAGTTCTGATTATGTGATGAATCATATTTATTGATTTGTGTATTTTGAAACAACCTTGCATCCTGGGGATGATACCTACTTGATGGTGATGCATAAGCAGTTTGATGTGCTGCTGGATTCAGTTTGCCAATATTTTACTGAAGATTTTTGCATTGATGCTTATCAAGGATATTGGCCTGAAGTTTTGTTTTTTTGTTGTATCTCTGCCAGGTTTTGGTATAGAATGAGGCCAGCATCATTCAATTTTCAATTTTTTGAAATAATTTCAGTAGAAATGATACCAGCTCTTCTTTGTAACTCTGGCAGAAATCAGCTTGTGAATCCATCTGGTCCTGGGCTTTTTTTTTTTTTTTTTTTTTTTTTTTTTGGTTGGTATTCTATTTATTACTGCCTCAATTTTAGAACTCATTATTGGTCTATTCAAGACTTCAGCTTCTCCTAGTTCAGTCTTGGGATGCTGTATGTGTCCAGGAATTTGTGTATTTCTTCTAGATTTTCTAGTTTATGTGCATAGAGGTAGTTTATAATATTCTCTGGTGGTGGTTTGTATTTCTATGGGCCCACAGGCTGAACTGACTGGGAAACCTGAACAGCCAAAGTGGTGGCCTGCCCCACCCCCAGGCACTTTTTCCCAGGGGGAAATTAGAGCTCTGTTCATGGAAAACTGGCTGGAATGGCTGAAGCCCTGGCTGGGAGGTCTTGTCCAGTGATGAGGAGTGAATCAGTGTCTCACTTAAAGAAGCAGTCTGGCCACGATATGGAAAAGCAACTGTGCTGTGTTGGGGGAGACCCTTCCTCATCTGGGCCATTTGGACTCTTCAAAGCCTGCACGCTGGAATGGCTGAATGGACCAAACCACAGAGATGATGGCCACACCTCCCCTTGGGAGCTCCTACCAGCCTTAGGCAAATTCCACCCTGTTGCCATTGGCTGGCTAGAATTTCAAGCCAGTGAGTGAGTCTTATCTTGTGAGGTGCTACGGAAGTGGGAACCACAGAATGATGTTGCTTGGCTCCCTGAATTCAGCCCCCTTCCTAGGGGTATGCACGGACCTCCTTCCTTGCCTGAGTTGCAGACACCATTGTTGGGGATCCTGGGGATGGAGTGTGTAAAGCTCCTGTGTCTCTGTGTGTGCCTGGTCAGCTGCTCTGCCGAGACTCCACACAGCTCTGTGTGTTAAGACCCAAGGCCCTGGTGGCACAGGATCATGAGGGGATCTCCTGATCCATGGGTTGCAAAGATTCGTGGAAGGAGTGTGGTTTCCCAGGTGGGGTTGCACAATCACTCACCATTTCCCTTGGCTGGGGGTGCCAGTTGCCTTGGCTCTGTGTTGCTCCTGGGTGTGCCACAGACCCACCCTGCTTTTCTTCCTTCTTCATAGGTCATGGGTCAAGTTGTTTGGCTAATCAGTCCCAATGCGAGAACCTCGATATTTCAGTTGAAGGTACTGTATTCTCTTGCCCATTTCTTTCCTCTTCATGAGTACCGTGGACTGCAGCTGCTTCTTATCGGCCATCTTGACCCCCCTCCTATTTCAATGTTTAACATTAGAAGTGTTTTGGGTCTTTATTTAGAAGTTTGGTGATGATTTTTTTTACCAAAAATATGATGTAAGAACTTAAATCTTGTGTACATCAATTGGCCTATGGTAAAATTGATTTTGTTATATGTCATTTCACTTAAACTTACAGCTTCCAAGAACTTATCAATTATGTTAATGAGGACTGACTGTACTTTTCCAAATCTATTGAGATCATCATGAAACATTTTTCTTTTATTAATATGATGGATCACACTAATTAATTTTCAGATTTTAAACCAACTTTGAATTCTGGGGATAAATCTCCTTTGTCATTGTGTAAATCATTTTTATATGTTGCTAGATTCAATTTGCTTATGTTTTGTTGCAGATTTTTGCTTCTATGTTTATAAGAATATCAGTCCATAATATTCTTTGTTGAACTTTGGCCTGAGGGTACTAATGGCCTTGTGGAATGAGTCAAACAGTGTTCTCTCTTCTTGTTTTTTAATAGTTTGTGAGTAATTGATATTAACTCTTCTGTAAATGTCTGATAGAATTCACTATTAAATCTCTCTGGTCCTGGGTTTTGTGTGTGTGTGTTGGGAAGAGAAAATTTGTTTAAAATTACTAACTAAATATCACGTTTTGTATTTCTTATTTTATCAGATTTCTATTCTTTTTGAGTCAGTTTAGTGTTTGTGTCTTTCTAGTAATGTCTCAATTTCATCTGGGTTATCAAATTTGCTGGCATATAATTGTTAACAGTATTTTCCTATAACACATTTTACATCATAAGTATTTTTTTCTAATTTTCTTGGTCTGTTATGCAAAAAGCTTATCAGTTTTGAAGTTTTCCCAAAACACTTTTAATTTTGTTATTTTTTTCTATTGTTTTTCTATTTTATATTTTTACTTATCTCTGCTCTAATTTTTATTATCTTCTTTCTGTTTATCTGCATTGGGTTTGGTTTGCTCTTCTTTTTCTAATTTCTTATGGTAAAAGATTGGCTTATTGATTTGAGATTTGCCCTCTTTTTTGATATAGACATTTCCAAATACAAATTTCTTTCTAAGCAGTGATTGTCTGCATCCCATAGGTTTTTATGGATTGTGTTTTTATTCTTCTGAAGGGACTTCCACTGTGATTTTTTCTTGACCCTTTAGTTGTTTAGAATGTCTTGTTTAATTCTCACATATTTATAGATTTTCTGAATTTTATTCTGTTATTTTTGTCTATTTTAATTGTTACCATGCTCTGAGAACAAATTTTGTATAATTTTAATCCTTTTATATTTGTTGAGGGTTCTTTTACAGCCTCGCATATGATCTATCCTGGAGAATGTGAGAAGAATGTCTACTTTGCTGCTGTTGGATGAAGTATTCTATAGATGTCTGTTAGGTCTAGTTGGTTTATAATGTTCGTGTCTTCTGTTTGCTTGTTGATTTATGCCTAGTTTTATTTTTAAGTAAAAGAAGATAATGAAGTCTTCAACTATTATTGTTGAATTGTATATGGATCACATTTTTCTATTTCCATATGTGTTTTAATTTTTTGTTTAAGACTGGGTATTTAGATAAAATTTAGCAACTCTGAATACAATGTCTCTCTTCAGTAAAGGGGAAGGATACTGTTGTTGATGGTTTGGTCATTTGTTTATTTGCTTAGTGACTGCGCTGAACTCTTGAACTCCTTCTGCAAAGTCTATTTTCTCTGTCATGTGGAGTCTCTGTTGTCCCTACTCAGATATTTTCCCCCTTGTTTTATCCTTTATCTTGGGTATCTAAGAGTTATTTCTAGGTTAAAGGTTGTGTTTAGGCCCCATTACCTAATTGTATTTTTACCCTTTTAACATTGGATATGTGTGTTCCTTTGAGGCTGCTATTGCAGTTGAGTTTACTTTGTTTGCCCAATGTCATCCAGGGACTATTAGTTTGGATGTCCCCTCTCTGATTGCTCCAGAGAGGAAACAGTCTCGGACATGCAAACAGTCTTCCAGACTCTCAGGGATGCAAGAAATTTTAATTTTAGGCCTGGCTTCTTAGGAGTTGTCCCTGCATTTGAGTATCTTATTGTTATTCAGTGTTTTGTCAGAGGTTGTGTTTAACCCCTTTTGTCAGTGAAGTTTTTCCCCTTTGTGGACGGATCTACATGTGGCTTTGGAAATGCTATCTTGGCTGCCCCACATCATGCTGTAATTTCTCCCCAGTGGGTGAAGCCCGGGACATAGTACATAGCCTCTCAAATCCCCAAGGTTAGCAGCTGTCATGGGCAATTATGTCCCCGACAAATTAATATTTGAGGTCCTAATCCCAAGTACCTCAGAATGTGACTATATTTGTAGATATGACCTTTAAAGAGGTAATTAAGTTTAAATGAGATCATTAGGGTTGGCCTTAATACAATATGACTGGTGCCTTTATAAGAACAGGAAATTAGTAAGCAGACAACACAGACAAAGGGATGATCCTTTGAAGACACAGCAAAAAGTTATCTATCTGAAACTCAACCCTAATAAGGAACTAATCCCACCAACACCTTGATCTTGGACTTTTAGCTTCCTAAACTGTGAGAAAATAGTTTTCGTTGTTTAAGCTGCCCAGTCTGTGTATTTTGTAATGGCAGACTAATATAGTAGTGATAGTAGGGGGCTGTATCTTTCTCTGATTCTATTAAACTTCTGGCTGCTGAGCCATTTTGCTCTTATCATGGTGCTGCTAACCTCCTCAACCTCCTCTTAACTGCTCTTCACCAACCTCTTTATTGCTTTTGACAACACTTTTAGGTATTAAGTTCTCTGAGCTCTGTTCCTAATAAAATCATTCTTCTCAGGCAGAGTTACGAAACTTCTTCATCTGTACTTACACCTGCCTTTCCTCTGGGCAGAACTCCTATGTACCAGAGCTGGGGGAAAGACCCACTATTCCCAAAGTGAGAGCCCTTCTCTACAAGAAGGTATTGGGGGTGGTGTCCCTAGTCTTCCTGGATTGACTGTCCTGGCATGGAACCCCTACCCCATGAGTAAATTGGGATAATTGGGACCCCAGTATTTTTGGCCTGTCATGCCTGGGGTAGAGCTTTCACCCTATAAATAGGGGCTGCGTTGGAGGGAGGTGGGATCTTTTTCATCATGCTGACTTGATATAGGGTTTCTGCAACACAGAGCTGCAGGGGTGAAAAACATTTGGAAGACTCCTCCTCCTAGGGTGAAACCATAATCCAAGACTAGGATCTGGGAGAGAAGAGCCCCCATCTTCTTGGCCACAGCTGGAGTACCTCATTGAAGTAGAGCTAACAAAGAGCTGGGGGAAGGTTATAAAGGAGTGGGTCATGGCTCAAGTTCCATAAAATCTTGCTATTCTTACCAAGGGTTAATAAGTTTTCTTGAATGAATATTTTTCCATTTGCTATATGTCCTTCGAATGACTTTCAGAGACTTTAAATAATCATATTTTGTAATTTTCACCAGTTAAATTGTTTTGCTGATTAGAGGGTCAGCCAACCGCCTTATTTTACCATTTCAGAAGCTCCATTCTGTGTAATTCACTTTTGTGCCTTAACTTAATTCACTTTTCTTTCTTTAACTGCTGAAGAGATAATTCATTATAAATTTGTTCCCAAATTATTATAGTGCAATGTGAAAAATGTTTTGTTTCTTACATATCTATGGGAGTTATAGACAACTATCAATTCTAATAAAATTCAGAGAAAAAATGGCTGTGGCTTTCTAGTTCAGAAAATTTGTTCAGAAAGGTTCTTATATGGGTTAATGCTTTGAAGTTGGAGGTCTTATGTTATTTATGGTCACTTTTTTCACAGCCATTCTCCTGTCAGTCATCTTTGAACAAGTGTTTTTGTAGAAGAAAGTGGATGGTCTCAAAGCAAACATAAGTTGTCACTTATCACCCTTAAATTTATTCATCTGTTTGTTTGGGGGTTTTGTTTTTTATTTTTTAAGGATTCTTTTCAAAATCTCTACCTCATAACTTACCCTTCCTACTTCATAGAGAAAACGGATCACATAAGAAAGGAATTCAGTGTATCTTTCGATACCAAACTTTCAGTTACCAGAATAGTCATCTGTCCTTTCTGCTCTCCATTGTTCCTTGCCTTACCTCTTCTTGTGTATGTACAATCTCCCCACTTGTAATGTGGATTTCAGTTCACTCCCAGGGATAGCTATCAATTAATTACCTCTCTCAATTATCTGCAACACTTCCCTGCCCCCCGTATTCTGGCTGTTTCCCATCAGTGTTTACATATGCTCAGAGCAGTAATTGTTAACATTTGGTTATACACCCAAATCACCACATGTTCAGCCATATCCAGGACAGTTTAAATAGAATATCTGAGATTGTTTAAAAAGCTCCTCAAGTGATTATAATATACATCTAGGGTCTAGAATAATTACTGAAGAATTACTCTTTACACACACACACACCCCCACACCACTATTATCAACAAAAGTGACAACAATAGCAAACAAACAAAAATTAGCCCAGATCTCTCTTAAACTACTGATGTATTCCTCTTTTGCCTTTCATAACCAAGGTGAATGCTATTGGCACCCTTGCCTGACCAATGTGCTCTTCCTCTAGATCTTGTGAGTTTTGTCTTATGCTAATTCATAGCATCCACCTACACAGGATAATTGCCCTTTTGCAAACAGGAACCATGTCATTTTCTTACTTCTTGAACATTTCTTATTCTACTGGAATCTTGATGCTACTGACTGACACTCTCAGTGTCATTTAGCACTTAGAGGAATGAATACATTCCAAAGTCACCAATTACCTCCTTGTTTTAATTTCCAGTATTTACCTTATTTTACCAGTGTGCACCATGTGACTCTCAACCTCTCCTCTGTTCTTTATTTGGATTCCCTGAAATCACACTCTTCTGGTTTTCCTCCTACTTATAACTATTTTCAATATTCTTTGAAAATACATGTTTGTTTCTTGACCATGCTTTACCTTTTGGTGTTCCACAGAGTTTTGTGATAATCACTAACTCCCTGGGCAAGCTCATCCATATTTATATCCAGGCATCAGTTACCAACTAAATGCTAGACTCATGAATTTATCTCTTTAATCCAGACTCCTTTCCTGAGTTCCAGACTCATATACATAACTTTATCTTGAACATCACCACATGGATGCCCTAGAGTTAACTCAAACTCAATCTGTTCACAGTTGGTATAACATCTTGCTTCTAAGCCTATTCTTCTCTTGTGTAATTCCCAACTCTCCCTTCTCATGTCAATAATTGTTATTGATGTAATTTCCCTAATAACTCTCCATTCAATCCACTTCTGTCTAGTTTTACATCTACTACCTTAGTTCAGGCTACCGACATTTCTAGCAGAAATGATTGCTATAGACTCTGAAAGGTTTATTCCGTCTCTGGTCTTGAAGTCATCTCTATCCCTGATTTATTTTCTCCACTAAGTAAGGGTAATCTTTCCAAAGTGAAAACCCAATTATATCACACTCCTCTTAAAAACTTTCATGATACCTAATGCCTTTAGAATAAGACCCACAGAAAGCATTCAAGAGCCTTTATGATCTTGCCTCAGGTAACCTATAAAAAATCATTGGACTCAATTTGCACTATAGACCAAAGGTGCCTAACAGACATTTACAAAATGTTTCATCCAACAGCTGCAGAATACACATTACTCTCCTCAGCACAGGAATCATTCTCAGGGATAGACCAAACGTTGAGCCACAATAAAAGGCTTAAAAATTTCAAGAAAATTGAAATCATATTAAGTATCCTTTCTGACCACATTGGAATAAAACTAGAAGCCAATAACACTTTTCAAATCAATTTAAACATTTCTTGAAATAAATGAAAACAAAAATGGAAATATAACATACCAAAACTTATGAGATATGGCAAAAGCCATGCTAAGAGGAACGTGTATAGCAATCAGCACCTACATCAAAAAAGTAGGAAAATGTAAAATAAACAACCTAATGATGTATCTGAAAGAATCAGAAAAACGAGAGCAAAGCAGACCCAAAATTAGTAGAAGAAAAGAAATAATAAAGATGAGAACAGAAATAAGTGGAACTGAAACAAAAAAATACAAAAAGTCAACAAAACAAAAATTTGCCTTCTTGGAGAGAAACAAAACCCACAATTATTTCATCAGACTAATGGGCTAAAAATAAGAGAAGATCCAAATAAACAAAACGATAAATCAAAAGGGAGACATTACAATTGATACCATCAAAATTCAAAGAGTCAGTAGACACTACTAAGAGCAATGATATGTCAATAAATTGGAAAACCTAGAAGAAATAAATAAACCCCTAGACACATCCAACTTACCAAGATCGAACTATGAAGAAATCCAAAACATGAATAGAGCAATAACAAGTAATAAGATTAAAGAAGTAATAAAAAAAAATTCTTCCAGCAAAGGAAAGCCCAGGACCCAATGGCTTCACTGATGAATTTTATCAAGCATTTAAAGAAGAACTAATAATACTCAAACATTTCCAAAAATAGAGGATCAGAGAATACTTCCAAACACAATTTATAAGGCTGGAATTACCCTGATACCAAAACTAGACAGAGACACATTCAGAAAAGAAAACTACAGACCAATATCCCTGCTAAACATTGATGCAAAAATCCTCAACAAAATACTGGCAAACTGAATTCAACAATCCATTAAAAAGATCATCCATCATGATCAAGTGAGATCTATCCTAGGGATGCAAGGATGATTTAACATATGCAAACCAACATGACACATCATATTAACAGAAGGAAGGACAAAAACTATATAATTATTTTGATTGCTGCTGAAAATTATTGGGTGTATTTCTGGGTTTGATAAAATTTAACATTCCTTCATGAGAAAATACTCAAAAAACGGAGTATAGAAGAAGCATACCTAAATACAATAACCATATACAACACAGCTAGTATCATACTGGGGGAAAACTGAAAGCCTTTCATCTAAAATCTGGAAGAAGACAAGGATGCCCACTTTCACTATTGTTATTCAACATAGTACTGGAAGTCCTAACAAGAGCAATCAGACAAAAGAAAGAAAGAAAGAAAAAAGAAAGAAGAAAGAAAGAAAGAAAGAAAGAAAGAAAGAAAGAAAGAAAGAAAGAAAGAAAAGAAAGAAAGCAAGCATAAAAATTGGAAAGGAAGAAGTCAAATTGTCCCTGTGTGGAAAAGGTATGATCTTATGTTTGGGAAAACCTAAAGACTCCTCCAAAACTTACTAAAATTGTTAAACAAATTCAGTAAATTTGCAGAACACAAAATCAACATACAAAAATCAGTAGGATTTCTATATGCCAACAATCACAATCTGAAAAAAGAAATCAAGAAAGTAGTCCCATTTACAACAGCAACAAATAAAATACCTAGAAATAAACTTAACAAAAGAAGTGAAAGACCTTTATAATGAAAACTGTTAAACATTGATGCAAGAAATTGAAGAGGACACAAAAAGTTGATAGATATTTTATATCCATGGATTGGAAGAATTAATATCATTAAATATCCATACTACCCAAAGAAATCTACAGATTCAGTGCAATTCTCATCAAAATACCAATGACATTCTTTATAGAAATAGAAATAGAAAAAAAATCTCTTAAAATTGATATGGACCCAGAAAAGACCCAGAATAGCCAAAGCCATCCTAATCAAAAAGAGCAAAACTGGAGGAATCACATTACCAGACTTCAAATTATACTGCAGAGCTATTATAACCCAAATAACAAAACAGCATGATGCTGTCATAAAAGCAGACACATAGACCAATGAAACAGAATAGAGAACCCAGAAATACATCCATACATCTACAGCAAACTCATTTTTGACAAAGGTGCAAAGAACATACACTGGGGAAAGGACAGTCTCTTCACTAAATGATGCTGAGGAAAATGGATATCCATAAGCAGAAGATTGAAACTATATCCCTATCTCTCTCTCACCATAGACAAAAATCAAATTAAAATGGATTAAATACTTAAGTCTGAGACCTGAAACTATGAAACTTCTAAAATAAAATATTGAGGAAGCTCTCCAGGAAACATGTCTGGGCAAATATTTCTTCAGTAATACCCCAAGACCACAGGCAACCAAAGCAAAAATGGACAAATGGGATCACATCAAGTTAGAAAGTCTCTGCACAGCAAAACAAGCAGTGAGCAAAGTGGAGAGACAACCCACAAAATGGGAGAAAATATTTGCAAGTCATCTAATAATGATATAAAAGGAGCTCAAAAACTCTATAGGAAAAAAATCTAATAATCTGATTAAAAATGGACAAAAGATCTGAATGGGCATTTCTGAAAAAAAAAGACATACAAATGGCAAACAGGTATATTAAAAGGTTCTCAACATCCTTGATCATCAGACACATGCAAGTCTAAACTACAATGAGATATCATCTCACACCTGTTAAAATAGCTTTTAGCCACAAGATAGGTAATACCAAATGCTGGTCATGATGTGGAGAAAAGGCAACCGTGTACACTGTTGCTGGGGATGTAAATTAGTACAGTCATAATAGAGTACAGTATGGAGTTTCCTTAAAAAAACTAAAAATTGAACTATCTTATGATCCAGTCCACTGCCAGCTGCACACCTCTAAGAAAGGAAATCAGTATATTGAAAAGATATCTGTACTCCCTTGTTTATTGTAGCACTATTCACAATAGCCAAAATTTGGAAGCAACGTTAAGTGTCCATCGACAGACAAACGGATAAAGAAAATGTATATATACCCAGTGGAGTACTATTTAGCCATAAAAAAGAATGAGATTTAATCATTTGCAACAACACGAATGGAATTGGAGGACATCATGTTGAGTGAAATAAGCCAGGCACATAAAGATAAATTTTACATGTTCTCATTTATTTGTGTGAGCTAAAAATTATAGCAATTGATTTCATGGAGATAGAGAGTAGAATGATGGTTACCAGAGTCTGAGAAGGGTAGTGAGTGGGGGATAGGGAAAAGTGAGATAGTTAATGGGTACAAAAATGTAATTAAATAGAAGGAATAACATTTAATATTTGATACTGTAACAGGGTGATTACAGTTAATAATAATTTTTTACATGTTAAAAAATCTAAAAGAATATAATTTATATGCTTCCAGCATAAAGAAATAAGTTTGTGATGTGATGGATATCACATTTATCCTGAGGTAATTATCATGTATTATATGCCTGTGTCAAAATATCTCATATATCCTATAAGTATATACACCAACTGTATACCCATAAACATTAAAAAAAAATTTTAATCTAATTATGCTAACCTTTATTCTCAGCATAAAGAATAAATTCTTTGCTATGAGCTACTGGGCCTTATTAATCAACTCTATTCCAAGCCAGCCTCTCAAGACGTATTCAATAATATACTCCTTAAGTAAGCATTCAAGACTAATTTTCTAGTTCCAATGGGTTTTTCCCCTAAAATCAGTATAAATTTAATGAGTCATAAGAAAAAACAAGGCTCAATGGCACTTATGGATCTTTCTAGATTAAGTGATTTTATGTCCCATTTTTCCAGGATAGTATTTGTTTACATCCATTTTATCATGACTTAAAAGAGGATAGTTTGTTTCGAATGTACCTTTTAAGTTCTTATTCCAACTTTGAAAACGGATTTTTTTATGAATTAAAAGAAATATTAAAATATAGATTATAAATATATTACTTGGTTCAAAAGTGGCTACAGAAAGAAACTACATAGGAAATATAGAGCTTGACATTATGAAAAAACAAAAGTGAGATAGAGATCTAAATTTTTTACCAAAGATTCGGAATATCTCAATTGTTTATATCAAAGAATGGGGGAAAATGTAGCTAATGAGAATGAAAGCTAGGATATTAAGCCCTGCCTCCTATTCGTTATGTTGCTACTGAAAATATATCCACCAAAAAAATCATATGATGATAAGAAGACAAAAGATGTTCTATAGCATTTGACACCTAATTAAAGTGCTTAGAAAGCTAAGAATATCAATTTAAATGCAGCAGCTGCATCATGCCTACTAGTAGAATACTGGAGCCAGTCCTATTAATATCGCTTATAAAAGAAGGAGCTTGCAGCCATCATTACTGTTTAACTTAGTATTACATGCTCAGAACTCAAAATAGTCAACTACAAAACTGTTGAAATTTATTTAAAAGTTTAGTGAAGTGTCTACTATCAAGATAAAAGTTTAAAAGTTGATCATTTCCTTCTTTCCCAATAATAACTAGTTATAATAAATGACAGGCAGGATAATATTTCCTTCACAATAGTAACAAAAATACAAATAATATAGGAATACATCTATCAAGACATATGTAGGACTTTATTAAAGAAAAGCTTTCTAACGGTTGTAAATTGTTTTAATACGTGGCAGGTATACTTCCTCATAGGAAGACTAAATATTATAATATATCAGACCTTCTCTAAATAAATTTCTAGCCTTTCCATAGTCCTATCAAGGCCTATAGGCCTTTACAAAATGATTCTAAAGATATTTGGAATAAAAATTCATAAGAATAGCTAAGCATAGTTTCAAGAAGAAGAGAAATATGTGAAGAGTTTCCTCAGTAAAAGCCAAAATATAAAATTATAGTGTTCTTTATCACTGTAGGATGACTACAGTTAATAATAAATTATATTGTTTCAAATAGCTATAAAGAGGATAGCAAATGTCCCCAGCACACAAAAAATGATAAATGTTTGAGATGATGGATATGCCAGCTACTCTGATCTGATCACTATATATTATATGTATTGCAACATCACTGTATACCCTATGAATATGCAAAATTATTATTTATCAATTTAAAATTAAATTGTTTTAAAAAATAAAATAATTGGAAGGTTATAACTTGGCACAAGAATTAATAGTCAAATAAATGGAGCAGAATATCCAATATCCAGCCCTGAAAACAGTCCAACAGTCATATGTATACACACACACACACACACACATACACACACACACACACACACACACACACACACACACAGAGTATTCCCCTTCCAAGACTCCCAGTAGATGCCTGAAACCATAGATTATCCAAACCCTATATGTACTATGTTTTTTCTTAAACATAGATACTTAGGATAAAGTTTAACTTAAATAAATTATCCACAGTAAGAGACTAACAACAATAACTAATAATAAAATAGGACAATATGGCAACATCAGTACTCTTGCATGTTGGCAGCATTAGTGAGTAAAATAAGGTTTATTTGAATACAAGCACTGTGATACCCTGACAACTGAGATGACTAAGTGACTAACCTGCAGGTGGTGTATACAGTATGGATACTGCTGGACAAATGAATGATTCAGGTCCTGAGTGGGATGGCACAATATTTTATCATGTTACTCAGACCAGCAAGCAGTTTAAATCTTATGAATAGTTTATTTCTGGAATTTCCCATTTAATATTTTTGGACCACAGTTGACCACAGGTAACTGAAATTGTGGAAAATGAAACAGTAGATAAGGAATGACTACTATATGTGTTGGTGTACATATACCTATGCACACAGAAGTTACTCTGGTTGGAAAGTGGAAAGTAGCAAAGTAACATATAGATTATTTAATATATAATGCTTAAAAATTGGCTACATGGTGAAAAATTATGCTAGATATTTACTCCACATGATAGATGAAAGTACATTCCAAATGGATTGAAGAGCTAAACAAAAATACCAAAATCATTAAAAAAAATTAGAAGACTGTATTGGTGACCTTTAACCTAATTTTTAAGATGATAGTAGTAATAATTATTGTATCCACAACTGTCATCTATTGAATGATTACCATGTGCCAAAGTATTATGCAAAGCAATTTACAGATATTATAATACCAAATTACATGTGGCAGCAGCAATTAGCATCTATAGGAAGGCCATGTGGGAAGGCCACAGAACCAACTAGATGTTAGTTGCAGTTTGAAATGAGAGCTGTATACCTCTAAATCGAGCCTCATCACCACTTAAGGCTTGTTTGTGTGTTTGTTTTTAACAAGATTAATAGAATTATTAGATGCAAAATGCCTACAGCACTGTCTGGTCCTGTATGAACATAAGCAATTATTCATTTAGCTATAGTAGCTAAGAATGCAAACTATTCACCATGTACTTGACAGTTTGTTCACTTCGCTTTTTCTTGAAAACACTGTACCTTAGTTTATCCCTCTATAAATAGGTATAATAATAGTACTTCTATCATATAATTATTGGAGTATTAAAAAGTTAATATATATATAGAGAGAGTGCTTAATCTGTGTCTGGCATGAAGTAAGTGCTCTGTCAATATGTGGTACTACTAACTGTTGGGCTTTGCTATCTTCCCTCATCAAAACAGTAGAAAAAGAAGGACCATAAATGGCCAACAAAGGGGTAATCATGGATTTAAAAGACTATAACCCAATATTGGAATACTGTTCTACCATTAAGAAGCATGGTTATAAAGATTATGTAGACATAAGACAATTCTCATGATAGAATGTTAAATGAAAAGCAGGATTCAAAAATCTCGGGAATATTTTCAATATCGTTATATGTACATTATTTGTATGGTTGTACATACAAACACATAGACATATATATGTATAGAAAACAAATAATTAAAGAAATATACTTCATGTAAGTGGAATCAAGTAGCATTTGTCTTCTGAAACTGACAATTTACTTAGCATAACGTCTTCCAGGTTCATCCTTGTGGTCACATATTGCAGGATTTCTTTCTTTTAAAGGCTAGATAACATTGCATTGTGTCTGTGTGTGTGAATATATATATATATATATTTTTAAATCTATTTATTGGATGGACATTTTTGTTGCTTTTACATTTTGGCTATTGTAAAGGGTGCCTCAATAAACATGTAAGTGCTAATATCTCTTTCAGATCATGATTTCATTTCTTTCAGATAAATACCCAGAAATGGTATCAGTGGATTATATGGTAGTCCTATTATTCGTTTTCTGATAAACTTCCATACTATTTCCCGTAGTGATTGCACCATAACTGTTGCCCATGAACAGTGTGCAAGGGTTCGAGTTTTTCCACAACCTCAACACTTGTTATCTTTTGACTTTTTGATAATAGCCTCCCTAATAGGTTTGAGATGATACCTCATTGTGGTTTTCATTTGCATTTCCCTGCTGATTAGTCACATTGGACATCTTTTTATATACCTATTGGCCATTTATGTTTTTTGTTGGAGAAATGTCTGTTCGAGTCCTCTGCCCTTTTTTAACCACTTATTTTGAAGAGAGAGCCTGTAAGTTGCCTTTTTATTCTGTTGATTGTTTCCCTTACTGTGCAGAAGCATTTTAGTATAACACAATCACATTTGTCTATTTTTGTTTTTGTTGCCTGTGCTTTTGGTGTCATATTCATGAAATCATTGCCAAAACCGTCAGGAAGCTTTTCCTATTTTCTTCTAAGAGTTTTAGTTTCAAGTCATGACATTTAAGTCTTTAATCCATTTTGGGTTTACTTTTGTGTGTGATGTGTATATAGCATACAGTATAAGAGCCCAATTTTATTATTTTGCACGTGTATATACAATTTTCCCAGCACAATTTCTTGAAAAGGCCATCTTCTCCCTGTTGTATATTCTTGGCACCCTTGTCAAAGACCAGTTGACCATAGGGGTGTGGATTTTATTCTGTTCCATTTGTCTATATGTGTCTCTTTATGCCAGCACCATACTGTTTTAATTACTGTAACTTTGCAAGATATATTGAAATCAGGAAGTATGATGCCTTCAGCTTTGTTCTTTTTCGAGATTGTTTTGGCTAATTGGGGTCTTGTGTGCTTTCATATGAAGTTTAAGATTTTTTTTATTTCTGTTTAAAAGTGCCATTGGTATTTTTTTTCTTTTTTTGAGATGGAGTCTCACTCTGTCACCCAGGCTGGAGTGCAATGGCGTGGTCTCAGCTCACTGCAACCTCCGCCTCCCAGGGTCAAGTGATTCTCCCGCCTCAGCCTCCTGAGTAGATGGTACTACAGGTGCATGCCACCATACCTGGCTAATTTTTGTTTTTTTAATACAGGTGGGGTTTCACTATGTTGGCCAGGCTGGTCTTGAACTCCTGACCTCATGATCCACCTGCCTTGGCCTCCTGAAATGCTAGGATTACAGGCGTGAGCCACTGCACCCAGCCTGCCATTGGTATTTTTATAGGGATTGCATAGAATCTTAGACAACTTGGGGTATTATGGAGATTTTGACAATAATGTTTTACAGTCCAGTACCACAGGGTGCCATTTTGTTTGTGTCTTCTCTAATCTCTCTTACCAATGTTTTAAATAATATCCTTTGAAAATTTGTTATGCCTTCAAGCACCTTTATAAATAGTCTCTAAAATTTCAAAAGTGAAAGTATTTACTTCCTAGTTTGCCACACCAAGACATTTGTATAACGTAAGTAGAAATTTTCTTTGTTATGATCAATATTTTGCCTGACATCAATATAAATAAAAAATTATATGAATGAAACTGTTGAGAGACAAAGAAGTAGCTTTTAAATGTGACAAATAGAGATTAATTTATTAAAATACTAAGGGCTTTTTGACAAGGAATTTCAATATTATTTATATTTTACTATGGTTATAAGTGACTTTTCTAGCTCACTTAAATAGTTATTTCCAGGGTCATTCACTTGAGAGGTATACATTTACAAAAGTCAAGGCACATTTCAAGTTGCCAAAATAAAATTGCTGATGCTGTTTAGCTTGATTCATGTCAAATCAGTGAATTATACCTTTTTTACTCCTCTGTTTTCAGTTTTACACCACCTCAGGAACAGATTCGCAAGCACTTTGCTGCCTCAACATGCCTTCTGTGGCTCAGTGACTTTGTTTTGCTCCAAATTACACAAGGCTTATTTCTGCCACAACTACCAGTGTTCAAATTTATTTGTCTTGCGTCTCCACATCTGAGATATCAACCAGAACATGTGGAAAAGCATGTCTGCATCATTATGGTATCAGTAAAGATGAAAGAATTAGTGGAAAGAATGTTGGACTTGGTTTCCGACAGCTGTGAAAGTGATCATGGGTTCTTCTATGGAAGCTTTCATTTTCTCATTATAAGATAAAAACAACAAAATGTGTTCTATCTTTCAGGGTTAGTTATGAGTATGCAATAATGAAGTATTTGTAAATGCATTTTGTAAGGCTAAGTATTTTTTACAAATATAAGATGTTATAACTTATTTATAATTTTTAAAGCTTTTATTTTAGGTTCGGGGTATATGTGCAGATTTATTACATGGGTACACTTGTGTCACGGGGGTTTGTTGTGCAGATTATTTAATCACCGCTGCTAAGCCTAGTACCTGATGGCTATTTTTCTGCTCCTCTCCTTCCTTCCACCCTCTACGCTCAAGTAGATCCCAGTGTCTGCTGTTCCCTTCTTTGTGTTCATGAGTTCTCATCATTTAGCTCCCACTTATAAGTGAGAACATGCAGTATTTGCTTTTCCATTCCTGCATTAGTTTGCTAAGGATAATGGCCTCCAACTCCACCTACGTTCCAACAAAAGATGTGAACTCATTCTTTTTTATGGGCTCAACAGCGAGCTCTCAGGAGCTTTACAGCCCCAGCAGCAGGGAAAATTGAAATGGAAGAGTTCCCTGATTCCCATTGCAGGATGTGCAACAGGGGTGTGACTCGCCTGCTTGGTCACCCCACAGCTCAAACCCCTAGGGGAAGCATGCAGATGGGCAGGTACAGAGGCCAGGGCGAATGCTTTTGGGCTGCAGCCCCATAGCAGAGTCTAGGGATGGGTGTCTGCAACTCCCACAGCTCAAGTGGGCATGTGTTACCAAGATCTTTCAGTTTTGCCATCTGCTGACGGCTTGTGTATTAATCAGCTCAATTGACCCTCTGCCTTATCGCGAGGGCAGAGGGCCAGTGTGACAGGCTTCTGTATCCCGATCTCTTGCCCAGTGTCCCAAAAGAATTGGAACACACAGGCTTGAAGGATGAGTGCAAGGTTTTGCTGAATGGTGGAGGTAGAGCTCTGCGAGATGGGTGGGAGCCAGAACGGGGGATGGAGTGGGAAGGTGGTCTCCCCCTGGAGTCGAATCGCCCAAAGGCCCCGACCACCCCTGGCCAAACTCCCCTCAATGTCCCAACATCCCTCCTTTTCTCTCTTTCTCTGCCAATTCGTTCTGCTGCCTCTGGTATGCTGGTCTACTGGTCTCGATGTTCAACTGCTTGTGTGTGTGCCTGATAAAGTCTCAGGTTTACATGGGCACTGGATGGGGGGTGTCGCAGGCCAGAGTGGTCTTGGAAAACGCAACATTCGGGTGTGAAAAGAGAAGTGTCTGTTCTCACTTAGGTCTGTGGGCACAGGCCCAAGGGTGGAGCCCTCTCCAGGGATTCGGCCCTTCTGTACCTAGCACTTCCCTGGCCTGCTCTCATATCAAAATGAGTGCCTGAGTTTAGAAAGAAAGCATGGTAGCACAATATAGCAACCCCTCGATTGCTCAACCAATTTTTCAAAGGCTTGTTAAATACTTCTAAATATAAATTATCTTATAAGTAGTCGATCTATAATCTGACTTTAAGTAGTTGATCTATAATCTGACTTTAATATATTAAAGTGAGGTTGTCTGAACTGTTGTGAGGGTTAAATAAAATAATACACATAAAGTTCCTGACATATGTGAAGTACTAATTAAGTTGCAAATATAATTATTTTGTTCACAAATGCAATTTTCTAGGCATGATTTCAACAAAACAAACCCAAACAGGTTTATACTATACTCTTCAGGTTATCTAACCACGTTTTTTGGTTGCTTAGCAATGAAGGACAAAAAAACAAAGCTACCAGTGTGACTAAATACGTAATTCATATGATTGGAATTTCAGACCTTAGAAGTTTTTCAATAGTAGACATTGTCCTAATTGTGAAAATGGTAATAAACATTCCAAATTTGACTTTGCACTCATATTGAAATATGTTCCTAGGTATAAAGGCTACACTATGCTTTCGCAGTATTAAGTTATTTGGAAGGTATTTTCATAAAATAAAATTTTTGCTTATTATTGGATAAATTTAGGCTTTAATTTTCCATTTTAAAACAATAAAATGTATCAGGATCATGTGTTGTTTTTATTTTAATTATCTTGAGTTAATGGGTAAAAAACAGAGGCAACCTTCATGTGTTAATAAATATTTGACAAATGTGAAAACAATGTTTTCAGAGTACTTCAAGGAGACATGAGTAGAACTGAGCAAAGGGGAATTGAGTGATGAGAGGGCACACAGTAGCATAAGCAAGCTCTACTCAGAAAGACTGACATTATGGTAATCAATCCATATATTCATTGAGAACAGATATACCACACTGATTCTAGCTCTGCAGGTACGAACTTGAAGCATTCAGTAGCAGCAAGTGTAGTAATGAGAATATGAAGAATATTTTGTTATAGATTGTTAAATTATTTTGACATTATAATATGGAGTACAGCATTGAATTGACTGGCTCATTGAAATGATGCTAGAGTCATTTTAAAATTGTGTAGTGTTTAAAAGAAAAAAATATCAACGGTGTTAGTGACTCAGATGATGGTCCATAATAATCAAATTTAAGGATTCAAGTTAACCACAAGTAAAATAGAAACTATCCAAGCATATTTTTATAACATTAAACTAAATTTTAGCAATTAATTAAAACATCATTTGTCATGCCAAATTAATTTGAATGTTGTTAATTTTGGAGTTTCCATTGGTATCAATTTACCAAAGTACTTTGTTAAAGACTTTTAGTAAAAATAACTTTAAATTTAACCAGAATATAGAATATTATTATTTATGGCTGGGCATGGTGGCTCACGCCTATAATCCCAGCACTTTGGGAGGCTGAGGCAGGCAGATCACGAGGTCAGGAGTTCGAGACCAGCCTGGCCAACATGGTGAAACTCCGTCTCTAATAAAAATACAAAAAATTAGCCGGGCATGGTGGCTACTAATCTCAGCTGCTCGGGAGGCTGAGGCAGGAGAATTGCTTGAACCCAGGAGGCGGAAGTTGCAGTGAGCAGAGATCGTGCCACTGCACTACAGCCTGGGCCACCGTGTGAGACTCTGTCTCAAAAAAAAAATTATTATTTATTATATCTTAAGGAACTCTCATTAGAACCCCCCAAGTTTGTTAGAAATTTTTGAAAACTTTTTATTAAAGTATGACATGTTAAATTTGCTTCAAATTTAAAGCAATATGTGAGCTATAACCATAATAGATATAAAAAATTAATATATATTTTAGCATTATTACAATAAAAATAATTTAAGTCAAAGCTAGGAGTTCTCATGGATGTTTTCTTTGAAAAATAGTCTATTATCTTACTCAATATAAGAAAATTTTTGGAAACTTAAATGTGTTATATTGCTAATATTAAAGCACATGTCAAACTTAATGCTTGTTTTCCTTAAAAAAAAATGTACAAAACTGCTCACAACCTCAAGATTTAGCTTAAAAACCAGAAACTCTGTGAAGCTTTTCCTGACATCTACACCACCACAGTTAAAAATAATGAGTTCATCACTTCCTGTGATTCCTACTCAAATTTTACATCTCACCCTCGGAATCTATCAGCATACACTGTTATGCTTTGATAACAAAGGACCACCAAATCCTAGCAGCTTAAAACGACAATGGTTTCTTTCTTTTCACATGAACGTCTGTCAACTGGTAGGTTTGCTATGTACCATCCATTTATTCCGCCCTCAGGCTAATGCAGCAGCGCCTTTCTAGAACATGCTTGTCACCCTGGCAGAGAGCAAGAGATCTCTGGATGGTCACCCACCATCAACTAAATGCTCCAGCTCAAAAATGACAGGTTAATTTCCGCTGTCAGTGGCCCCATCTAACCACAAGGTGGCAGACATGGACATGCTACCCTGTGCCCAGAAGGGGTTGAATTTGGCACAAACTCCCACACTGCAGGTAAACTCCTCTGGGAGGTAGGCCTTAAAGGAATCACCAGAATCTTGTCAAGGGGATTATCACATTGATTAATTTCTTAGTAAGAACACTTAACATGAGATATACTCTCTTAGCAAATATTTAAGTGTACATTATTGTTGACTATAGGTACAATGTTTCACAGTAAACGTCTTGAGCTTATTCATCTTGCATAACTAAAATTTTATGCCTGTCCTTTGTTCATTGCAGCACCATTATTCGCAATAATCAAGATGTGAAAACAACCTACATGTCCATCAACAGATGAATGAATAAAGAAAATGTGGTATATAAACGCAGTGAAATAATCTTCAGCCTTTAAAAACAAGGAAATTCTATAATACACAGCAGCATGAATGAACTTTGAGGACATTACGCTGTGTAAAGTAAGCCAGTCATAGAGACAAATACTGCATGATTCCTCTTATATTAAGTATCTAAAATAGTCAAACTCATAGAAGCAGGGAGTAGAATGGTTGTTGCTAGAGGCAAGGGGGGTGAGAAATAGGAGATCTTTTTTTTTATCAGAGACGAAATAAAAAAACAAAAACCTTCTTTTTAATTTCTCGTGTTAAATAGCCTGTATTTGCCTTAAATAGATGAAATAGCCTCTGCATACAGCCAATATGTAAAGTGAAAGAAGACAGACACAAGGATGACATTCTGCATGATAACATTTATGAAGTTCAGCAAGATGTAAACCTCATGGATGGTCATAGAACACAGAGAGGTGGGCAGCTCGGGCGCAGGGCTGACTGGGAAGAACACCTCGTGAGGAGCTAAGAAAGTCCTGTCTCTTGATCTTAGTGGTAGTTACATGGGTATATACATACATAAAAATTGATCAACCCCTTTAAGATTGGACCTTTAAACATGTTCTTCCTTAAAATAAAGGCATTTACAGCTACTTGAGAGGCTGACGCAGGAGAATAACTTGAATCTGGGAGGAGGAGGTTGCAGTGAGCTGAATTAGCGCCACTGCACTCCAGCCTGGGTGACAGCAAGACTCCGTCTCAAAAAAAAAAAGGGGGTTTCAAAATTTTCTCATGTGTAGAACTTGGACTGAGAAGAAATAAGAGATCCATGTGAATCCATCTCTTGTCTAACATATTGTTAAGGAAAAAAAAAAACACTGAATTGGTAGCTCAAAGAAGAAAACTCTTCAACAAGAATTAATATAAGAAAGTAAAAATTGGTGTACTTGGGATGTTTCCATAAATTCTATAAGCAATCTTTTTCTTAAGTGATTTCAAATCACTCTCATCTTCAATAGAAAGCTATATCCAGCCAATACATTTAATCAACTTTAAAGATACTCTAATGTAGTTGAAAAGAGATGCTTCCTGGAATAGGCTAATAGAAAAAGCCAGCTTGTCAGGAACCCTTGTCAATAGACATAAAGTTTTAAACAAAATTATTGATTCATATGCAGGACTAAAATGCACATGTTAAGGGGACATAAAGTTCTGTTATTTTATTAATAAGTGGGAAATATTCTTAATAATTCTTCCTTATTATGAAATCTTTATTCCATATACCACTGTTTATTGAGGTCCTTGAAAATCCAACCTTTCATCCTGCGTGGTCTTTGTAATTACTTAAGAAAATAAGAACCATATTTGGAGATTAAGTCCTTCTGGAGAAGAAGTAGCATATATTATATAATAATTTTAATAAAGAAATGTGCGTTACTTTAGAAATTAAATGTATTGCGCATATAAAAAATAGCCCAGTCATTTTTATGTGCCAAATAAAACTAGCTGGTTTCTTCAGATTATTTAGTAGTTTACAAACAATGATCCATCTTAATGGTTCTCAAATGTGTTCAAATGGCAGCGACATCATGAGACTCTTCAAAATATTATAATCTTTGTACAGCACTTTGAAATTTTTATATTTAATTCCTTAACACAAACCAGGAACTACTTTCTTAGCAAAAGAAACAAAAACAAACACTAAAATTATATTATATATGTAATAGATAGTCATAATCATTAGTACACACACCCTTTGAAAAGAAAAATGAATTATCAAATTAATATGTTGAATCATTTTCAAGTTTTTCTGTATTTACTCATTTGCTACTTTTAAGTTTTAACTCTGTTATTATATTATTTATGAAACAATGAGAAAATTCGTATCATTCAATTTTAGCCTCAGAACATTTTGTTTCAAATTACAGAATACCAGACTGCTCTTGCTTGGTTTCGTGGTCAATGATAAGAAATGGAAATCCTTTTCAGGTTTACTGTAACCAGTGAGGTTTTCTTAAGATTTTATTTTATTTCAGTTTTCTTACTGCAGTGAAGTTAAGGGAGTTTAGCATGTATTTACATATAAAGGCTATACTAAGAAATATCACAGGAGAATGGTCTCCAGTATTTTTCTTACTCCTATACTAGCACAAAGAATTTTGGCAAACTGTACCTCTGCACATTTTTAACTTACCAACTAAGATGTTTTATCATAAGCTTAAATAATTGCAAACAGTATAATTTCTGGTATGTTCAAATATTGACATGTAAATAAAACTGTTAAATCTTTCTTTTAAATATATCCAAAAAAGATATAAATATCATTGTCAGTTTTAATATTTGAATTAGCTCTTTTATAAGAGTCAAAAATTTTACAATGCTCCCTTTTCTGCTTGTACCTTGTATTTCTATTAACTTTGCCTGTAGAATTTTACCCAAATCAAATCTACTTTCATATTTGAAATTCTTTTGTTAATCTATCTTCTTTGGCACAAAAATCTACACACAGACATACACACACACACACATATTATATATATCAAAATATTTTTTTTAATTTTAGACTATAAGGCTGTGTTAAAATATTTCCTCTAGATTCAATTACCAGTTTAATTATTAGTAAAAAATTAGTTATATAACAAAATTATAAATACTGATAATTTTAAACATAGAAAAGTAAAATTTTATTTAAAAAACGTAAGTCTGTGGATGTGGCTGTTTTTTACAATTGGTTCATTATAGTTAAATATTAGCCATTTCTAGAATGAGCTAGAGTTGAACAGACATTTCATTTCTATTATTCATTTTTATAGACATAAGTGCTGAGAAATTATATAGATGGAAATGAAAGGAATTTTGTGTACCAATGTCACTCAATTATTTGAACTGCTTTCAAGTTACATGGTAAAAGTCACATACTAATTGTATTAGTTAACTATCACACTGATCTATCAACAAAAATTATTTTTAACAGTATCATTAAAAAAGAAGAATTAGAAGCCACTTGAGTTGCAAATGAAATAGTTACACACCATGACAGCAATATACATTTTCCAATTCTGTAAAGTATGCTCAGATGGACTTATCAAGACTATAAAATGACTCTTAATTGTACTTTTACTTTTTTACGTAGAAGCAAATTATTTGAATTGACACACTCAAAAAGAGTTGGAAAAAAAATTTTAAATGCTAATTTCAATACACTTTAGCCGATATAATTTTTGATCATACATTTTTATTTTATCATGTGTTTTAAATATATTTTTGCAAAAACATGGCACTATAGATTTAACTCTTTCAAATTATGGAAAATGTCTGTCATGTAGCCTAATTAGCAGTCACCATACTGCTTCCTTCTTTGACTGCTAAAAATTTCTATACTTTGGATTTTCTGTCAACCTGTATCCTCTTTGGTGAACAAATATAGCTATGGAGTATGGGAGAAAAACAAAAATTTGAGACAATATTATTGGCAAGACATTGTGCTAAGCTATTCCTTGTCTCTCAATTGATTGACCTTCTCCTAGCTCACTCTGTTGTAGTGTGATAGGTCTCTTCACTGTTCCTTACCAAGCAGGCACCTTCTACCCTATCAGGAAATAATCCCTCATTTCATAAAGACTTCTACTCAGTTATCACCTAATCAAATATAGCAACACACTGTTCACTGTCTTTTTTACTGTGCCTTGTTCGCATTGTGTTCACCTGATGTATATTTATTTCCTTATAGCTTGACTCTACTCTCACCAGCATTTAAGATCCATGAGAGCAAATATTTTGTTGTTTCCTATTGTATCCCCAAGATCCAAACCAGTGCAAAGAATAGGATCTCAATAGATATTTGATACATAAGTAAATGAATGAATGAGAGTCTTTCTGACCTCAATTAACAGTCATATATTACAGGGAAAAAAAGACGCAAACAAGCACAGGATTAATCATAACCTATTTTGCCAAGTATGAGCATTTTAAAAATTGCTAACTAATAATGACTGATTTTCTAAATCAAAGAAATCTTTAACACTAAAAACCATCAAGAATCTATTATATCAGAAACAAATGCATATATTTAGCTGTTCCAGAAATTCAATGTATTTTTCGTATTTTCTTTCATGCTAGTAAATATTTCAGCAAGGAAATCACTGCTCCAGATACATTGGCTGTCAACCCTTATCTGGGCCACACCACAATGCTAACTTATTCTCACTTATCCTTGAGAAACGATCTGAAAATCTGCCTCTGCTAAGACATCAGTAGCTAATAACTGAATAAAAGCATTAAAATATATTTGAATGCTAAAGAAGAAGTTGTGTGATTGATTCAAGATAAAACTGGAAAATGTCTAGGGACGCTAGAATTTTTCACCTAGAAGAAAAAGGGAGTGTATTCTATTGGTGGGATTTGGGGCTTTAGAAACCAAATGATGAGAAGAAAAGTATTTTTCAGAGCATCCTTCACATTACCTGCATAAACGGGTAAGCAGCCACAGAGAAACTAAAGGAAGTTGTGACATTTCACCGAGCATGGTACCTGAGATCTGGGGCAAGCCTGAAGCAGAATTCGCTGATCACTGCATCTTTCCCATCCTACCGCATTGATGGGGCCCACTTACGTGTAATATCATAAGAGATATCATTTTATGCTTTGCCTCCTTGCTGTTTCTTTTGTTTTTAGTCTTCTGCTATATGGTGCATATATTCATTGATATCTTTTACCTCTAGAAGTTTGGAAGGTACGTGTGCTGTTTTACTTGTAAGTCTTAAAATCAAGCCATTAGCCTCTAATTATCAATGTCAAGAACGAAACAGCAAGTGTTTGCTTTTTCAGTGCTGAGATAATTAGTATATCTGTGCCTTCCTCAACACCCATAACCTTTTTTTGATGTTGTTTTGTGTTTTAATTATGATCTGTTATGTTTAATTACGTTTCAATTATAATCTGAGATCATTTTAAGTATATTATCACTTTCAAAAATTGTGTTTTTTTAAACACACAATAGTTGTTCATACTTTCTTTGAATGATTTCAGTGCTCAACATCAGTGCTTTCCTATCATGACATAGATTATGAGTTTTTATTCTGAGGTAACTTTCATATAACTGACTATGCCTTCAAGTAATGCTTATTGTTAGGGACTCCAAGAAAAATGGTTCTTATCTTGCCATACTCATCTTCACTACTAACTCAAACTCCTCCAAATTAGAAGGTACTAAAGGCCAGGACTACTTTGTTTCCTACAGAGTCTGCAACACTTCATTACCTTCTTAGAAGATAATGGAATCTTTGATGACTGCATTTATCTGGTACCCTCTGTGCTATATCTACTAGAAATCCATTGATGTTGTATTCATAGTATGCCACTGCTACCACTCCCTACTATTCACTTATGATTTCAATCAGGATTGGGGAAAAGAACAGTTCTGAAAGAAAGACTTAATCACATCACTCCTTTGCTTCAGATAGCCCAGCTAATTCCTTATCTAGAGAATAGTATTCAAACTGCACAGAAGATCCTTCATTACCTGGTCCAGGCCACCTTGAATTTGCACCTGAGCAAGTGTCTTACTCACCTTGCCTTTGTCCTGGTCTTGTTCATATGCACAGATAAAAACAGAGCAAAACTTTTTGTTCTTAAATTGGTTTATTTAAGTTCCAAAATTTAAACCATCCCTTATTTTACTTATTTTATTTTTGGTATTTTATTTAGCATTAAAAATCTGAATGAAAATCAACTCAGAGCCAGCAAACACATCAATAGTGATCAAACATGGAAACATACAACATAAATAAACATAGGGCAATTATCTATGAAAGAGTTATCTTTGCATTTTGACAAATAACAAGGGAAATATCATCCTAGGCAAAGCCGTCTACAGTGCAAGCCAGAAAACACTTTGAAAAAACATTCCCAGTGCTTTTGGCTATGAATATTAGCTTCTCAATGTTCATAAACATGAAGAACTATTCAAATCAACCAAGGATATCATTCACTGACAGTCACTGGGAACCTCTCGGAAAGTGTTGGTCATTCATGACTGTTTGACTGTATTGACTGACAGGTCGAGTATTTTTTTAGTAGTAATATAAAGTGAAGAACATCTTTTTATAATTTATTTTACATTTTCCTCGAGAAATTGCTTATTGAAAAGTTCTATGAGTTCCTATAACATTTATACATAGAGTAACTGTTAAACCTAAGTTAAATTCCACAAGACATTACTGTGTTTTATGAGGTCAGCTTTCCTGATCTATGTTAAGCCTTCTTCCAAATTACACTCAACCAGCTAGGAACATTAGGTCACGAATTCTTCACAGCAAAGAGTAAATTTGCTTATTTTGACTGGGATCAAAGGACAGGCCTTCAGTATGTTGATATATTTGCTATAAATTTCTAAAACTATGTACAGGAATTGCTCCCACCTCCTTTAGTTTTATAATCATAAAAAGCTGTTTATCGAATAAATCTGTGGACTTCTTAAAGTTTGGGAATAAATCAAGAAAAACGGAGATACTTTTTTTGGATAATGGTAAATCTAGGTAATTTTCATTTTCTAGTTTATTCTAGTTATATCTTTAATCTAAGTTTTTTATACTTAGAGTAATAAAATAACTGGATTTGCATTTATGCACATCTCAGTCTTTTTAATTTAAAGTACATGTATTTATGAATTATTAGCCACTTTTTACCATTAGATGAAATCAAGTTACTACTAATTTTATGTGCACATTTCTATCAGGCATAAGAAAAGTTGTTAACCTTCATTTCTAGTTAATCTAACGCAGTCTTTTGATGACAGATGCCTTTTATCATCCCAGAGTCAGAGAATTCAAGAAAAATTAGGTGCCAGAGTCTGGTGCTGATCATAATTCCAAAAGACACAGTCTTGAATGCCACAATCCTGAATGTTGAAATACAGAAAGATAAACATCTCTAAAGATCAAAATCCCTAAAGTCTAAAATGACTAAAATCTAAAATTTCTAAAGTCTAAAATTCCAAAAATTGAAATTCCAAAAGATTAAAGTCCCAAATATTGAAATCCTGAAAACCAGATTCTGGGTAATGGATTAACGTGTTTTCGGTTATAGGCAGGATGGTTCATATTAGTTGCATCATGTTAGGTGGGAATATTTCCTTGCTGTTATCTTTATTTGGAAATTAAGTATGATTTGAGGAGGTACATATGAGTGCCAAGTTGAGAAGGATTGGACTTGTGGACTGATTAAGGAATACCTAAAAAGCTGGTACAGCATTATTTTGGGTGTATCTGTCAGGGTGTTTCTAGAGGAGATTAGTGTGTAAATTTGAGTTGAGGAGGTGGGGAAGATCTGCTTCCAGAGTACTGCTGTTACTAAAAGTGTTAGGAATTGGATTACTGCCTAGTGAAAATTTTTAATGGGCTTTTCAGGTAAAAAGCTCTCATTATAGTTTTCCTAGCATTAAACTAAAAGATTTTTTTTCTTTAATTTCTACATATGCTTAAAACATGTCTTCTCTTTGGTACATTTTTTTCCACTTTCCAACTTTTCTTTTAGGATCAAGGGGTACATATGCAGGCTTGTTAATTGGGTAAGTTGTGTGTCATGGGAGTTTGGTGTACAGATAATTTTGTCACCCAAGTAATCAGAATAATACTCAATAGGAAGGTTGTTAATCCTCCTCCAACCCTCCACCCTCAACCAGGCCCCTGTGTCTATTGTTCCCTTTTTGTGTCCATACATACTCAATGATTAGCTCTCACTTATAAATGAGAACATGTGATATTTGGTTTTCTGTTCCTGCATTAATTTGCTTGGGATTATGACCTCCAGTTCTATCCATATTGCTGCAAAGGCCATGATGTCATTTTTTAATAGCTGCATAGTATTCCAAGGTGTGTATGTATCACATTTCTCTCTCTATTTTTTTCTTGAGACAGGGTCTTACTCTGGCACACAGGCTGGAGTACAGAGGTACAATCACACCTCATGTCAGCCTTAACCTCTTGGGCTCAAGCCACTCTCCTGCCTCAGCGTCTACAGGTACACACCATCTTGCCTGGCTAATTTTTTTTTTCTCGAGACAGGGTTTCATCATGTTGCCCAGGCTGATCTCAAACTCCTGGGTTTAAGCAATAGGCCTGCCTTGGCCTCCCAAGATGTTGGGATTACAGCCATGAGCCACCATGCTTGGTCACCACATTTTCTTTCTCCAGTCCACTATTGATGAATATCTAGGTGGATTCCATGTCTTTGCTATTGTGGATAGTGCTGCAATGAACATACACATGCATGTGTCTTAAGGTAGAAAAATTTATATCCATTTTGGTATGTAACCAATCATAGAATTGCTGGGTCAAATGGTAGTTCTATTTTACATTCTTTGAGAAATCCCTAAACTGTTCTCTACACTGGCTGAATTAATTTACATTCCCACCAGCAGTGTATAAGCATTCTCTTTTCTCTGCAACCTCTCCAGCATCTATTATGTTTTGACTTTTTAATAATAGTCATTCTGACTGGTATCTTATCATTTTGATTTGCATTTCCCTAATGATTAGTGATATTGAGCATTTTTTCATGTTTGTTTGCTGTGTGTATGTCTTCTTTTGAGAAGTGTCTGTTTATGTCCTTTGCCCATTTTTCATTGTGTTATTTGTTTTCTGCCTGTCGATCTGTTTGAGTTCCTTATAGGTTCTGAATATTACACCTTTGTCAGGTGTATAGTTTGCAAATATTTTCTCCTACTCTGTAGGTTGCCTGGCCTCCCCAATTGCTGGAGCTACAGCCACCGTTGCCGGAGATCCAAGGTCCCTGGGTCTCTGCATGTATCTGAGCTATGGGTCTGCCCAGACCCCAGGCAGCTCTCTTGCCAGTCTGGAGGCCCTGGGTTGGGGGGTGTCAGTGGGGATCTCCTGAGCCCAGGGTTGCTAAGGTCTGTGGCAGAAATATGAGTCCACGGGGGCTCTCACTCACTCACTGTTTTCCAGGGTGGGGATCCTGCCCTGGCTCTGTGTCAATCCCATGTGGGTGGCTATCCTGTCTAGCTGTTCTCTGTTCTCCATAGGTCATTTTCTTCCTCAGTTAATCTCAGTGTGTCTACCTGGATGATCCAGTTGAAGAGATAGTGTTTATGCTCCACTTATTCTCTCCATGAGAGCAGCATGCACTAGCTGCTTCTATTTAGCCATCTTGGCACCCCCCACCTTTGGTACATGTTTTGAGACCAAGGTTATTATTATTTTTTTTGCCAGTGTTGCATAATTTCTATTGCCTCCTACAGGGGAGGAGATGACTTTCATTAGGTAGAGCAAACACTCTTTGAAACTTACCAACATTAACCAGTTTTGAAAATGGAGGGAGTAATTGTGCTCTTCTTCCATCCTTCAGTAAACCTCCCCTCAATTTCCTTCACTTTTTTTTTCAAATTCTCCCCAACCTTTCAATTTTTGAGCATCTCATAACAGACTTGGTCCTCTTCTTTCGGTATCCTCACTTCTCGGTGATTTCGCCCAGGCTTGAGCTTTGATCCTCCATCTCTCTGCTAATGCTCCCAAATACTTATCTCTAGTCCTGACCTTGCTCCCAAACTCCAGACTCATGCATCCAACTGCTGACTTGCCTTCTGCACTTGGACGTCCAATAGTATGCCAACTCAGCATGTCCAAACTAAACTCCTACCCCTCCCCCACAGAGCCTTTGCTCTGTCTCTTCCCTCTGCTGCAACACTCCCCCAGAAAACTGATTGGCTAAATTCATCTCCTACAATCTTTGCTCAAATATTACCATTTCAGTGAATCCTGCCTTGACTGCTCTATTTATACTGTAACCTGCTTCTCTCTCTAACCGTAGGCACCTAGACACCCTAATCCTCCTTACTGTTCCTGCTCTACCTTTTTTGCCCACAGCACTTTTATAACCTACTATTTGATTTCCCTATTTATTTTGTATCGCATCTCCCATCCCCACTCCCCAGGATATAAGTTTCTTAAGGGCACCATCTTTTTCTCTTTAGTTCATGGTATATCTCCAGCACCCAGTACACTGCCTGGCACATAGTAGTTACTGAATGTAGTTATTTATTGAATGAATGTATGCCAATAACAAACCCATTTCTAAACTCCCAGTAGATGTAAACTTGTGTATACAAGTATGAATGAAACTTTAGCATATGAAAAAAAAATCTATCTTATTGCCCTCCACACTGCACTGTTTTCTTTTCCTCCATGCATTAACTCCTTTTCTTGTTTAGTTACTTCTCCTCCCTTCTCCTTTCTTCTCTTCCCTTGTCAAGTGCCCGGTGGTCTTTTGCTGCACCTTGGCTTATACTCAGTGAACTGTTGCAAAGTGGAGTAACATAGAAGTGAAAGACCTATTTGAATCTCTTTTCCTTAAATTAATATCTCTGGACCTTTGTTCTCATTACTATGTGTGCAGAAAATTCAGGAAATATTCTCTGAATTTAACTGAGATCAGCAAAACTATATACCCGATTTGCCCAGACTTAACTGTATTGTTGAATGAATATGTAAAGGAGCTTTAAAATGAGGGTGCGTGTGTATTACAACATACGATGTTGTCATCTAGGAATGAAAGATTATGCATGTGATGTATAGCCACACAGGTTCTAAGACTCACAGAAAATGAAATCATTTGAATTTGACATTCTAGAATGCATGGCTTTTAAATGCTGGATTTTTTCAACTCAATCAGAATTTAACAGGCATAGATTCTGTGAGTTAGGGTACAGAGTTGACCAATTTTTTCAGATAAGAACATCATTATACAACATGCTAGATCTAAGGTAGCTATTAATATATTAAAACCACAATCCCGTTTCTTTTTCCCTTCTAGTATGTGAATGAGAATTTCTATAGTGCTGTCTCATATCCTCAACCTGGACTAGGAAGCTCACAAGTTCAACTGTCATTCTAGATCCACGTTGAGTTCAGGTGTTTTTTTTGCTGATGATATTTCTGAATGGCCAAAGCATTCCTGCTGTTTCATAAAATCTGAAGAACTGATTACTCCAGTACTTAGTGGCACTTTTACTAATAAGTATAATACCTGAGAGGTTTTTTGTTTTTCTTTACCAAATATATCTTTTGTGAATATTTTCTTCCAGTCTGTGCCTTGCTTTTTCATTGTCTTGACAGTGATTTTTACAAGCAGAAATTTTAAATTTTAATGATGTTCAATTTGTTGTTTTTTTCATTGATTATGCCTTTGGTATTGGGTCTAAGAAGTCATCACCAAACTCAGTTCATCTAGATTTTTTTTCCTGTGTTATATTCTAGGAGTTTTATAGTTGTTTGATTTACATTTATGTTTTTGATCCATTTGATTCATTATTGTGAAGAGTGTGAGTTCTTTGTCTAGTCTCATTTTTTTTGCATGTTGATATCAAGTTGTTCCAGCACCATTTGTTAAAAAGTCTCCTCTTTTCTCCATTGTGTTGTGTTTGTTTTCTTGTCAAAGATCATTTGACTATATTTATGTGAGTCTATTTCTGGACTCTCTATTCTATTACGTTGATGCATTTGTCTACTCTTTCACCAATACCACACTGTCTTAATTACAGTGGCTTTATAGTGAATCTTGACATCATGTAATGTCTGTCTATCTTTCTCTTCTCCTTTAATAATGTGTTAGCTATTCTGGAATGTATGCCTCTCCATTATAACCTTTATAATCAGTTCATTGATAGTCACTAGATACTTTGGGGGATTTTGACTAGTATTGCATTAAATTTATAGATCAAGTTGGCAAGAACTGACATTTTGACAATATTGAGTCTTATTATTCATGAACATAGAGTATCTATTTACTTAGTTCTTTGATTCTCTTATTAGAATTTTATAGTTTTCCTCATATAGATCTTATACATATTTATTAGAATTATATCTAAGTATTTTATTTTTGGAAGATACTAATGAAATTGTATTCTTTTTAATCTCAAATTCCACCTGTTCATTGTTGGTATAAAGAGAAGCAATTAACCTTTTATGATAGCCTTGCATCTTGCAACCTTGCTATAATGACTTATCAGTTCCAACATTTTTGTGTTGATTCTTTCCAATTTCCAAATAGACAATTATGCCATCTGCACACAGTTTTATTTCTTCCATCTCAATCTATATACATTTTCTTTTCTTGTCTTTCACAGCAGCTAGGACTTCCAATATAATATTGAAAAGCAGTAGGGAGAGGGACCATCCTTGCCTTGTTCCTGATCTTAGTGGAAAATCTAAGTTTCTTACTATTAAATATGATGTTAGCTGTGGGGTTATTTGGTAGATATTCTTTATAAAGTTGAGGAAGCTTCCCTCTATTCCTAATTTACTGAGAGTTTTATCATGCATGGATATTTGATTTTCTCAAAGGCTGTTTCTGCATCTGTTGATATAATCATGTGATTTTTCTTCTTGAGCTTGTTGATATGATGGATTATATTAATTGGTTTTCAAATGTTGAAACAGCCTTGGATACCTGGGATAAATCCCATTTGGTTTTGAAGCATATTTTTATATGTGGTTGAATTCTATTTACTCATATTTTGTTGAAGATGTTCATATATATGTTCCTAAGGATATTGGTCTGTAGTTTTCTTTTCTTGTAATGTCTTCATGAGGTTTTTGTATTTGGGCAGCTATGGTCTCATAGAATGAGTTGGAAAGTAGTCCTTCTACTTCTATCTCTGAAAGAGATTATGGAGATTTGATATAATTTCTTCCTTAAATGTTTGGTAAAATTCACTTGTGAACCCATCTGTGCCTGATGCTTTCTATTTTAGAAGGTTATTAATAATTGATTCAGTTTCTTTAAAAGACTTAAGTGTATCCAGATTAGTTTTCTCACCTGAGTTTTGGCATATTGTGCTCTTCAAGAAACTTGTCCATTCTATTTTATCTAGGTTATCGAATGTGTGAGCATAGAGTTGTCTATATTATTTTTTATTATCTACCTAATGTCTTCTGTTGTAATGATGTTCATTTCTTTCTTTATGTCCTTTATTTTTATTAGCCTTGGTTTTGACTTTGTTAATTTTTCTCTATTATTTTCCCATTTTCAATGTCACTGATTTCTGCTCTAATTCTATTTTTTCTTCTGCTTTCTTTGAATTTATTATTTGCTGTTTTTTAAGTTTACGAAGGTGGAAGCTTAGATGATTGATTTAGATCTTTCTTTTCTAATGTATGCATTGTGTCTAAATATTCCTCTAAGCATTGCTTTCACTGCATCCTCAAAACTTTGATAAATTCTGGTTTCATCTTTATTTAGCTCAAAATATTTTAAAATTTCTAAGATTTCTTCTTTGATTGATGTGCTATGTAGAAATGCGTTGTCTAATCTCCAAATGTTTGAGGATTTTCTAGCTATCTTTCTGTTATTGAATTTTAGTTTAATTCTATTGTGGTCTGAGACCAGACATTGTAAGATTTCTGTTCTTTTGAATATGTAAATGTGTGCTTTATGGCCCATAATGTGGTCTATCTTGGTGAATATGTCATGTGAGCTTCAGAAGAATGTGCATTCTGCTGTTGTTGGATGAAGCAGTCTTAGATGTTAATTATATTCAGTTGGTTGATTTGTGTTTTTGAATTCAACTATGTCCTTTCAGGTTTTCTGCTGGCTAGATCTATCCATTTCTGATAGAGAGAGTGTTGAAGTGCAATTATAATCGTGGATATTCCCCTTTGCAGTTCAGTTTTTGCCTCACATATTCTTATGCTATGTTAGGTACATACACATAAAGGATTGCTATATCTTCTTGAATAATTGATGGCCTTATCCTTACTCATGATGTTGTTCAGATATGCCATTTATGATATCTGGGCGAAAGTACTTCATGTGTGAAAATTGCTAAAAGTGTAAGAAATTAATGCCACATTTTGTATATAAAATTTTCTATTGACATTGGACAACAGTAAAGTTGTTGGTTGCCTACAATTTATTATTTGATAAACAATTGGACTATATTTTTGAATATTGATCTGAGAATAACTGCAAAATTTTTGTCATTACCATCCTGGTATCCCAACTCTCTCTTTCTCTTTGGCTTGTTTTTTCCTTTTTCGTAGGTTTTTCTTACCTAAGTCATCTGTTGCTTGAAGCAAAGAGAATATCTTTTCTGTTCTTCTCATTAGGAAATAGTAACTGAAAACTAAAAGTTTGATGGTTATAGTAGCTGGTTGCTATGAGCTTTGTGTGAGGCATATACTGAGCCTTTTATGTGTATTTTCTCATATAAATATAACAATTCTCTGGTATAGATGCAATTTTTACCCATCTTATTTGTTAGGAAACTATGACCCAGTTCCTTGAGCATGGCTACACTGCCAGTAAGTGACAAGGCTGTATGTTAATACTGTCAGTCTAACTAAAAACCTGTACCCTTCACTATGATTATCTGGTGTACTAAAATCATTTTATTAGAACTTGTGCATTGATTGCATCAATTATATTACTAACATCAATATTTAAAATTAATATGATAGTGTAGTGACTTGCAATATAAGAAACACATATTATACACAAAACTAAAACAAAAGTTTCACAAACCAATGTCAACCTTACTGTCTTAGGGTATACAATGAACTCTGATAGTTTCGATATTATTCTAGTCTAGTCCAATCTAGTGTTTTTTAAATATTATCCATTCACTAAATTGATTTTATAACCCACTGAGTTATAACCCATATTGGTGGAAACATTAAATAATATTTAGCTTTTACTTTTCTTCTATAAGGTATATCTAATGATTTATCAAATTAGATGCAAGAGCAAATTTTTTAATTTCTGATAATTTTATTTTTTAAAAGAAATTCATAAACCATTCAGACTGCGTCTAAAGAACAGAAACCTAGAATTCAGTTCTTCAGAGGGTCTGGTAAAGCAATTAACTGTTTTCTTAAACAGCAAGGATTAGAGGAAAACTATCTTTGTAACCATGATAAAGCTGAGCAGACAATAGTCTCTCCACACACATTATAATAAAAATAATTATGGAGCTTTAAAAAAGTTTTTCTTCTGTTTTTTATATTTTTTGTTTCTACATTTTATAAATCTAAGTATTGCATTATGGTCCCTAACAAAAAAATATAATTTATTAATATTGCTTTATTATTCAAAGGGCTTGATATACAAAAAGAAAATCAAATTAATAAGGAACAAAATGGATATTAACGTTTTAAAACAATATTTGATTTATCAACAAATATATTTTTAGCTATACAAAAGAAGTAATCAGTTTCTTTTACACATTTCTTTGAGGAAACCTAAGACTGGCATCTCCACACAAGAGTTTTTAATTATAATTTTGTAACTGTCATTGTCTTGCTAAATAAAATAAATCACTTAGGCGTAATTTTCTTAATTAAAATAAGCAGAAGAATCATTCCTCTCACAAATGAATATATTGCCATAGTTATAGTTGGAATGATTTGAAGGCATGCTATTTTTAAATTTTAAAATAGAAATTTTAAAATAGAAAATTTTTAAAGATTAGCAAGACCAATTCTCACCCCAAATTGGGGTCAGTCTTTGCTTACTTGGGTAGACTTGTATTCAGGGATCATGTCAAAAGCCCTACTGTCTTGTAGGGTTCCTACTCCTAGCCACAAGCACAGGTCCAGGAATATGTAATTGTTCTACCCTCAGTGAAATCTGAGAGTAATTGCAAACAGAAAAAGGCAAAAATGAATGAAAGGCCTGTAGAGGAATCAATCAATTTAAAGGAAAATTAGAGATGGATCTTCACATCTGTGAAATGCTTTTGTGTGTGTCTCATATATTACTCACACTCATTCCCAATGTCATGGAGGTATTCTGAACATACAGAAGCCACATGCTCAAAGTATGGTTAAAACATTCTTCTTCAAAGGTATGCTTTCAGGGAAAAACAAAAGCTTCTTAGTCCTGAAGACTTGATTTCTGAAAGGGCTGCCCAGGGTCCTCTAATTTGCATGTACTCTTTTCCACATTCAAGGAGTCAAGACAATTGTGAGACACGATAGATATTTAGCAAATCTCTCTGAGACACACCTCTGAGAAAGACACAAGAGGGCTTCTCATGAGTTTGTCTATTTCCTCCTCCAAGTTCAAAGATAGAAGCCAATTAAATTCAGTGATTAAAATCCAAAAGTTTGTATTAACAGCCTTGAGTCTCTGTGCCAGCAGTGTCCCAGGCAGAGGAACCAGGTGAGAATACTCCACCAAACTGACCTGAGTCCGGCTACGAATATGAGTGTTTATTAGAAGCAAATAAAAGTAGCTAAGGGAGTTCCAAACAACTCTCAAAAGTTGCTTTCCAATCTAAAACTCTAGATATTTCTAGATCAATGATCATAGTGTGTTGGGGATTGTATGTGTAAAGAAACTTTATATATCTTCAGTTGATTTTGGAAAAGCCTAAAAAATATTAAAACTGTAGAATTTATTTACGGTGATTTTTCTCTAATAAGCATTCTGTGCCATCGGTTGTAATTAATCTGACAACCTGTTTCTTATTTTCTGTCCTTTGGGAAGTGAGATTGCTTGTAAACCTCCATTGTTAAGGTATTGACTGACATAATTTTCTCTTTTGCTGAGAGGTAAGTTCCTCTTAAGATAAAAATTGAAGAAATAAAAAAAATCCTTTTGTGGGAAACTTGGAAACACAGAAGTCAGTTGAGTGACAGAGAAAACAAAGAAGTCAGAAGAATATTATTATTCATTTGTTGAACAAATACATATTAAGTGTTTATTACTTTCTCCAGGTTCTCTTCTAAACAGTGCGGACAGAACAGTAAACAAACGAAACCAAAATAGGTGCACTTATGAAGCTTATACCATAGTGGGGAAAGAAAATAAAAACACACACACATATTAAATTATTTGAAATATGAAAGGTATATGGGCTATGAAGAAAAACAAAGTGGCGAAAAGGGACAGAGAGGGTAGATGGGATACATCTTGCAAAAGGGAGGTGTATTAGTTTTCTGCTGCTAGGTATCAAATTATCACAAACTTAGTGGCTTAAAACAACACCCACTGTCCAGCCTCAGCTTCAATGTGTGCTGTGCTCAGGATCTTACAAAGCTGCAGTCAAGGAGTCAGCCAGAGCTGGTTTCATCTGAGGCTCAGTTTCCTCTTCCAAGCTCATGTAGTTGTTAGCAGAATGCATTTCCTCCCAACTGTGGAACTCAGGGCAGGATGCTTCTACACAGCCAGAAGAAAAGATTCTCTGTAGTTTACAGTCTCTGAACTCCGGAAAAATCTAGGCATTCTTTTAAATGAGTCACCTGATTAGATTAGCCCCACTAGTATAATCTCCATTTTTATTAATTTAAAGTCAAATTGATTTGGGCACTTAATTATATCTGAAAAATTCTTTTCACCTTTGCCGTATAAGGTAACATTATCACGGAAGTACTATCCCATCTCTTTTGCCATATTCTTTCAGTTAGATGCAAGTCACAGGTGTGCCCACACTCAATAGGAGGGTTTTACAAAAGGCTGTGATGTATTTGAGGCCAGCCCAGAGTACATCTGTCACCAGAGGTTATAGGAGTCTTCAGCAAAATAAGGAGAGAGAGCAAGTGGATATTTAAGGGAAGAACATTACTGACAGAGGAGAAAGAAGTGCATAGTTCCACAGGTAGGAACATGTCTGGGAAGTTTAACATCAAGCAAGGAGTCCAGTGTGATTGGAGCAGCAATGCACAAGGATAGTGGGGAGGTGGTCCAGAGTGGGAACAGGTTGCCCGATTTTACAGAGCTGTGAGGAACATTGTCAAGATATTCTACATATTACATTTTTAACATTTTCATGAAGTCTCACTCTTTCAGCAAATCTAGAGGACAAATAACAAGAAATGAAAGGTACTTATGTATTTTGTGACACTATCAGATGTCACAAAAAAGCACAAGTTGTGATTATTTGTTCTCACCTTAGAGAATTTGAGCTCAATTTTAACATAGCTGCATGTTACTTTTTTGCAAAGAACAAGGTCACTTTACTATACCGGGGCTCTCAAATTTGTCATTACAGTTAGAATAAAATGAAACTCTCTCTTGAATAAAGCCATGGGAATAATATGTAACTATGGATAATCATTTAATTCAAGGGAAGAGGCAAAGCACTGGGTTCTACATCTTATAGAAAATGAAAAGGAAGATGTATAGCTGAAGTAAACAAAGTAGAGGCAAAAATAAACCAGTTCCAGAAGACATCACGTTAAGTGAAATAATCCAGGTACAGAAAAACAAATATTGCATGTTCTCACTTATAATGTGGGAGCTTTAAAAAATGAATTCATGGAAGTAGAGAGTGCAATGATGATTGCCAGAGGCTGGGAAGGATAGTGGGGAGGAGAGCATAAAAATGGGTTAGTTAATGGGTGCAAAAATAACAATCAGAATGAATAAGACCTAGTACTTAGTAACACAACAGGGTGACTATAGTTAACAGTAATTTATTGTATGCTTTAAAATAACTAAAAGTGTAGAATTGGAATGTTTTTAATACAAAGAAATGATAAATGCTTCAGGTGATAGATACCACAATTACTCTGATTTGATCATTACACATTGTATGCTTGTATGACAACATCACATGTACACCATAAACATATACAACTATCATGTACCCATAATAATTAACATAAAAATTTTAAAAACAAAATAGAAAATAAAACCAGTTCCTGGAATGGCTGGTAGTAGAATATCATTCTCTGTCAAGTTCTCTGCTTCAACTGTCCTTTCCCCTTTATTGGAAACAATCGTTTAATGAAAACAAGATTAAGCAATGACTATAGTACAGATTGGCACTTGCAAATCTATCCATAACTGCTTTTCCACTTTAATATTTTTAATTAAAAGGTGTCGTCTTGCTTCGTGGTGAACAGAATATGAGTTATCCCTCACCAGATAAGGCACATGTCCCAAATCCCACCCATCTATTTTCTCCACTGGGAGAGGGGAATTGATGGCATGCTCTACCTGAGAATGTAAGGCAGCAAAATGCTCCTGGAAAGGTCACAACACTCTCTTTTAACGGGCACACCGTCAAGGAGATACCACCTCATTTCCTTACTGTTTGAATTCTGAAAGGGTTGCCCATGCTTCTGTCATAGGACCAACTGCTTTGTTTGCCTGCTGTGCAGTAACATACCAACACACCAAGACTGCAGGGTTTACAGCAGAAGAGGAGTTTAATGATGGCAGGGTACTGAGCAAGAAAATGAGAGGAGACCATCAAATAAATCTCCCCAAGGAGTTCTGGGCTGATATTTCTAAGGGGATTGTGGATTTTTAAGGGGATGGAAAATTGAGGTCATTGATTAGTTGGGGTTAGGAGGATGAAAGCATCGGGTCTTGAAAACTACATTCTTTGCTGAGTCAGCTTCCCCTGTGGCCCTTCAGACCAGTGGATGTCAGTAGTTCCACTGTTATGCAGGACATGAAAGAATGTCTCAAAGGGAAAACTTAACATTTTAAAATGTTCAGGTTGTTTTCTATAGAGCAGTTAAGAGGAATTATAATCTTCTAACAGAGTCTACGTGATTCTGAGGCAATAGGCAAACAACTATGAGGACGTGGGTCAGAGAACAAGCTGACCTAATGATTAATGCTGAATGCACTGCAAGCTTAATTTATTTTTGTTTTTCCCCTCCCTTCTTCCCTGATTAACTTTATAAAATTTGTAGGGATGGTTTCAGTTCCTCTAATTTGGCAGTGTAATATGCTTAGATTTTATGAAGCGCATTCCAATTTTAGGATTCTTTCTATCAGGGCTAAAAAGAAGGTGGGGGACGGGGAGTGCTTAGCTAGAAACATACCTGCTCATAACCTTGCCTCTCATCCTGCAAGTGAATACTCAAATAATCCCCTCAAATAATGTTGCCAAGGTAACTCCTACAAAATAAAGAGCTTTGTTTTTGCATACTTCTGTTGACACAAATACTATGAGCTTAAATAAACTGATTAGTGAACTCCAACTGTAGTGAGGATAAATAATATCTCCAATTCATAGAAGCCATGCAAAAATAAAGTCTTTAGGTTTTCCTTTTAAAAGAACAAATCTCTGAACCAAGTGCTGGAGAGCGCTCCCTTTTCTGTGAGGAAAGAGAAATTTGGGTGGAGCTTCTCAATACACCCAAGAAACAACTGATGACTGAGGAATGGGATTAGCCTTTCTTTAGTACCCTCCCCACCAAGTATTCCCTAGACATCTCAGACCATCATATTAAGATGATAAAGTTCTTTACTCAAGGATTAGTTAGCTTTCAAAATGCATATGGTATGTGAAGAAAAAAAAAGCTTGTAACTGTCTACCTGTGGTTGAAAGGAAGTCATTTACAAGTTTGTATCATATATTTTGCTCCTATCTCTGTCTCTTCTCTAACCCTTCCAATCCAGTCCAGCATCTCGCCACTTATCCTCTGGAAATTCCAACTTTCCCCATCAAAGGTGACTCTGCCCCCTCAGGCCCTTTGTGTATATTATAAACTTTAATTCCCCAAGATAAGGCTAGATGCAAACAACGCTACTCAAAGCCTTTTGGTAAATATTTGAATTTCACTAATGGCTGATTTTCTCTCTGTTTTAATTAAGAGGTAAATACATTTATCTAAGACAAGAGCTAACGACCCGTTTTATTTTAAAGGGCCATAGAGTAAACATTTTTGCCTTGCAGGTCATGTGGTCTATGTGCTGTTTTCCAATCAAACGTTTTATCAAAACAGGTAGCAGGAGGGTACTAGTTTGCTGATACCTATGTAAGCCATTTTTTTTCTTAGTAACAAGACTAATCTCATATTCTAATATGCTACTTCTTCTGTAGACATAACTTTACTTTTGTCCATTTTCCTCACATACCCATCCACTAAACATGCAAAAAAAAAAATGAAGAGAAGAATTTGATTATTTTACAGATTAGGCTCCCATCCCAAAGCCACCATTTAAATTTATGGTTTTTATCTTCCAAAATTCTAATTTCTACCCCAGTGGTTCTCAAAGTAATATCTGAAAAACACTAGGAGTATATGAGACTGTTTTAAGCAGTCTGCAATGTCAAAACTATTTTGATAATTATACTAGGACATTACTTGCCTTTTTCACTGTGTTGACATTTGCACTGATGGCACAAAATTAATAGTGGGTAGAACTGCTGTCACCTTACCACAAATCAAGGCAGGGTCAGTTTAAACTCAGTTTGTATTTTTTTAAAGGCAAGTTTCAGTTAAAAATGTCCTTAATGAGCCAATAAAAAATATTAATTTTATTAAATCTTAACCATTCAGTACTTCTCTCTTTAATAGCCTGTGTGAAAAAATGGAAAGTGCACATAAAGGACTTTCACTGCATACCAAAGTACAAAAATTGCCTCTGGGAAAAGCTCTTGCATGACAGTTTGAGCTGCAAGCTGAACAAGCCTCTTTTCTCATGGAACACGATTTTTATTTGTAGGAATGCTGGCAGACAAACCATGGTTCTTCAAACTTGAGTATCTGGCAGGCATTTTCTCAAAAATGAAATAAGCCTGTCATTTAAAGGAAAACATTGATAGTAATCCAATGCCAATGACAATATATGACCTTTAGAGAGAAAATTAGAATTATAGAAAGCTTGTACCTGCAACTATGAGATTAACAGTTTCACAATATTTAAAAATGCTTCTGATAAGATTGGTCATAATATTAACCAATGCTGGAAGCATTCCCTTTGAAAACTGCCACAAGACAAGGATGCCCTCTCTCACCACTCCTATACAACATACTATTGGAAGTTCTGGCTAGGGCAATCAGGCTAGAGAAAGAAATAAAGCGTATTCAAATAGGAAGAGAAAAAGTCAAATTGCCTCTGTTTGCAGTCAAATTCCCCTTCTACATTTAGAAAACCCCATCATCTCAACCCCAAAACTCTTTAAGCCGATAAGCAACTTCAGCAAAGTCTCAGGATACAAAATCAATGTGCAAAAATCACAAGCATTCCTATAAACCAACAACAGACAAGCAGAGACCCAAACCATGAATAAACTCCCAGTCACAATTGTTACAAAGAGAATAAAATACCTAGGAATACAGCTAAAAAGGGATGGGAAGGAGGAATAAGAGAGGACACAAACAAATGGAAAAACATACCATCTTTAGAATAAATATCAAGAAAATGGCCATTCTGCCCAAAGTAATTTATAGATTCCATGCTATTCCCATTAAACTACGATTGACATTCTTCACAGCATTAGAAAAAAACTATTTTAAATTTCACATGGAAAAAAAAGAGCCTGTATAGACAACACAATCCTAACCAAGAGGAACAAAGCTAAGAGGCATCGTGTTACCTGACTTCAAACTATACTACAAGGATATAGTAACCAAAACAGCATGGTGCTGGTACCAAAATAGATACATAGACCAATAGAACAGAACAGAGATGTCAGAAATAACACCATACATCTACAACCATCTGATTTTCGACAAACCTGACAAAAACAATCAATGGGGAAAGGATTCCCTATTTAATAAATGGTGCTGGGAAAACAATCTAGCCATATGCAGAAAACTGAAACAGGACCCCTTCCTTACACCTTATACAAAAATGAACTCAAGATGGATAAAAGACTTAAATGTAAAACCCAAAACCATAAAAACCCTAGAAGAAAACCTAAGTAATACCATTCAGGACACAGGCATGGACAAAGACTTCATGACGAAAATGTCAAAAGCAATTGCAACAAAAGCCAAAATTGAGAAATGGGACCTAATTAAACTAAAGAGCTTTTGCACAGCAAAAGAAGCTATCATCAGAGTGAACAGGCAGCCTACAGAATGGGAGAAAATTTTTGCAATCCACTCACCTGACAAAGGTCTAATATCCAGAATCTATAAGGAACTTAAACAAATTTACAAGTAAAAACAAACAAACCCATCACAAAGCAGGCAAAGGATATGAACAGACACTTCTCAAAAGAAGACATTTATGCAGCCAACAAACATGAAAAAAAAAGCTTAACATCACTGATCATTAGAGAAATGCAAATCAAAACCACAATGAGATACCATCTTATACCAGTCAGAATGGCAATTATTAAAAAGTCAAAAACAATAGATGCTGATGAGGCTGTGGATAACTAGGAATGCTTTTACACTATTGGTGGTAATGAATGTAAATTAATTCAACCATTGCTGAATACAGTGTGGTGATTCCTCAAGGATCTAGAACCAGAAACACCATTTTACTCAGCAATCCCATTACTAGGTATATACCCAAAGGAATATAAATCATTCTACTATAAAGACACATGCAGCAGTATTTACAATAGCAAAGACATGACCAACCCAAATGCCCATCAATGATAGACTGGATGAAGAAAATGTCATACATATACACCACGGAATGCTATGCAGCCATAAAAAGAATGAGATAATATCCTTTGCAGGCACATGGATGAAGCTGTAAGCCATCATCCTCAGCAAACTAACATAGGAACAGAAAACAAAACACTGCATGTTCTCAGTCATAAGTGAGGACATATGAACACAGGAAGGGGAACAACACAAACCAGAGCCAGTTGAGGGGTGGGAGGCGAGGGGAGAAAGAGCATTAGGACAAATAGCTAATGCATACGGGGCTTAAAACCTAGATGACAGGTTGATAGGTGCAGAAAACCACCATGACACACGTATATCTGTGTAACAAACCTACACGTTCTGCACTTGTATCCCAGAGCTTAAAGTAAAATTTTAAAAAAACATCACCACTGAGGGCTACAGTGTTCTGTGTGTCTAAGTGGACATGAAAAGCAGTCTAGGCCATAAAGACTGCAACTCTTAGGTGACTCCTAGTGTTGAACTGGGACAAGAGACAGTGGACTGGAGTTGTGGGAAGATGCAACCTGCTAGGATGCCAGCTGGGGAAGCTAAAGGAGTGCTGACATCACCCCTCCCCCAACCCCAGGCTGCACAGCTCACAACTTCAAAACAGACTTCTTCCTTCCACTTAAGTAGAGGAGAGGGAACAGTGGGGAGGAATTTGTTTTGAATTTTGGATACCAGCTCAGCCACAGCATGATATGGCAGCAGTCAAAGTCATCAGGCCCCATTCCAGGCATTTTTAGCACAACCTAGGCCAGAAGGGAACTGGCTGCCTTGAAGGGAAGGACCTAGGTCTGAGAGCATTCATCATTTGCTAATTGAAGAGCCCTTGGACACTGAATAACCAGCAGCGATACCCAGGCACTATGTTGAGGGCTTTGGGTGAGCCTCTGAGACCTGCTGTCTTCAGGTGAGACTCAGCACAGTGCCAGCTGTAGTGGCTATGGTGTAAAACTCCTGTTGCTTGAAACAATCAGAGGGAAAAGTAAAAGGGGACTTTTTCTTGCACCTTAGGTACTAGCACAGCCACGGGGGGGTAGAGCACCAAGTGGGCCCTTGGGATTCTTGATTCCAGGAATTGAACGTTGGATGGCATTTCTAGACCTGCCCTGGGCCAGAGGGGAGCCCACTGTCCTGAAGCGTGAGTCTCACATCAGGCAGCATTCACCATAAGCTGACTTAAGAGACCTTAGCCTTAAGGGAATGTTGGCAGTAGTCTGGCAGTAGTTCCCATTGTCTATAGTGGTGGGGGCTAAGAGGTAAGGCTTCTCTGCCTTGGGAAGTGGGAGGGAAGAGTGGGAAGGACTATGCCTTGTGAATTGAGTGCCAGCTCAGCTGCAGTGCAATAGAACACCAAGTAGACTTCTGAGGTTTTTATTCTAGTGCCTGACTCCCATATGGCATCTCTGGACCCACCCAAGACCTGGGGGAACTCCCTAGACTGCAGGGGAGGACATAGGCCTTCCTGGCTTTGTGATCTGCTTATTGTAGAGCCCCAGGGCCTTGAAAAACATAGGCAGTAGCCAGAGGGCCGTCACTGCAGGCCTTGGGTGAGAAATAGTGCTGTGCTGGCTTCAGGTCTGATCCAGCACAGACACAGTGGTAGTGGGCACAGGGGTGATTGTGTCACTCCACCCCCAGCTTTACATGACCCAGAACACACACACACACACACACACACACACACACACACACACACAGAAAAAAAGACAGAGAGAGTGAGAGAGAGACTACAGCTGTTTGGGAGAAAGTAAGGGAAGAGAACAAGAGTCTCTGCCTAGTAATCCAGAGAATTCTCCTGAATCTTTTCCAAGGTGGTACCTCTACAAGTCTGCAAGAACCACAGTGTTACTGAACTTACGATGCTTCCTAATGCAGATACAGGTTAAATCACAGCACTCAAGTCTTACCGAATATCTAGAATGCTCTCCCAATAAGGACATGTACAAATAAGCCCAGACGATGAAGACTACAATAAATATCTACCTCTTCAATGCCAGACACTGAAGAACATCTACTAGCATCAAGACCATCCAGGTAAACATGACCTCACCAATGAACTAAATAAGGCATTCACGACAAATCCTGGAGAAACACAGATATGTGACCTTTCTTTTTTTGTTTGTTTGTTTTTTTAATTTTATTATTATTATACTTTAAGTTTTAGGGTACATGTGCACAATGTGCAGGTTTGTTACATATGTATACATGTGCCATGTTGGTGTGCTGCACCCATTAACTCGTCATTTAGCATTAGGTATATCTCCTAATGCTATCCCTCCCCCCTCCCCCCACTCCACAACAGTCCCCGGTGTGTGATGTTCCCCTTCCTGTGTCCATGTGTTCTCATTGTTCAATTCCCACCTATGAGTGAGAACATGTGGTGTTTGGTTTTTTTGTCCTTGTGATAGTTTGCTGAGAATGATGGTTTCCAGTTTCGTCCATGTCCCTACAAAGGACATGAACTCATCACGTTTTATGGCTGCATAGTATTCCATGGTGTATATGTGCCACATTTTCTTAATCCAGTCTATTGTTGTTGGAAATTTAGGTTGGTTCCAAGTCTTTGCTATTGTGAATAGTGCCACTATAAACATACATGTGCATGTGTCTTTATAGCAGCATGATTTATAATCCTTTCGGTATCTACCCAGTAATGGGATGGCTGGGTCAAATGGTATTTCTAGTTCTAGATCCCTGAGGAATTGCCACACTGACTTCCACAATGGTTGAACTAGTTTACAGTCCCACCAACAGTGCAAAAGTGTTCCTATTTCTCCACATCCTCTCCAGCACCTGTTGTTTCCTGACTTTTTAATGATTGCCATTCTAACTGGTGTGAGATGGTATCTCATTGTGGTTTTGATTTGCATTTCTCTGATGGCCAGTGACAATGAGGATTTTTTTATGTATTTTTTGGCTGCATAAATGTCTTCTTTTGAGAAGTGTCTGTTCATATCCCTCACCCACTTTTTGATGGGGTTGTTTGTTTTTTTCTTGTAAATTTGTTGGAGTTCATTGTAGATTCTGGATATTAGCCCTTTGTCAGATGAGTAGGTTGCGAAAATTTTCTCCCATTTTGTAGGTTGCCTGTTCACTCTGATGGTAGTTTCTTTTGCTGTGCAGAAGCTCTTTAGTTTAATTAGTTCCCATTTGTCAATTTTGGCTTTTGTTGCCACTGCTTTTGGTGTTTTAGACATGAAGTCCTTGCCCATGCCTATGTCCTGAATGGTATTGCCTAGGTTTTCTTCTAGGGTTTTTATGGTTTTAGGTCTAACATTTAAGTCTTTAATCCATCTTGAATTAATTTTTGTGTAAGGTGTAAGGAAGGGATCCAGTTTCAGCTTTCTACATATGGCTAGCCAGTTTTCCCAGCACCATTTATTAAATAGGGAATCGTTTCCCCATTTCTTGTTTTTGTCAGGTTTGTCAAAGATCAGATGGTTGTAGACATGCAGCATTATTTCTGAGGGCTCTGTTCTGTTCCATTGGTCTATATCTCTGTTTTGGTACCAGTACCATGCTGTTTTGGTTACTGTAGCCTTGTAGTATAGTTTGAAGTCAGGTAGCATGATGCCTCCAGCTTTGTTCTTTTGGCTTAGGATTGACTTGGCGATGTGGGCTCTTTTTTGGTTCCATATGAACTTTAAAGTATTTTTTTCCAATTCTGTGAAGAAAGTCATTGGCAGCTTGATGGGGATGGCATTGAATCTATAAATTACCTTGGGCAATATGGCCATTTTCACGATATTGATTCTTCCCACCCATGAGCATGGAATGTTCTTCCATTTGTTTGTATCCTCTTTTGTTTCATTGAGCAGTGGTTTGTAGTTCTCCTTTCAGAGAATTAGAAATATCTGTGTTGAGGAAACTCCAAAAAATTCAAGATAACACAGAGAAGGAATTCAGAATTCTATTGGATAAATTTAACAAAGAGATTAAAATAATTTAAAAGAATCAAGCAGAAATTCTGGAGTGGAAAAAAATGCAATTGGCATACTGAAGAATGTATCAGAGTCATTTAATAGCAGAATGAATCAAACAGAAGAAAGAATTAGTGAGCTTGGAGTCAGGATATTTGAAAATACATGGTGAGAGGAGATAAAAGAAAAAATAAAAAAATAAATAAAAACAATAAAGCACACCTACAGAATCTATAAAATAGCCTCAAGATGGCAAATCTGAGTTATTGGCCCCAAGTACATGGTAGGAAAAGAGATAGGAGTAGGAAATGTATTTAAAGGGATAATAACAGAATCCCCCAAACCTAGGGAAAGATAGCAACATCCAATTACAAGAAGGTTATGAAACACCAAGCAGATTTAACTCAAAGAATACCACCTCAACGAATTTAATAATAAAATTTCCAAAGATCAAGGATAAAGGAAGGATCCTAAAGTAGCAAAAGAAAAGAAACAGATAATATACAATGGAGCTGCAATACGTCTGGCAGCAGATTTTTCAGTAAAAACATTACAGGCCAGGAGAGAGTGGCATGACGTATATAAAGTGCTGAATGAGAAAAAGTTTTATCCTAGAATAGTATATCCAGTGAAAATATTCTTCAAATGTGAAGGAGAAATAAAGACTTTCTGAGGCAAACATAAGCTGAGGGATTTCGTCAATACCAGACCTGTCCTACAGGAAAAGCCAAAGGGAGTACTTCAATAAGAAAGAAAAGGAATGTAATGAGCAAAAAGAAATATCTGAAGATATAAAACCCACTGGTAATAGTAAGCATGCAGAAAAACACAAACTGTTATAACACTAACTGTGATGTGTAAACTACTCATCCTCTGTATAAAGACTGAACATTGAACCAAATAAATAAATGACTACAACAACTTTTCAAGACATAGATAGTAAAGTACAATAAGATAAAAATTAAAACAAAAAAAGGTAAAAAGCGGGAGACAAAGTTAAGGCATAGAGTTGGTTTTTTTTTAGTTTTCTTTTTGTTTGTTTGTTTATGCAAACTATGTTAAGTTGTTATCAGGTTAAAATAATGGGTTATAAGATAGTATTTGCAACCTTCATGGTAACCTCAAGCCAAAAAAGATACATTGGATACACAAAAAATTAAAAGCAAGAATATAAATCATATCACCAGAGAAAAACATGCTCACTAAAGGAAGAAAGGAAATGAAAGAAAAAAGGAAGAGATGAGCACAGGACAACCAGAAAACACATAGCAAAATGGCAGGAGGAAGTCCTTACTTCTCAATAGTAACATTGAATATAAATGGACTAAACTCTCCAATAAGAGGTCATAGAGCAGCTGAATGGATGAAAAAAGAAAGACCGATTGATCTGTTGTCTGTAAGAAACACACTTCACCTATAAAAACACACAAAAACTGAAAATAAAGGGATGGAAAAAGATAATTCCATGCCAATGGAAACCAAAAAAGAGCAGAAGTTGCTATACTTCTTTCAGACAAAACAGATTTCAAGACAAAAACAATAAGAAGAAACAAAGAAGGTCAATATATAATGATAAAGACGTCAGTTCAGCAAAAGAATATAACAATTTTAAATATATATGCACACACACTTGAGCACCAACATGTATAAAGCAAATATTATTAGAGCTACTCCAATACAATAATAGCTGGAGACTTCAACACCCCATTTCAGCATTTCTTCCAGACAGATCTTCCAGACAGAACATCAAAAAAGAAATATTAGACTCAATGTGCTCTGTATACCAAATGGATCTAATAAGTATTTACAGAATATTTCACCCAGTGACTATAGAATACACATTCTTTTCTTTAGCACATGGGTCATTCTCAATGATAGACCATATGTTAGTTCACAAAGCAAGTCTTAAAACACTGAACATATTGAAATAATGCCAAGCATCTTCTCTGGCCACAATGGAATGTAACCAAACGTCAATAACAAGAGGAACTTTGGAAACTATACAAACACATGGAAATTAAAGAATAGGCTCCTGAATGACCAGTGGGTCAACGAATAAGTTAGAAAATGCTTTGAAACAAATGATAATGGAAACACAACATACCAAAACCTATGGGATACAGCAAAACCAGTACTATGGGGGAAGTTTGTAGCTTATCAGTGCCTACATCAAAAAACAGGAAAAACTTCAAATAAAGAACCTAATGATGCATGTTAAAGAACTAGAAAAGCAAGAGCAAATCAAACCCAAAATTGGTAGAAGAAAATAATAAAGAATAAAGAGCAGAGCAGAAATAAATGAAATTGAAATGAAAAAATACAAAAGATCAATGAAACAAAAAGCTGTTTTTCAAAAAAGTTAAACAAAATTGACAAACCCTTAGCCAGACTAAGAAGAAAAAAGAGAAGATCTAAATAAAATCAGAAACAAAATAGGAGACATTACAACTGATACTGAAGAAATTCAAAGGATCAGTAGAGACTACTATGAGCAACTGTATGCTCATAGTTAATTGGGAAATCTAGAAGAAATGGACAAATTCTTAGATACATACAACCTACCAATTGAACTAGGAAGAAATCCAAAACCTGAACAGAGCAATAACAAGTAATGAGATCAAAGCTGTAATAAAAAGTCTTCCAGTAAAGAAAAGCCCAGAACCTAATGGTTTCACTGTTGAATTCTACCAAACATTTTAAGAATAACTAATACCAATCCTACTCAATCTGTTCCAAAAAACATAGGAGGAGGGAGTGCTTTCAAACTCATTCTATGAGGCCAGCATTACCCCGATCCCAAAACCAGTCAAAGACACATCAGACAAAGAAAACTACAGGCCAATATCTCTGAGGAATATTGATGCAAAAGTCCTCAACAAAATGCTAGCAAGCTGAATTGAAAAATACATTAGAAAGATTTTTCATCATGACCAAGTGGAATTAATTCCTGAGATTCAAGAATGGTTCAACATATGCAAGTCAATCAGTGTAATATATCATATCAACGGAATGAAGGATAAAAACCATATGATTATTTCAAGTGATGGTGAAAAAGCATTTGATACAATTCAACATCCTTTTATAAAAAACTGGGTGTAGAAGGAATATACCTCATCATATTGAAGCCATATGTGACAAACCCTCAGCTAGTATCATGCTGAATGGGGAAAAACGGAAATCCTTTCATCTAAGATCCAGAGCACAACAAGAAGGCTCATTGTCACCACTGTTATTCAACATAGTACAGGAAGTCCTAGCTAGAGGAGTCAGAAAAGAGGAAGAAATAAAAAGCATCCAAATTGGCAAGGCAGAAGTCAAATTATCCTTCCTTGCAGATGATATAATCTTCTATTTGTAAAAACCTAAATACTACACAAACAAACCTAGAACTGGTAAATAAATTCAGGAAAGTTGCAGGATGCAAAATCAGCATACAAAAATCAGTATGCTGATTTCTATATATAAAAATCAGTGTGGCATTTCTATATGCCAACAGTGAAAAATGTGAAAATGAAATAAAAAAGTAATGTCATTTACAATAGCTACAAGTGAAGTTAATCACCTAGGAATTAACCAGAGAAGTGAAAGATCTCTATAAGGCAAACTATAAAACATTGATAAAAGAAATTGAAGAGGACACCAAAAAATGGAAAAATATTCCATGATTATGGATTAAAGAATCAATAATCTTAAAATGCCCATAAAACCCAAAGCAATCTACAGAATCAATGCAATTCCTATCAAAATACCAGTGACATTCTTCTCAGAAATAGACAAAACAATACTAAGATTTATATGGAACCACAAAAGACCCAGAATAGCCAAAGCTATCATAAGCAAAAAACAAAACTGAAGGAATCACATTACCTGACTTCAAATTATACTACAGAAGTATAGTAGCTAAAACAGTTTGATACTGGCATAAAAACAAACACAGAGGCCAATGGAATAGAAAAGAGAAGCCAGAAATAAACCTGCACACCTACAGTAACTCACTTTCAACCCAGATGCCAAGAACAAATACTGGGGAAAAGACAGTCTCTTCAATAAATAGTTCACAGAAAACTGGATGTCCATATTCAGAAGAATGTAACTAGACTCCTCTCTCTCTCCATTCACAAAAATCAAATCAAAATGAATTAAAGACTTAAATCTAAGACCTCACACTATGAAACTACTACAATAAAATGCTGGGGAAAATCTCCAGGACATTCGTCTGGGAAAAAAAATCTTGATTAATACCCCATGAGCACAGGCAACCAAAGCAAAAATGAATAAATGGGATCGCATCAAGTTAAAAAGCTTCTGCACAGCAAAGGAAACAATCAATAAAGTGAAGAGACAACCCAAACAATGGAAAAAGTATTTGCAAATTACCCATCCGACAAGGGATTAATAACCAGAATATATAATGAGCTCAGACAACTCTACAGGAAAAAAATCAAAATGGGCAAAAGATCTGAATAGGCATTTCTCAAAAGAAGACATATAAATGGCAAACAGGCATATGAAAAGGTGCTCAACATTATTGATCATCAGAGGAATGCAAATCAAAACTACAATGAGATATCATCTCACCCCAGTTAAAATGGCTTATATCCAAAAGACAGGTAATAATAAATGTTGGTAATGATGTGAAGAAAAGGGAACCCTATCCACTATTAGCAGGAATGTAAATTAGTACAACCACTATGGAGAACAGTTTGGAGGCTTCTAAAAAAACAAAACAAAAAATAGAGCTACCATATGATCCAGCAATCCCATTGCTGAGTATATACCCAAAAGAAAGAAAATCAATATATTGAAGAGATATCTGCACTCCCATATTTGTTGCGGCACTGTTCACAATAGCTAAGATTTGGAAGCAACATAAGTGTCCATCAGCAGATGGATGGATAAAGAAAATGTGGTACATATACACAATGGAGTACTATTCAGCCATAAAAAAGAATGAGATCCTGTCATTTGCAACAATATGGATGGAACTGGAGGTCATTATGTTAAGTGAAATAAGCCAGGAACAGAAAGACATCATTTGTTCTCACTCATTTGTGGGATCTAAAAATCAAAACAATTGAACTCATGGACATAGAGAGTAGAAGGATGGTTACCAGAGGCTAGGAACAGGAGTGAGTGGGTGGTGGAGAGGCAGAGATTGTTGGTGGGTCCAAAATATTTATAAAGAATGAATAAAATCTACTATTAGCACAACAGGGTGACTGTAGTCACTAACTTAATTGTACATTGTAAAATAACTAAAAGAATTAACGGGATTGTTTGTAACACAAAGGATAAATGCTTGAGGGGATGGATACCCCATTTTCCATGATGTAATTATTATACATTGCATGCCTGTATCAAAACATCTCATGTACCCCTATATAAACATATACCTCTATTAGGTACCCACAAAAATTAAAAAGAACATATAAAATTTTAAAAAAGAGTATGGCATTGTTTTCAGTTCATTCTGTTACACAGACAACAAATATTTTTCAAGTTCTTATAATGTGTTTATCATTATGATTACCTTTTAGAAAGATATAGGCAGTATAGTACATATTCTTTGTCTTGAATGAGCTTATAAATTAATTGGTGACACACACATATAAATTAAATAACAATAATTCAAGAAGTAGCTTGAGGCAATATTAGATTAAATTTTCATTTAGCAGTACAGAAAATAAATACAATGAGCTCAGAAGGCTGTGAAGGCTATTAGTGAAGGCTGATGAAGAAAGAATTTTACCTGGGACATAAAGGATAAATAGAATTTAGATAAATAGTTTTACAATAAATGTAAGGGACCAGTAAGGTCACAACCTAAGCCAAAGTTCAGAGCAAAGGGTGCATGTATATATACAGCCAACAGCCAGCAAACCTGATCAGAGGGGAAGGTTTTGGTGTGGAGAACAGCAATGTTGCCCACAGTTTTCTTTGTTGCAAGGTGCAGATAGTCGGCTCAAATGGGAACTGATAAATTCTTGTAACTTAAAACCTCAGTGCAGAACTTCCTTCAGAATTAAGAAAAACAGGACATCAGAGTAAGCTCAATGTAACTATTGTTGCAAATTGAATATTTTCTGGCTATTTAATACAAGCAGATGGGGGTTCATATTATTATTTCAGGGTGTGCTATGATTCTCCATCTCTCTGCTTTGCCCTTGTTTGTGATGTGACTTCAATTTGCAAATTGGTGTCTGCACATGATGGGGAAAATGGCCATGGATATTTCTGCTTTCATATCCACTTAGCTTAGAAACTGGATGGGAAAAAAATAACTTTCTCACAGCAACTGTATAACAATTTAGGAAAGAATGACTGGCTTATTATAGACCATGTACCCAAATAGAATACCTATTGTATTTAGAGAGGAACAAAGCTACTAGGATTGTCTCAGAGTTCATCGTTTGCCCAAACCCTGTGATGGTTGTGAGGAATCATCAGGTGCACAGGCATTGAAGGAGGTGCATTCCCCAAAGGTAACAGAGATGCTAAACAGGAAAAAATTAGCAGATTCCACAATAACAACAGATCTCAACCCTCTTGGTAGGTTTCTCCAAGCAATACGTTAGAGATGTATAATATATCTTCATACTATGTGCTATCTATGAACTATGAATCTCAATTCTATTATAACAATTTTTTAAATAATGTCTGGAATTTACAAAACATTCCCCAGGTTGCCCACGTATTCGGTCCTAGAAAGTGGGTTCACTTCTCTTTTCACCACAGTCCCAAATCATTATCGTAGTCAGACAATGGAGTGCATCAAGTGTTAGATAAGAACATTGTTCTTTATTATGTTTATATTTGATATTGGCATTGTTACCTAAACATCATTGTAGAAATTGACATTTGTATTTCATTTTTTTTAAACCCTGTATTTGTTCAAATTATCTATTCACAGAATAATCTGAGCCTTTCTTGCTTGCTTATGTTCTCATGGAGAAAACTAAGACAAGAGTATCCAGATAATCTGAGCTTCTCTTTTCTCCCTCATCTCCACACTCTCATACCCTGCACACGTCAGCTGTCATATATCTACAAACCAAAACAGTCTGGAGAGTGTCAAAAGACCATGTGATTTTATTTCCCAACTTCTCCACCCACTATACACTTCTACTGTGTGAGTAAACAAAAATATCCAACCTCACTTTGGAATACTGAAGCATGTAACTAATTATGTCTATAAGATAATGCCGTCTGTCAGAGACACCTTTAGGAGGTACTCATAAAGAATTACTAAAATCAGAACTTCAATGGTGAGCCTGAAAAAGAATTGTGGTAAAATAGCATCAGAGTAAAAGTGGTAAAGAATTAAGAAAAACAGGACATCAGAATAAACTCAGTGTAACTATTGTTGCAAATTGAATATTTTCTGGCTATTTAATACAAGCAGAATGATGTATAACAACTGTAGCTTTACTTTCATATAAATAAAGCTGAAAATTCACTATAGTTTTGCAGCCACTGGCTGGGCACTTACAATTCATTTAGGGTATTTGCTTTGCCCAATAATAAAATTGGCTTATTCAGTGCATATGAATTGGCATGTTCCTTCAGGGCTTTTCTCTTTTTCTCCAATGTCTGCATCTATTTGCTTAGAAATTCCAGTGGGTTTGTGGGGAAGCCACTTTAAGAAGGTAAAGGAAGGACATGTCAGAAGAGTGAATGGACACAGTCTGCTGCACACAGTGGACCTAGAGTCCCACACAACTCATTTAAGCCCTTCTTATGAATGAGATCATCTGAAGGCTAAACCAAATGTTCTCGTTCAGAATGACGTACCCAAAGTGTTTCCAAAATTAACCCAGACCATGAAAGAAACCAAATCTGAGTTTTTGTTAGCTTTTCTTAAAACTTAATCTAGTTTGTCCTTGCTCTCACCATCAACAGGAGTAATTAGATCAATGTAAGAAAAGTGTGAAGTAAATATACTAAAGCATATATTTTTCCTGCTATTTGATTCATGCTTTTATTCTTTCTCTGTTGCTGTTCTTCAACATTCTGTCTCTTTAAAAATATGTACCTGAATTAAAATGCACACTTTAAAAAATTACACAATACCAAATGAGAAGCGAAAGTCTCCTACCCAATCCCACAAACTCCAGTCCCTTTATAAAGGGAAAAATAACTTTTAACTAATTCTGCTCTTAATCTTCTGGTAATCATCACCTAAATTCTAAGTGATATGTTTAACCTATAGATTGGAAAAATGGCTGTTAGGTTGATGACTGTAAATTTTTTAATTGTAACCATGACTTCTTGACTGAACACCAGTCTCGTAGAGGCAGCCGCCAGCTTGTATGTTCAATGAGCATTGCAAACTTAACACCCCTAAAACAGAATTGTAGATTCCATACCATTCTCTGTCCCAAATTTAGTTCACCATGAGTCTCTCCAATTTCAATGACAATATGATCTAAAAGGGTGCTCAAATCAAGACCTAGGAGTCATCTCTGATTCTTCCATTTCCTTCTCCCTCTCTAGTCAATTAATCACCAAGCCACAGGAATGCTCTCTAACCAAAATATATCTTGAATCTTTCCCTTGTATCCATGTCCGTTCCACTTAATCCAAGCCACTACTGGTTGCTAACTGAACAACTGGAACAGTTAACTGATTTCCTTCCTTCAACTCTTATCCGATTTTAATCTATTTTCTATATAGCAGCCAGAGAAGTCTTTAAAATGTTATCAGATCCTAATCGTTTTCTGTTTAAAAACTCTTATACTCCACTTAGAATAAAAATCATAATGCCTAGTTGTGACCTACAGGACCCTGTGTGATCTGATTCTTGCCTTCCTCTCTTACCTCACTTCATGTCATGCTTCTATTTGCACCCTATACTCCAGTTGCATTAGGCTCCATTCCTGTCCTTTGAGCATGCCTGGAATGCTAATTTCCTAGTGTTTACCTGGATTCCTTCTCATCTTTAAGGTCTTAGTTTAAATATCACTTCCTAAAGGAGCAACCTGTGTCTAACCCATTCTAACTCCCTTTCCCTTTGCTTTTTCAAGTGGGTATTGGAAAGATAAAGGCTTCATTTCTCAGCCTCCTTATGGCTAGTGGAGGCCATACTGCCGGTTCTGGCCCATGAGACATAAGTTGAAGTTGGCTGTGGTTTCTTCTATTTCATTCTTCCTCCCCGGAATGCAAACAGAAAGCTGGATGTACAGCAATTCCTGATAAGCAGGGCAGAACAGAGAGAAAAGAGCCTCGTTCCTTGCTGGCGTTATTAATAACACCACACCGACTGTGAACTGAAAAATCAAACTTCTTATTTCATGAGACAAATAAAAATTGTTTAAACCACTATTTATTAAGTTTTCTGGTAATCACAGATAAACATAATCCTAAGTGATACAACACTCACAGCAGTTTCTATCATGTTACCCTCTTGATTCACTCTGTATTTATCTAGATCAGAAATTATTTTGTTTTCTAATTTTACTAGTTTGTTATGTTTATCCCAGTCAACAAATAATTGTTGAATAAATGTTAAATAAAGGAATATCAATAATTGTTACTTGATTGATATTAGATCACTTCATTTTACTCCTTAATAGGAAGGATGAAAGTTTAGATTACTATCCCGTAAATAATTTTGCTGTTATATTTAATTTCTTGTGGCTACCTTTTGACCTTAAATAGTATTTAAACTGAAATATTGGGGGCACTATTTCTTGATTCCATTATCTGAGATGAGAGAATCAACAATTGTGCATTCTCTTCCCACTATTTCCTAATCCCACAATTTTTATTTTGGCAGGATTTAGAATATTCATAATCTTTTCTGTATCTAAAATTAAGTCGTTCATGCTTTGCTTATGGATTGATTTACAAATTAAAAAATCAGCAATAATTTTGAAAATTATTATTTTATAGCTATTTTTCATTCTAAAACAGAGTTGCGTAAATCAAAATGTGGCAAACAAATTTTGTATATCTCTAACCTTGTCACTCAATTATTTAAAATAAGTGTAATATATACTTTTCAAAAACATGAAAGAATATAGAACACTAGGTAGAAAAAAATTACATATTATTTTAATAAGGTTTTAATTAATGGAAATGTAATCCAAATATGTAACTTTACATTTTCTTTTTTCTTTCTTTCTTGGTTTTTTTTTTTTTGAGACGGAGTCTTGCTCTGTCTCACCCAGGCTGGAGTGCCATGGTGTGATCTTGAATCATTGCACTGCAGCCTTTGCCTCTTGGGTTCAAGCAATTCTGCTGTCTCAACTTCCTGAGTAGCTAGGACTACAGGCGTGTGCCACCACACCCAACTAATTTTGTATTTTTAGTAGAGATGGGGTTTCACCATGTTGGCCAGGCTGGTCTCAAACTCTTGACCTCAGGTGATCCACCCGCCTCGGACTCCCAAAGTGCTGGGATTACAGGCGTGAGCCACTGCACCTGGCCTAATTTTACATTTTCTAGTAGACACATTTAAAAAGTAAAAGAAACAAGTAAAATTAATTTGAGCGTCTAACTTATTTAACTCATTATTATTTCATCATGTAATCTATATAAAAATTATTAATAAGTTATTTTACATTCCTCCTTTCATACCAAGTCAGCCAAATTCAGTATGTATTTTATATTTACAGCACATTTTAATTGCAAAGCCATATTTTTGTTGGAAATGCTTGATTATACTTAAATTTTATAAAATTTAGATTGCATATAAGTTGCCCCAAATATACTTAGGTTATTAAACTTAACTTCAAATGTACTGAAATTAAATTAAATTAAAAATTCAATTCTTCAGTTAAACTAATCTCATTTTAAGTGCTCTATAGCCACATATGGCTATAGTATTGGACAGTATAATTATAAATTAACCAGTGTTCCCTTCGCTCTGTTCACCACACTGAATGACAAGATGCTGACATTTGCTGCTAGGAGGCTGCTACCCATTAGTAGCCCTAGCAGCATTTCTCTCCCTAGTTGAGTTTTGCATTGACAAAGATGAAGTTACATTTATTACAAAATCTGCTTGATCTCTTTGTTATTGTCATTATAATTGTGCCACCGATCAACAGTACAAAATATTGATGAAAGATGAGAATAAAGAGAAAAACTTCTTTCTCTGTTAAACTCAATGCTTTTGGGGGAAAAAGGTAAATCACCAAAAGAAAAATTCTATTGACTTAGGGACAAACAAGATTATTGTAAATATTTGAGAAAGCATGTAAAAATATGAAATAATCTGTACTTTTGCTTGGTAAATTTCTTTAAGTACTTTCTACACTTTATAAAAAACAGAAACTTGAAACAATAAGCAATTTTTTGGCATCTATTGAGATAATCACATAATCTTCTTTCATTTAACTGTTAACCTAATTAATTGTGTCAAGAGTTTCACTTATGTTTTACTTTTATTTCTTCATGTTATTCCCTAAGTACAATGCTGAATTTAATTTGGAAATATTTTATCAGCATTTTTGCACTTGTTTGTAGTTTTATTTTTCTGTGCCATTCATGACTGGTTTTGACATTAGGATTATGCTAGGCTTTCAATAATCAATTTTTATGTTTGGTGTTCTCATTATTTTTCACTGCTAATCTGAAACATTTGCTCTGATTTTTTCTCAACCTAGAGTTTATCATGGGAGAAAAATATAATACATATAATATTACACATATATTTTAGTTTATTAGATATATATAATTTTATATATATAGTTTGTTAATTATAATAATAATGAAATTATTCATTATGTTCCTTTTTATCATTTTAATCAATCATTTCAGAGATAAATACCTTAGAGTCTCCCATTGAGGTTCTGGTTTTAACAATTTTTGCCATCAATTCTTAGATTCTAAATCTTTTTAAAACTACTATTTGAACCAGAAATCTAATTACTGAGTATATATCCAAAAGAAAACAAATCATCTACCAAAAAGACACATGCACTCACATGTTCACTGCAGCACTATTCACAATAGCAACATGATGGAATCAATATAGGTGCCCAGAGACGGTAGATTAGATAAAGAAAATGCGGTGCATAGCATGGAATACCATGCAGCAATAAAAAAAAAAAGGCAGGAAATCATGTTCTTTGCAGCAACATGGATGGCCCTGGAGGCCATTACCCTAAGTGAATTGATGCAGGAACAGAAAACGAAATTATCACATGTTCTCACTTATAAGTGGGAGTTAAACATCAGGTACTTATGGACATAAAGATGGCAACAATGACACTGGGGACTACTAGAGGGGGGCAGGAAAGAGGGGGACAAGGGTTGAAAAAGTGTTGGATATTATGCTTGATTCCTAAGTAACAGGATAATTCATGTCCCAAACCTTAGTATTATGCAATATACCCAAGTAACAAACCTGCACATGTACCTCCAAAGCTAAAATAAAGGTTGAAAAAGAGAAAAAAAAAGAAATTTTTTGAAAATAAAATAAAATAAAATAAACTACCTTAAAAAAGTCTTCCTGGAGAATTGTACCTTTCTTCAAGATACTGTTCATTTTCCATGTAATGATTTTTGGTTATATTTCTCTTCCGTTTGATATCAATATTTTCATGACTTTTTTCTTAGAATTTGCCAAATCTTTTTAAGTTTTTTCTTTCTTGCATTTGTTTTAGATTTGTCTCATAAACAGCTTTTATAGATACATTTTGTTGTTACTATTTATTTATTCTTAGTATGATGACAAGCTGTGTTCTTCTCAATCGATTGCCTCAGTTTTCCTCAGATACATATGTTATATCTATACTATATACGATATACTATAATAAAAGAAACATTTTCTTTTATTCTTGAAATTGCCTAGAATGTCTAGGAAAAGACTAATATCATCTAAAACACTGTCTAAATATTGCTAATTAATCGATATCCTGCTTTAACAGTTAGAATACTTTTGGCTACAAGTAATAGATTATCTGGCTAACACTACTGAAATATAAAGTCTTTTATTTCAACAAAAAAAGTTAGGTTAAAAAACAAAGTTTGCCCACTGGTGGATAAAATTGAAAACTAAGTATCATAATTGAGTAACCACAGCCAATCATATCTTTCTTTTATTATCTTTTTCAAATTCAACAGTAATTACAACAGACTATTAAAATAATCCAATTTTACAACCAGATCACTACATTCTTTGTTATAAAGCTTTTTAAAATTTCAAAAAAGGACCTATATTCAATTTTTCTCACTTAAAATATTATATATTAGTAACATTTTAACAAGTTGCTGAGAACATAGTTTTTATACCACTAATAAATAAAAAAATTGTTTATTTAAAATTATAAAAAAGAAATCTGTTTACAGGAGGTTGCAAGGTTGCTTTGTGGTTGAATTATGCCGAGAAGGACCCAGGCTTTTTTTGTTTTTCTAGTCTGCTATCCTTTGTGCTTTAGCTATGCCTCTTACCATGGTGGCAGAATGGTTATTGAAGTTCCAATCATCATGTCATCATATAATAACATCCTAAGGAAAAAAAAAAGGAGGGAGGGGGAATAAAGCTTTCCTTCTGCATCTTTCTCCTTTTACAAGAGAGAATAATCCTTTGCAGCATCCCCAACAGTTTTCTGTTTGTATCTCATTACTCAGAACAGAGCAACATGCCACCTCTGTCTGCAGGACAAGTAAAGAAAGTAACTTTTTCAGCCTCTATACCTGGAGATGAGCATGGAAAAGGGAATTGGGAATGGCTAATGATTGAAAATTAACAGTTTTCTAGCTCGCTACTCTATTTTTCTTTTAATCAATTAATATATGTATCTTTTCCATCTTTTCTTTGTGCTTCCCAATGTTAATGTCCGTTCTCCCTTCACAAGACTTAACATTTCTACCTAAATGCACTTTTAATGTTTTCCTACTGAGGACATCCCTGACTCCCTAAGCACATCCCAGCCATTCCCTTTTAGCTTGCTTGGCTTTATTTTGTGCCATTACTTTGAGGGAAAATCTCAGTCTCTATTTCTAGTATTAACCACAGATGACCACTACATTCCAAATGGTTTATTACATAGATATCTTGAATCACTTAGTTAAAAATAGTATCACTTGAGATCAGACTCTCTATTCTCATTTTCTTTCTAAAAACACACTTAAATCCTCATTTTTCTATGGATACTTTTTTTTTTTCAATCCTGGCAATATCAGATTAATCAAATTCCCTTTGACCATTCCCCCACCAGAGCAGAAAGAAAGAGTCAAGGGTTAAATCTTCTTCTCAGCCTCTGACTGTGGTAGAGTTGACATTTGGAGGGTGTCACATTAGCACATTTATTCTTACATAAAAGAGATTCTGATTGAAACTAAATTTGGATTTAGACATAGGTGGGTGTATCTGATGAACTGGTAATAGCACTAGCCTGAAGGCATGTGATCTGAGGATGGGGAAGAAGACAAAGTCCCCTCTATTACAAAATCACACTCAAAATGAACGATTATAACAGTCTGTATGTGCCAGGGGCCAACTCCTCCCTGAATTAACTTCCATGTAGAATACAACGTCTCCTAAAGGAAAAGTAATAGAAATGTGTCAGTTTGAAGCGCATGTGCGTGTGCACACACACACTCACACACACACAAAATCTCAACAGTATGCCCAATAATAATTAGGATCTTAGACCAACAAAACACTTTTTCAAAGAATAGTATTTATTGCTGAATTTGTGAAATTGTTTATAATTGTTGTGCATAGCAATAATTAAAGAAAGAGTTGCTTTTATTCTCATTTCTAAATTCTCTGCAAATAATGCCCCCTCTGCTTATTGCCTGTACTTGGAGCAGATCATACCTACTGCTTTACTCTTGGAATGCCACTGGGAAAAACAAATATTTTTGGTACACTCACCTTGTGCCAAGAATTGCCTCAGTGCTTTATTAATATAGATTATATTCTAATAATATTTTTGTATTTTTCATTATGATGAAAAACTTGGGCTGAGGGTAATGAAACAAAGCTTGTGAGGTAATTGTAAAAACAAATATAATTAAATTTAGATCCATCAGGTTCCAAAACCCATGCTTTCTGGTGGATGCCATCTAGCTTAGAGGAGGATGTAAAGAGACTTGGATTCCAGTCTCAAAGCTTATATCCCTGATCTCAAAAAGGGCAGGCTAGAGTGAATTGATACCTAAAGGACTTCTTAGCTAAACAATTGAGCTTTCTTGTATTGTGTGCTCTCTAAGGGCCAGGCATTGAGCTAAGTAATTTGCCTTATATTTTCTGTGTTAAAAAACCTAGTGAAGTAGGTGAGGAAACTAAGATAATAAGAGGGTAAGTAACATGCAGAAGAAACTCTAGTATTGGCAAATGGCAGGACTGGGATTTAAAGTCAAACCTGTCTGACTCATGAGGACACATATTTAACCTAAAATGCCTATATAGTTTGAAGCAATTGTTCTCAATTAGGGATGCATGTCAGAATATGCACAGTGAAAGAGCGGAGTTTTCCTAAAGCATATTCAATGTTATTAAATTAATGTCTACTCACATTTCCCACATATATTTGTTCTTATAGTATAAATTCCTGAAAACGGTTCTCATTGTTAATATTCACACAAAAGTAGATAATCAATCTAAATAAAATCAGAAGATGGGGGTAGCGGATGTTTAATTTTCTGCAGATTTTTAAAAATCACAATGAATAGACCAAAATTTTCTAGCCCTGAGTACGAAGAAGTGAGAGTACAGAAGCAAGGTAGGAGTGATATGGGGAAGACTCCTCATTGAATGTCTTTCCTCAGAGAGAAACCACACCTGCCTCAGCCAAGCAAGTCAAGCGTCTGTCTTTCTAAAATGTTGGCAGTCTTGATATTTCCGCCTTTCTTGCAATTGCATGTGGTTGTCCTATCATATGGTTATGCTACAGCAGTAAAAAGATAGCTCTATCTTCATGGAGCATATGATCTTTCAGGGAAGCTAAGAGACCATTCTCAGATCTTGTCTCCTCTCGGCAGCTGAGTGGGAAATCATTAATTAATACTCAATTCATGGAGAACGTACTTGCTGATGTACACTACTGGCCAGAAGCCACAGCAAGCTTTTCTCACCTCTGAGAAAAAGCTGGCAAAGAATGAGACACCAAAGTCTAACTTTGCCTACTTCAAGTGTTGCCAGGGTACAGCTGTGTTTGCTTCCAAATGAACACAAGCTCATAAAACCTATTTCTGCCCTGCAGCGCTTAAGCGTGTGCAGTTTATTAAGAATCTGTCCGGATTGGATGATTGGATTGGAGAAATAGAAGTGAGAATGGAGAGGGAGAAAGGGATGCAAGGGTCATAATGAAGGAAAACCAGAGTGTGTAGCGACTGACTAAACGTGGAATTCAAGGAAGAAACAAGGTTCAAAATAGAATCCAGGTTTTCTCCTGAGTGGTTTGGGAATGGTTATAACTTGATAAAAATATTAGCCAATAAGACCATTTGAGTGGTACTTTAATCTGACAAGGATGCCTACATGGAAATATGAAAAGAAATATGTTCAACTTTGCCAATTAGAGTGGAAGGTGGCATTTATCCTCTTTTTAATTTGAATGGCTATAGAAACCTTTCTTTCCTAACAATCTTTCTTTTTGAGATGGGGCCTCACTCTGTTGCCCAGGCTGGAGTGCAGTAGTGCAATTGTGGCTCACTGCAGCCTTGACCTCCCAGCCTCCCTAGTAGCTGGGACCACAGGTGCGCACCACCATGCCTGGCTAATTTTTTATTCTTTGTAGAAATAGAGTCTCCCCATGTTGCCCAGCCTGGTCTAAAACTCCTGGCCTCAAGTGATCCTCCTGCCTTGGCCTTTCAAAGTGTTGGAATTATGTGTGAGCCACTGTGCCCAGCCTTCCCCCACAGTCTTGAATCCCATGATAAACCACTCAGTACTAGGTGTGACTGTAGGTACTAATAGAGAACAAGTGGAAATTTTAGGCAATTCTTTATAGGATTGCTGTTCTTCTCTTCTGCTACCTAACGTTACTGAGTGCTGCTTTGTAACAGGCATCATTGTAAATCTTACAACAAACATCTAATACAGGAGCAATAATCATACCTGTTTTTCTTGGGAAAAAACTGAAGCCCAGAGCCAGAAGTTATATGCAGGCCATTTGGATCTAGAGACCTTGTTCTTAACCCTTGCACATACTGCCTTTGCCTTCACAGACAGCACTGACTTCTGGTGATGTTGTCAGGAACAAGCAGCCCAGCCACCGAAGACAGCTCTTGTTCCCTGCTGGAAGTTCAGTGGTGACATAAGGCTTGCTTGACCCCCAACTTAGCATTCTAGAAGCCAAACACAGTCCTAATTTGCTATCAAAAACTTTATAATGATTGTGGCTATTATTGCCAACAAAATCTAGGAGCTCCAATTTACGGGAGACAGTGCCCAGTAAAAGACCCCACTCTCCAGATTCAGTAGAACAGCACAGGTTTCTCAGAGTGTGTTTCTGCATCAGAAGGCCTGGGCACCCAATCACCCAATGTTACAGATCTTTAGTAACATAGATCTTTCAGTGTACACACACACAGACACACACACACACACATGCTCACATCTATAGGTTTGGAGATTTTCTCAAGGTACATCTACAGAACTAGGGTTTCTAGCCCTCTCTCAGGGCATTCTATAGAGGCCCTGGTGTTGTGCAGACCACCTGGTAAGCACGCCACCATGATGAATAATCCTTGAGGACGCTCATGTCTAATTACTGACAATTGCTCTTAGTTAGGGTTTCCTGAACCCATCAGAGTTCCTACTAATATTGAACCTCAAGGAAAATACAATCTAACGTCTCCATAACTTTTCTTCTGAAACCTACTCAATTCCTATATAAATGTTCTCACCTTGCTGACCTTCCCACCAACGTATTTGGAGCTTAGTTAATTAAGGAATTTGAAGACGGTATTTGTTTCCCAGAACAAAAAGGTATCTAATTGCTTCACATCCACATAAGAAAAAATAAAACCCACAAAAACAACAACAACAAAACACATTCAAGAAATCCTTCCCAAAACAAGGAATGTCCATCTATAAATGATAGAAGCCATTGGCAAATTTGGCATGGTTATTTGTACAATTAGAAAATATTTCTTAAACTTTCTCTTACTGCACACACTCTACATAGGAATGGAACTTCAACAAGGTATGAAATTATGCCACCACAGTTTATTAGGAAACCCTTCCTTAGAGTTATCCTAAACCTATGAATAATATAGTTTCTTATAATAATGAGAAACAATAGAGCCTCAGCTAGAGCCATCTAATAACAGTTCAATAAATATATATAAAATATCCGTAAGAGCCAGGCACATGCATGCAATGATGGGAGTATTGTCTTAGTCTGTTTGGTGTTGCTATAACAGAATACCTGAAGCTGGGTATTTTATAAAGAAAAGATATTTATTTGGCTCCCAATTCTGGTGGTTGGAAAGTCCCGGATGAGCAGCCACATCTGGTGAGGGCCTCACTGCTTTCTGGTAATGGGCATGTGCCAAGAGAAGAGACCAAACATGAGAAGGAACAGCCCACTCTCACAATAACCAATGCAGTCCCGAGAGAGCTAGAACTCACTCCCATGATATGGCATTAATCCATTCTTGAGGAAACTGTCTCCATTACCAAAACACCTCCCACTAGGCCCCGCCTCTCAACACTGCCACATTAGAGATCAAATTTCAACATGAATTTTTAATAGGGACAAATTGCATCCCAATCACAGCAAGTTTGCAGATGAAGACATTATTCTAGCCCATCAGGAAAAATGTATTCATACCCATCAGGATAGAACACATGGACACAGGAAAGGGAACATCACACACTGAGGCCTGTCACTGGGTTGGGGGCTAGGGGAGGGATGGCATTAGGAGAAATACCTAATGTAGATAACGGGTTGATGGGTGCAGCAAACCACCATGGCACGTATATACCTATGTAACAAACCTGCAGGTTCTGCACATGTATCCCAGAACTTAAAGTATAATTTAAAAAAAAAGAAAAAGAAAGAGCAGAAAATAACAAATCTTGAGCCAGGAAATGGGAAAATTAAAACTCATGGATTGCTGGTAGAAATGTATAATGATGCAGCCCCTATGAAAAACAGTATGGTAGTTCCTCAAAATATTAAACAGAATTATCATAAAGTGCAGCACTTTTACTTCAGGGTATATACCTAAGATAATTGAAAAGAACTCAAACAAATATTTCATAACCCCCTTGTTCATAGCACCATTATTTACAATAACCAAAAGGTAGAAGCAGTGCAAGTGTCCATCAGTGGAAGAATGGGTAAACAAATGTGATATATACCTAAAGTGAAATATTTTTCAGTCTTAGAAAAGAAGTAAATTCTTTTTTTTTTTTTTTGAGATGGAGGCTCACACTGTCACCCAGGCTGGAGTCCAGTGGTGCAATCTCAGCTCACTACAACCTCTGCTGCCCAGGTTCAAGTTATTCTCCTGCCTCAGCCTCCCAAGTAGCTAGGATTACAGGCACGTGCTACCATGCCCGGCTAAGTTTTTTTTTCTTTTGTAGCTTTAGTAGAGATGGGGTTTCACCATCTTGACCAGGCTGGTCTTGTACTCCTGACCTAGTGATCCACCCACCTTGGCCTCCCAAAGTGCTGGGATTACAGGCGTGAGCCACCGCACCTGCCCAGAAAAGAAGAAAATTCTGACATGCTACAGCATAGATGAACCTTGAGGACATTATGCTAAGTGAAATAAAAGATTCAAAAAAGAACAAATACTGTATGATTCTATTTACCTAATGTACCTAATCAAGGTACCTTATAATTATGCTAAGTGACATTATGCTAAGTGAAATAAAACAGTCACAAAATAACAAATACTGTATGATTCTACTTACCTAAGGTACCTAGAGTAATCAAATTTATAGAGACATGAAGTACAACAGTGGTTGCCAGATAATGAAAGGAGAGGGAATTGGGAGTTGTCATTTAATATGTATAGAGTTTTAGTTTGGGAAGATTTAAAAGTTGTGGAGATACATACATGGTGGTAATAATTGCATAACAACATATATGTTCTTAGTGCCACTAATCTGCACACTTAGAAATGGTTGAAATGATAAATTGATGTTATTTAATTTAAAATTTAAACTAAAAGGAACACTTAGTCTTCTATGGGAGAAAGACTTATGAACAAGCAATTATGTAACAGTCCAGTGACTGATGAGACAGAGATGTGCAGCATCATTGCTGCACCCCACATCCACAGACTGCCTGTGCTAAACATGTTCCACAAGTAGTCATTTTATTTAAAGTCAGAAAATTAAAAAATCATTTTGAAATAAGCTCCACTTAGCCCATTGTGATTCAGTCACTTGTACCCCTAAGCCCTAGCAGTTCAAAATCAGATAACAAAAGTAGAAAAGTTTTCCAAAGCCACAGTCTAAAAGAAGGATGGAAAATATTTAGAAGATTGAAGTCCCCTCTGCAACACACACACACACACACACACACACACACACACACACATACACACACACTCCAATTCCCAGAGTAGGTAAAGGTTTCACAGGGTAGGGGATGAAGAGAAGGGAAGCCAAAGGAACGCAAGAGTTAAAGTCTAGACACTGAAGAATTGGCCTGACTTTGTCAGACATGGATAGTTAAACAGATTAGGGAGAAACAGGGAGCAAATAAGAGCTAAGTCAGTGGCCAGATCAGGTGTTAGTGCTTAGAAATACTGCAGTCTTCATTAAATGATAACTGCACAGCACCTGCCCTGAAGCACTGCCTCTGTTGCCCTTCTCATTGACAGTAGATAGGAGATTACCTATTGAAAGTCTAGCGGGAATGAGGCCTATGTGCTTTAAAAACTTACTTAACCTCCATCCTATCTACCATACATAGAATAATCTCCCTTTCAATGGTCCAGAACACTTGTATCTCTCTAGAAAAGAGAAAATGGCAGACCTCTGGGCAATAGATGGTGATCTAGAAAGGAATGAAACCCCTTGCCTGGCCTAAGACACAATAGGTGGATCCAGCTCATGCTCTCCCATCAACCTGGGACAGTGTTGGAACAGAGATCAGCTTACTTTTACAGTCAATAAAACGTAATTAGAAATCTAAAGTGTCAAATACTAAAAATCCAAGAATCACACATTAAAAATTCAAGCAAAAATTTTATGGAGTTTAGAAAAACATGATAATATTAATGATTAAATAATTAAATCCATGTTAAGGCACTTCTGGACAGGAGGATTAAAAGAGATTCCCCCACACACAAAGAGGCAATATAACCAAGATCATGGGTGTGATTCCTATGACTCTTACTTAGTTAGACATGTCTGTAGGCACAAAGTCTTAGGGCACAGAGGAGCAGGGGTCACAGTTAGGACCATAGTCAGTTGGAAGAAATCAGTACAGAAATCCGGACAAGGATCCATGGTGCATATCAAAACAAATCCCCTGAAACATTTTCAAACAGCCTGCCCAAATTTACCCTTAGGAGCTCTGGTCACAGAATTTCCTTTTCTAGAATCAGGAGGAAAAACAGAAAGCAATCAGGCTGGTATGTCTAGCTCCCTAAAACTCAAAACAAGGGTCAGAGTCATGCAGCCTTGGTACCTCAATACTTTGCTCCTCATTAAAACAGGTTAGCTTAATGTAAGATAATGGAA